>NC_000005.10:148828659-149453659 GCF_000001405.40 Homo sapiens | reverse complement strand
CTGGCCCCTGCCCTCGCGGAGCTTACAGTCTAGCATTCGGCAGTGGCTGTGGGTCCTGCCGCACCTTGTCTTTCCCACTGTGGGGAAACTGCTTTTTTCTGGGCTTGGTCTCAGCCAGCCTTTGTGAGACCGCCATCTGCCCCACATGTCTAGTCCTACTGTCTGATTCCACAGTTGGCGTGTGCCGGCCAGTGGCTGAGAGGAGGGACGTGTTAGGGCTGTGAGTCAGGAAGACTGGTATGTCTCGGGGGAGGCAGGGATGGAGGACGGAGGGAAACAATAGCAACCCCAGAGGCAGCAGCGGCAGCTCCCTCTGTTGAGGTCCTGCTGTGCCTGGCGTCAAGTCCTGTGCTTTATGGATACCCCTGTTTTTGTGTGCTGGCATTGCTGTAGCAAATCACCTCCAACTGGGTGGCTTAAGACAGAAACTTATATCTTTCACAACTCCAGAGGCCAGAAGTCCCAAATCAAGGTGTCAGCTGGGACACGCTCCCCCGAGAGGCTCTGGGGAGAATCCTTCCTGGCCTCTTCCAACTGCTGGTGGCTTCTGGCATTCCTTGGTTTGTGGCAGCGAACTCCAATCTCTGCCTATCTCAATCTCAGTCTATCTTTACATGGAATTCTCTTTGTGCATATTTGTGTTTTGTCTCTGTGTCCAAATTTCCCTCGGCTTTTATGTTTTTAATTTATTATTATTTTTTATTGAGATGGGGTCTCTCTACATTGCTCAGGCTAGTCTTGAACTCCTGGGCTCAAGCCATCCACCGTCCTCGGCTTCCCAAAGTGTTGGGATTACAGGTATGAACCACCACATCCAACCAAATTTCCCTCTTTTTGTAAGGACACCAGTCACATTGGATTTAGGGCCCACCCTAATCCAGTATGAACTAATTTTAATTGGATTACATCTACAAAACTCTGTTTCCAAATGAGGTCACATTCACAGATTCTGATGGACGTTAAGTTTTTAGGGGACACTATTCCCCACAAATCCCTTAGTCATCACTTGATCAGAATGAATTTAGTGCTGTTAATTTATCCCACTTTACAGATGAGAAAACTAAGGCACAGGCCAGCCCAACGTCACACAGCAAGCTGACGCAAACCCAGCTCTCTGACCTACAAAGGGCAGCCTTGTCCCTAACCAGACACTGTGGCGCTGGAGGAGTACATAAGCCGCACTCAGGAGGAAGAAGGAGGCAGAAACAGGAAATTCCTTCACAGGGCAGCGTCCAAGGCTGCTTATCAGTGCAGGGACTGGACTTCAGCCTCTCGTCCTTTCTCCCCTCTTTCTCTACAGACCCCAGCGCTTCCCTGTGGCAGGCAGGAAGTGGCTTAGCTTAGTGCTCTGCTGAGGCCTGTTTTGTGCTGATCTGGCCCAAATTAGCCTGCAGAGGCAGCAGCAACTCAGGAGGAAAAGCACTGGCTGGAACAAGCTGGAAAGAATGTGTATCTGGGGTCAAGCAGAGGGGAGAGGGCGACAGCCTGCAGCCAGAGGCCCATTGCCAGGGAAGGTCCTTTATCTCCTCTGAGAGGCTGGGGTCTTTCATGTATCGGGGACACGGAAGCTCAGAGTGGTGAGGCCCAGCCCTGTGGCCTGGCCAGAGGCCCTGCATTAGCTCAGAGCTGCTGACTGGGATCGGAGGGGTATATTCCTCAGGGCAGGGGGGCCCTTAGAGACCTTGTACAACTAATCGAACATCAGACTCCCTACCTCAGAATCCTCAGGACCAGGTGAGGGGTGCACACCTGTCATCCCGGCACTTTAGGAGGTCACGGTGGGAGGATCACTTGAGGCCCCGGGTTCAAGATTACAGTGAGCTATGATCGCACCATTGCACTCCAGCCCGGACGACACAGTGAGACCCTGTCTCTAAATCAATCAATCAATCAATCAATAAGTCAATCAATACAAGAATCCTCCTCAACACAGCTCTCCAGACAGCCACTATCAATCAGTTGGAGCTGGCACAAGAGTTAAAAATTACCCTGTGGTTCTAATTCCAGACCCAGAAGTCAGCCTTGGTGGCATCTCGCAGTATACCGAGGCCCAGAGAGGTCCCACGGCTGGACGAGAGAGGCAGGTTGGGACCAGGTCTCCCCATCCAGAGTCCAGGCACTGTTTCATGAAACTGGGACTTTTTTTTTCTTTTTGAGACGGAGTCTCTCTCTGTTACCCAGGCTGGAGTGCAGTGGCACGATCTTGGCTCACTGCAACCTCTGCCTCTTGGATTAGCAATTCTCTGCCTCAGCCTCCCGAGTAGCGGGGATTACAGGTGCCTGCCACCACGCCTGGCTAATTTTTGTATTTTTAGTAGAGATGGGGTTTTACCATCCTGGCCAGGCTGGTCTTGAACTCCTGACCTCGTGATCCACCTGCCTCAGCCTCCCAAAGTGCTGGGATTACAGGCGTGAGCCACCACACCCAGCGACACTGGGACTTTTTACACAGGGGCGACACCCAAACCTTCCTGCCTTCCCCCTCACTGTGAATCACTCCTGGCTGCTACCAACAGCCAGGTTTCACAGCTGCTGCAATTGCAGCCCTGGCACTGGGGTCCGAGGACAGCTGCTCCTGTTGCAGGATCCGCCCCGTCCCCGGGCTGCGTGACCTCTTTAGTCAGGAAGCTTGAAATTGTTCTGAAGTACAAGTAGAAGTTTGCCTGGGTGAAAAAGTTCAAGGAGGGAATTCTGGGCAGAAGAATCAGCATCAGCGAGGACCAGACCCAGCAGAAGGAAGAGGGGATAGAAGGGGGCTGAAGGGGCTGGGAGGCAGCAGAGACATACGAAGCCATTGCTCACAAGACCTGGGCTCTAGTCTTGGTTTAGCTACGAGCTTGCTGGGATGCTCGGAGCAAGTCCCTGCCCTTCTGGGCCTCAGTTTCCCCATTGGTACAGTAGGGAGGCAGGGCTGGATGCTTTGTCAGGGTTCCCTAGTACCCTTCTCCTCACTTTCCTGGCCAGTGCAGGGGATCCAGATAGTGATCTTCGGAGAGGCCCAGCCTCACCTGGAACTCCGCATTTCCTGGGCCTCTGCCTGGCCCAATCTGGGATTGCAGGGAAGAGAGACACTGGTGTCCTTCTCTCCTCTCTGTGCCCAGGCAAAGGGTATGAGACACACAGTGCTCTGTGACCCTGGGAGAATCATATACGCTCTCTCTGGGTCCTTTCCTCCATGGTACAGCTAGCCACTGGCTGGGACCCAAGGCTCTGACAGCTGGGAGGGTGGCTGGAGGCAGGGACGCTTGCATAGCCAAGGAATGTGTTTACTTCCCCCATGTGCTGGAAGGAAACTGAGCAAGGCCCCTGCTGGATTCCTTCCCAGCCAGGCCTGCGGGCCTCTCCACCTCCTCCCCAAGCAGGCCCCATTGTTCTAGGCAACCCCTCTTACAAGATACATTTCTGGGACCCTCTTGCCTCATTTTACCCCTCCATGGATAGAAACCCTGACACAGTTGGGGTAACCCATTGGTGTCAGGCTCTTGGCCTGGACCCAGGACCTGGGGCCCTCCCCACCAGCTTTGTATCTAACCACTGTGAGGCCCTGACAAGTTCCTTGCCTGCTACAGCCTCAGTTTCCCCTTTCTATTATGAGGGGATAGGGGGAAGTGGGCTCTAAAGGCTCCTTCGGTCCCAGGAGTCAGTGCCTCAGCGACGCCTCCTGGGAAGGCAGGGTCATCCGACAGTTGTGAGCACGGGCTGCCATTTGCCGGGAGGCTCCAGCACATGGAAGTGCCAGGCTCCATTCCAGGTGCTGCAGACACAGCAGCAAATGAGACAGTGCAGTCCGGTCCTCAGCGAGAGGGGCCATGTTGAACAAATACTTCATGGTAAACTGGGTGCATGTTCCAGAGTAGACTCGTGATGAACCAGTTATGAGAGAGGGAAGAGCCTGCTCTAGATTGGGGTCAGGGAAGGGCTGGCCGGGGAGGTGACATCTGGGTTGAGATGTGGAGGAGAGACGGTACCAGTGTCAAGAAAGGGGTGGGGGAGAGTGCTCCAGGCTGAAGGCCAGTTCGTCCAGTGGAATGAGGGGCAAAGACTGAGTGGAGAGCATGGGGGTCAAGGAAGTGGTTCCAACATTTACAGCCTGGGGGACCTGAGAAAGGGCCCTTAACCTCCCCAGTGTCATTTTCACCATCTGTAAATCAGTGATAGTATCCTGAGGCTTTAATCATGTAGCGCCCCCTGCTTGCTTCAGGGCCTCAGGAAGAAGAAGCACTAAAATGGCAGCGAAGTGTCTAGTTACGCTGTGTGCAGGTGTGATTTCTATTAGTCTGCTTATATTTTATAACCCGCTTCCCTTTGCTTGTGCATTTTTTCTGGTCTCTGGAGCTTGATTTAAGATCTTTGTTTTTTTATTCTTTTGCTCCTATTTTTTAATTTGTACTTTCATGTTACGTTTTATGCATTCCTTTACACTTCTGTTAAGGTGACATTATTAATATTATTATTACTGCTATTATTATTATTTTCCATGAGTCTATATTACAAGCAGAAAATGGAATTGTGGGAGAATGCTTCCAAGTGTGTAAGCTGCTGTGCAAATGTGAGGAATTCTTATCACATACCCAAACTGTCTTGGAGCTGCACTGATATATAACATATTGCATCATGGAATCAAAAACTCCCTGCAAACCTGCAGCCCCAGCCCTGTGCCAGGGAGAGGCAAACATGAGGCATTTTTCCCCATGTGGCTTTAGGGACTAGAGTGAAGGATGTCCCAAAAGGAGACAAGTCCCATAGGAAAGGCTGAGGAAACTGGGAAGAGAAGCTCTGGGAGCCCAGAGCACTGTCTGAAAGACTGGGTGGCCCTCCTGAGGGAGAGAACTGGGTTCGTATGCAGAGTGAATGAATGAATATGAGGCAGAATTTTCTAACACTTTTCTGGCAAATCTATTCCAAAGACAAAGTGACCTGAGAGGTAGCAAGCACCCTGTCACTCTAGCTGTGTGAACTGTACAGTTACTCTTTCTATTAATACAGTGGTTTGGAGAGGATTCAAGCGTTGGGTGGAAGATGTGTGTATTGGGGGTGGGGGATGGGAGGGTGAAGGCTATGGGAAAATGAGAAGAAATAATGTGTCATCAATTAGGATTAGATTTGACTGCAGGAAACAGAAGCCCAAAACAGTAATGGCTTATATAACATGGATACTTTTCTTTCTTACTTACGTCTTTCTCCCATGAAAGTCTGAGGATGAGTGATCCGGGCTGGTGTGGCAGCTCTTCTCTGCCTGATTGCAGGGGTAAGGGAGTGGGAGGGGGCTCATGGCTCCTGTCTTTCAAATCACATTCCCTATCGTGTGGCCTTCATCCTCATGGTCCAAAATGGTGGCCAGCATATCCACATTCCAGGGAGCAAGATGAAAGAAGGGACAGTGACAGAAGGATGAAGGGGCAAAGGTGGAAAAGGAAAAGGAAGATTCTCAGAAGCTGCCAGGGGTGTCGATGCTCTCATCTCATTGGCTAGACTTAGTCACATGGCCATGGCCAGTGGCAAAGGAGGACGGGAAATGTTGTCTTCATTCTGGGTGGCCGTGGTCGCAGCTACCAAGTCCATCTTTGTGGAAGGGGAGAACGGATGTTGAGGGACAATCAGCAGTCTCTTCCCTAGATGATATTCTTGATCTCTTTCCATTCTAAAAGTCAAGTCCATGCGTTTGTTGTTCTCAATTCTCTATCACTATAGCCAAGGTCTGAACACTTGCCGTTGGCCCAAAGCAGGGATCTGAGTGACATGGAATGGTGAGACAGGTGAGGGAGGGTAGGAGAGCTCAGAGAGATGCCGGATATTAGAGAAGGGCAGCCTCTCCATTCTTCTTGCTGACTAAGCATCTTCCCAGTGTTTGGAAGTCTGTCCCTGGGAACATGTGAGCTGAGCAACCTGAAAAATTGCCTTCCCTTGGGGCAAAAGGTGTTCTGTCCTTGGCTTTCAAAGCTGGGCAAGTTGTGAAATGGGTACTTGAAGGATGTTTCCAAATTTGTACAAAAATGGAGGTGAAGCTATTGTTCACTGTGTCAGGAAGGGCCCTGGATTTAACTGCTTCTGTGAAGGGATTCATTCTGGAATTCAGAATCAGGAAAACGCTTATCTCCAGCTGAGCTCATATGACTTTCTTAGTCTGCCGACACATCAGATAGTGCAGTGGCCCTCTGTTGTGTTTGTTTCTTAGCATTATGCCTTTCACCTCCTTTTGGTAACATCACCTGCTTTTCTTCTGTGCAACCCATCCCCTCCCCACCTCAGCTTTCAGTCCATGTGGTTCCGATGGGGCTGATTCCATCCACTCTTCTCCTCCAGGGGGTGAGCACAATGCTCAGGCCTGTCTAATTGGAGTCATGGTGATGAATCTGGATTTGTTCATGGTTCAGTTTGGGCCATTAAGAGACAGCCCTGGGACTTTTGCTAACTTAAGTGGTGGGGCGGTGGGGAGGGGTGAGGGGAAACACATCTTTTCCAGTGTGGGTGCTAAGCTGATAAGATGTAAATCTGGAGTTGCTGGTGGCTATTTTTGCACCTTATAGAAAGAGTTTTCCTGGGAATGAGGGAATAAAATCAATACACAGGACAGCAGAGCAGAGAATGGAGAGTGTGACACATTACCAGTGACATTACTGGGCCCCTGGAACCAGCCATGCCTGAAGCTGTTATACCCCTGAATTTCTTTCTTTTTTTTTTTTTTTGTTGAGATGGAGTTTCACTCTTGTTGCCCAGGCTGGAGTGCAATGGCTCCATCTCAGCTCACTGCAACATCTGCCTCCCGGGTTCAAGTGATTCTCCTGCCTCAGCCTCCCTAGTGGCTGGGATTACAGGTGCGTGCCACCACACCCGGCTAATTTTTTATTTTTAATAGGGACAGGGTTTCTCCATGTTCGTCAGGCTGGTCTCAAACTCCCGACCTCAGGTGATCCACCCACCTCAGCCTCCCAAAGTGCTGGGATTACAGGCATGAGCCACCGCACCCAGCCTACTTCTGAATTTCATAGTATATGAGTCAATGTTCTTTTTTGCATAAGCTGGTTTAAACTGAGTTTCCATCACATACAAATGAAATTATCCCCAATAATACATTAACTAAAACATAATTCTGCCAGGAAATGGAAATAAGAATTTTGTGATTAAGAATGCTAAGTCTGGCCGGGCGCAGTAGCTCACACCTGTAATCCTAGCACTTTCGGAGGCCAAGGCCAGTAGATTGCTTGAGGCCAGGAGTTCAAGACCAGTCTGGCCAACATGGTGAAACTCCTTCTCTAACTAAAAATACAAAAATTAGCTGGACATGGTGTCACTTGCCGGTAATCCCAGCTACTCAGGAGGCTGAGGCATGAGAATTGTTTGAACCTGGAGGCTGCAGTGAGCTGAGATCCTGCCACTGCATTCCAGCCTGGGTAACAGAGCAAGACTCTGTCTCCAAAAAAAAAAACAAAAAATAAAAAAAGGGCTGAGTCATCTCAGCCCGATGATATATCTGCTGTTCTGCTTCTTCTATAGACAACATGTTGGGAGTCTAATGAGCTTGGACACCGTGGCAGAGTGTCTGTGAAATGGTTGCCAACGATTCAACCCTGTGCGTGTGTGCTGTCTCCCAGTGGGAGGTGAAGTCCATTCCCCCTCCCCTTAAATCATGACTCATAGCTTGTTTTATGACCTGCTTTGACCAGTAGAGTGTGGCTTATGTGATGGTGTGCTAGTTCCAGGCTGAGGCCTTACGAGACCTAGAGCCTTGTGCTTTTACTCCCTTAGAGCTCTGAGCTGCCATGTAAACAAGTCCAGCTACCCTGTGGGAAAGATTATGAGGCCACGGGAGAGTTGAGGCCTGGGCAGACACCGATGTTTCAGCCACCATAGTGAAGGCATGACATGTGAGGGAAGTTATCTCGAACATTGCAACCCCAGCCAACACCATGCATAGCAGAAGAATGGCCCAGGTGAGCTCAGCCAACCCGTGTGTGGGATATGATGAGGTTTCCCTTGAAATAATCTGCTCAATCTTTTATTCTTTAATTCATAGTATCCCCCCACTCCTTCTCCTCCTTCTTCCCCTTTTTCCCTGTTGCCTTTTTTAGATGCTCAGGCACACCTCAGTACCAGGCGTTATCCGTTCCAGCTCACATTCCTTTCCTTATTTGGAAAGGGGACTAACTTTCTAGCTCATTACAGACACCCCTTCCCCTTCTTTTTTACTTTCTTTTACGTGCCCACCCTATCTAAAAAAAAAAAAAAAACCAACGTTTAGCCAACCAAGATTAGTTTAGATTGTAAGACCCGACCCTGGCCAATGGGGAAAGGGTACAAAGGCAGGACTTGCGTCAAGAATAAAAGCTCTCGTGACCTTTGTTCAAGTGTGATCTCAAGGCAACTAGCCGAGAAGGCACTCCCCTGCGCAGAAGTAAAATTGCTTTGCTGAGAATCCTTTGTTCGAGTGTACAATTTCCTTAGGATTTTGAGCGTTATTCTTAACACGTGGAAATCATGAGAAATAATAAATTGATATTTTAGGCCAAGTAATTCCAGCACATCGGGAGGCTGAGGTGGGAGGATTGCTCGAGCCCAGGAGTTTGAAGCCAGACTAGGCAACATAGTGAGACCTTTCTCTACAAAAAGTAAATAAGCCAGGTATGGTGGTGCATGCCTATGATCCCAGCTACTTGGGAGTCTGAGGTGGGAGGATTACTTGAACCCAGGAGGCTGAGGCTGCAGTGAACTGTGATTGTGCCACTGCACTCCAGCGTGGGTGACAGAGCAAGACCCTGTCTCAAAAAAAAAAAAAAAAAAGCTATTTTAAGCCATTAGATTTTGGGTTGGTTTGTGTTGCGGCAAACCAAATGTTACTGCATTAGCTGACTGAAACACCCACTTGAGCAATTTTGGAATATCAGGATGTGTCACTGTATTAGTTGGTTCTTGCAGAGCTGTAAAGAAATACCTGAGACTGGGTAATTTATAAAGAAAAAGAGGTTTAATTGGCTCACGGTTCTGCAGGCTGTACAGGAAGCATGATGCTGGCATCTGTTCAGCTTCTGGGGAGGCCTCAGGAAACTTACAATCATGGCAGAAGGGGAAGGGGAAGCCAGCACGTCTTACATGGCAGGAACAGGAGCAAGAGAGAGAGGGGAGGTGCTGCATACTCTTGAACAACCCAATCTCGTGAGAACTCACTTACTCTCATGAGAACAGCACCAAGGGGGATAGTGCTAAACCTTGCATGAGAAATCTCCGTGCATGATCCAATCACCTCCCACCAGGCCCCACCTCTGACACTGGGGGTTAGATTTGGGTGGGGACACAGATCCAAACCATATCATCACTCCCTGGGTGTCTTATCTGAATAAGGCCCTCACTGAGAAACTGTGCTGGGCTGTGTTGGGACTGAGGGTCAGATGGGTAGAGCATCAAGACTAGGACTCTGGAACAATGAGACAAGGAACTCTGCTTCAGCACTGGAGGGTCCTGGGTTGCTGGGAGTTCATCTCGAGGAAAGACAGAGGTAGAGCCAAGATGTTTGCTTGGCAGCCTGACCGATGTCGGGGAACACCATTTGTGAGGCAGTCATTTGAACTGCCTTCAGCCCAGCCCCCTTTCAGGCAGCTGAAGGGAGACCAGAGACTGGTGCCCTAACCCCCCAAGCAGTGGTGGGCATGGTGGCAGGGGAGAAGCCCTCTCACAGCCCGCCTTGGGACAAGTAGAGAGGCCCACAAGGGCTGAAGTGCCGTTGACAGAGGCCAGGAAAAGGTGGCCTGGGGCAGGGGCTCTGAAATCACAGACCACTGAGTACTTCTGGGCTTAGAAGGCCCTGGGCCAGGAGAAACCGGGGTTAAGATTTTAACGTCTCTACCCTCCTCTGTTTTTCTTTTTCATTATCCTGCTTCAATTGGGCTTTGCCTTTCTAAACCATCTGAAATCCTTTTCAGAAGTGGGTGGGAGGCACATCAGATGCCTGAGAGCTGGGATTATCCCTGGAACCCCGGCAGGAGGCAGCGGAGCTGACAGTGCCCCCTCGGACTGCACCCGACCCACTCCAGGAAGGCCTCGAGTGTGAGTGCATGAGTGTGTGTGTGTGTGTGCGAGCATATGGAGGGGTGTGTGTGTGACTGTGTGAACATATGTAAGTGTGTGTACACGAACACTTGTAAGAGCTGTGTGAAAAATGAATGTGTGTTAGTGTATGAGAGTATGAGTGTGTGAGTGTTGTGTGTATACATAAGTGTGGGCGAGTGTTCGCGAGTGTGCAAGCTGTGTGGAAATGGGTGAGCTCTGGTTTGTATGAGTGTGTTGGTGTGAAAGGGTATGACTGTGAGCATGAATGTGTATATGTCTGTGTTAGCATGTGAGTGTGAGTGTATCTGAGTGTGTGAGTTTGGGGTGATTTGTGTGAAACGTGTTAGCATGAGTGTGCATGAGAGTGTGCATGTGTGAGAATGAGAACATGAGCGTGTGTCTGAATGTGAGTGCTAGTCTGTCCTCCTCATGGCACCACGGTGATCTTTAGAAAACGTACTGGTATCGTTCACTACCTAGTGGAAGGCGCTGCAGGGTGCCCACTGCTCCTAGGACCAGCCCATGCCCCTGGTGGCGGGGACTTGCCGTGGCTGATGGGGCTTCTCCTCCCCAGCCTTCCTCAGTCCTCAGTACCCTCCTTCCATTCCCCAGAGCTGGCCACAGCTGGTTGAAAGCAGCCCCAGGACAACTCTTCCTGGGGGGCAGTGCACAGGCCAGGGTGTCAGGGCCGGATGCTCTGGGACTGGAGAGTGCGGGGGTGTCGGCCGCCCAGGGGTCCAGGACAAAGAGAATGCTAATGTGCCAGAGGTACCTCTGAAACTTTGTCCTGACAACAGTGAGGCTGAAAAATCCCCAGGCCTTGGCCTTGGCCTTCCACGACTGCCAAGGTCACAGGCTCCCTTTCACTGGGATTCAGCCTGGGAGGCTGGAGACGCGCTCTCTGCTGCCCTCTTCTGGGCACCTGCCGCCTTGCGGATGCAGAGGGAAGCCAAGCCCACTGGCCCTGCAGAGCAGCTTCTAGTTTTGTGCGTGGGCACAGGGCTGCAGACGAGCCAGGCTGGGTGCTTCCCAAGGCTAAGGATAGGGGTTCACTGATGCTTGATGCTTATTGCAGGTCTGACACTTGGTAGATGCCCCCACAAAGGGAAAATGAACACACGGATTGGTTGAGGTGGTAATCAGAGGGGAAACTGAGCCCCAGAGAAGGCAACTTTGAGTTTGTTCCACAGGCGGGACTGGAACCAGGCCCTCTGGGTCCCCAGGGCTTGCCCAGCTGTGGCGTCATTGGGGCGTGAGTCCTGGCCTTTTCCTGCTTGCTATGAGCAGAATTTCCCAGGTGACTGGGCTGCCCCAGGAGAAATTGGAGGCCCTCCTGTTGGGGCAACTGGGTCAGGCTGGGCAGCGAGGGGCTGGAACCCAGCCTCCCTCAGCTGGTGCCCAGGCTCGCCCTGCCAGATTGTGCTGAGTTGGCCCACGCCTGGGCGGAAGATGACACGGACGCAGACACGCCCGGGAGCCGGAGGGTAGGGGGGTGCCCCAGATCCTCCTCTGGGCCTACCCCCTCTGCCACGCCATCATTACCCCCCAACAGAGGAGGATGTCAAGGTTCATAGAGGCTGGCGTTGCCCAAAGCCGCAGCCCCGGCATGTCCAAGCCTCTCTCCCTGCATCCCAGAACTTGCCAGTGAGTCCTGCTTCCTTCCTCCAGCTGCACAGGAGCTCCTCCGTGCCCTGCGCTGAGATGCGACCCCTTGAGTCTCATCCCGGGGCTCCCAAACAACAGCTGGCCTCATCTCTTCTGGTCACTCCATGTAGAAAAACGGAAGACACAGACACGCAGAAAGAAAACAAAATCACCTGAGACGCCCCTGCAGTGATCAGCCGCACCCCCAGATAAGCTTGTTAGCCCTGCCCTTGGTTGAGTTTAAATGGATTCTTCCCCTGCTACTGACTCCAGGACCGAATCCCCTCCCTAACGTCTCTGTGTGGCCTCCCCGAGTCCACCTTCAACCCTGTCTGAGCCAAGACGCCCCCATCCTGGCCTCACAGGCCCAGTGCCTGACCCTCTTAAGCTTCCCCTTCTCCCACCACACCGTCCTCAACGATGGCTCAGGAAGCGGGTGGGCCGCAGGGACCGAGATCCCACTTCTACATGAGACGACTTGGTCAGCGACCCCTGCTCTAAGACCTTCCGTGGCTCCCAGGCCAACAGGAGAAGGTTCAGATAGCTCAGTCTGGCATTCAAGGTCTCACCTCACATGGACCCCTCCACCCTGGTGGCCTCCAGGAATGGTCTGCCTCTTTCTGGGTTGGCCTCCCTTGATCGCTTGGGAGCTGTGTGAGAGCAGAGCTCCATCTACTTTATCACAATATCCCCAGGGCTTACCCCAGGCCTGCACATAGTAGGCACTCAGTAAATGTTCGCTGAAACCAAAGGGAGCTGCTTTGATCAGATCAATTCAGTCTTGTTAATAACAAGAAGCAGCACTTATTCAGCAGGCATTATGTCCAGGTATTGTGCTAAATGCACTCTAAGGATTCCCCACTGAGTCCTTGGAACTGCTCTATAAGGTGGTGCTACTGTAATGCACGTTTTCCAGATGAGGGAACTGAGGCCCACAGACACTAAATGATTTGATCAAAGCCATATCCAGGATTCTGATCCAGCCCATACCCACTTTTTTTTTTTTTTTTTTTGAGATGGAGTTTCACTCTTGTTGCCCAGGCTGGAGTGCAGCGGCATGGTCTCGGCTCACTGCAACCTCTGCCTGCCGGGTTCAAGCAATTCTCTTGCCTCAGCCTCCCAAGCAGCTGGGAATACAGGTGCTCGCCACTACACCTGGCTAATTTTTGTATTTTTAGTAGAGACAGGGTTTCACCGTGTTAGCTGGGCTGGTCTCAAACTCCTGACCTCAGGTGATCCTCCCACCTCGGCCTAAAGTGCTGGGATTACAGGCGTAAGCCACCTTGCCTGGCCCCTACCCACTTTCCTAGACTGTAGGGTTTGCCTGCCTGTGCCCATCTGTGTGTATGCTAGGGGTCTGCCCCCTTTTTGTCTCCCTTTTACCCACGCTTCTCTGTCAGGACCCAAAGCGCCCTTCCATTCCTCTCTCTCAGGCTCAGCCCCAGGGCCAAGGCAGTGCAGGGAAGGGCTGAGTGCCTGAGGCTGCAGGGATGGGCTCTTCAGAGAACAGGCGCACATCTGCTGTTTCATGTGGCTGAACAAGATCCAACAGGCCGATTTTAGGTAGCAAACCTCAGGTTCCTGAAATGAGCTTGAACTGATGCAGCATTCAAGAAGCCTGGCCTGGGAATTTGGGCCCAGGCACAATCGCAGACATGCTATGTGACCTCTGGCAGGGAGCTTAGCTTTGCTGAGCCTCAGTTTCCATGTCTGTAGAATGGGCATGAGAATAGCTACCTCACAGCATCATGGGGAGGATTAAACATGAGCTGGCACTGGAGGCATCCCATAAACCACAAGCCACTAATAAAGGTGAGGGGGAGATATTATTGCCCTGGGATTAGCGGTGGCCCAGTTCAACCACTAGGAGGAGAGACGGGAAGGACAGACGCAGCCGGCAGGAGCCCAGGTTTTTCCAGTTAGGGTGTGTGCATGTGGGTGGGGAGAGGTGGAAAGGAGCACAGGAAGGAAGGTGGGGCCTCTGTTGCCAGCTGCTGAGTCACCCTCCTCTTTATTCTTCCTTTTACGTTAAAAAAAAAAAAGGTCTTAATTACTTTTTCTGCTTACAAAAGTGGCACATGCTCATCGTATAAAGTTCAAACAACATCAAAATATACAGTGTGGAAGGTAGCTCGTTTCCCATGCTTATGCTCCCCAGATGGAACCACAGTTGACATTTTGGTGTATGTTCTTCCAGATTTTTCTCTGGATGAACAGATGTCTATTTACTAATTAGAGAAGCAGATTCCTTGAAGATAATTTAATTTAATTTAATTAATTAATTAATTAATTTATTTTTTGAGATGGAGTCTCACTCTGTTGCCCAGACTGGAGTGCAGTGGCACGATCTCAGCTCACTGCAACCTCCATCTCCTGGGTTCAAGTGATTCTTCTGCCTCAGCCTCCAAAGTAGCTGGGATTACAGGTGTGCGTTGCCATAGCCAGCTAATTTTTGTATTTTTAGTAGAGAAGGGGTTTTGCCCTGTTGGCCAAGCGGGTCTCGAACTCCTGACCTCAGGTGATCTGCCCACCTTGGCCTCCCAAAGTGCTAGGATTACAGACCTGAGCCACTGTGCCCAGTCCTTTGAAGATAATTTAAAGTGAGGCAGAACTGTGTAATGGGTAGCCTCTCACCACCATCTCAGAACTAACCACTGTTAACAGCTTTGTAGGTATATGCTTGAATGTTTTATATGCATTTGTATCTACAAGTGGGCGTAAAGGTGGGGGGAGGCGTTAATGATTATAGACACAAAGGCCAAGACACCAGCGTACAACTCCCAATAGGTCACTAGTTTGGGCGAGTGACCTCTCTGAGTCTCATTTTCTTCCTCGGAAGATGAGAATTCCACCTTGTTTAGAGTGTGGCTGAGAAAATGAAATGAGATAAAGTATGCTGAGCTCAGCACAATGTCTGGCTCAGCCAGGATTAGCTATTGTTATAGGCCCACACAAAGAGTCTTTTCCTCCTGCAAAAATGGGATCATACTATGCATACACTCCTGCTTGGTTTGGAGGCAGAATTACGGGGAAAGATTAGTCATAGGGATCCTGAAATTTACATTGGAGATGAGAAGTCTTGCATTTAAATTCACAGAATTGGTTGTGCAAATGTAGACTGGGAGAAACCTGGATTTCACAAGCTGAATCATGGCCAACTCTGCCAGGTGGCTGCATCCCCAGATGCTGAGCTCTCTAAGGAGGGAGATGATGGGGCTTCTGTAGCCTGGGTTGCTCAGTCATCTGAGGCTTCCATTCCCCCTCCCTTGCCATGCGGTCTTCCAACTACCTACTTGAAACATTTTGAAACTTCTAAAACTTTCCTCCCTTCCCAATCCCCACCTCCTGCAAACCCGCTTTGTCCTCCAATCTCCCCAGCCACAGCAGAGGCACCAAAATGTGCCATTTGCTTAAACCAGACAGGGGAGGGGTGAGGAATGCTACATTCTGACTTTTCCCTCCCACAGATCACTTTCTCTTGGCCTTTCCTCCCACACGTGCCCACTCCGCCTCCATCCCACCACCCTATAGTTCATTCCCCACCCCACAGCTAGAAGAAATGTTTCAGTTTACTTCGGTCTTTTTGAGTAGGTAGCATGATGGGTTGAATGGTGGCATCCCAAAAGATATGTCCAAAGCTGGATTCCTAGGATCTGTGGGACTGCGACCTTGTTTGGAAAAAAGGATCTTTGCAGATGTAATTAAGTTAAGAATCTTGAGACGAAGAGATCATCCTGGATTATTTGAGTGGGTCCTAAATTCACTGACAAGTGTCTTAATCAGAGTCACATGGGGAAGATTTGACAGAAGGGGCCAGGTGTGGTGGCTCACGCCTGTAATCCCAACATTCTGGGGTGCTTTGCTTGAGCCCAGGAGTGTGAGACCAGCCGAGGCAACATGGCAGGACTTTGTCTCTACAAAAAAATATAAAAGTTAGTTGGGCACGGTGGTGCGCCTGTAATCCCAGCTACTCAGGTGGCTGAGGCATGAGAATTGCTCGAACCCAGGAGGTGAAGGTTGGAGTGATCAGAGATTGCACCACTGCACTCCAGCCTGGGCGATAGAGCCAGAACCTGTCTCAAAAAAAAAAAAAAAAAAAAAAAAAAACAGAGAGAAGGGGAGGAGGCCCTGTAACCACACAGACAGAGATTGGAGCAATGTCCTCGATGCACCAAGAAATGTGTGGCGCCCCAGAAGATGGAAGAGACAGGGAAGAGAAGCTCCCCACAGCCTTGGGAGGAAATGTGGCCCTGCCCACGCCCGGATTTGAACTTCTGGCCTCTGGAAATGTGAGAGAATAAATCGCTATTGTCTGAAGCCACCCAGTTTGTGACAGTTTGTTATGGCAGCCACAAGACAGGAATACAGATGATATCTACATATGGTTAAGATGTCAAAATGATGCAAGAGTGGGTATTGAGAAGTTTGCTTTCATAGGTAAACACTTTTATTAGGTCCTTTTGTATTTTTCCTGGGTTTCTTTATATAGATATAAAAAAGTATACAAGAGGAATACATTTGCTTTCCCTCCCTGCCCCGTTTAGGAGTGATCTTTTAATTTTACTTTTTTTTTTTTTTTTGAGACAGAGTCTTGTTCTGTTGCCCAGGCTGGAGTGCAGTGGAACAATCTTGGCTCACTGCAACCTCCCGAGTAGCTGAGATTACAGGCATGTGCCACCCTGCCTGGCTAATTTTTGTATTTTTAGTAGAGACGGGGTTTTGCCATGTTGGTCTTAAACTCCTGATATCAAGTGATCCACCTGCCTCAGCCTCCCAAAGTGTTGGGATTACGGGTGTGAGCCACCGTGCCTGGCCAGGAGTGATCTTTTAAAATGTGTATCTGACGCTGTCAGTCACGCACTTAGATGAGATCCAAACTCCTCAAGTGGGCTACGCGGCTCCACCCAACCTGGCCTCTGTGCCCCTCTGACCCCATCCCATGGTCTCCTCTTGTCCTCTAGGCTCCAGCCCCACTGTCCTCCTGCATGAAGATCCCACTCTTTTTCTTCTTCTTCTTTTTTTTTTTGAGATGGAGTCTCACTCTGTTACCCAGGCTGGAGTGCAGTGGCGTAATCTCGGCTCACTGCAACCTCTGCCTCCCGGGTTCAAGCAATTCTCCTGCCTCAGCCTCCCAAGTAGCTGGGATTACAGGCTCCCGCCACCACACCCTGCTAATTTTTGTATTTTTAGTAGAGATGGGGTTTCACCATGTTGGCCAGGCTGGTCTCGCACTCCTGACCTCAGGTGATCTGCTTGCCTTAGCCTCCCAAAGTGCTGGAATTACAGGTGTGAGCCACTGCACCCGGCCAATCCCGCCCTCCTTCTGCCAGGTCTTGGTGCCATCCTTGCTCCTGCCTGGACCCCCCAGACCCTTCAGTCCCCACTGTCTTCCTGTAATTCCTACTGAAATTTCATCTCCCCCGAGAAGTCCTCCCTGAACTCCCAATTTAAAATAGCTCCTTTGTTTTTGGCTCTTCTTATCATACCACCCTGTTTACAAAGTGTGAATTCCTGCATTTCACCGAATGTATGCCAATATAAAATTGTCTTGATGATGTTTTATGTATTTTTCCTTCTACCTAATACTATAAATACATCTGTCTCTTTGTTTGTTCCTGTTCCCCGTACCCTACTCTAGACTGTAAATTGAACTGGAATCTGTTTTGTTCACCCCTCCATCCTGGGTGCTGGAAATGGTGCCTGGAACATAGCAAGCCTTCCATAAACATTTGTCAAATACATAAACGAATACTGAAGGCCAAGTACTTTATGGAAACCATGACATACACTAAAGAAAGAGTTCTTAGGTTTTCTCTAAAATAGCTCTCAAATAGCGGGCAGCATTTTGTGTGTGCATGTGTTATTCAGGACCACGGCATCCTATTTCACCTCCTTTGTGTGGGCCATTGAGCCATACCCTGCAGCCATTTCAGGGTGCCCTTCCTGCTGTCCCCTTCTCAGAGAGGCAGCTCTCAGGGAGCCTTGGGAACCTTTCTTTCTGAAGCAGAAAAAAAGTCTCTCTCCTGAGCCAACTTCTTCAGGGCACAGAAGGAGGTGGAAGATGGTGCCTCCAGAGGGGCTGCTGGTTCCAAGGCCAATGGCATCTTGGGATCCTTGTTGGGAACCCTGAGTCAATTCTGGTGGGTGACATCTCCCAGGGCCTTCTTCCTGGCCAGAGGCAGCTGGGGGATCTCCCATAGGCTGGAGGACCAGATTGAACACTGCTCTTACCAAGCTGGTATGGAAGGTGGCACCCTGGGTTTGCTTCCTGATGTAGCTACTTACCAGTTAGGGGGCCCTGGGCATGTTTCTAACACTTTGAACTTGTCCTCCATCTATAAGGACCAGAATATATACCTCACAGGTTGTTTGTTGTTCTATAAGGACCGGAATAGCCACCTCATAGGTTGATATCACAAATGAGATAATATGTGTAAAATAAATTAACAGAGCTGGGCACAGAGTTAAGGGCCCAACAAATTATCGTTACTTTTGTTATTATTATTATTATTTTTTGAGACAGGGTCTCATTCTGTTGGCCAGGCTGGAGTGCAGTGGTGTGATCACAGCTCACTGCAGCCTCCATCTCCCAGGCTCAAGCAGTCTTCCTGCCTCAGCCTCTAGAGTAGCTGGGACCACAGGTGCATACCACCACACTCTGCTAATTTTTGCATTTTTTTGTACAGACAGGATTTTGCCGTGTTGCCCAAGCTGGTCTCGAAATACCGGGCTCAAGTGATCCACCGCCTCGGCCTCTCAAAGTGTTGGAATTAGAGGTGTGAGCCGCCGCACCTGGCCATTATTATCTTAATAACAAGTATTGTCTGACCTCTCTGGCTCTTGTAAAAGCATAATGACAATATGCCTCTCATAGCAAGGATCAAATGAGGTCATGGGATGGAAAGTGCATTTTGTGCTGGGTTTGGGTTTGGTGGCTCACACCTGCAATCCCAGCACTTTGGGAGGTCGAGGTGGGAGGATTGCTTGATTGCCCAGGAGTTTGAGACCAGCCTGGGCAACATAGTGAAACCCCATCTCTACAAAATACTCAAAAAATTAGCTGGGTGTGGTGGTGCCTGTAGTCCTAGCTATTTGGGAGGCTGAAGTGGAAGGATTACTTAAGCCCAGGGTGTGGGGGCTGCAGTGAGCCGTGATTGTGTCACTGCACTCCAGCCTGGGTGACAGAGTGAGACCCTGTCTCAAAAAAAATTAATTGAAAGTTCATTCTGAAATGCAAAATCCTACAGAAATGTGTTAGGTAATAGTCCCTGATAACATTAATCATAGAAAGTCTTTGTAAGCAAGGAAACGTGTCCTTTCAGGGAAGACCACAAGAGGGCACCCTCTCCCCCTGCCAGTGCCATGCCTCATCACCCACTACTCCAGGAGGGTCTGGTCCACCCCTCCCTGTAAGTAAAAGGAGGTACAGCTCCTCCATCTGGGAAGAGCCTGGGCCCTAGGCTCTGTCCTGGGGACTTTTCGCTGGACTTGTCACATGGGGTGCCCATTCCTTCTCTATAGAATGGAGGCCCATGTGGTGGCATTGAGGGATGTGTTTGAAAGTGTTGCTACTTATAGAGCTGTGCTCAGAAATGGTCTCAACCCTGCATTTCTGCACGTGGGGTGCAGGATCTCATATTTACATGCGATGATGGAGTTTCTTCTCCAATGCAGGAGTTCTCTGGCTGTCTTTTTCACAGCTGTCTCTCCAGCCTCAAGCACAGGTAGGCATGCGTAAGTGCTTTAGTGGCACTGGGTGAGTAAAGAGGCTGCTCCTTTACCTGGATATTTACCATTATTCCTGCCCACTTCCAACCCCGATACCCCCAGGAATCTCAAACCACAGCGTGCCACCTGTCTGTGGGATTCGAGAAGCCCCATCTGACCTGGTGATCCATTCCCCAAGCATGTGGAAAGGGAGTTCTGGAAGGAACCATGGCAAGGACAAGGACTGTGAGCTTTGAGAAAGCCCCAGTGTCTGGTTGGGTCCTGTTTCAAAGCTGAAAAAGGAAGAGGTGCAGTGGCCAGTGGATGGGGCCTGGAGTGCCCCGGTCTGTCCCTGCACTCCCTCCCTGGGCTCCTTGGTGGCCTGTGGCCTTGTGGAATCTCAGGCCCCTCAGTAGGGAAGTGCTGCTACCCAGGCCTCCTCTCAGCTCCTGGGATGCACAAGAGAGATGCGGGGACGCCCTTTGCATTTGAGGATCATCAGGTGAGAGGCAGTTGATATGGTTTGGCTCTGTGTCCCCACCCACATCTCATCTTGAATTGTAATCCCCAGGTGTCAAGGGAGGGGCCTGGTGGGAGGTGATTGGATCATGAGGGCAGTTTCCTCCATGCTGTTCTTGTGAGAGCTGGTGAGAGTGAGTTCTCATGAGAGCTGATGGTTTTAAAGTGTGGCACTTCCTCGCTCTCTCTCCCCGCTGCTGCCATGTAAGACGTGCCTTGCTTTCCCTTCCTCTTCTGCCATGACTGCAAGTTTCCTGAGGCCTCCCCAGCCATGCAGAACTGTGAGTCAATTAAACTTCCTTTCTTTATAAATTACCCAGTCTCAGGTGGTATTCTTTATAGCAGTGTGAAAACGGACTAACACAGTGGTTTTTCAGGTGGTGTTTTTTTTTCCCCTCAAAATATGGCAGTTTGGAGGATCACGCCAAGGCAGATAACCATGTGAAAAGTGTCCTCATGTGCTGGCCACGCTGCCTATGGCACAGCTAATGTCCAGTGTTACTGCAGGGCCTGGCTAATGTCCAGAGGCCACTGTGAATCCAAACACCTGTGTGAGATGTGAACTGGCTTCACATTTCACACTCTTTCTTATTTGACCTGGTCAGTCACACCATTGTGACTGACAGAGAGGGGTTGCCACATGGCTAGATCCCAAGTGCCCCAAGAAGCCCTCACTGAGCTTCAAGGGACACTCTCCATCCCCTAACCCTCCATACCAGGGAAGCATCCCCAGACATGGCTGCTTCCTGGGGCCTCCAACTGCCAGGATGTGGGTCCTGACTGCTATCTATGTGGCCTCCCAAAGTGGCTGTGTGGAGCCACTTGGGGGTGTTCAGCTGGGCCTGTCAGGTTCTTTCCCTGCCTTCGCCACCTCCCCCCTTCCCCAAATTCCCAGAAAGAAACAGGACAGGAGCCAAGGGCTGGAACTTTATTATTGTCACAGAGCACAGGAGAGACCGCTTGGGTCTCAATGAAGGTTTGCTTTTCCTCTTCTCCAGGGGAAGCTACTGCAAGAAGGCCCACCAGCCAGGCTAGGTCAAATGGGGTTGGGGCCACAACATGATAGTTAAACCCATAAACACAGACTTGATTCGATCCCAGCTTCACGACTTCTTAGCTGTGTGACCTTAGGTAAGTCTGTTAACCTCTCTCAGCCTTGGCTTTGTGGAGTGGAGTGAAGAGCAGGGCCTGCTTCACTGGGGTGTTATCAGGATGGAGGGGGACAAGGCCTATGAAAGTGTTTAGCACAGCGCCTGGCAGATCGTGACCAGTCACGGAGTGGAAGCTATCATGATCAAATCTGATTTCTCCACGGTCAGGCCAGCCCTGTCACTACGGATGAGGAAGAGGGGGTCTCATTTCATAAATGCCTTCAATGCGGCCTGTGAGAAAGACAGCTTGGGACACCTGTGTGAGCTGCCTAGTCTCTGGCAATGTGGGAGTCGGACCCAAACATGAGGGTTCTGGGGCCTTGGCACTTACTACCATTTCTACATCTCCATGAAAAGCCCTAGCAAGAGTACGGGGAAAGTTCTAATTTTTTTTTTTTTGAGACAGAGTTTCGCTTTTGTCCCCCACGCTGGAGTGCAGTGGCGCGATCTCAGCTCACTGCAACCTCTGCCTCCCGGGTCCAAGCAATTCTCCTGCCTCAGCCTCCTGAGTAGCTGAGATTATAGGTGGCCACCACCATGCCCAGCTAATTTTTTGTATTTTTAGTAGAGACGGGGTTTTGCCATGTTGGGCAGGCCGGTCTTGAACTCCTGACCTCGTGATCCACCCGCCTGGGCCTCCCAAAGTGTTGGGATTACAGGTGTGAGCCACCGCGCCCGGCCGGAAAGTTCTGATTTTGCACCTGGATTACATTAGGTCTTCTGTCATTCAGTTAGTTAGCATTCTCTATAGGCAGTCAGAGAGGCTGACTTTTAAAATTATTTAGGTATTTTTTAGAGACAGGGTCTCCCTATCTTGCTCAGGCTGGAGTGCATTGGCTATTCACAGGCACAATCATAGCTCTCTGCAGCCAGGAACTCCCAAGCTCAAGTGGTCCTCCCCCGTCGGCCTCCTCAGTAGCTGGGACTGTAGGCACTCACCACTGTGCCTGACTTTTTATTTTTGTAGATTTTGCTTTTGGCTAAGAAATTGCCATAGGCCATTGGACTTGAAATCAGCGCTGGCCCTGCCTTTTGCTGTCTGGGCGACCTTGGGCTGGCCACTTTACCTCTCTGAGCCTCACTGATCCCACAGATCTACGTAAGGAGGGCTTTGAGGATGAACCAGCCTGTGGAAGTAAATGAGAGGAAGTGATGGGGGCATTGCTGGTGGTGCAACAATGGAGAGGGTTTCAGTAGTCACTGGCTCAAAAGTGAGGGGGCAAAAGGAACCTCAGTGTGTGTGTGTGTGTGTGTGTGTGTGTGTGTGTGTCCAACGTCTTGTAGCAAGGTTAGCAATCACCATGTGTAGGGGAAGAGCCATAGTGTTCCTAGGGTGGGTAGAGATGCCACAAGAGGGCGTTCTGAGTTTTCATCTTCTCTACCTTGAAAAATTTTCCATTTGTTCTCTGGCTGCATTCCAAATCGAACGAAGACTTAAGGTTTTTAGTTTACCTAACTGATTGAATACACTTTTAAAATGAATTCATGTGTGTTTACTAGTTTATCAGTCATGTGGATGCAATACCGCAGCCCCTGTCGCAAGGCGCGTTGGGAAGTGGGTTGAGGGTGTGGTGGAGACAAGAAACGCATGCCTGATGGTGTCCTGGTTCAACCGCTGCTCAGCCGGGTGGCCTTGGACAAATTTCCCAAGAGTACGGCAGTGCTGAAGTTCCCACATCCAGCCTCACAGGGATGTTATGAAATAGACACGATGGAAAGAAAAGCAACGCAAAGGTTTGGAACATGGTTCATAAGCCCTCTTACCTCCAGGGACAGCCTTCTTCTTGAACCCTCATCCTGTGAGCCAGCCGAGGCCCCATTGGGGGGCAACTGTGGGGTGGGAAGGAGGCAAATCCAGCTGTGAAACCATGACCTCAAGAACAGTATTTCCAGGAATCCCCATCTTAGCATCTAAGGGATTCCTGGGAAAACTGGACCGTGAGGACAAGGTGGGAGCGAGTGGCCTTCAGCGCCAAGGCCGCCGTGTCCCTAAGGACCAGCTGGAGTTCTCTTCTGCATCCAGCCCCATCTGTAGCAGCCAGGGTGGGGTGCCACACGTCGCCGGATGTGGCTTATTGCTCTGGGGGGGAGTAGTGACCGGAACTTCAATTGCCCTGAAAAGTACCGGAAACCCTCTGGCGCCCCCACCCCCAGGACTGCCCTCTGCTGTCTGCACGGCTCATGTGTATTCCCCAGTCTCCTGCCAGAGGGGTGGATTTAAACCAACCATTCAGTTCCTAGCCTGGGTTTGGCAACTTCCTCTCTGATAACCTCCAGTAAGTCACTTAACCCCTGAGCCTTGGCCTTCTTTAATTATAAAATGCATGAGTCCACGACCTACTGGAGAGGTGAGATGAATAAGATTGGGGGAAGGGGGTAGGAGGAAGGAAGCCTGTAGTATTAATGGCAAGTGTCCGGGTCTGTCTTTGCTAAAAGTGACCTGAGATGTAAAGACAAGATGGGAGCAGAATTTAGAATGTTCTCCTCCTGCTCCTCGGTCCCAGGTTCCATAATCACATGCAATGGGTAAAAACATGGATTTGAAGGCAGATTAGGGTACAATCTCAGCTCAGCACAATCAATATGTGACTTTAGGTGAGCTGCTTAAATAAGCCTCAGTTTTTCTCATCTGTAAAATGGGGCTATAACACCACCCACTTCCCAAGCTTTTGGGGAGGTTAAATGAGACTGTGCTTGGCTCCATGGCTCTCCTCTGCTGCTCATTGTGCTTCTGAAGCCTCTGGGAGAAGTCAGACATTTGTGACGTGCCTGGACTGGTTTCGGCAATACCCCGGAGCCAAGGTTAGAAGTACAGAGTGAAGACCCTGACTCAAAGGCCAGAATTTTTATCTTCAGGGCTGAAAGGGTTTTTAGGAATTGTTTGATCCACAAATGATGAATGAGTTTCAGCTGTGAATCAGTACTAGTGGCTTTCCAGGGCTCATTGTTGAGGATTCTGAAGCTGCATCTGAGCACTTCAAGAATGGATGCCTGGCGGGGCGTGGAGGCTCATGCCTGTAATCCCAGCACTTTGGGAGGCCGAGGCGGGCAGATCACCTGAAGTCAGGAGTTTGAGACCAGCCTGGCCAACATAGTGAAACCCCATCTCTACTAAAAATACAAAAATTAGCCAGGTGTGGTGGCGCACACCTGTAATCTCAGCTACTTGGGAGGCTGAGGCACGAGAATTGCTTGACCCTGGGAGGAGGAGGTTGCAGTGAGCTGAGATTATGCCACTGCACTCCAGCCTGGGTGATGGAGTGAGACTGTGTCTCAAAAAAAAAAGAATATATGCCTTTACTGATTAGCTGTGTCTGCCATGGGCTCAGAAAGAGAAAGCAGAGGCAGGGTGCTGGGGAAATGCTAACGCCTCATGCTAAGATGGACACACTGGGGTACACAGAGGAGTCAGGACATGCCCAGACTCGTGAAGCAGATCGTGGCACCAGGGGAACTTGTGTAGAGGAACTTCCCCAGCATCACAAGTGGCTGATAGTATGGAGTCTGGAAACACTCTGTCCTTCCTGTTATGGCCCCCCACAACCCCCCAGCACTTACCACTTCCAGGCTGATGGCTGCAGAACAACTTCTCTCTTCCTGAGCTACAGTGCTTCATCTCAGACTCCCAACTGACCAGAGATGCAGCACTGCACCTCAGGCTGGGAGACAGGGCGCTGCGCTGCTCCGCTCTGGTGGCCTGTGGCGGGACTCCAACCTGGCCAGGAGAAGGGGTGTTAGAGGGGACCTGGGCTCCACCTCTCCAGCTCTGGCCGGGAGGCTGTTGTAATTCCTCACAACTGTGTTTCCTGTCTGTGGCCTGCCATTTGAGCACCCAGGACCAAACCTTGACCTTTTTTCTCTTCTTTTCTTTGTTTCTTTCCTTTTCTTGTCAAGAACAGCTTAATTTAGAAGGAGGACATTTAGTGAGTACAATTAACAGGTTTTTAATATATTCACAAAGTTGTGCAAACAATGGCACAATATATTTTAGGTTATTTCACCATCCAAAAAAGAAGCTCCTTATCCTTAGACAACCCCTAGTCCTGGGCAGACCAGTTTCTATCTCTATAGATCTGTCTATATATTTTCTGGATATTTCAATACATGGAATTATTTAATATGTTGACCTACCTTTTGATGCCATGCCCCACCTTTATGCTTGGCGCATTCCAGCCTAACAGCATCATTCATGGTACTTAACATTTTATATCATCGAGCAATCAATTGTCTCCAACCTATCTTTCTTCTGCCACTCCTCCTCTCTTCCCAGCCATCTTCCCATAATGATTTTTCAAGATGCAAATATGCTCATATCTTACTCAAGTTTAATATCCCAAAAGGGCTCCCCATTGCCCTCAGGCTGAATTCTGAAGCCCTTCCCAAAGCCTGCGAGGGTCTGCCGCATCTAGCCCCAGTGACCTCTTCCTCTTGGGCTACAGCTCATAGATGTCCTTCCATTCTCCTAGGGAGCCCTGTGCCCACCCACTTCGGGCTCCCAGGGACTGTGCTGCTCCCCGTCACTCTCCCTGCCCATCTCTTCCTCCTGTGCTAGGTCTCTAATCAAGTGGCCACTCTGGGAAACCCTCCTTGACTTTTTTTTTTTTTTGAGACAGAGTCTCCCTCTGTCGCCCAGGCTGGAGTGCAGTGACACGATCTCGGCTCACTGCAAACTCCACCTTCCGGGTTAAAGCAATTCTCATGCCCCAGCCTCCCAAGTAGCTGGGACTACAGGCGTGCACCACCATGCCTGGCTAATTTTTGTATTTTTAGTAGAGACAGGGTTTCACCACGTTGCCCAGGCTGGTCTAGAACTCCTGACCTCAGGTGATCCACCCGCCTTGGTCTCCCAAAGTGCTGGGATTATAGGCATGAACCACAGTGCCCAGCCCCTCCTTTACTTCTTTAGCCATCAGCACCCCCTGCTTCATGTTCTCGCCCACCCGGTGCCCTCTTTCTAACCCTTTACCATGCTGGTAATGTGGTTTTCACTTACGACCACCTCCACTTGTGGACTACATGGCTCACCTGTGAAGGGAAGGGACCCTGTCAACTGTGCTCACTACTGAAATCAGGGCCAGGTGGTGTAGATGCCACATAAGCCCAGGTTGAATGGCTGAATCATAATTCCCAATCTCATTATCTCTAGTATCAGTGTTATTTGTGTGTGGGTCTGACCTGGCTAGATCTCCACTTCCTGAGGACAGTGCCTGTGTCTTGTTAATTTGGGGGGCCCTGGGTCTGACCTGTGGCTTGGTACATGATGATGGACCTAGGTAATGCCATTTGGTGGCTGATTGGATGACCATGTAGATAATTCATTTTGTTTTCTGGGCCCGGCTTGGGTGGGAACTTTCAGGTGAGCAGGCAAAGCCCCTTCTCACTCTTCCTGCCCTGCCAAGATCTCAGGGCACCCCAGAGGACCTTCTTGCATTGCTTAGTGGTCACTGTGGTGGCCTTGATGTTGGATGACATATATTTTCAGGAATGTCTGAAGGGGATGGGTAGCCTTTCTTCAGGGCTGAGAGAGAACAGAAAAAATATACCTCCTTAAAAAAACAAAAACAGAGCTGGGAGCAGTGCTCATGCCTGTAATCCTAGCACTTTGGGAGGCTCAGGCAGGAGGATCGCTTGAGCCTAGAGTTCAAGATCAGCCTGGGCAACATGGGGAGCCCTTGTCTCTAATAAAAAAAAAAAAAAAGGCTGGGAGCAGTGGCTTACACCTGTAATCCCAACCCTTTGGGAGGCCAAGGTAGGCGGATCACCTGAGGTTGGGAGTTCGAGACCAGCCCGGCCAACATGGTGAAACCCTGTCTCTACTAAAAATACAAAAATTAGCCAGGCGTGGTGGCGGGAGCCTGTAATCCCAGCTACCTGGGAGGCTGAGGCAGGAGAATGGTTTGAACCCGGGGAGGTGGAGGTTGCAGTGAGCCGAGATCTTGCCATTGCACTCCAGCCTGGGTGACAGAGTGAGACTCCGTCTCAAAAAAAAAAAAAAAAGTCTGTCTCTTACACTCAGTCTGGGAAGAGTGGAAAGAGTGTTTCCCTCTGGTCTATCATGCCAGCAGGCAGGTCAGTAGGTCAGTTCTGACAGCCTGTGTAGAGGACAGCCTCTGTCTAAGGTATTCCCAGCCAGATAACTGCTTTCCTCTTCTGTGGAATTATCTTGCAGAAACTCTTTTCAACTGCATTTGGTGGCTGGGCACAGTGGCTCACGCCTGTAATCCTGAGCACTTTGGGAAGCCGAGGCAGGTGGATCGCTTGAGCCCAGGAGTTCAAGACCAGCCTGGGCAACACGATGAAATCCTGTCTCTATCCAAAAATACGAAAAATTAGCCAGTCTCATAGCCTGGTCTCTACATAAATAAATAAATAGATTTTTTAAAACCGTGCATTTGGCTGGGGAGTGATTCCGACATTGGACTCCCTCGCAGGTCACAGACAGCTGGTCTATTCCACTCTCCACGGCTCCCACTGCCCCTGAGAGAGAAGAGCTTAGTGTGGTCAGCAAAGAGATTTCAATAAGAATCAGGGAGGGTTATCCTGGAAAAGAGATGATTTGCTGCTGAGAACTAAGCTGACAAGGTGTGTCCTCTGCCTTCACTTGGTGCGTGATTATTTCCAAAGCCCTTTCACATAAACTACCTTTGGCTTCTCACGTGCAGCTGGTGGGTAAGTGGTTTTGGGGAGTTTGTAGTCTCTGCTGGGAGACAGGACACAACAGAATGGAAAGCGAATTGACAGGGAGCATTCTGTTGTGGAATGGATCAGTTGCTCCCTGTGAATTTGCTTTCAGTCCTATTTACCGTGGGGTACAAAGCCTCAGTTTGCTGCTATCATGTCTTTGACACCTTTCTAACTCTCACTTATTGCCCAGGCTTCAGGCCCAGGGCCTTGCAAGCCACACTATCAGGTTAAACCATAATAACATTGTTTCATTTTTACTGTATTTATGGTTACCTTTATTTCCTAATTAGGCACAGTGTTAGAGTTTGCTATTTACAGTAGCTATTTCTATGTGTAATAAAAAGGACTCATCCTACATTTAAAAATATTATAATCATTTGCAGACATGGAAGAAATAAAATAGGGGGCATCTGAATGACTGAGTTTGGAAAACAGAGTCCGATACCATTTAATCATCAGAATGGCTGGTGCTGCTGGCAAGGGAATGTTATTGCTCCTACATGGAGGACCAGGAAGGGGATTGTTCCAGGGTCACAGGGCCTGAGCTTGGACCAGAGGAGTTGAAGACCATTTCCACCAAGGCCATTTCCATTCCAAGATGTAGGCTAAGATTATTGCAGCAAAGATAGCATCTCCCCTAGGTTTAGAAACGAGAACTAGATGGGAGGTAGTCCCATGCTTCTGAAGGAGAAACTGATGCAGGGAGAAGGGCTGAGGCACAGCCTCTGACCAGGGGAAGGTGTTTGCCTCCATCTCCTCTGTGGCCCTTGAATCTGCTTGCCCCTTGCTGTTGGTGCCTCGTTCTGTTCCTTTGTGTCTGGAATAATCATCGTGATAATGAATGTAATAAGCACAATCATTTGTGGAATTTTATAGTCCTGGATATTGAATGTTTTCTTTGTGCAAGTCCTTGTGCATCCACAAAGCTCCATGGGAAGGGAATTTTCCAAGGGTACAGAGCTGAGAACTGAGCTGGGGTTCCTAACCCAGGGCCCTCGTTTTAACCTCTACGCTGAATGTCTCATGCCCTGTCCAATTGGCCAGGCCTTGGTTTGGGGGCAGGGTCTAATCATTTCACCTGTCCCTTCAGCGCACTGCCTCTTCTATGTGCCAAGGGGAAGTGGGACTGAGAGCCTCGCTGTCCTTGACCTGGAGGACCTCGGTCAGATTGAGTAGAAGGAAAATTCCCCTCACAAGGTGAATAGGGGGCAGACTCAAGTGGGATGAGGAGAGAGAGAGAGAGAGAGCCCAAGAAAGGACAGCCAAGCACACCTGGAGGACAAAAAGGTTCCCACCCCTGGGGAAGCTGAGAAGGCTTCCTGGAGGAGGAGTCAGTGCAGCTGGGCTATGAGGAGGGGCAGAGGGGCCGGGAGGGAGGTGCTTCTCCTGGCTCCAGCAGCTCTTCCCTTGAGTCTTGCATACTTAGCACTTGTCCCAACCCCTGCCTCCTTCACATGAGGGCCTTACTGAGAAGAGGGGTCTATGGCCACCCCCCACCCCGCCCCATTCCACTTACCCCACCAAAGGCTCCCTCCTACTCTGGATCCCCAGTCAGGATGAGAGACACCGCTTGGGGGTCCCAGGTTCCACTTCTTAACGAGGCCCTTCTTTCTGTGGCTGCTTCCCCTTCTGTGAAAGGTGATGTTGAACCAGGTGGCCTCAGTTTTACCTGGCGGCTCTGGGTGCCGGCTCCCGGCAGTGTGGGGGACAGCTCCTGGGTGGATGGGCTGTTTCTGCCTCTGTGTTCCCCATGTCTTCAGGAAATGTCTCTGGCTGTGGGGGACCTCTGTCTTCTGTTGGGAGGCTTGGAGAGGCGTGGGTGAGCTGGGGAGGAGAAAATAAACAGTGGCTGTCTGGGTTTTCTCGCCAGGCCTGAGCCAGGAGGCCTCCCTGAGCTCCTTCCCTTATATGGCCAGGCTGCTCTGGGCTGGGAGCTTGCTGCAGTGCACCCCCACCCTCCACCACCACTCAGAGGGCCAGGGGCCACTGCTGGTCACCCAGGACTCTGCTGCTGCAGAAGCCAGAGCAGGGCTAAAGGTGGAGGGCAGGCCCCAGGACGTGTGCCAGGAATCGCCTGGACAACCTGGGCAACTGGGGAGGATTTATGTTGAGATAAGGGATGGGGGAGAGGAACACCCAGAGAAAGAGGGGACCTACCCCATCCTGACTTAACCCCCAACTCATGGTGTGATCCTAACCAAGCCCTTTCCCTCTCTGGGCTTCTGTTTCTCCCCCTGTCAAATGAGGGTGTGGAAAATAAGAATTAATTCTCACACTCATTCTGTGAGGTGGCAGCTTGTGTAACCTCATTTTGCAGAAGGGAAAACTGGCTTGGAGAGGCTAAGTAATTTGACCACAGCTTTCCAGCTGAAAGGGAGCAAGGCAGGATTTGAACTCGGGGCCTTCCGATGTCAAGGTCTGTGTTCTGAATTGGCTGGTTGTCAAGGCTCCCGTTGCGGGTCACAGTCACTTTCATGTGCCTTATGGAAAAGGGATTCTGTGAAGTTGCAATCCTGGAAGACCAGGGAGGCCCCAGTGCCCAGTGACCCAGCCCGAAGGAGGCTGTTTCATGAAGGAAGGGGAACAGGGCCTGTAAGTATTCACCCTGGTGTCCCCGGCACATCACACAGGGCGTGGCACAGGCTCAGGGATCAGAAAGGAGTGATGTGGAATCACCAAGAAAGGAAGTTTCAGCAGTCACACCCGTCCTCTCACCCCCAGACACATTCTGAGGATGAAAGAAAACAAGGCATGAGAAAGCACCAAGATGCCACCTTTAAGACAGCATTGTCTGTTCAGAAGCTCTTTCTTCCCTCTGAAGCATGCCCCGAGTCTCATCCCCAGGCCAGTGTCTTCTGAGCTGACTCCCCGCTCAGCCCAGCTGCAGGACTGAAAGATGAGGTCAATCTGCTCAAGGACGGGGCTCTGCTCACAGCCCGCAGCAGTGGCCATGGGAGAGGCTGCCGGAGGGGAGGGTGAGGGGGGAAGTGGGGGCGGGTCTGGGAACAGCTCGGAAATGTGCCTCGCAAAAGCACTAACATCCTGTGCGCTGTTGAGCTAGCCCTGGAACCTCCCTCACCCCATCCATCACTGTGGCATCCTCTCAGACCCCAACCCCCTTCCTGAGGCCCACGGGTGGGGTGAGGGAGCCAAGGACCGACTGTCAGTGTGTCCGAGAGACCACAGCTGGCAGTTCTGCAGGTCTGTTTAGTGTCGGAGCCGGACAGTCGGGGGGAGGAGGCGCCTGTAGCCCTCCTAATCCAATTTGTTTAAACCCAGTCTCTGTGGCTTATTTGCCAGTGAGGGAGGACTGGGTGTGCGCTGTGCCGGGGTGCACGTTTGCACACATTTGTGGGGCCTGCAGGGGTGAACAGGTGGACCATGTTATGTAAGACAGGCCTGGGCCTTGTCCCACATCCCTGGATGTCAGCTCCTTTCCTGGAACCCGGCCTCCTCCTCCCTTCTCCTCTGCTCACCTCCAAATCTTCCTGCACTTTTTCCATCCACATGAGAACTGGTGCCAGAATTCTCCTTTGCAACTGACTCTACATGCAACTCTGAGTGAATGCTTTCACCTCTCCAGGCCTCAGTTTCTCCACTCATCTTATGGAGCTGGCACCTCACCCTACCTGTTCCACCATGTGCATGAACTTAAAAAATTGGCAAGTGTGGGAATAATGTGATGAATGGTAAAAACTGCTCTGTTTTCTTGAGTTTCACTATGTGCCAAGGGCTGTGCCTGGGGACACCAGCCCAACCTCACAAATCCTCTCAAAGCCCTATGAGCTGGCTCTTTATCACTAGGCTCAGAGAGGTTGAGTGACTCGTCCAAGATCACACAGCCCCAGGTCTTCCTGCTTTGGGAGCTCAACCCTGTTTACTCCTTTCTAGGGAAGATTACTATTATTTTCCACATTTCTTTCAAGTCTGTTATTCACCGAATCAAGTTGAGTAACAGAGGCTTTATGTCCAAATCACACGGGCTTTGCATTGCTATTTCGTAAGGAGGATGGGGTAGACCGGATTCTTGGCTCCTAGTTGGATTTCCCTTCTTGGGTTCCATTTCTTTTTACCTACAACCCAGACGCTGACAGCCCTGAACTGCCCGCACTGCCACCAATCAGTGGGGGGTCTTCCTTTACCAAGGCCCATTCTGCTTCTTGTCATCCTCAGGCCCAGTTTCTTGGTCATTCTGAGGTTAGGGTGGGGAGTTTATCCTGAGGGACCCAGGATACTCCAGGAGCCACCTGCAGGTGGGCTGGGGTGGGGAGCGGATGTGGGTGCCGGAAGGGTGGAGGTGGGGTGGGCTCACAGTTCTGTCTCCGGGCTGCCTGCTGCTGGCCCTCCTCTGGTCCCAGGAGGCTGCTTCTCCAGAGTTCTTGCTTCTCTGACATCAGCATGGCGGGGTGGCTCCCACCAGCTAGCGCCCTTGCCTGTAAGAAACAAAGATCCCACCTGTCAGAAGGACACCAGGGTGCCCTACGGGTACGGTCATGGCCTTTGAGGGTCCTGACCAGGCTGCCAGGCTCTGAGGGATGGAGAATGGGCCTGGGCCACTTCTGGATACTCTTGGGCTAAACCTACTGAGATCTTCCGGGCCTCAGAGATCCTGCCCCTTGGGCCCTGAGCAGCCATTATCCCTTCTTGGCCTGCCTGGCTTTTAAGGGAGAGCTTGTGAGAAACTCCAAGCTCCAAGAGCAGGAGGAGCCACCTTCCCTTCTCAGCACACCCAGGCCCCTTAACAAAAGAACTGTCCTGAAAGGAAATTTCCCAGAGGCTCCTCTGACCAATGCCCCCACCTCAGCCTCACACATAAGAAAGGAGCATGTAGGATTAAATCGAAACCTGGGGTTAACATGATGACCAAGACCAAAGGGACAGGCTTGTGGCTGTCTTTGACCCCTTCCGTGTACACAAAGCTTTCAGCCTTCAAAACACTCCCGTAACTCAAGGCACATTCGCTGATGTCGCCAGAGGCAGGAATAATTCTTCCCCTTTCTGAAGTTCCAGGAGCCTGTGCGATTTGCCCAGGGTCACCTGTGGAACAGCTTGAGAGGCAGACTTGAACCCAGGCTCCTGATGCTCAATCCAGCTTTCTCTTGGGTGTGGGCAGTGGCCGGCTGGATGACCACACGTCAAAGCTATCATCGCCACGGTCGTTGCGAAAGCCCCTGTGCCCTTTCCTGGACTTTCTCATTTCCAAGAAACACGAGGGGCTGGGAATGGGCCACATCTGCGAGCCAGATGGCACCTCAGTGAGAGAGGGCTGAGGCCAGGGCTCCAGGCAAGCTCACGAACCCATGCTCACACCCAGCTCTTTCTGGAGGGACCTCTTTGCCCACGGTTCCCCTGTCTCAGCGCACTCAAACCTGTGCACTTGTTACAGCCGTTGCTCTCCTTGGGCTCCAGGGCCGTAGGGTTTCCACCACATGTCTGGAAAGAAAAGACACAGGCCTTGGAGTCATGCAGACCTGTGTTTGAATCTCGCCTCTAGCACTTCCTGGCTGTGTGATCTAAAGCCGGTGTCTTCACCTCTCTGAGCCTGTTTCCGACCTCACAGCCTTGTTTGTGAAGGTCAAATGAGGCAGATGTCAAGTGCGAGCATATTTCCAGGCACATCATAAACCTATGATAAATGGCTGCCATTTCTATTATTAGCATGGGGCTGGGGCCATAGCAAAGCCCAACCATGGGAGGAACAGCAGAAGCAGGGAGAGAGCAAAGGTCTGAAGAGGCATCTGGGGAAGCTGTGGGAGCCCTTGCGTGGCCCTTTCCATGTCCCCTTTGTCGCACAGCTTCCCTGGGCCTCTGTTCCCAGAGTGCCCTCCCACCCCCTTGACACCCCAGCTGAGTTCACCAACCTCACACGCTCCCCACTTCCTCCCCAGGGAGGGTCGCTCTGGGGAGTTTTGAGCAAGCTCTGGGAACGCAGTTTGAGGCTGAAACAAGAGCATTGCAGGGAAAAGGGAAGAGAGGAAAAAAAAAAGACCTGCCCAGCCTAGAATCCCAAGCCTTGCCTCGAGCAGCTCAGGCCCTGCGGGCAGGTGGGGCATAGACACCAGGATCCCTGTGAGTCTCTGTCACTTGGCCCCTCGGTGAGGGCAGAAACTGGGAAAAGAGTGACAAAGGTAAGAACCATCACCTGTCCGGCTGACTGTGCAATAGGCACATTGGGACACGCTGTAATCATAATGAGAGCTCACATGTCATTGGGTGCTTCTGATGCACCCCACACTTGCCAAGTGCTTTATTTTACACAGCTTTTCTCATCTGATCCTCAAAGTCACTTATGAGTTAAGTACCAATAATTTTCTTTTCTTTTTTTTTTTTTTAAAGAGACAGGGTCTCACTCTCCAGGACCTTGCTTTCCAGGGCAACACCTATTGCCCAGGCTGGAGTGCAGTGGCACAGCCAGCTCACTGTAACCTTGAACTCCTGGCTCAAGCGATCCTCCTGCCTCAGCCTCCTGAGCAGCTGGGACCACAGTCACATGCCACCATGCCCAGCTAATTTTTTATTTGTTAATTTTTTGTAGAGATGGGGTCTTGCTATGTTGCCCAGGCTGGTCGTGAACTCCTGGCTTCAAGTGATCCTCCTGCCTTGTCCTCCTGAAGCACTGGGATTAGAGGCATGAGCCACTGTGCCTGGCTGAATTAGGTACCATTCTTTTAATTTTTCTTTTCTTTACTCAGAGATCCTTGTTTTGAAGAATTAGGTACCATTCTTATCTCCACTTTACTGAGGCGCCAGTGGTCACAGCACTCCCTCCTGGTTACACAGCTAGTAAAGATTGGCTCCAGGCAGCCCCACACACATTCTCACGGCTCCCTTGTAAGACCAACTGCTCATCGTATCATTTTTACAGAGTGATAACCGGAGTCATTATCTCTTGGCAATATTTAGGTGTGTGTTAGTCTTTCTGGAGAGGGGTTTGTGAACAGAGAAAGCATTGTTAGTATAAGTGAAGACCATCTGAACCCTGGAAAGCCATCTGTCTCCAGAAGCAAGGGGGCTTCTCCTTTTGGTGGTGGTGTTCTGCCTCTTTCCTGTGGTATTTTTCTCTTCTGTGCTGCTTGTTAAAAGAAATTCACATCATGTTAAAGGCATTGGTTCTCGGCGGGGTGCAGTGGCTGACAACTGTAATCCCAGCACTTTGGGAGGCCAAGGCTGGTGGATCACCTGAGGTCAGAAGTTTGAGACCAGCCTGGGCAACACGGCGAAACCCTATCTCTACTAAAAATACAAAAATTAGCTGGGCGCAGCGGTGCGTACCTGTAATCCCAGCTACTTGGGAGGCTGAGGCAGGAGAATTGCTTGAATCCCTGGGTTACGGAAGTTGCAGTGAGCCGAGATCACACCACTGCACTACAGACTGGGTGACAGAATGAGACTCTGTCTCAAAAAAAAAAAAAAAAAGGCATTGGTTCTCCCTCTGTCCTATAAGCTTTGCAAAGAGCATGGACCTCCAGGGTTCCAGGGGCTTCGCTGGGACTAGGCAATGCTTTCTAGAAAATACAAATGTTGGTTTCTTCTGGAATGTGTTGGGTGGGAGGAGCAGCAGGCTAGGTACCCGGTTTTCTGTAGATTTGCTGTGTGATTGTGGACAAGGGTATTCCCCTCTCTGAGCCTCAAGGGCCCACACCTACATGATGTGGTGGGGACACGACTGGACTCTAGAGTGTCCAGAGTCCTTCTAGATCAGACACGGAGGGACAATCTGACCCCACCCCATTCCTCGGTGTGAATGTGGGTGTGAATGCCGGTGAATGGCCGGCATAGATCTCCATGGAGCGAGAGAGAAACTGGTGCATCAAGGAATGAGGATGGCACTCCCTCATTGCCTCCCACTCCCTTGCCCCCATCCTACCCTTCATTTCTCAGCCCCAAAGTAGGCCCCAGTGACCTGGACCAGATGGATTTTCTGCACCAGGACTTGAAGTCTTGGAACATCAGTGCTGGAAGCACTCTAGTCTTGCACCCATTGTTCAGATGAGGAAACTGAGGCATGGAGAGGAGAAGCAAGGAACTCAAAGTGATTTAGCCAGTCACAGGTCCAGCTGGGACTCCAGCAAATGTCCTGACCTCTTCTGCTCACTGGGGGATCCTGATCGGCCAAATACTAAACAAAGGGGCCTCGGGAGGAAGGTGGAGAGAAGAGAGCCTTTAAGTTCCTTTTGCTTTGAAGATGGAATAATCATGACTTCCTTCTCCAAATATCTTTTGGCCCTTCCTAGAACCAGATGGCGGATGTTTGGAATTTATGTTGTAAATAGTGCTTAAGAAGGGGTGGGAGTGCAGATGTGTTACTTTCTTCCACCACCAGAAACGAGATCTGAGGGAGAGAAGTGGGGGAGGGAAGCTGACTATGAAAAGATTTTGGGAGAAGGAAGAAGTGAGGGGGAAGGAAGACAGAACAGCGATGTGAGATGGGAGGAGAGGGAGCGAAAATGGAAGAGAGATGGATGGAGTGAGACTGACAGCAAGACAGAGAGGAAGAGAAAGGGAAAGGAGAGAGCGATGGGAGAAGGAGGAGGAAGAAAGATGGGGAGGGGGCTCTCAGGGTGCAGGCGCAGAGACGCCCCTCTTGAGTTCAGGAGCAAACCCTTGAGTTTTCTAAAAATAGCTCAGTCTTTCCCCTAGCAGGGTTGGCAGCAGGGACCAAGAGAGGCACGCTTGCCCTTTTATGGTAAGAAAAAGTCCAGATCCTCAGAGGGGGAGCTAGGCTGGAGCCTGTAATTCTGGATGAAGTCCAGCCTCAGGGTCTGGGGTGGGACAGGGCTGAATGAGGGGGGAAGACTTAGTGGGATTTCCTGGCCTGAGTGGCCCTACCCTTGGGGAAGATAGGGCTGAGGTAGGTGTTGGCATGGGCCTCCCAGGAAAGCACTGGGGTCCTGGTAGATCCTTAGTGTTATGGCAGAAAGTCTAGAGACATTTGGTCCACGCTGTGTCTCTGTTTTATTTTGTTTTGTTTTGTTTTGTTTTCGAGACGGAGTCTCACTTTGTCCCCCAGGCTGGAGTGCAGTGGCGCGATCTCAGCTCACTGCGACCTCCGCCTCCCAGGTTCTAGCAATTCTCTTGCCTCAGCCTCCTGAGTAGTTGGCATTACAGGCGCCTGCCACCACGCCTGGCTAATTTTAGTACAGACAGGGTTTCGCCATGTTGGCCGGGCTGGTCTTGAACTCCTGACCTCAGGTGATCCGCCCTCCTTGGCCTCCCAAAGTGCTGGGATTACAAGCATGAGCCACCGCACCTGGCTGTCTCTGTTTTATAGAAGAAGAAACTGAGTCCCAGCCAGGGGAAGAGATTATAGCTCCCTGTGTGGGGGTGTAAGCCACCAAGCTAAATCGATGCCGGGGTCCACACGAGGACAGCTTATGTGCCTGTTATTCTGGAGAGCAGTGTGGTCAGTGGCAAGAACACTGTTGGGAGCCAGGAAACCCAAGGCCCATTCCCAGTTTGCTGTGTGACCTTGAGCCATCTGTGGACCCTCTCTGGTCTCAGCTTTCCTTACTGGGGTGATCTTAAGGGTTTTCTTAGCTTTTTGTCTCTCTGGGAATTTCATAGCTAGAAAGCAAAGCCTGGGCATAGAAGATGCTGCTATGAGGTGAAGGGGAATCCAAGAGCTGCTATTTTCTTTCTGTGCCTGGCTCACTTCCTGTGCTGAGCTGGGCAGGTAAAATCTAGAATGGACTGAGACTGATGGAGAGGAGTCCTTGCAGGAGACAGGAGATCATGGCTGGAATCCCCTACTGCCCAGCTGGTTGGGTCTAGACTCTTTTTTTTTTGGAAAGAGTCTTGCTCTGTCACCCAGGCTGGAGTGCAGTGGCGCGATCTTGGCTCACTGCAACCTCCACCTCCTGGGTTCAAGTGATTCTCCTGCCTTAGCCTCCTGAGTAGCTGGGATTACAGGCATGCACCACCACACCTGGCTAATTTTTTGTATTTTTAGTGGAGGGGGTTTCACCAAGTTGGTCAGGCTCGTCTCAAACTCCTGACCTCATGATCCGCCTGCCTTGGCCTCCCAAAGTGCTGGGATTATAGGAGTGAGCCACCAGGCCTGGCCGGGTCTAGCCTCTCGCTGGACACACTGAGGCCAGAGGAAGCTGCATGTTCAAGGTCGCGTTGAAGGTCATATGAAGAGTTAGGGCACAGCCAGGAATAGAACCAAGGGTTTCCATTCCCAGCCTTGGGCTCTTTCTTCTGCAGGAGGCCAACAGCATTGGAGACCATCTCTGGCCATTCAAAGGGACCTCCTGGGCAGAGCAGCCAGAACTCAAGATAGGCTGCCATCCTCTAACTATCTCTTGGAGATAGTTGCATCCTGCCTGGGCACCGCCTCTCCTCTGTCCCCTGCCCTTGGCTGTGAAGAGTGTACCATAGTCTCCATCTTTGGCTAGAAGGCAGAGAAGAAGCAAAGGATGTGGTCACTCTGGCAGCATATTTTGGCAAGTCTCTCCCTGTCATTGGGCCTCAGTTTCTGCATCTATAACATGAGGAGATAGGCCCTGATGCTCTTTAAGGTCCCTCAGCTCTAAAAGGACTATGATGCAATGAGTATGGGATTTAACACCAGGAATATTTATTAATCATCTACCAGGGGCGCCAGAGGGAATGAGATGGATATTGTATGACTGAGCTCTGCAGTCAGTGTGAGGTGGGGGCACATTGCCTGAGATTCCTGGAAGCCCCATTTCCAAGATCCTTCTGTCTTTATTCTAGAAAGCCCTGGGCTGACTCTCTGACCCCAGCTTGAACCCAGGTTCTGGCAGCTCTGGTCTTGAGCATCTAGGGAAGGCTGCTGGCCCAGGCGATGTAGTTGCCCACTGCTCCAGGACCCTCACAGGCGGTTTGGCCATGCCCTTGACTTCTTGGTCCTCTCCATCCTCTCCCACACTGCTGTCCACTGCCCCAAGCCCTGTCTGGTGGGCCTCCCAATCTACCCCATACCCTCCGTCTCTCCATGCTCTTTCTGTGACTCAGCCCAAGAGGATGCTTGCTTTCCTTTCCCAGACTTCTATGACACCCCCACCGACCATGAGGGAAAGGATGGAACAGAAGAGAAAAGGGGAAAAAAATAAAGCACTGTGGTTCTAAATCTGAAGCTTTCCTGTGACCCTCCTGGAATTTCCACGCAGACTCTCTGGAGCGTGTGAACAGGGCTCCCAGGGTCCCTGGCCCCCTTTGTCTCATTCCTGCCGGGCAGAAGGCCATCAGCTGAATGTTCCCCGGGGAACTCCATCTCACAACCAGGCTCCAAGTCTCTTTGGTCAGGCCTGGTGTCCCCTGGGAAGGCAGGAGGCAGCAGTGGAAAGGAAGTGGGAGGTAGGAGGTAGGAGGTCCAAGAGGCCCTTGTGCAAAGTCAGGGCAGAACTGATGTCATGTCTGGCTGGGAATCTGACATCCAGGCTGCAGGAAGGCTCAGCTCATGATTGTCCTAAAGCAGTTAGAGCTGGCATGTGAGATCCGAGGCTGGTGGTAGGAAAGGCCATGATGCCCAACCTTTTCTGATGTTTGGCTTCTCTCTATGGTGTCTGTACTAAGCTTACATACCTCTGGTGATGAGGAGCTCACTACAGATGTTCCTTAAGTTACTTCCTGATAAACTCATCGTCAATGGAAAATATTGTAAGTTGAATGTGCTTTTTCTGTTTATTTTTTGAGACAGAGTTTTGCCCTGTTGCCCAGGCTGGGGTGCAGTGGTGCAATCTCAGTTCACTGCAACCTCCACCTCCCAGGTTCAAGCAATTTTCATGTCTCAGCCTCCCGAGTAGCTGGGATCACAGGCGTGCGCCAGTACGCCCGGCTAATTTTTGTAATTTTTTTTTTTTTTTTAGTAGAGATGGGTATTTGCCACGTTGGCCAGGCTGGTCTTGAACTCCTGAACTCCTCAACTCCTGATCTGCTCGCCTCGGCCTCCCAAACTGCTGGGATGACAGGTGTGAGCCACCGCGCCTGGCCCGAACGTGTATTTTTGACTTGCGATATTTTCAATATAGAGTTGGTTTATCCGAAGTAACCTTATAACCCCATCACAACTGCGTCATAAGTTGAGGAGGGTACCAAATGCATATAGCTTTCATAGCATTTTAAAATAGAAAATTGTAACTCAGGATATGTCTGTACTTCCTAATCCCCTCACCCTCTTTGGACAGACTATTGGAGGTGTCTTCCTAGTATTCTGCTGCCATCTGCCTTTCTGGGCTTCATGGCCTGTCCTCTGTTCCTGCTCCCCAGGAAGCTCTGGAGTGGTCTGAAGATGGTGACTGCAGCCCTCGGGCTTCCTACCCCTCCTAGTCCCACCTGAGCTCTCCTTTCCCCATTGCCTGACATCTCAGAGTTGCCCATTATCCAAATTCCTAGGTCTCTGCCCTGCACTGGGGTTCTTGGCTGATGGTATTTTGGGGAGGGGGACAAATAGGCTAAAGAAAGGCACCCCCTCCCAGGGACAGACAGATACCAAGGAGAACTTTTCCCAAGCTCTGAGGCTTTGGTTTCTGTTGCCAAAGCCACCGCACACTCTAGGCCTTCTCTGCTTCGCCAACCTCCAGCCTCACTGAGCTTCAGACCAACTCTCGGTTCCAGCCAACTGGGCTTCTCTGCTGTTGTCTGAAAATGCCTCTGCAATCCTGCCTCCATACCTTTGTACACAGAGCTCTCCACCTGGAATGCCGTCTTCTTCTCTGTCTATCCAGGGCGCGCCCCCAGCTCCTTAGATTTTCCCTCTCTGAGAATCCAGGTGTCTACTATCACACATGGAATGACCTCAACTGTCCCCTCTGTCCCAAACCAGGGAACATTATGGCCTGAGGCCCCAGAGGAGTGGGACAGTTACCCAGTTGTGCTGGCTGCAGAGCCAGGGCCTGGTCCTAGCCAGCCTCTTTCTCCTTCACCCTGCCTTGCTCAGCTCATCGGGGTTGTTGGGTCACATGCCTGGTGGCTGGCAGGCTCTGGGCAGGCTGACCGGGGGCCTCTGAGCCCAGTAGCCCAGCCAGGGGTGGTGTCATAGCCTCTGTGGATCCCTCCCCAGGCCAGCAGGCAGCCTCCCTCTAGACACTCCACCCCCATCCCTGCCTCCTTGGAGGGACAGGAGGAGTAGAGTATGTGGCAGCAGAGCAGTTTGGAGCTTTCTTTTTTTTTTTCTTTTTGAGACAGAGTCTTGCTCTGTCGCCCAGGCTGGAGTGTAGTGGCGTGATCTTGGTTTACTGCAACCTTCGCCTCCTGGGTTCAAGCAATTCTCCTGCCTCAGCCTCCAGAGTAGCTGGGACTACAGGCACGTGTCACCATGCCTGACTAATTTTTTGTAATTTTAGTAGAGATGGGGTTTCACCTTGCTGGCCAGGCTGGTCTCGAACTCCTGACCTAATGATCTGCCAGCCTTGGTCTCCCAAAGTGCTGGGATTGCAGGTGTGAGCCACCGCACCCGGCCTGGAGCTTTCTTTTCTCCCTTGATGCACAGCTAAGGTCAGAGGAGGAGCTTTTAAGGAGGGGGCTTAGGCTTGTGGCTGGCCGGGGGTTCTTGCAGAAGAGCCATGGTGGGGTGGCTTTCTCCAGTCTGGGCCTAGCCAACTGCCCCTTCCTCAAACCTCAGGCGGGCTGTGCAGGGCATGGGGCAGCCCAAGACTGACGAGGCCCCCAAGGTTACTCAGCCCACCCTATGGGGTGCTTCTGGGTGAGAAGGACTGTTTCGGCAGGGTCTGCATTTTTGAGCCTGAGCAGGGGTGGGGGGCCAAAGGGTCTGTCTCTTCTCTTACTGCAATCATGCCTAATCTGGAAGGGGGCTTCGGACTTCCAATGGCCTCCTCCCCCAAATGCCAAAGGCCCTACTAGGCAGGTCAGAACCAGAGCTGGTTCTGGTTCACAGATCCATTGCGGGTGGTCCTAGAGTGCAGCAGTTAAACACATGATTTTAGAATCAGTCAGAACTGAGTTTGAGTCCCAGCCTGGCCTCGTACAGGCTGTGTGACTTTGGGCAAATGACTAAACCTCTCTGAGCCTCTGTGTGCCCAGAGGGATAATGGTATTTATCTCAGAGTGCTGGGTAAATCTCCAGGTACTTGAAAGGACTTGATATATGGCAAGTGTTATTTTTGAAGGTATAAGGGCAGTTTATCCTCCAAAGAGTTGGTACTCAGAAGAGCATCTCTTTGTACTGTGAAGAAGCTGTCTTTAGTAATCACATTTTAGTGGTTATTATTATTATAAAAATTTAATCTAAAAATGTATAGTAGAGACAGAGTCTGCCTATGTTGACCTTTAGGCTGGTCTTGAAATACTGGGCTCAAGGGATTCTTCCGCCTTGGCCTCCCAGAATGCTCAGATTACAGGTGTGAGCCACTGTGGCTGGTCTTAGCAGTTATTTTTTATTGAGTACTTACTATGTGTCAGTCACAGTTCCAAGGGCTTCATGAGTTTTAACTCATTTAATGAGTTAATCCGGACAACTCAGTAGACCAATGAGACAGGTACTCTTATCATCTCTATATTACAGATGAGGTCACTGAGGCATACAGCACCTATGTAAGTTACCCAAAGTCCTACTGCTGCTATGAGGCAGCTCCAGGATTCAAACCCAGCAGCCTGGCTCACATCTGGCACCTTTAACTGCCAGCCTACTACATCTGAGCCCCACTCCAGCCCTGCTCCAGACCCGCCTGGTCCCCTCATCACCTGGGCACAGGGACCCACTCCACATCTGAAAGCCCCCAGGCTTCGGAGTCAGCCTCAGTTTCCTCATCTGAACAAAAGGGGGCCTGAATGAGTCAACCTCTGTGGGCCACGAGAGTGGGTAATTCACACTGTGCGTTAAGGCATGTTTCGAATTGGAGTAAAGGTTTCTAGTGGTGAAGTGTTGCTGCCAACAGCCTCTTTTGCAAGTGGGCAGGGGGCTGGCCAGAGCTCTCGCAATGTGCGGTGAAGCCCCATGGGGCCTGTCTAGACAAGCTGTTAGCAGGCGGCAGCCACCTTGGGCTCTTTTCCCCAGATTCTTGCAACTCACCCTCCCAGGCGACCTTTGATTGGACCCGGGCCACTGCATACTGCTGGGCTGGGGGAGGGCCACATAGGCAGTGCCCATCCCACCCCAGGGCCTTCGTAAATGTCCTGATGAGGGTGCTCTGCAACTTGTGCATGGAGGGCAAAGTTCTAGACGCCCTCGTGCACAGGAGCGTAGCAGCCTACAGAAGGCACACCTACGTTTTTATTTCCATGGCTTCCTTACATTTTTTATTATATAAACTTGATACATGCAAAATGAAGTGTGCAACCCATATGCTTCAAGGAAACTGATGGCTTCAAGTGTGGTCAAGAAGATGGGGATGCTCATACACAGCTGATGGAAGCATAACCTGGTTCAGCCACTTCAGAAAGCAATCTAGTGCTCTCCTGTAAAGTTGACAGGCCTGCACTCCAGGACCCAGAACCCCTTCTAGCTATAAGCTCCAGAGAAACTCTGGCTTATGGGTCCTAGGAGATGTGGACAAAAATGGTCATCACAATTCGAACCAGCCTTCATCATGGTTCTTCGAACCACCCCATGGCGCTGAGCCCCCCCGGAGAGTTTAGTTGGAAAATTGCAGGAAGAGGCCATGCCCAGGCACGGCCCAGCAGTGAGGACCTCAGAGATTACCTCCCCGAACCCCTCAGGCTCAGCTGGGAATCAGAACAGCCACTTGAGTCAGTGATGGTGTGTGGTGTGGAGCCTGGATCTTTCTATTCCTCAAGGATAGGTGTTGGCTGAGTGCAGTGGCCCATGCCTGTAATCCTAGCACTTTGGGAGGCTGAGGCTGGGGGATCACTTGAGCCCAGGAGTTTGAGGCCAGCCTGGATAACATGGCGAAACCCTGTCTCTACAAAAAAACACAAAAAATTAGCCAGATGTGGCACACATCTGTAATCCCAGCTACTTGGGAGGCTGAGGTGGAAGGATCACTTGAGCCTGGGAAGCAGAGGTTGCAGTCAATTGAGAAGAGTCACTGCACTCCAGCCTGGTTGACAGAGGGAGACCTCATTTCAAAAAAAAAAAAAAAAATGGATAGGTGTCAGGTGTCAGGTGTCATTTTCCCCCAGAACTGGCCAGGCTGGGAAGGGGCTGATTTTGCCCAAAGGGCTGTGGTGTGGCTGTGAGGGACCAATGACAAACTTTCTGTTGCGGGGCAGCAACAGGGTTGAAGGGAGAGCAGTGGCCTCAGAGCTAGAAGGCTTGGGCTCAGGCTCCGGCAGGGCCTCACTCCTGGCCTCCGTCTCCTCTGTGAGGTGGGATTCTTCATCACTGCCCTCAGAGGTGTCGGGGTGGGCAGCCCAAGAGTGTGCGTTCTGCAGATGCATAGACTAGGTTCAAATCCCCTTCACCACTTTTTAATTGCGTGACATTGGGTAATCTGCAGTGGTTTCCTTCTCTAGAAAGTGAGGGTGATGGAATGATGCTGATTCCTGCCTCACAGGAATCCTGGGAGGATTAAATGATAATGCAAGCTGTTCAGCACAGTGTCTGACTCCCAGAAGTCTCCCATACATATTCTGCCCCCTTCCATGAGGTCTGTTGGAGGGTCTCCAGGAAGTTTTGAGGTAGCTAAGAGGCAGGGCAGGAGGTGGGAGACTCCTGGGGGAGTTAGCAGCCCCAGGGGCAGCTGGCACACACAACTTAACAACTCATGAGCTGTGTGACCTCAGGCAAGCCACCTAAACTCTCTTTGCCTCAGGTACCTCATCTGTGGAGTGGGGATAATAATTGCCCCTTCCTCACTGGCTCTTGTGAGGATTAAATGAATTAGTTCATGTGAAGATCTGAGGTAGTGCCTGGACCTCATAAGAACTCCACAAATAGTGTCATCTATTTCTCCTGATTTGCACCACCTTATGGAATCCCTGGCTGGGCAGAGAGGCAGGTTCTGTTCCACCTCTGCCATCAGCTCGCTAAATAACCTAAAGCAGTGCTTTCTCTCTGTGGATTCCGTTGCCTCGGCAGTTTGTGAGAGTCCTAGGCCGCCCTACAGCCTGGCATTTCGCAAACTTCCACATGCATGGGAATTCATGGGGTGCTTGTAATGCAGATTCCTAGGCCTCACTTGGGGTCCCCCGTCAGTGGGTGAGTGCACAGTGGTTCAGATACATTGCCCACACAATGCCCTAGAAAGGCAGGAAAGGAGATCCCCCCCAGTCCTTCAGGCATCTCAAGCTGATCACTTTCCTGTGTCCCACAGCCTCTGACTTTTGATTCCTCCTGCCTCTTTCCAGAGCCTGTTCCAGAGCTCTTCAGCAACTCTGGGCATTCCCTGGCCGGGTTTCATTCCCACTTCTCCCTCAACATAGCTCAGGGTATCTTGCCCGCAGGAGGTGTGGGCTCTGACTGCGATGTAACATCAGCCCCATTCATCCTGCTCTATGTGCCTACATCCCTCACTCCTCATGACAACCATGCAAGCTCAGAATTGTACCCATTTTACAGAGGAGGAAGCTGAGGCTCAAACAGCAAGCAACTTGCCCAGGGTCACTTGTCCAGTAAGTAAACAAGCCAGAATTGGACCCAGGCAGTTGAATTCAGAGCCTCCTTCTGAACCATGATGGCCTTGGGTCTTGTGTGACAAGAAGCGGGAAGGTGGAGGGTACAAGACAGAGGCCGGTGCTAGAGGACTGTTCTGTTCTGGGCTCCGGATGTGGCCAGAGTGTTTTCAGAGGAGCCCGACTCCATGCTGTCTGTACATCTTCAAGTTCCAATCCTAAGCCCCTGCCTCTACCCAGCCCTGCCTCCCATCACAAGCCTCCTGCATTCCTCTAAGTCCCCTGGCCCCACTGCTTCATCCCGCGAAGCCCTCTGCCATCTTTTCCATCCCTTACCTACTTCCATGTCCCACATTCCTGTGTGGTTGAATCCAGAGATCAGTCCTTTCCCCACCAGAGGCTGGTTGCAGCCAAGTTCATCTGGAGGGCTCGGGGCACCCCTCTGGCCAAGCCTTCAGTCACAGAACCTTCAGCTACTCTCCCTCACTCAGGCTCAACCTCCAAAAGCTCCCACAGGACTTCATCTGCTTGGACTCCAAGCTTGTGGTCAAAGTTCAGACTCGGCTCAGGGACCTCCTGGGGGAACTTCCCAACACTGGCTGTCCCTCAGGCACAAACAACTCAGAAGCCACATCTGCAGAGGGACCATTTTGTCCAATGGCCTTGCTATACAGATGGGAAAACTATGGCCCAGAGAAGGGAGGGGGCCAGCCCAAGACCACAGAGCCGGGCACTGAGAGCAGAGCTGGGGCCGGAGCTTAAGTGCCCCCGTCTCCTCTCACCAGCATCCCTTCCCATTGCTCCATGTGCAGTCAGCACCCAGCCTTCCCAGGATCTCTGCCTGCCTGCCAGAGCCTGAGCTTACATTGCCTCTTCCCCAGCTTTGTTTCTCGAAACCATTATTTGAAAACCATTTTCCTTGCCAGGAGCCCCAGGCTCTTGGAATTACAAAATCAAAGCCCCACACAATGAGGAAGAAGCACTGCCTATGTAGAAGCCAGGGAGACTGCCTGAGACTCGGGTGCCGAGGTGAAGCTTGGGCTGATAGGATGTTAACTCTGTGCACTCCCTCTGCACCTTCTTCCCCCAATTGACTACAACAACAAGGAATCCTAGAAGCCAACAGGACCATAGAACTAGAGCCGATCAGCTGGATGGATGCTTAGAGATCATTGACTCCAGCCCCTGTACAGATGGGGAAACTGAGACCCAGAGAATCTGTGTCCAGAAAGGGACAGAGCCAGTTAGCAAGACAGCAAGACCCCCAGATGCAGCATCCCCCTAGGGAAATTCCCAGAGGCCCCCACCCACGGATCCCAGGTCTGCCGTTGGTGCTTACCTTTCCTGGGGTCTGGTCCAGGTGTGGCTCCTTGGGGCCTGGAGACGGGAGCCAGCCTGTTTGGGGAGTGGTTGGGGGTGTCACTGCTTCTCAACTAATTAGACCCAGCCTCTGGTGCCCCTCGCTGCCACAGGGGCATTTTTAAGCAGCTGGCACTGAGCCCCCCTCCCCTTAGTCCCTTGCCTGCGGCTCCCTGGCCACAGAGGCCACTCTGCCTTTTACCTTATATGAGCTGAAGAGGCAAGCCCCGTATTGGGGCGAGGCGGGTGCTGAGCCCTCCCAGGGCCCCCCATTGGCCCAGGCACCCCCCACGTGACTACCTTGCCTTGACCTGCCCCCGGTGCTGAATGTTGCTTTTACCCCCTAAGGAAGGAGTGGTTGACAATTTTCATATTTCTTCTAAATTTGGAGATTTCAGACAATGCTGGGAGCCTTGGCTCCAGCCACCAGAGGCCCATGTGGAAGTCATTAAGCCTGAGAAGGGGGGCAGGGGAGAGAGGGAGGCAGGGAGAGGAGGAGGAGGAGGAGGAGGAGGAGGAGGAGGAGGAGGAGGAAGGGGGTGGGGAACAGAGTTCTGAGGGTTGCCAGTTGTCAGCCTGGGAACAAGAGCAAACTCCCTGGGAGAAAGCTGTGTGAGAATTTCCTTCCTCCCCCAGCCCCTGTGTCCCAGGACTGCAGTGGGAGTTCTGAGACTTTCTGGGAACCTCCAGTAGGGGAGACACCAGTCCTGGCTCCTGGAATCTGGGTGATGGGAATTGGGGGAACAGGAGAACATGGGGAAGGAGAGCCCAGACCGTGGGAAGCTACTCCCATCATCATGCAAACGAGGCCTGGGCCTGACAGGGAAGATCCTGACCCAGCCACCTGGCAGGGTCACCACAGGGCAGGGGTTTGAATGTGGAATGTCCTTCAGGGGGCTCTCTTTTCCCTGCCACCGCAGTCCTGAGAAATGCCCATCTCTTGCCGGAGTCCCTCTTTCTCCTTTTGCTTGGCCACCTTGGCCTCCTACAGATTCTTTAGTGTTTTTCATGCCTCAGGGCTTTTGCACTTGCATTGCTCGCTGCCAAAAATGCCTTCTTCCCAGAGCTCATGCTGCTCCTTCCCCTGCTCCTGTCTCCCACTCAGAAGTCTCCTCTGGAAGAGCCATTCCCTGGCCCCCTCAGTATTCTGTCACACCCTCTGCTTGCTTCCCGCTTCGGACTCGCCACGCATGTGCCTATCTTACATGTCCACGGTTCTAGTTTCTTGCTGGCTAGCTCTTTCATGAGAGTGTGACTTCCCCTGGCAGGCTCTGTGTCCCCAGGCTTCCTAGAGTGTCTGTGAAGAAAGGTCAGAAAACACAAATCAAGGGATCACGTGAACCAGGCCTCGGCTGCCAGCCTAGGAGTGTCGTGCTGAGGCCCATGGAGGTCTTCTCCCAGGGGCCAGCGGGGCCTGCTCCCAGGGCTGCCACCGGGTCCTGCCTTCCACTGCGCAGAGCTTCCCTTCTGCAGCCAGGCCTGCTGGACCCCAGCGGTCTCTGTTCACGGCCTCATTCACAGTTCCTCAGACCCCCAGCCTGGATGGGCCTGCCAATCCCTCTCTCCTCCTTCCAGGCCAGAGGCTGTGGTCTGCCTGTCACCGACCCTGGGACCCCCTCCAGCAGCACACGGGGCCTTGTGACATCCTGAGTGGGGCCAGTTGAGGGCCCGAGGGGGTGGGGTGCTGAATCAGACACTGTCCCTGACCTTGAGAGCCTCCCAGTCCAACAGGAGGATTAAAAATGCCATGTCCTTACCCCTCCACCCTCCCTCATTCCTTCTGAGGAAAGAATTCTGTTGGTGTTGAAAGGCCGGTGGGCTTCTTCCTGCCTTGGCCACTTCCTAGCTGTGAGGTCTGCCGCTCCCAGCCTCCCTTTCCCCCGGTGCCTCCCTTTCCCCTTGGGTAAAATGGCGAGAATCACACCTGCCTTCAGCATTGCCATGAGGGCTGGGCGAGGTGGCCCGTGCAGTCCTGGAGGAAGGTGTGAGCAGGACTCGAGTGAGACTGGGCTCAGCCCTGCCCCTCTGCTCCCAATGGTGGGGCTGGGGAAAGCCCTCTGGGAACTAACTTCTGTGAAGATCACTGTCTCCTCTGTAGCACAGAGTCAATGGTTGTGAAGGTTTAGCCCCGAGCCTGCTTCAGAGTGAGTGCTTGATCGATGTAAGCTATGACTCAGAGTTGCGGTGCGAGAGCTCTACACGGAGGTTTCGCCACTAATGTCACCCCCTTCTTTTCCAAACCAAGAAGATGAATTCCGTTCATGTGCATGCCCTGGGGTGCAGGTCAGAGATGGTGGGTTAGGGAAGGCTTGTGACACCACTCCCCAACCCTGCACAGTGGCCCAGTCGAATACTCCAAAGCACCACTGACAGACTCTAGAGGGAAGATAAAGCCGGCCTAACAGAAACATCGTGTTTATGTAAAGTCCACTCTGGAGGCTGTGAAACGTAAGTTATGCTTCTGTGAGTTCTGCTACTGTATAAACAGTAGAGAGTTCGTCATCAAGAACAAACAGAAAAACTAGCAGTGCAAGCTGTGGGGAGACCCCCACCATTGAAATGCCCAAAAACTCTGCACCTGGCCGAGTGCTTTAGTCGGCTACGCCCATGAGTCAATGGGCTTGGTCAGCAGAAAGCCCATTGCGAGAGGCAAGACAAGGAACTGAAGCGACCTGGAGACAGGTCCTTGAATATCAGGAGAGAGGTGTTCTGCCACCAGACTAGCTCAAAAGGCGAAGTATATGGCAGCCATTTGTGACTCAGTGTCCATAAATCTGTCTCAAATATTTGGAAGCTGTTTCTATTTCCTGCCCATACTGTCTCTTGGGAGTTATGAACACTTTACATTATGAACAACTCATTCTGTGAAGTGGCTTTTCTTTCCAGACTGGGAGAGGCAGCCTTGAAATCCCTCCATTCCTAGAGAAAACAGGTCGACAGACTGCGGCTTGGTATGTGTGAGTAAGGCTTCTTGGGAGGTGAAGGGAGGTTCCTGTTAGGAGCTGAGTATGAGAGTGAGTTTGCATCGTTGAGTCCTGTGTTTTCAGATGGTGTATTTAGTCAGGGGGAGGGGGACCCTGTCCAGGAGAATAGAGGACTCATGGGCCCTGGGAGAGCCGGCTCTACTTCTCTACAGAGTGACCAAGGAAGACCTTGAATTGGTACAGTTGGAACCTTTAGGAAGATGGAATCTAGATCCACATGGGAAATACTTTTTAAGCCAGTGGAACTAACCAAGGATGAAGTGGGCTAACAAGCTGTCTTGGTAAAGTGGTGAGTTCCCTGTTATTAAGGGAATGCAAGCAGAGGCTGGACAACTTGGCAAGTCCCTTCCCAGCCCTGAGATCGTATGGGCTTCACTTCACCCTTTCTGTTCTCACCTCCCAACCTGTCCCTAATCTCCAACCCTGAATTCACACTAATTCTACCCAGGAGGCTCAGCTCAGAGGTGGCCAGTTGGGAAACAATTTTATATTGAAAAGGCCCATAACCCCTGAGTTAAAAATCAAGCCCCATATGTTCTCTTCAATGAACATAAAACTTTTTTTTTGTTGGTAGAGTTGGTATGTGGGAGGTGGGAATATGGACAATTAGTGATGAAATGCCTATAATTATTTGCCTTGCAATCCAACCATTTTCTCAAAAGCATCATACCATGGAAAGCTGCCCACATGGCTAGGCGTGGTGGCTCACACCTGTAATCCCAGCACTTTGGGAGGCTGAGGCAGGAGGATCTCTTGAGCCCAGGAGTTTGAGACCATCCTGGGCAACACGGTGAAACCCCGTCTCTATAAAAAATACAAAAAATTAGCTGGGCATGGTGGACTGTGCCTGTAATCCCAGCTCCTTGGGAGGCTGAAGTGGGAGGATCACTTGAGCCTGGGAGGCAGAGGCTACAGTAAGCCGAGATTGCATCACTGCATTCCAGTCTGGGCTATAGAATGAGACCTTGTCTCAAAACAAAACAAAACAAAACAAAACAAAACAAAACAGAACAAAACAAACAAAAAACTGTCTACAACTTGCTATTGAGTTTTTTTTTTTTTTTTTTTTTTTGAGATGGAGTCTCACTGTGTAACCCAGGCTGGAGTGCAATGGTGCGATCCCGGCTCACTGCAACCTCTGCCTCCCGGGTTCAAGCGATTCTCCCACCTCAGCCTCCCAAGTAGCTGGGACTACAGGTATGTGCCACCACGCCTGGCTAATTTTTTGTATTTTTAATAGAGATGGGGTTTCACCGTGTTAGCCAGGATGGTCTTGATCTCCTGACCTTGTGATCCGCCCGCCTCGGCCTCTCAAAGTGCTGAGATTACAGGCATGAGCCACCGTGCCCGGCACGAGTTTTTGTTCTTTTTTTTTTTTTTTTTTTAAAAGCATGGTATTAAAGAAGATAAATTGTATAATCCCTTTTAAGTCAAATGATGTGTACGTATGTGTGTGTCAGGAGAGGGTAAGTGTGAGAGTAGCAAGGCGCCCTGCTGGAGGTTGAATTTGTGTGTTGTCTCTTCCCTAATCTACTTCACAGATAGGCCAGGACAGGAAGTCACTGTGGAGTGCCCAAAGGTAGTATCTTTGGGAATGGCAGGGGAGGGTGAATTAACTCATTGTCCTGAGAGAAGGATGTAACACACCTTTTATGTTGATCGCCAGGGAAGAATGGTTATGGGAAGGGGAACAATGGTGTAGCCCAGTCCTCCCAAATCTTTGTGGGAAAGGCTTGCATTGAAGGGCCCTGGGTGGTTGGCTTGGAGCCCTTCTCTGGTCTAGGGGGAGCACCGTCTTCCACTACCGTGGCTGCTTTGGGAGTAGTGAACCTGACTGACAACTCGAATATTACTCACCAAGATTAGCTCCTGCTCGGTTATTCATGTCCTTCCACCATGGTCAGTGCACTGATACAAGACCACATGGGTCTGGACACCTCCTTCCAAGACGCCTGTACGGGAACCCTCTGTGTGTAAGAGGGAGGCAGTGAAAACCCTGTAGAGAGCAGCTGGGCTGCATGCTGGACTTCCTGCTATCACCAGCACATGGGGCTTGAACACTTGAAGTTTCAAGGAAAACCGGGCCACACTAATTGCACCCTGAACAGTGCAGGGTAACACATGTGACCGTGCATGTAAAATGCACCGTTCGATGTGTGAAAGAACGTTCAACAAAATAAGAAGAGAAGTTATCTCTGGGTGGAGGGAATTTGGGGTGATTTGGGCTTACTTCACTATAGTTTTCTGTATTTGATTTTTGTCTTGATTTTCATTGAGCATTTCTTGTTTTTAGGCAATTATCACATTTATTTATTTATTTGAGAGGGTTTCTTCCTCTGTCACCCAGGCTGGAGTGCAGTGGTGCAATCTTGGCTCACTGTAACTTCCGCCTCCTGGGTTCAAGTGATTCTCCTCCCTCAGCCTCCCTCAGCCCCCTAAGTAGCTGGAATTACAGGCATATGCTACCACACCTGGCTAATTTTGTACTGTTAGTAGAGATGTGCTGCCACACCCGGCTAGTTTTGTACTGTTAGTAGAGATGGGGTTTCACCATGTTGGCCAGGCTGGTCTTGAACTCCTGACCTCAGGTGATCCACCCGCCTCAGCCTCCCAAAGTGCTGGGATTACAGGCATAAGCCACCATGCCCAGTCCAATTATCACTTTTAAAAAGGCATACCACGAGACCTTGACAGCTTACTTTGTTTTAGAATTTATGTATGGCAACTGTGAAAAATTGAAAATTTAATTCAGTGTCCATTGTCTAATCAAGTCTTACCAGTCAGGGTCCATGTGCAGGAAAGCAATTATTCCTGCTCATTTGAGCAGAAAGGGATTTACTACAGGGAATCGGAAGCTTATGCAATTAGGAAAATTAGAGAAGTGGGCCCTAGAAAGGACCCTTGGGAATGACTTTGAAAACCACAAAATTGTCCTGTCAAGGCAGATGCTACCTCTACTGCCATCAGAAGTGATGTGATGGTTAATTTTATGTATCAATTTGATTGGGCTATGGGATGCCCAGATAGCTGGTAAAGCATTGCTCCTGGATGTGTCTGTTGGTGTGTTTCTGGAAGAGATTGGCTTTTCAATGCAGATCGCTTTTTGCCAATGCAGAGGGGCAGCATCTAGTCCATCGAGAGCCTGACTAGAACAAAAGGGTGGAGGAGGGGTGAATTCTCTCTTCTTGAGCTGGAACATGTGTCTTCTTCTGGCTTCAGACATCAGAGCTCCTGGTTCTTGCTCCTTGGGACTCTGGGACTTACACCAGTGGCACCCCTGGCTCCAGCCCTTTGAACCTGGACTAAGTCATACCAGCAGCTTTCCTGGTCCTCCAGCTTGCAGGTGGCAAAACGTGGGACTTGCTGGCCTTTATAATCATGTAAGCCAATTTCCGAGATAACTCTCCTCTTCTGTGTCTCTATATATCCCGTTGGCTCTGTTTAGCTGGATAACTCTGACTACAGTGGACTCTGGAGGGGGAGCTCCACTGTCATGTGAAGAATACACTGCTGCAGCTGTGTCCAGGGTTAGGAGGTCACTCCTGCCTCTGCCACACCCACAAAGCCAGCGACCGGTTGTGTCAGTCAGGCAGGGCTGCTGTAACCAAACACTCCATCCAGACAGGGTGGCTTAAATGATGGGAATTTATCTCACAGCTCTGGGGGCTAGAAGTCCGAGATAAGTGTCAGCAGAACTGGCTCCTTCTAAGGCTGTGAGAGAGAATCTGTTCCAGGCCTCCTAGATTCTAGCGGCTTGCTGGCAATCTTTGGCCTTTCTTGGCTTGTAGATGTATCGCCCTGATATCTGCTTTCATCTTCTCATGGTGTTTTCCCTGTGTGTGCTGTTTCCAAAGGTACTCTTTTTATAAGTCATATTGGATTAGGGGCCCACCCTAATCCAGTCTGACCTCATATTAACTAATTACATCTGTGGCAACCCTGTTTCCAAATAAGGTCAAATTCTGAGGTGTTGAGGACTGGGAATTAAACATAGAAATTTGGGGAGGGGGGACATAGTTCAACCCTAAACATGTGTAAGGGACCACTGATGTGGACAAACCCATATAGGGGTGCTTGCCAGTAGCTACTGTGAAGAAGCAGGAAGGTAACCTCCCTCCAGAACCACTGGAAGTCTGGGAAATGTAGTTTTTAGCTTACAAGGCTCTGCAGTAATGAAGGTTGGAATGGATGCAGCACCAATCCACCAAACCCCTGACCTAAATCCAACATCCTCTGTCTGCCACCCAACCCTGGTCATTTTGCAGCTGGCAAAAATTCCTGCCACTGAGCACATGCACCTGGGGTATTAGAAACAACACTGTCCTCAGAAACCAGGAGGTGAGGACTGCGGGAGTCCCGGCCCTATTATTAACTCACAGGGTGACAGCCACAGCTAATCAAACCCACCTGACACAAAATCCCACCATCCACAATTCACTCAACAAACACAGCAGTGTTCACAGTCATTAACACACTCAGGAACCTTGTGCCACATGCTGGGAACTAACTTCGTAAATTTGTTCCACAAGGCTGTCCCACCCACCCAAATTTGTTTCTTTATTATTTCTTACAGAGATTAAAAAAAAAGATAATTGTCTTCTCCCAACCATGATCAACTTCCCGCCACTACCATTTTTCTTGTTTATGTCCAGAGTATTGTGTGCAATTGTGTGCATGCGCAGTCCAAACCCAGCATTCTTCCTGAATGATAGGTAAAGGATTTAGAAGGGAACTGAACCAGGAGGCCAAGCTTTTGGCCCAGTTGTGCCACTAACTTGCTGTGTGGCTGAGATCCCTGATGCCCCAGCTGTGAACAGGGTTGCTACTCTCTGCCCACCTGACAGCACCCGGGCAGGGCCCTGGAAAATGTTAGGGGAGTGATATGGTTTGGCTGCGTCCCCACACAAATCTCGTCTTGTAGCTCCCATAGTTCCCATGTGTTGTGGGAAGGACCTGGTGGGAGATAATTGAATCATGGGGCCAGGTCTTTCCCATGCTGTTCTCATGATAGCAAATGAGTCTCGCGAGATCTGATAGTTTTAAAAACGGGAGTTTCCCTAGACAAGCACTCTTCTCTCTTGCTGCTGCCACGTAAGAAGTGCCTTTCACCTTCTGCCATGATTGTGAGGCCTCCCCAGCCATGTGGAACTGTGAGTCCAATAACTTCTTTTTTGAGACAGAGTTTTGCTCTGTCACCCAGGCTGGAGTACAGTGGTGACATCTGGGCTGCAAACTCTGCCTCCCTGGTTCAAGAGATTCTCCTGCCTCAGCCTCCTGAGTAGCTGGGATTACAGGTGCCTGCCACCATGCCCAGCAAATTTTGTATTTTTAGTAGAGATGGGGTTTATCCATGTTGGCCATGCTGGTCTCGAACTCCTGACCTCAGATGATCTGCCCACCTCCACCTCCCAAAGTGCTGGGATTACAGGCGTGAGCCACTGGGCCCAGCCCCAATAACCTCTTTGTTTTGTAAACTGCCCAGTCTCGGGTATGTCTTTATCAGCAGTGTGAAAATGGACAAATACAGTAAAGAATTGTGCTGCCTGGGTCTGCCCTCCTCCATCACTAGCTCTGTAAGGGCTGTGTCTGTGTCTGCCGCTCTCTTTTCTCAAAAACGTATGAGTGTTTATTGTGTACAAAATGCTGTGCTCAGCACCATGGTGGCTAGGAAGGGAAATCAGACCCTTTCCGATACAGTTAAGGGGAAGTGTTAATTCACTGGAGTTTGGATCATTATCTTGCAAGATACAATCTCAAACATGATAATCCTGAATGTTAAAGTCCCAAAAGATTAAAATCCCTGAAGTCTAAATCTCTAATATCTAAAGTCCCTAAAATCACAATCATGGGATGGTTGCATTATGTTAGACAAAACTATTACCTTGTTGTTGTCTTTATTTGGAAATTAGATATGGTTTCTGGAGATGTGTCTTGGTGCCAAGTTGACAAGGGGTGGACTTATGGACTTAATTTTAGGTATCGACTTGACTGGATGAAGGGCTATCTAGAAACCTAATATAGCATTATGTCGGGTGTGTATGTGTGAGGGTGTTTCTAGAGGAGATCTGTGTGTGGGTCTGAGTGGAATAGGTAGGGAAGATCTGCCCTCAATGTTGGTGGGCATCATCTAATAGGCAGGGGGCCAGGAGAAAACAAATACAGAAGGCAAATGGTCTCTCTCTGAGAGCTGGGACAGACTTTTCTGCTGCTTTGAGCATCAGAACTCCAGGCTTGCCAGCTTTTGGACTCTAGGACTTACACCAGTGGCCCCTGGGTCCTGGGGCTTTCTGCCTGAGTCATGCTACCAGCCTCCCAGGGTCTCCAGCTTGTAGACGGCCTGTTGCAAGACTTCTCAGCCACTGTAATCATGTGAGTCAATCCGCCTAATAAATCTCTCATATATCTACATGCGCATCCAACGGGTTCTATCTCTCTAGAGAACGCTGACTAATACAGATTTGGTATTAGGGAAACAGAATAGCATTTCTTTTTATTGTGTTTCTTACAACACAATGGAAGGGATCTGTGAAATTGTTCCCTCGCAAAAAGGCCATGATAGTGAAGTGTATAAGGCTACTTAAGGTAAAAGATAAAAGTTTAAAAATGGGCCAGCCACGGTGGTTCACGCCTATAATCCTACCATTTTGGGAGGCCAAGGCGGGTGGATCACCTGAGGTCAGGAGTTTGAAACCAGCCTGGCCAACATGGCAAAACGCTGTCTCTACTAAAAATACAAAAATTAGCCGGGCCTGATGGCGGGCATCTATAATCCTGCTACTCGGGAGGCTGAGGTGGGAGAATCGCTTGAACCCAAGGGGTAGATGTTGCAGTGAGCAGAGATCGCACCACTTCACTCCAGCCTGAGTGAAAGAGCAAAACTCCATCTCAAAAGAAAAAAAAAGATTAAAAATGAGTTGTTATTGGTGCTGCAAAAGCAGAATATCACTTAATTGCAATGGCCGAGTAATAACCACTCAAATGTACAACATATACTTGCAGAATGTGTAGACCACAACCACTCTCCAAGTACAAGTGCAGAGAGTATTTCAAATATCAAAGAAGTGAAGACACAGGTGAAAAATACAAGAACCCTCTCCTGCCAAATTATTCAATTGTGTACAACTTCTGCCCCTTCCCATATAGCGCCATGCTTGCCTTAAAAAAACGCCCTTCGTCAGAGAATGAGAAGAGTTCGACCAGTTCAGCGACCTTCTGAACCAAAGGCACTTGCTGATATTGAGATGTCTTTTCCTCCAGTGTTACAAAACACATTACATGGTGAACTATTCTTACTTTTATTTTTATTTTTTTTGAGTCAGGGTTTCACTCTGTCGCCCAGGTTGGAGTGCAATGGTGCGATCATGGCACACTGCAGCCTCAACTTCCCAGGCTCAGGTGATCCTCCCGCCTCTGCCTTCCGGGACTATAGGCTGGAACTATAAGCGTACACCGCTGCGCCTGGCTATATTTTTTGTATTTTTTGTAGAGATGGGATTTCTCCATGTTGCCCAGGCTGGTCTCAAATTCCTGGACTCAAGCATTCCACCTGCCTCAGCCTCCTAAAGTGCTGAAATGACAGAGCCACTGCACCCAGCCGAGCTATTCTCAATAAGAGGTTTGACTGTCAAAGAAGATAGACTTCTTATATTAACTCTAAATCTAACAGAATACCTAGCACATGCTTCACTTTGGCCAATGAATGGCACTTTCAAAATGTCCTGACTGTTTTTTTAAAAAAGATCAACTATATACAATTCATGTCCCTGTTAGGTCTGAAATTTCTAGAATATATCTGCTTATGTGTATATTAATGACTGGAAAAAGTGAAGCACTTTATCAATGCTGATTTGAAGATTCAGTGGACTTTGCAAAAGAAAATGGATTTCAACTGAATCTTCAAACCATACTGACAGATTTGGAATTAGGTGTGATCAAGCTTCTAAAAGTGAATTTCAAGGTATTAGCAATGCAGTTTATTTTTTTTCATTCAGCCCACTGCATTTGGCAGAAAATTCAGATGAGTGGATTGGCCACAAGATATGGCAACAACGACAACTTCAGTTTAAAAATATGGGCCAGGTGTGGTGGGCCACCCAGGTGTGGTGGCCCAGTAATCCCAGTACTTGTAATCCCAGTACTCTGGGGAAGCCGAGGTGGGTGGATCACTTGAGGCCAGGAGTTCAAGACCAGCCTGGCCAACATGGTGAAACCCCATCTGTAGTAAAAATACAAAAATTAGCTGGGCATGGTGGCATGTACCTGTCGTCCCAGCTACTCAGGAGGCTGAGGTACGAGAATTGCTTGAACCTGGGAGGCAGAGGTTGCAGTGAGCCGAGATTGCACCATTGCACTCCAGCCTGGGCAACAGAGCGAGACTCCTCCTCAAAAGAATAACAATAAAAAATAATAAAAAAATAAAAATGCATCATTTGACTGCATTGGCATTCCTTCCAGTTGATGACATTTTAGGAGCGTTTCATGAATTAAAGTCGCATTTGCCTGAAGAAGCTAGTGAAATCACTGACCTGTTCAAAAGTAATTATGTGCACAGTAGGATAAGAAGACACTTACACAATGGTGTTGCTGTTCAATCACCAGCGTTATTTCTACCAAATCTGTGGTCTGTATATGAGTGGGTGTGGAATGAATTTCCGTGAGCCCAAGACACCATAAAAACATGGCACAGAAGATGGGAAAATTTGGAATATAAATAGTTCTACCATAAAGACACATGCATGTGTCATTGCAGTGTCATTGCAGCACTAGTCACAATAGCAAAGACATGGTATCAACCTAAATGCCCATCAATGGCAGACTGGATAAAGGAGATGTAGCACATATACACCATGGAATACTATGCAGCCATTAAAAAAAGAGAGAGATCATGTCCTTTGCAGCATCATGGATGGAAGCTGGAGGTCATTATCTTAAGTGAACTAATGCAGGAATAGAAAATCAAATACCACATGTTCTCACTTATAAGTGGGAGCTAAACACTGAGAACACATGGACACAAAGAAGGGAACACTAAATACTGGGGCCTGCCTGAGGGAGGAGCAAGAGGATAAAAAAATGTATCTATCAGGTATTACGTTTGTTACCTGGGTGATGAAATAATGTGCACACCAGACCCTTGTGACACAAAATTTACCTATATAACAAACCTGCACAGGTACCCTTAAACCTAAAATAAAAGTTAAAAAAAAGATGGGAACATTTAATAGGGAAGGTTCATGGCCATGTATATAGAATCACAGAAGAATTTCAGAAAGAGCAGTGCCACATAGGAAATGAGTGTGATGTATTCTCCAAGCAGAGCCATACGCTAAAAGAAAGAAAAAAACAGCTTTTCATTTTTATGCAAGACGTCAAAATATAGTGAATGATTGTGAAAGTTGGCCAGCTCTTATGGACTACCTCTGTGTAATTGCCCATAATCTATCCCTGTAATACAGTTTTCATATCATCTTCACATCATTTCCAATACTGGAATTATGTAAAGACTTTTAGAGAGTCCTAATTAGTTTCATGTGTTTTTGCAAATCTGACTCCACAGAAGTGCATTATCACAACGTGGACTTTGTAAGCATAATGCGTGTATGTAAAAGCATTGAAACTTCCTCAATAAATGAAGAGAAGTCCTTTTTGTACATGTGCATTTGTGAAAGATAAAATTTCTCAAGATCTCGGTTCTTTGGGTGACTGTATATGCAGTGGTGACCCATTGCAGTTTTTTATTGATCTTGTCAAAAGACTCAGATTGTCTGTCATGGTATTTCAGATGGCCGCAGTTAGAAAGCTGGGTGCACACAATTAACAACCATAGCGATATGCATTTGTAGATTTCCCTTTTTGACCTATTTCTTCATGAATATAGTTCATCTGCGCGTAACTGTTACACTCGTGCGACTGTCATTAGTGTACCTGAGTGTTTATGCTTGCAAAAATGTGTACGTTTTTATTGCCTATCTTACTGTGGCAAGTGACCTGTAAAGTGTCCTGACATGTTTTGATATGTCTCTCAATTAAACTCCCTTTAAATCTATAAATAAATGTCTTTTAACGAATTTTAAAATGATTTTTTCAGAATTCTATTTTCAGGATTTTGATTTTTCAGGATTTCAACATTCAGAGTTATGGCATTTGGTGTTGTGTCTTGCAGGATTATGATCAGTTCCCAATTCACTACATTCCTCAACACTCTTTTTCAGAGAAGAATGGAAACTCAACTCTTAGTGGCTTCAAAATAAAAGGGAGTTCATTGGCTCATGTGACTGAAAAGTCCACGGGTAGTTCAGCTTTAGGTATGGCTGGATCCAGGGGCTTAAATAATGTTCTCAGAATCTATGTCTGTCTGAGGATACATTGTGGAGGAAGGAAGAAAAAAAAGAAGGAAGGAAGGGAGGAAGAGAGGAAGAGAGGGAGGGAGTTAGGAAGAAGGTGTCCACTGCAAATATGCCCAAAAATAATTACACTATAAGGAAGACAGTGTTAAGTGATATGAGAGAGCTCAGTGAAACGAGGGTTTCGGAAGATGCAGGAATTAACGCACTCATGTATTTATTCATTTATTTATTCAGGTCTTAAACACTGAAGTTCTAGGCTTCACACTGAACTAGGCCTGGGGCTCTAGAGATGAAGACCAAGTCCTTGCTTTCAGGGAACGTCCACCCTCTGTTGGGGAAGGCAGGTAGGTAAAGAGCCAATTGCTAATTTGTACGGAGCCACAGGGATGCATAGGGCACACTGAAAGCTCATTTCCTACTGAGGGATCTGGGAAGCTTCTTGGAAGCGTGCACTGCGACCTGAAGAGTAAAAACGGCAGAGAAGGGCATTGAAGCAAAGGGAACAGCATAAGTCAAAGCCCAGAGGCTGGATTCAGAGCCACTCAGAGGATGACTTTCTGGGTGACATTGGGTGGGTGATTGGGCCTCAGTTTTTCTATTTGTACAATAAACGGGTTAGGTAACTTGCTGCTGAGGAAGGAAAGGGGAAAACAATCTCACACACGCAGACACACATGCGCACACACACGCACACACACGCCCACACACACGCAGACATGCACACACGCAGCACACACACGCACACACACACGCACGCGCGCACACACACGCACACACGCACGCACACACGCACGTACACACACATGCACACACACGTACACAGATGCAGAGACTGTGGTTGTTTCAGCCTTAGAGGGTAAGACATGACTCACTTCTAGATGACGTTATTGACTCAAAGGTAAGGCCTCTTGGGCCCAGCCTCCAGAGGGAGAGAAAGAGAGAGAATGAAATGATCCACAGCATACAGTAACAGCAATTTATGTTTTCATTTAAAAATAGTATTTATTGTTTGAATAGATAATATCTATACATTGTCACCATCACAGAGGTACAAAGGGTGTTCTGTGAAGAGTAACTTCCCTTCTAACCCCACTCCCTTATCAACCCATTCCCCTCCCCAGAGAAAATCACTCTAAATTTTTATATAGACTTCCAGAGAGTCTATGCAAATGCAAGCACATACACTTACAAGTATACATATGTACAGTCCCTGCATTTTTGGGGTACAGATTGGGGTGTACTATTCACATTCTTATGCACCTTACTTCATTTACTTAATAACAGCTATTGGCTATTGGAGTGTATCATTCTACAGCGGGCTGCCTCATTCTTTGAATGGTTGGATAGGGTTCCACTGCACGGAAGTGCCATAAGTCATGCAACCCATCCTATAAGGATGAGCACTTTGAGGATGCTATTGTACTAACAGATTCCTTTAACACAAATACAAGATAGAAATTAGAAAAGATAGAAGTAAAAGTCCTTTGTGATTACAAACAATGCTGCAAAGCCTGTCCTGGTCTTTGTGTCATTTCCACATGGGGCTGCCTCTGTTGGACAAAGGCGTAGAAGAGCGATTGTTGGATCAAAGTCCTTGTGCATTTGTGATTCTCATAGATATTACTCTATCCCGTTACCCACCTCCCTCATGGAGGTTGTAACCATTGTGTACTCCCACTTGCAATGTACAAGAGGCCTGTGTCACAGAAATTTTGAGTTTCTCCAGGCAGCCTGGGAGAGAGAGTAAGGGGATGAGAAGCTGGGGAAGAGGGCAGGGCATGGGGAGAAAGGAGGACATCCTTTGAAGGAGGAGGCCTGGGAACTGTAGGAGGCTGAGGACTAATGTGAGACAAGGCCGATGAGAAGTTCCTGGGGTCACGACAGTGACCTTTAGGCTTGCAGAGCTTATAGCCAATGGTGAAGTCATGCACACCAGTCAGTCACCCTCCTCTATTGCACACCGGCCAGTCGCCGTCCTCCATTGCACACAGTTCAATCACCCTCCTCCACTGACAGCTCAGTGACGGGCCTGCCATGCTTCCAGAATTGCATTCCCAGGAATGACACTTGAGAGATGAAGGAGAGGTGCTTAGGGGGCCCAGTGGTTGGAGGAATGGGTAGTAGCCTCAGAGACAGGAGCCCAAATCAGGAGCCAGCACTGTGAAACAGCAGGCTGTGCCAAGGACTAATTTAGGAGAAACTTAAGCCCCCTAAAACTCTAAAATTGGGAAGAATTCCCTGCATTCTCTGATTGTGTGGGTTGGGAACTGAAGCCATTTTATCCTGGTGTTAAAGGAAAGAGACTTTGTGCCTGGGGCAGGCAGTCACTTGGTGACACCCCCGTGGCTGAGGTTCTCCATGCCTCTAAGCCTGGGTGTCTTTCTCCCTGCTCTTCCCAGTCCCGACAGGCTGGGACCATCCCACCCAGAGTTAAGAGGCTTTGTGTTCAAAATCCTGGTCCAACGCTGGGCGCAGTGGCTCACGTCTGTAATCCCAGCAGTTTGGGAGGCCAAGACGAGCAGATCACCTGAGGTCAGGAGTTCAAGACCAGTCTGGCCAACATGGTAAAATCCCATCTCTACAAAAATACAAAAATTAGCTGGGGATGATGGCAGGTGCCTGTAATCCCAGCTACTCAGGAGGCTGAGGTGGGAGGCTTGAACCTGGGAGGTGGAGATTGCAGTGAGCTGAGATAGCGCCATTGTACTCCAGCCTGGGTGACAGAATCAGGTTCTCTCAAAACAAAACAAAACACAAAGGAAAAACTCCCCACAAAAAACCAAAATCCTGGTCCAGGGGTCCCAACCCTTTTTGACCATAAACTCCTAACAATAAATAACAGTTTATTAAAAAAATTTTAATTTAAAGTTATTTTTAAAAATAAATATTTATTTATAAATTCTATAAAGAGCTATTATACTAATATGTTCCTTTAACACAAATAAAAAATAGAAATGAGAAAAGACAGAGGTAAAAATAGAAGACCTGATAGTCTTCCTAAGCCTCAAATGACACCCTACTTTGGAAATCACTTACCTAGCTTTAAGCGTTTTCAGAGCTGGGTTGGCGAAGGGACTTGGAGGGCCTTGTGTATCTCTGTGTGTGTGTGTGTGTGTGTGTGTGTGTGTGTGTGTGTGTGTGCTAACTCAGGGATGGAGGTGCTGTGAGATTTGGAAAACTTGGGACATGATGAGGGTTTGGGGGGGTTTCCTTAAGTGGTGGGGGCCCAGGCTGAGCTTGCAACAGAGCCCTGAATGAGGAGGGGGGTGTCACTACGTGGTAGCTGGGCTGGACCTTAAGCATCTGGGCGTGGGAGAGTCTTCACAAGACCCTTGTATCCCAGATTGGCTGCATGAGACTGGGAGCCTTTCATCTTCATAATGATCCCATTCTGTCCCCGACCAGTCCCCACCTGTTGCCTCCTTAGATCATGAGCTTAACTATAGTGACGGACAAAGAGATGGAGCCAGGCCCCTGACCCATCTTTCCCCAGGGACAGGGAGGGGGGGGGTCACTAATACCAGTAATAGCAGGGGAATTCAATTTGACATGGATGACTAGAGTAACATGATAATTATTTCACCTGCCTCCTGTAGAACAAATTCATATTCACCACCCATGTATGAAAGGGTTATGGCACCAGAGACGTTATTAGAAATGATTTCCAACTGGGAGCAACTCGGTTAGTGGGACTAGGGAAAATTAAATATCCCCTTCCAGGCCTTGGCTGAAGTTGACTCTGTTTGTCCTCGTCTCCCCTCCCTGCCTTGAGGCCCCAACCCCTGCCCATGTCTCCCGGTCTGATACTCCTCAGCCATGCTCAGGGCTGCAGGCTGACTCCAAGCCTTCGTAAACCACCCAGGACCGTTAAACAAATCCTATAATTAGAAGCCAGGTTGCATTAACGAAGTGAAAAATGTAACATTACCATCTGTTTGTTCACTGGATGCTCAGCTCATGTCCCATGATCCAGAGGATTTGTGACCTTGGGTTTCTAAGAAGCCTTAATAAGGTAATGTTTATAGGACTCTTAACTTTACAGCTCTGCTGGAGTACAACTCTGTGAAATGAGGACAAGCTATAATTCCAGGAGATCCCCTCCTCCCCATCCCAGTGCTGAAGAATGTTGTCCCCTTATGTAGTACATGGAAAGCCCCATGACTGGGATTAAAGGAAGTAGATTCTGGTCCCAACTCTGACACTGAATTGCTGTGTGACACTCTATCAGTCTCTTTTCCTCTCTGGACTTCTGTTTTCCCATCTGTAAAAGAGAGGAGATGATGGCTCTTGTTCCAAAAGTCCCCTCCAATTCTGACATTCCAGTTTGATTTCTCTGTCTCTCTGCCATTGAGTTTTATATCAAGCAAAGTTTCTTTTCCAAATTTGATCTTCCTTCTTTGGACTTCTCACAAAGACTTGGTAATGAAAGTTGAACTGGATAAATCTAGTTTGGGGTTAGCAAGACACATAGACCTTTTTCTGCCTCAGCTTTGAATCTCTCTGATGGGATAAAAATGCATCAAAAATAATATGACATTGACAATTAATTAGGAAGAGACAATTCCTTAACTCTTCAAAGAAATTAAACTGGTTAAAGCAAGGAACAGTGGAAAGAACCAGGGTTGTTCTCTCTGGAGATGGTAGCCACAATTAAGTGAACAGAATATTCTGCCAACTTCCTATCAGCCGACATTTACTGAGTTCTTCCTGTGAACTAGACTTTACGTTATGGCCTTACACCCATCCTCTCAGCCTCATAGCAAACCTGTGAAGTCAGTACTTTCTCATTGTCCTCATTTAACAGATGAGGAACTGACAATTAAGGAGATGAATTTGCTCAAAGGAAATATGTGGCTGGGGCAGAGACTCCAGAACCTGATTTTTGACCTCTGCAGATCTGTTGTCTACAGACCTCTGACTCTGTTTTTGTACTTGTGGAAGCAAGTGTTGTGATGAAGTTTCCATCACCATGTCTCTGCATGATTCTGATAAGCGCAGCATGCCCTGCTAGCCTGCACAGGCTATGTAGCATAGGGATAAGGACACTTTTGCTGGGTCGAGCCTCTTAGATTTGGGGGTTGCTTGTTACTGCAGTGCAACTTGGCCTATACTGACCGATACTGCTTGCCTTGGGGCTGAGGGAACAGTTTTGCTCTGTATATTCGCAAAGAGTCAGTTTGCAGTCAGCAGATGGAAGAAGCAGGGAGACAGACATTTAAAACGCTAATAAAAGGCTGGGGAGCATATACAATAGTATCACTGAGAAGCCAGCACAATGATCCTGATGATCCTGTTGAGCTTGAGTCTAAGAAATTGACTAAAAAATGAGAAGATTTGTAGGTGATTCTGGAATGCCAGGGTCAGAGCTAGCTCTGTGGTTGAGATAATGGGATAGAATACAAGGGAATCCCAATATGGAAGACAAGAATTTATGAACATAGCCATGTGATGGCCAGACTGAAGGGCCAAACAATCCTAGGTTTTTCTAAGAGCACACTGCTGGGGAGAGAAAGATCAGGGTCAGCCTGACCCCTGAATTCTCTCCAGAGCTGACTCAGAAAACTTATCCCTCTGGCATGGAGCCCTCTCACCAGACACATTTCTCTCCAATGTAGATTTGTCCATAAAGCACAGCTGACCATGGCAGAAATAACTTGGATATCCTTCGGTGCTCTGTGTCTGCTGCCTAATGACAGGCACCCACCTCTAACTGCTGCTGGTTCCAGTGCTCATTCACTTTCCCTAAGCTGGGGCAAAGGTTAGGGTAGCTGATGGTTAAAGGGACCTCAGGGGCCCAACTTACATCCCAAGCTCTGTCCCTTTTCTCCTCACTGTATGGCCTCAATTTCTTCTTCTGTAAAATACTTACATTCACGTGTTGATCCAGCAAGTAAATAAAAGTCATGGATGTAAAAGTGTTCTTTTTCTTTCCTTTTTTTTTTTTTTTTTTTTTGAGACAGGGGCATGCTTTGTCACCCAGGCTGGAGTGCTGTGGTGTGATCTCGGCTCACTGCAGCCTTGACCTATTGGGATCAAGTGATCCTCTCGCCTCTCAGCCTCCTGAGTAGCTGGGACTACAGATGCATGCCACCACGCCTGGCTAATTTTTAAATTATTTTTTTGTAGAGACGAGGATCTCGCTATGTTGCCAGAACTCATCTTGAACTCCTGACCTCAAGCAATTCTCCTGCCTCGGCCTCTCAAAGTGTTGAAATGACAGGCATAAGCCACGGCGCCTGAGCTAAAAGTGTTTTTCAAATTGTAGAGTGCTTCAGGGGTAACCCTTTTACCATCACGCAATTGTCATCAGCATCTGCGTGGGTCCTTGGCTGGACACCTTCCATCTCCCACAGCCATAAACCTTGAAGCTGCCTTCTCACATTAGAGCAATTACCGAGGCTTCTTTCCTGGGAACCAGACTTTGGAAATGGTCAGATTCCACACTAGCCATTTCTTCCTCTTTCCTCACAGTATTTATGAGAACTGACCTTCCAATGGAAATTTGGCAAGATTTCACATTCTGGAGACATTGTACCTTCCTCCACATGCCCCGAGGGCTGAGGTCATGGGCTTCCCAGAAGATCCAGCAGTTCCCATGCATGCAGGAGGTGCACAGGACTGAGAGGAGAGGGGCCCAGCAAGAGCCCCTGAGCTGTGGGCTGGTCCTAAAATATCGATACTGTTAGATTCCTCATCCTGCATTAGAACATAAGCTCAGGAATAGGCCACGCACAGTGGCTCATGTCTGTAATCCCAGCACTTTGGGACGCTGAGGCGGGTAGATCACTTGAGTTCAGGAGTTCAAGACCAGCCTGGCCAACATGATGAAACCCTATCTGTACTAAAAATTCAAAAATTAGCCAGGCATAGTGGTGCATGCCTGTAACCTCAGCTACTTGGGAGGCTGAGGCATGAGAATCGCTTGAACCCGGGAGGCAGAGGTTGCAGTGAGCCAAGATTGCACCACCGTGCACTCCAGCCTGGTGACACAAGAACTATTTTAGTTGTTCACCACTATATCCCCAGTGCCTGGCACATAGTAGGTGTTCAATATATATTTGTGAAATGAATTGGAATGAACCCTCCTCAATAACTCTCAAAGGTCCTTCATCGTCCATAGGCTAATTCCTTGAAGGTCACAGCTCCTAGAAACTTATAGAACATCCTAGGCAAGATATTTAAACCTCCACCAGAAGCAGCTTGTCAACATTGCCTCCTAACAGTTCAGGCCACAGAGATAAGCTCCTGCAGGGAGTCCAGGGGGAGATTCACGCCTGTGAGTTTTCTAGGGGTCAGGAGGATGAGGATAGAGGCCTTGGCTACGGCCATCAAGGGTGATGTGATGTGTGTCAGAGTTGCTGCCTGTGCTCTAAGTGTTGTGTTGTGCACAGCTCTCAGGACGTTCCTCTGCTAATCCTGCCCTAATCGCAAGCCAGCCCCAAGCTCCCTGAGCCAGGTGCTGAGAGCCGCATCTGTGAGTAAGACATGCTTGCTGTCTGTGAACAGCTCCTACCTGATGGCTCTTAAAACAATAACAAAACACACACATACAAGACACCACCCACAAATTTGCACTCACACAATACACCAAAACAACCACAATAAAAACAGCACTCTCTGACCCAACAACAGAGGCCAATATGCAAGGCAGACTTTGATAAGTACCATCGGTTTGTAGCTTAATGTTCGGGGTGCAGGCCTTTGAACCCAACCTGCAAAAGAAGTCCTTTCTGCCCCACCCATGAGCCCCTGCCACCCATGAGCCCCCAGGACTCCTCTCCCTACGCAGCTGCTGGGAGATGTTGACGTTTTCTTCTCACGTCCCCACAGATGTGGCCTCTTCCTCTGCCAGGAGCGGCTCTGGGGGGCTGAAGAGGACTTTTTTTGTTCTGTACCCGTTTCCTGCTTCTGCTGAGGGCAGGGTTGGGGCCTTCCACCCAAAACAGACCCAGACCCACCCAGCCAGAGGAGACGCTGACAGCTTTGGGGGAAAAGTCAGAATTCCAGATCTTGTGAATCCAGACGTCCTGTAAACTCTGAGCAGAGGATAAACATCCCCCGGGACTGAGGGGAGGACACTCCAGTGGGCAGGGGGCCTGGCGCCTCTGTCTGCCCTGGAGACAGGCTGTTTATTCCACGTCCCCCACAGGCTCTCTCGCACTCCTTCCTGTCCCAGGTCTGGGTGAGTTACAGCAGGCCTGACAGCCCCACATGGGGGCCTGAGGCCTTGGACATCAGATCTGGACCTCTCAAGGCTAGAAGGGAACTTTAAAAGCTCAAAAACTGGCCGCGTACGGTGGCTCACGCCTGTAATGCCAGCACTTTGGGAGGCTGAGGCGGATCATGAGGTCAGGATTTTTTTTTGTTTTTTCTGAGATGGAGTTTCATTCTTGTTGCCCAGGCTAGAGTGCAATGGCACGATCTTGGCTCACTGCAACCTCTGCCTCCCAGGTTCAAGCGATTCTCCTGCCTCAGCCTCCTGAGTAGCTGGGATTACAGGCATGCGCCACCACGTCCGGCTAATTTTGTATTTTTAGTAGAGACGGAGTTTCTCCATGTTGGTCAGGCTGGTGTCGAACTCTAGGTCAGGAATTTAAGACCAGCCTGTCCAACATGGTGAAACCCTGTTTCTAATAAAAATACAAAAATTAGCTGGGCATGGTGGCGCATGCCTGTAATCCTAGCTACTTGGGAGGTTAAGGCAGGAGAATTGCTTAACAGGGACCTGGGAGGCGGAGGCTGCAGTGAGCTGAGATCATGCCACTGCACTCCAGCCTGGGCTACAGAGCGAGACTCCATCTCAAAAAAAAAAAAAAAAAGCTCAACAACCCCTCCACCCCACAACACACACCTGGGCCACTCCTTCCTCTTCTAGAATCTCCTGGCTAGTGTTCTGCTCTCTGCTGATAGAGAGATCACTCTTTTCCAGGGCAGTCCATTTTATTTCTGGGACTCTCTGGCAGTTAGAAAGTGCTAGAATTGAGCTGACTAGAATTGCTCTGTGCCACCTGATTGGGAAGAACTAAGGACAATGCATACAACAAAATAATAGCAGGGCCATTCCCTGTGCCAGGCACTTGCCACATATAATCTTGTTAACCCCCCACCTCTCTTTCAAGGACATAGGCTCAGGGAGGTTAGGTCACTTGCCCAAGGTGACTTAGCTGCTACATAGCAGGGATGAGGTTCAGAGCACTCTGGTTCATCGTCTGTGCTTTAAATATTAATCTATACTGGCTCTTCATAATCAAAAAGCAAAAATAGCACATACACCCACAAACACACTATACATCAAAATCAGGCACATATAAAACCAAACCAAATTACAAAATATCAGCCCGAACTTGCCAAATATTAAGTACCATTATGTGCCAGGCAAACAATAATTTTAATGATTAATGCATTTTAACAACCCCGTGAGGAAACGGAGGCCCACTGAAGTGAGGGGGGTGGACATGACCATATAATAAGGGGCAGGGCAAATGTCCAACCACCATTGCCTGAAGTCTGCCGTGCTTTCCCCACAGGAGGAGGGCTTCTGCAAAATAAAAAAGAAAGCTTTTATAATTATAATTATTTTCAACAACCAGAGTTTTAAAAAATGGACTGTGCATCCTCAGAGAGAAATGATATTCCTAGAGAGATGATACCCAGCAAAGGCACTTAGAAAGCGTTCCCGCTTTGCTAAGGGCTGGATGAGGTATCCCCTACCTCTGATGGCCTGTGGGTGGTGAGTGCTAACAAGAGACTTGGTACAGTGTAGAGTCAATTTGCAACCCAGAAACACAAACTTGGTGTTTTCAAGTCTGGATGCTCTGCAGAAGAGAGGCCTAGGCGACCCAGTCTCCAGTGAACAAGACCACCTCTTGGAGTCCTACCCCAACTCACATTTCTTTGACTTCCCCCTGTGGGGAGGAGACGCTGGCACCTGGCCTGGGCAGAGGGTCATGTCGACGTGGCAGCCCCTCTGCACACCCCAGAGGCCGCCCATTCACCCAGGCCTTTCCCTTTTTTGAGAACTGGGAGCTTGCTGGCTGGGGCTGTTCCCACCAACAATGTTCCCGTCCAGGGATCTTAAAATAGCACCTCTTGGCTGGGGCTCTGGAGTGAGCAGCGAGGCAAGCATTTGTGCAAATATGGGCCTGGGAGAAGGACTCCTACCAGGGAGGGAGGGGAGGGCAGCATGGCAGGAGAGCCAGGACCTCCCTAGGGGGCTGCACCCTCCTGGTCGCAGCCAGCAAAGGCGCCGACTAGCCTCTTCCCGCCTTCCCTGACCTTACTGGGTCCACTTGGGCAAGTTCTTAGACCAAATCCTTCAGGTCCCCCTGGCCTTGCCAACGCTCTAGGGTGGGCCCGCTGGAAATAGGCACCTTTGCATTCTTCTGCTGGTTCTAGCCTTGTCCCCACTTCGTAATGCCCTTCCTACCCAGGAACGTACTAGAAGCATTCTTGAAGGCCCAACTCAAAACTCATTTTAACTGTAGGAATGACAGTTGCAGCTACCATTAATGGGGTACTTACTTTTGCCAGGGACTGTGCTAAGCGCTTTAACGTGCATTATCTCATTTGATCCTCACAACAATCCACTGAGAGCCAAGTTATTATTATCTTCACTTTGCAGAAGAAACTAAGGCTCAGAGAAGTCAATTAACATTCCCAAGATGACACAGCAGTGAAGGGGCAGGGGCAGGGCTGAAACTCAGGCCAGCCCATCTGTGGAGGCTGACCTCTGCCCTCCCGGCTGCACTTCCTTCTCCAGGTCCCTCTGCTCTGGCCTCCTCCTCTGTCCCAGCATGGCCTCCCTGTATTATAGTCAGTTTGATTCAATGTATCAATATTTTAGTTCACATACCAGGAATGCTGTTGGGTGCCCCACGAGCACCCTGGGAGCTCTCGGATCCCCTTGATGACTTGGGCTTGGGCGTGGGTTTAGTGAGCACCCGAACCTACCGGGTTCAGGTTGTTTGAGGCCATGGGTCAAGGCTGAGGCCATCACAGACCGTGCTCAATGACCAGCTGACCAACTGGACATTCCCCCTCCACCCCTGGCTGCCGCCCCTCTCCTTACTCCACCGCAGGGAGCAGTGTGTGCAGGAGTCAGACAAACTTGCTGTGAATCTTCTGTGACTTTGGGCAAGTGGTTAACCACGCTGAGCCTCAGTTTCCCCATCTGTAATTCAGAATAAAACTAGGACCTCACCCAGTGTTATTTGGAGGATTTCATGAAGCATTTAGCTTATGGCCTGGCAGTCAGTAAGTGGATATTAAGTAGCAGCTATTATTGTTACTGTTATTTTCTGTGAATTAAGGTGTCCAGGTGCCAAATGCCTGAGGCCTGGCACACAGCAGGTGCTCAAAGTAAAGGCAATCACTCACTCAGCAGACAGAAGCCCTCACCCGACCCCTGGAATCGGTGACCCCGACACCTGGAATCGGTGACCCCGACACCGCCTGTGTCATTCCTGGCCGGCTCTGATGTCTCCTAGGCTCTGGTCCTCATCAACAATAGGGTCACTCTGGAAGCCAGGCACAGGCGCAGGGCCCCACCCACTCGCCCCATCCCCTCATTCTCAGTCCCGGGCCGCTCTTGGAGAAAGAGGTGGCAGAGTGCAAGTTCCCTCAGGGTCAGTACATTTTTCAGGGTTGGCTGGCTTTCTAGTGGCGCCATCTGCTGGTGAGTGCAGCACTGCTCCTGGCGGGGCCTGCTGCAGAGGGCTCTGAGCGAGACCGCGGCCACCCACTGCCCCTTCCCCTGTAGCTCATCTGCCCAGTCCTTCATTCACGCATGCTGACCACCCTCTGCGTGTTAAGACCCAAGGACCCCAGCCTCACTCGTGGGGTGGGAGCCCTGGAAGCCCAGTTCCTGCACCTCCCTCTCAGGCCTGGCACTGAGTCCTGGGGCTGGGTCCCACAGGCCTGCCTGGGTTCACACTCAGGACATCAAAAAGGACAGATGACCCTCCAGGGGTTTCTAGAAACCAAGACTGGAAGAAGGGGTCTCCCTCCTGGTCTGAGATGGTCCAGGAATGGGAAACCCAATGACTGTTGCTGGGCCCATGCCTGACTCCTCACAGCACCTGCCAGGGGACCCCAAAGCTCCCCTCCCCACTGTGAAGGATCTGGGGCCCCCACAAGGACTGGCCTGCCTCTTTGGTCTCCACCAGACCAGCAAGGAGGCCCAGCCTGGCCCAGAGCTGTTTGTATAAAGTCTGAGGGAAGAACAATGAATGACTTAGGAGACGGAGTTCTGCTCCCAGCTCTGGCACAAACGCACTGTGTGAGCTGGGGTAGGACCCTCCCTTATCCAAGTCTCCTTGTAGTAAAATGGGTGGGAGGAGGGGGCCAGATGATGGGTGAGGACCCGTGTAGCTCCCAAACTGGCCTCGTGCTAAGATGCAGATTTTTGCGCTGCTACTTCAGCATCTCTGGGGCTGGGACCCTGAAATCTAAAGTAGCAAGCACTGCAGCTGGAGCAGGGGAAGCTGACAAGTCAGTCCTGGCTTGGGGAGGCAGAAGTGAGGGGTGCGTATTTCCAGCAGGTAAGGAGAATGTGTTGGTTTCAGGGGTCCCCCATACCCCAGCATCCATCTTTCAGTTTGCCACTGTTCTGTGGATATGGGAGGGTCACCCCAGTTGCATGTCTGTGGGACCCCACTGCTAGCAGCAGCAGAGTGTGTGCAGAGAGCCAGCACAGAACACAGCCAGGCCGCCCGGCCAGTGGGGCTGGGGCTGGGACAGCCTGCGGTGGGGGCGGGGCCCTTGTTGCCTGAGGAGGTATTTTCAGAGTACCCCTCCCTCTGGAGTTTCCAACGGTAGAATAGAGCCCTGTCTAGTATTTGACCAAATATGGTGGCATCTCTCATGCTCGAGCCCCAGCCAGCATCTCAGTTATGCTGTGGAAGCCTGCCCCGGACAGATTAATCTTGTGACATTCAGGAGCGCCTCTCACCCTGCCTTCTTCCCCTCGGACGATTCCTGTAAATGGCCAAGACCGGCCCTCAGCACGACAGGGCCGTCCTCAGTATCTGTTCACAATGCCCCTCCTCTGTCCTCCTCACATTCCCTCCCGCCATTCCTGCCTCCCTGGGTGGATGTGCCCGCTTACATTGGGCTGGGCTGTTCACCTGAGGTGAGAGACATTGGCCAGAGGAGGTGGTCAGTTGAGCATGTGATTCCAGGACCTTTGGACCCTGAGGTCATCCGACCTCACAAACTTGTGGCCTGAATCTTGGAGGCCTAGACCTCTCTCAGCAGCCAGGAGGGTGGGCCTGAGGGGGTTGAAGGGAGAGTCAGTAGAGAAATGAGAACCATGCTACCTCTAATGCTAATTAGAACAACTAATGTTTATAATAATTATACAATTATTTTATAATAATCTCTATAATAAATAGCTAAGTGTTTATTGAGCACTTACTATGTGCCAGGTACTGTTGCCAGCTATTTAACATAGGTGATTTCCTTTATTCCTTATAGCAGTTTTAAGAGGGTGCCATGATTCTTCCCATTCTAGAGATGTGGGAACTGAGGCTCAGAAAGATTTCAGGAGGGAATGGGCCAGGCCACCGTCTACTTCTGGATACACCCACCATTTTATGGAGGAGGGAACTGAGGCTGACAGTAAAGCTCACATGCAGCCACACAGTCTCTGAGAGCGGAGACCACCCCAGGAGGGAGAGTGCTGTGTCAGGAAGGCCAGGACAATCAGCCGTAAGTCCTCATGGATCTGAAACTTGGCCAGAGTGAGGGCGTACAGCTTCAGAAATATGTTCACAGCAGGCTGAAATTGTGCGGAAAGTCTCCCAAGAAAAACAACATGGGGTGGTGGATAGAGCCCTGGATGGGGACAGGGTGAGAATAGCAGCTCTGACACCTCTAACTCACTGTTAATAGTGACAAGTCCCTTTCTGGCTCCAGCCTCAGTTTCCTTGACTGTGATCTAGAGGGGTGGGGCTTTGGTCTCCTAGGGCTGCTGAACTCACCTGAGGCCGGCAGAGGCTGGAGTGCCTGAGGCTGTTTCCCTGGGAGATGGGGCCTGTGTCCCACTCCTGGCCAGCACAATTTGAGAACATTTGCTCTCCTGACCAACCAACGGCCCATCCCTCCTCCACCCTCAACCCCTTGCCATCCCCTAAGCAAACGAAGCTGATTGTCTTAGCTGGCCCTGTGGGTGCTGGCTGGGCGGCCGGCCGCAGGCCACAGGCGGAGGTGCCACCGGCCAGAGCCCCACCAGACACACAGGGCATTGTCCCTCGGTCAACAGCCCCTGGGCACCTCAGCTCGGCTCCTGGCCTGCCCCCACGCCCCTCACCGCCTGCCACTGCGCTAGGCTCAGCCAGCTGGGGGCCCAAGGCTCCCAGCTGATGACGAGCCCACCCACTCACTCCCCCAGCAGCCCCCAGTTGAGCTATAATTGCTTCGCTCCATCCTGTTGCTGCCATTCTCTCGGCGGCATCTGGGGTTCCAGGCGGGCAGCAGCTGCAGGCTGACCTTGCAGCTTGGCGGAATGGACTGGCCTCACAACCTGGTACGTGGCGCTTCCCTGCCGCACCCCCACCCCTTTTTAAGAGCCCAAATATGTCAGTTTTTCTTTCCTATTTATTAATGGCTGCCTCTGTTTGGTTTAGAATCTGCAGAGGCAACTTCTCTGTCTTCTCCCCCAGGACTAGAAAGAAACAGAGACTGGTCACTGTAGCCATGGCCAGCAGTGCAGGCTCCTGAACGGGGCTCAGCCGGGGCACACTGAAGCCTTTTCAGACCAGAGGCGTCTGGGGAGATCCCGGCAAACTCAGTTATCGGGGTTTTTCCAAAGAGACCCGGCTTCTGAGGTCCTGGCTGTGTGACCTTGGGCAAGTCCTTCTGTTTCTCAGTGTCCCATCTGGAGAGTGAGGGAGGGGGACTTTGATTCTATTCTACGTTTCTCCGAGTGGAGAGCCAGAGTTTAAGAATGCCCTGTGAGAAACTCTAAAGAGAGAGCCTATTGTTAGGGAGACATTTTTTCTGCACTAGAATCTAGGACCAAAAAGGAAGAATTTAGCACTTGAATCTCTGTTGCAGATTTTGTGCCAGCAAATACCTCTGCCAAGAGGGGCTCTGCTGAAACTTGTTTCCTAGGGTCAAGACTTGCTGGGTAGCCTGGATAAAGCAGGCATGGGCCATGGGGCTGTGGGGCTGTGAGGTGAGGCATACAGGGAACATATGGAGCCTATCTCAATTTAAGAGGAGTCAGAGGTGCCTCCATCCTGGGAGCTCTGCCTCACACGCAGGCACTGTCCCTTCTCTCTGGATTCCTGGGGAGTCTGGCTTCTGCCGGGCCTGAGTCCTCTTCCTTGTGAGCCAAAGGCTTTCCTGATACTCTGGTGCTGGGAGGGAGAAGTGGATGGCAATGGGTGAGGGTGTGTGTGTGTGAGGAGGGCTTGGGGGATGGCTGGAAGAGGGAAGGCTCAGGGGAGAAGGGCAGTGCAGGCGGACAGGACATCCTTAGCCCATAACTTGCCCATCTCCCCAGCTTCATCTCATCCCCTCTTCCTCCCACCCACTCTTAATCAACATTCCATTCGATTCAGCAAAGTTCTTTTTTCTTTTTTTTGAGAGGAGTCTCGCTCTGTCGCCCAGGCTGGAGTGCAGTGGTGTGATCTCGGCTCACTGCAAGCTCCGCCTCCCGGGTTCAGGCCATTCTCCTGCCTCAGCCTCCCAAGTAGCTGGGACTACAGGCACCCGCCACCACACCCGGCTAATTTTTTTGTATTTTTAGTAGAGACGGGGTTTCACAGTGTTAGCCAGGATGGTCTCGATCTCCTGACTTTGTGATCTGCCCGCCTCGGCCTCCCAAAGTGCTGGCATTACAGGTGTGAGCCACCACGCCCGGCCACAGCAAAGTTCTTAACCAGTTCAAACCTCCTCTCTCATCTTCCCCCAACCCACCCCTCCCACACCTGCAAGACTTCAACTCCCTCAGCCCATGCCTGCCATGCCTCACCTGACATGTCCCTTCCCCAGAAAAGTTTCCCAGGCCATTGTCCCAGCACAGCTAAGCAGGAGGCCCCACTCTTCTCCAGCCACACCCTGAATGGGCCCATCCTGGACTTGTCGCTAGGGAGACTTGGGTGTTTGTCTTCTTGTTCACTGTCTTCCTTCTTAGACATAAATGACAGAAGGGCAGCGATGGGGACAGCCATTCATTTACTCAGTGAGTGTTCACTGAATGCATCACGCAGACACGGGAGATATGACAGTGTGTGGAAACTGACACGTGCCCCCACGGAGTCCATGCTGAGTTGGGGGCAGACACATAAAAGAATTGTATACACAAACTTTAAGATTGAAGTCATGCAAGAGGTGTGTGGGTTATGAGAGCCCAAGAAAGTCCAGAGGCATCCCTAAGAAAGCGATGCTAAAGCTGACACGAGGGGTGGGAAGGTGTCCAGGAGGTGAAGAGGCAGAATGCTGCAGGCAGAGGCTGTGCAAAGTCCCTGTGGCAGGAAGGAGCATGCTGAGTGTAAGACTGAGAGAAGACCAGAGGCTGGAACACACAAGAGAGAGGAAACAGGGGGTAATCTGAGGAGGGAGAGCTGGGGGATGGTAGGCAGAGTCAGACCTGAGCCTGGGAGACCCCTAAGAGCAATGGGAAAGGACCATGGACCCCAAGTCTTGGCCCAGATAGAGACTTGGCTCTCCCACCTTTGACCTGTGGCTTTCCTCCCCAGCTGTTTCTTCTTACCATTTCCATCTTCCTGGGGCTGGGCCAGCCCAGGAGCCCCAAAAGCAAGAGGAAGGGGCAAGGGCGGCCTGGGCCCCTGGCCCCTGGCCCTCACCAGGTGCCACTGGACCTGGTGTCACGGATGAAACCGTATGCCCGCATGGAGGAGTATGAGAGGAACATCGAGGAGATGGTGGCCCAGCTGAGGAACAGCTCAGAGCTGGCCCAGAGAAAGTGTGAGGTCAACTTGCAGCTGTGGATGTCCAACAAGAGGAGCCTGTCTCCCTGGGGCTACAGGTAGGCTGGGCAGTGGTGGCAAGCTGTCTTTGGGGGGTGGGGACCTTTCCTGTGCCCCAGTCATTGTAATGGTTAAGATCTCAGATTCAGAGGTCTGGGTGCTTGGGTTCGAACCCTAGCTCTGCCTCTTACTTGCCTGTGAGGCTTTGGGCAAATGGATTAGCCTTTCTGGGCCTCAGTTTCCTCAATGTAAATGGAGGCAACAGTAGTACCTCAGAGTCTTGTTAAGTGAGATATCCATGCAGAGCACTGCCCTCATTGTTCTTCAAGTCTCCATGGAAGTGCCTGCAAGGCTTTCCCCAGATGTCACTTCCTCTGCTCTGTGGGCCTCGGACGCCCTTCTCAGGTGTGGCGCTTCCATGCGGTGTTCCAGTCTGTCTCTTATGCTGGACCTGGGCCTTCCCAGTGCCGGCATCAGAATCACCTAGGGATTCCCATGCCCAATCCAAACCTCCAGCGGTGAGGCCCAGGAAGTGCTATTTCTTATAGCTCCACGTGATCAGGGCGCACAGCAGGCTGCGATTTGGGAATCAAGACCCATTGCCCTGGATAACGATGGCAGCAGCGTCCTCTCTTGGTTGTAGCTCCGCTTCCTTGCTCAGTGCCTGACCCATAGTAAGGACCAAAGATGAAGGAAAGGGCTGACCCTGAGGTCCTCACTCACAAACCCAGGCCAGAGATTTTTCAGCCACATGACATATACCCTGAGACTCTAGAATAGCACTGTTCACCAGAACTTTCTGTGATGATGTAAAGTCCAGTATGGTAGCCACTAGCCTCATGCAGCTACTGAGCACTTGACATGTGGCTACTGTGACTGAGGGATTAACTTTGATTAATTTTTTTATTTTTTGTTTGAGACAGGGTCTCACTCTGTTACCCAGGCTGGAGTACAGTGGCATGGTCTCGGCTCACTGCAGCCTCTGCCTCCTGGGCTCAAGCAATCTTTCCACCTCAGCCTCCCAGTAGCTGGGACCACAGGCATACCTGGCTGATTTTTTTTTTATTTTTTGTAGAGACAGGATCTCACTATGTTGCCCAGGCTGGTCTCACACTCCTAAGCTCAAGCAATCCACCTGCCTTGGCCTCGCAAAGTGCTGAGATTACAGGCGTAAGCCACCATGCTCAGCCCGATTAATTTGACACATGAAGCTAGTGGCTACTGCATTGGACAGTGCAGCTCCAGAATGTGACCATTGGAAGGGTCGGTAAAGATCCTCCAGAACGGAGCTTTTCACATCTGATTGTGCCAATGAATCACTCAGGGATCTGATAAAAATGCAGCTTCAGATTTAGGAGGTTCTGCATTTCTAGCAAGCTCCCAAGCATAAGGTGATGCTAATTCTACATGTCCACAGGTCCAGTTCACCCACTTCCTTGTCCCGTATTTAGCAGATGGGGAAACCGAGGTGCAGAAAAGGAGAGGTCACAAAGCAAGTCCCTGTATGCAAGGCTCCCTGAGAGCACCAGGAGGGAACTTGTCTGCTTTGTTCATCAATGAATACCTAAAATCTAGGACAGAACTGCTCATGTGGTGAGCATGTAAGTGTTGAATGAATGGAGATTAAGTCAGAATAGAACCCAGACCTCCTGACTTCTTTGCCAGTGGAAATTAGGCATCAATAAAAATAATCCACACTTTATTTCCGTGGATTAAGTTTCCCAACAATATAAACACAGTGGGGGTGGGGCAGGCAGAGGGAGGCCTTAATCACTTGAGCCTGGGGAGGCTGATGCTGCAGTAAGCTGTGACTGGGCCACTTCCACCCTGGGTGACAGAGTGAGACCCTGTCTCAAATAAAGGAAACACATGAGGGCCCTAGGTGGTAGAGGGCTACTCCACAATCCCCACAGCGCAACCTAGTACTGGGATGGGCATCTGGCTGCACGAAAGAAGGAAGCTGGGTGACTGGTGACCTTGAAGCTGGATAACCTTGGGGCTCTCGACTTGCCTTCCATGATCTTCAGTTTCCTCACGTGGAACATGGAGTTGATTACTGCCTTTCCTCCAGCCCAACACAGTCTTGCTGTGGAAATTAAAACTCTGATTAGGAAAGGCAGGGGTGTGGAGTATGGGTGCTGACTGGCCCTTTCCTGATCACCTTCCGCTCTGCTCTTTCTTCTGCTCCCTGCAGCATCAACCACGACCCCAGCCGTATCCCCGTGGACCTGCCGGAGGCACGGTGCCTGTGTCTGGGCTGTGTGAACCCCTTCACCATGCAGGAGGACCGCAGCATGGTGAGCGTGCCGGTGTTCAGCCAGGTTCCTGTGCGCCGCCGCCTCTGCCCGCCACCGCCCCGCACAGGGCCTTGCCGCCAGCGCGCAGTCATGGAGACCATCGCTGTGGGCTGCACCTGCATCTTCTGAATCACCTGGCCCAGAAGCCAGGCCAGCAGCCCGAGACCATCCTCCTTGCACCTTTGTGCCAAGAAAGGCCTATGAAAAGTAAACACTGACTTTTGAAAGCAAGACTTTGGGTTTGCTTTTTGTGGCTTCGAAGTCAAAACCAGGGTCAGGGTAGGAGGTTCCTGGGAGGTAGATTTCAGATTAATATAAAGGAGGATTTTTCATCACTCTGAGTTCTCCAATACTGAGGTGGCCTATTAGAAAATAATGTGTTCACCTCTACCACCTAGGGCCATCATGTGTTTCCTTTATTTGAGACAGGGTCTCACTCTGTCGCCCAGGGTGGAAGTGGCCCAGTCACAGCTTACTGCAGCATCAGCCTCCCCAGGCTCAAGTGATACTCGCACCTTAGCCACTCAAGTAGCTGGGATTACAGGTGTGTGCCACTACACCAAGCTAATTTTTGTATTTTTTGTAGATATGGGGTTTCACCATGTTGCCCAGGCTGATCTTCAACTCCTGGGCCTCTCTGCAGATCAGACTTCTGCCCACCTCGGCCTCCCAAAGTGTTGGGATTACAGGTGTGAGCCACCACACCCGGCCCATGTGTTTCCTTTAATCTGGGTTTATAAGTCTATATTTCAGCCATGTTAATGTAGCTTGGTTGCTATAAACCAATATAGGAGTTAACAAGAGTTAACTCTACCCACTTAAGGGTCACTGGAAACAAGCTCTTTTGAGGCGGGGAGCTCCCCATCTCTGAAAGTGTTAACTTAAAGCCAGGCTTCTCAAAGGTATTATGGAGCAGACCCCTGCTCTGGTTGGAGTAGATGATCTAAAAAGTCTTTTTCAGCTCTGAGATTCTCTGCAGATCAGACTTAGACCCAAAGAAAGGCCTCCAGGTTGCCAAAGAGCAGGTGCATCAGAGATAGTGCATCCCTGAAATTTTTATGTATGCACTTTTTCTGAGCTGAGGATTCCTGGTTTTGAACAGACACTCGTAAGTTGAGAAGTGTCAATGTAGATCATTCTTTCTTCCAGCCCTGTCCAAAAGGGGATCTTATTAGATGGTTTGCTGATATCAGTGATTCTCAAACTTTAGTGAGCATCAGAATCTCCTGGAGGGATTGTTAAAACAGCTTGCGGGGCCCCACATCTAGAGGTTCTGATTCAGGTGGAGGCTGATACTTTGCATTTTTTTGCAGTGTTTTTCTTGCATTTCTAATATATAAACAGTTGTTCCCAGGTGATGCTGGTGCTGCTGGTCTGGGCTCTGCACTTTGAGAACCACTGGCTTATATTAAGATACTTTGTTGATCAAAAATGGCAGTGTGTTGGCTTACTCCTATAACACCAGCACTTCGGGAAGCTGAGGCAGGCGGATTTCTTGAGCCTCAGGAATTTGAGACCAGGCTGAGAAACATGGCAAAACCTCATCTCTACAAACAAAATACAAAAAATAGCCCAGCATGGTGGCATGCGCCTGTAATCCCAGGTGTTAGAGAGGCTGAGGTGGAAGGATCACTTGAGCCTAGGGAGGTTAAGGCTGCAGTTAGCCATGACTGTGCCACTGCACTCCACCCTGGGTGACAGAGTGAGACTGTCAAAAAAAAAAAAAAAAAAAAAAAGCCAAAAACAGCAGTGTGGACTAATATATCCTAAAGCCCATGCTGACTCTTGATGCAAGAGTCCCCTGGATGCAACTCCCCACTTCCCATTTTGTCCCCTAGCAATTCAATCCTCCCCCTGGGCCCTCTAACCCCTGCAGCAAATCCCAAATCAGCTGTTCTAGGGTCTAAAAATACCTTCCCTCCCACAAGACAGCTGAGGGGCTAAGACTATATTCTGAGGGTAAGAATAGCTAGCACTTTAGAGTTAACTTTAATAAAAGGGCCAACCGCCCAGGACAGGAATATGTGGCTTGGCTGCTCTGACTTTAGTGCTTAAAGCAGCTTTAGCTCTGAATGTCTTAAGGGTCTAATTCATGAAAGGCCAGTGATTAGGTATGTGCCTGCCTGGGATGGTAAGTAACTTACCTTTTTTGGTATTGTTCTAGAGTGGATACTGGTTAAAATTACCCCAGGAAGCTTCGGCTGGGTTCCAGACACATGGAAAACAGACTTCCTGTGCCAGCGCATGCTGATCCCTTCAGCAGCCGCTTCTCCACCCTTGGGGCTGCTCTCCAGGTCTTAAGACTTCAGCCCCACATGAAGGGCCCACAGCTTCCAAGCCTTTTCTGTGGGGTGAGGGTGTGGGAAGAATTGAGCTGCAAGAGGGTTGCTTGTAGTCCTGGGAGACCCTAGGTGCTCTGGGGCATAGGGGCTGGTGGGGAAACCCCTCATTGTGGTAGGAGGGGGGTGTCTTACTTCTACCCAAGCATCAGGAGCCCCCAGATGCTCCATAAACACCAGCTAGTCTCATACGGATGATGCCTTCTCCTCTTTTTGGGCTTTAGATTCCTCATCCGTGAAACGAACAAATGGGATTTGGGGGCCTCTAGGGTCTTTTCCAGGCTTACCATTCTGTGACTTAGAAGCTTGGCCTTGGTGGCTGGGCTGACCACTGGCGTAGCTCCGAGTCCCAGCTGGCTCTTCCCAGGCTCCCAGTTTAAAGGCAGCAGCAGGGAGCTCAGGTCCTTTGGAGAGCTGGCTCTACACAGCACCCTGGAACTTCCTTTGGTCTGAGTCTAAGTGTGTTTCATGTTTGCCTCCTCTAGCGAGAAGCTTGCACTCCGTGGGACAGGGGCCTCATCCCTTGCTCAGCACTGCACCTCCAGCACCTGGCAGTGTCCAGAGCGGATAGGGGCGCCGTGTTTGGTGAATGAGTGCACAGACGCCTCTAGGGGGAGCCCAAGATCTGCCTCCTGCCTCCCTCTATTATGCCTTCATAGGTGGGTCAGAACAAAGAATTCCTTATCAACCTCCCGGGTCCCCCACTGCCAATCACCCACCTCCATTCTACCCTCTACAGCTGCCCCTTATCCCCCAAAGTCCTGAAATTTTGCTTGGGTCACCTGCTCCAGGAGGCAGAGTTCCCATGAAGGGTATTAAACGTCTACTACACTGCATCCAGGACTGAGGATGTGTGGCCCTTTACCTGTTTTGTTTGGCTGTCTTTGCAAATGCTCTCTTCTTCCAGGGCTCCGTGAACTGCTGGGGGCTTCTGTCCAGGCCTGAGAAGGTTGGGGTGAGCCCTGGGGCAAAGGCGTCCTGTTGGTTCTTATTTCTGGAATCTGTCCTTTCCTCCCTGCCTCCAAGGAATCAGGTTTGGGCTTGGGGAGGCAGGGATTGTGGGCATTTTGGCTGGCTTTAGTTCTGAGCTGTTTGGGCCTACCCAGGTAAAGAAGGTTTCTGAAGGACATAGCCAGTTCCAATGCAGTCATGCTTGGGCATGGAGCCAAAGCCCAGACAAGGACTGAGGATCAAATGTAACTGCCTTGGTTTGTGTCTTCTGTGCACAAATTCTCTGTAGGGATGCAAGGGAGGGGTGGTTATCAGGGATAAGTTTTGTATTGTCCAGTGCTGGGCCAATACCAATTATTAATTACACCATGACAGCGCATGCCATCTTCATTTCAAACAGACCATGAAAAGATGCCATTACACACTTCGAGTTCACTGGACTTGAGAGCCCCATTTGCATGTGGCTGACATTGTGGCTCTCTCTCCAATACCCTTTCCCCCTTTGACCTTGAAGTCTGGATGAGGCCACTTCTGCTCCAGGGATAGGACCTGACTGCTTTAAGCCAATCAGCTTAATCTCACACCCTCCCTGCCTGCATCATGGTTACTAGTCTCGTATCTGAATCCCAAGCCAATCAGCATGTGGCATTCCCTTGACCACAGGAATTGGTTCAGGGGTGGTCCAACTGGCCCAGAGTCCAAAATTTGGTTCAGTGCTTATGAGAGAAGACCTTCTCTTCCTGGGAGCTGTTGGCAGCCATCTTTGACTATGAGAGAAATCATGGAACTGTAAGACTGCACAGTGCTCTATGCCTGGACTTTAAAGCCATGATAACTAATAAAAACTTTTTATTGCTTAAGTCAATTTGAATTTGGTTTCCTACCACTTCATCAAAAGCCTTCTTACTTGGCTGGGGGCGGTGGCTCACATCTATAATCCCAGCACTTTGGGAGGCCAAGGCGGGTGGACCACCTGGGCTAGGAGTTTGAGACCAGCCCAGCCAACATGGCGAAACCCCATCTCTACAAAAAATACAAAAAACTAGCCAGGCATGGTGGCAGGTGCCTGTAATCCCGGCTACTTGGGAGGCTGAGGCACAAGAATTGCTTGAACCCAGGAGGCGAAGACTGCAGTGAGCCAAGATCATACCATTGCACTATGGCCTGGGCAACAAGAATGAAACTCTTAAAAAAAAAAAAAAAAGCCTTCTTACTGATGTGTCAGTTTCATAATTTCTATAGTTATCTATAAGTGCATGCTACTTGTACTTTCTTTCACTGCCATTACCATCACCCTGGCACAGTAAAAACCACCTCAGAGCCAGTTTGGGCCTCCACCAACTGGAAGGGTATTTTGCCCATGCATTTGGCAGTGTTGTTACTCTGGGCACCCAGGCCCTTTCCCTAAAGCCTGATTTAGCAAGGCTGGTAGGGCTTCGGCATCTGCATCTTTCTCAAGGCTCCCTCCCCTTCCCCAGAAGATACTAATGTAGTGGTTGGTCCCCGGGAACCTAAGACTTAGTTCTTCCATTACAGAAAAGAACAGGTCCAAAAGGAATGAAAAGGGCTTTTACTTTCTTTTTAAAACAAGTGATTTTTAAGGGTTTGTAGAAAAAGCAAAGAAAAGCATAATTCTCCTCTTACTTCAAGCTAGTGTCTGATGAGAAAGTACCAGGCTAACCTCTGAAGAATCCTACCCCAACACCTTCTTCTTTCTTCTGCTGGGATGAACATCTAGGGGTAAGATATGACTGCTCTCTACCATCTGGGGACTTCTCTTCTTTATATTGTTGCATTCCTCAATCTTTGCATAAGGAAGAGAATGGCTAATTCCTCTAGGTGCCAAGGAAGAGCTTCCCTCTTCCTACAGCCTCGCATGTTTCTTTTCCCACTGGTTGCCAGGAAGCTTGGAGATATGGTGACGACTATTCAGGCACACATCTCTTCCTTGGGTCCTACCACAGTCATCTCCTCCAATATGCAGTGATGTTGACAGGCTTGGAGATGGTGACTAGGGAGTTCTGAACTAGGTACTTCAAATCCATCAAGTCCACAGTAACCAGGAGCTATGATCATTTCTTAGGTTTTCTGATCTTCCCTTCTACTTTATTTGTAACCATCTGGTTGTAAATGTTTTCTTGTAGGTTGCCTCAATTGATTGTCCATTGTGGGAGTAGGTAGTGAAAAACAGTAATAAAATAAGACTCATAGTTCTCTGCCTTATATTCCCTCCCGTAGTCTTCTGGTTTCTAGCTAAGAAACCAAGTCTGAAGCACCTTGTGAAGATGAACTTTTTTCTTCTTAAAAAAAATAAATAAAACAAATATACTGGCTTGGATTTCCTTCTCTTTTCTTACTTTCCCCCTTAAAAAAAAGCAGCAGCCGCCGTGTGGACCCTTAATATAGGCAGACAGTAGGTCACCTGGAGATGCTTGATACATGAGGGGTCAGAAAGAAGCCTGGTGGGCGAGCATGGCTTATTCAGTCCTGGGCTGCTGTGGGATGATCCATCTTCAGTGGGGGATGAAAGTTCCCAGGCTCTCCCTAGAGCCCTCACAGTTCAGTCTTGACCTTGTGCATCAAATCTTTTTGATCAATCTTGTCTAGGTCCTGGTACCAGCGGTTGTAAGCCAGCAAGGCCACATTCTTGGCAGCCACGGCCATCACCTCCACGGAGCTGGCCGCCCACTCCAGGGCATTGAGGTAGAAGAGCTGGTCATGGAGTGCAAACCTCGGGAGCGTGGGGCGGGAGCCATAGAGGGGATGGGCCTGCCACTCAGCTGTCTGCACTGAGTAATAGGAACGGAACAGGGTCTTTAGCTGGGTCCGAAAGAGGGGCTTGGGGGACTGGACTCGCCAAACAGCTGCCTCCTGGGGCTGCTTTCGCCGGAAGCTGGCAGAGATGTTGACAGGGCAGATGTTGTCCAGAGTGCAGAAGAAGCTGGGGAAATCTGTGGTAAGGATGTTGGCAAAGGGGAAAAGCTTAGGGTCTGGGAAACCGAAGTAGGACGAGTTGAGGTAGCCGTGGACCAAGGAGACGACGGTGGGCTGGAAAGAGCCCTGCACGTCATCAATGGGCGGGTGGAAGCCTGCAAAGGTTAAGTTGCTGCTGCTGTTGTCCAGGTGCAGGGGGGTGGCGATGACCACGATGTCATAGAAGTCAGAGCTGTTGCCTACCTCATTCTCATACGCCACCTGGTACAGGGCTTTCCCCTCTGGAAAGAAAAGAGCACAAAAGTCAACTTTCCCTTGGCTTCTACCCACTGAACTCCCTACTGGGGTCCAGCATTGAGGTACAACGAGACCCTGGTGCTCAGGGTGCAGCAGGGCTGTCTAAATGGTGGGTCCTGGCCTCTCCATGCTGATGCGGCTGCAGAAGAAGCAAGGGGCATGGAGTCAGGAGACTCAGTTTCTGCTCTGCTTCCGCCGCTGGCCAGTTGGGGGAGCGTGGGCAAGGATGTCATTCAAAGTCCTCATCGGTCAACAGAAAAAGGCTGGGTCGATGGAAGTCTCAGCTTTCTGGCTGACATCTGAATTGGGGAAACAGCACCCTCTAGTGTCACCTGGCAGGGTTGGGGCTTCTCAATGCTTTTTCGGAAATACTCCCCAGGGGGATCACAGACCAGGGCTGAGGTACAAAGGAGGCAGAAGTGTCTGTCCACTGGCTGGGAATGGCATGCCTGCCCACTCCCGCCCTGTCTACTCACCTGTGCTGTGCAGGGTCACAGAGGTCACTGTGGCATGGATCACATTGGCCTTGGTGAGCTTCAGCAAACCGGAACAAACCAGCTTATTGCCTCCTTCCACAGACCACAGGCTGCCTTGGGCCCCGGCTAGTGACATGGCTCCTGGGCAAAGCGGGAAGTGGGTGCTGATAGGTTGTCAGGGCCGTGGGGCAGGAGGGCTGGGGAGTCCAGTACTATTCGACTGGGCCTCCCTGCCAGAGCAAAACTCTCCCAACCATGGGCATGGGGAGATGGCAAACATACAAGTAAGTACAACAAAGTGCACAATGCTATGGGGGGAAGACACTGTGCTCAACGAAAGAGCCAGCTCCCAGAGACCACATATTGTGAGGTCTATTTATGCAGAATGCCCAGACTAGGCAAATCCACAGAAACAGAAAGCAGATCTGTAGCTGCCCAGGGCTGGGAGGCCGGGGGGTGTTGGGGAGGTGAGGGCTAAAGGGCAAGGGGGTTTCTTTCTGGGGTGATAAAAATGTCCTAAAATTGATTGTGGTGATGGTTTTAGAACTCCGAATGTGCTAAAAACCACTGAATTGTGCAATTTAAATGGGCGAATTATATGGTATGTGAATTCTATATATCTCTACACAAAAATGCTATGAAGGAGACACACAAGATACTGAAAGAGTGAGCAAGGAACACTGAGGGGACACTGAGGCAGGGCCTGAAGGCTGCGAAGGAGCCAGCATGTGCAGAGCCAGATGAACAGTATCGAGGGTACGAGGGAGGTGCTTGTTATTGTAAACCTTTGCATTCATTTATTTAACAAAAATATACCCAGTGCCTAGTATGACTTAGGCACTGTTCTGTGTTTGCAATGTATCAGGGAACAATAGACAAGGATTCCTGCTCTTGTGAAGCCTACATTCTCCACTCCTGTGGTCTGTGCTAGCAGACAGTGAGCTACACACAGGCCCAGCCACTCCCGTGAAGAGCTGGGAAGAGGAGGTGCTCTCACAGTGGCTCAAAGGCCTCAACAGGGCAGTTCTTGAAACCAAAGTGTAGAGAGCAGAGCATTATCTCAGCTCTAACATTTACACACATGCAAGGGATTATGAAGCAATTGGGAGTGGTAGAAACACACTGGACCTGTGATCTGAGCCTTGCTTTCACTGTCTGTGAAGTGGGGTGATACTATCTCCTGCCAACTCATGGCCAGTCCCAGAATCAGGCAGGATGGGGCAGCAGAGTGCCTATGTGACTGCAATGAGCTGGATAAAAGTGAGGTTATTATGGGGACCCCCAGCCCATTCTGAGCACCTTGGGTGGAGGAGGGGCAGGTGGGCAGGCCAAGGGTTGGACGCTTACCTGCAAAGGCGGGCATCGCTGCTGACTGGCCATAGCTGGCCCGCAGGACAGCAGAAACGACATCATCAATAAAGCGCTGCGTGACGCCCACCTGCAGCAGGGACTCAGCCACAGAGTGCTGGGTCATGTTAACAAAGGTGGACTCCCCCAGTGAGTAGAGCAGCTCCTCCACACCCGAGAAGGCATAGCCGTGGGCCTGGTACTTATAGATCCTAGAAGACACATAGAGCTGGAGTCCTTGTGCAGGAAGGCTTTTTGCCTGACCACCTGCCCCTGGGTTATAGTGCCTGGGAGGCCCACCAGGAACCCATCACTTCCTCTACATGGAGTGGTGGCAGAAGAGGCTGGTCATGTTCCCTGGCACCTGTTCTCTGACTGTGGCGGGCCTGTCCCACCTAAAGGGAGTGTGAAGGTATGGAATCCTTCTAGGCCTGGCTTCACATCACGGCTGTGCTGAGTAACAACTGTATCACTGCTCTGAGCCACTCCCTGCCTGAGGTCATAGTTCATAACCCTTTCTTCACCCAGCTGGGGCTACGGCCCACCCCTGCTGACACATCTCCTTCTCCAACAGTGTCGGTTCTGCCACAGCTTCTAGGACCTGATGACACACTGCAACTTCATGCTGATACTGTCACCTTCTCTGCCAGTCCAGCCTGTCCTCTCCTCTCGCTTCATCTGACAGGGCTCCCACTCACCCCCAGGCTCATGTCCTGTCGCTCTATCACTCATGCAATCTCACTAGCATGGATTGGAACCATCGATGGATTTCCTGACTGGCTGGCCTTTGAAATGTTGCCCATTCTAGGGCTTCTTTTGTAAACATGTTGAGTTTGGTTATCAATAGGACACGAGATGGAGGTGTCCAGAAAGTTGAAATGTGGGTCTGGAAGTGAAGAGGAAACTAGGGCTGAGAGGGAGAAGTCATTTCCCATAAAACGTAGAAGTCAACATTATTGGTCTGGATATAATTGATAAGGGAGAAAAATATCAGAAAGAGAGGTAAGGAAATAAGCTTTGGGTGACATCTGGAGAATATAAGGAAGAAGTGCTATAAACAGCAGAGTTATAGAATGGGAAGGGAGTGGAGAAGTGCCAGGAACCAGGGCAGGAGGGCACAGGCCACACTTGAGTGACACTGAAGGGAGGCAGACAGTGATGGGGTCCGGGGAGCAGCCCCTGCGCCTTAGGCTGGAAGCAGGGAGCACCTTCAGGAGGGACTTTGGGGAAAGGTGGAGTGACAGCTTGGTGAACAGGGAGGGAACAGACCACTTGCCCTCCACATCTGGGACCAAAGGTGATGGGGAGGGGGCTGGAGCCCAGGGATAGGAGGAGTGGTGAAGAAAGGTGTTTATTCTAGATGGAAAAATGAGGACAACAAAGTTTGCAAATGAGTGGTCCACAGGCTGCATCTGCCCTGCAGAAGTGTTTCATTTGGCTTACAAGATGAATTGGTTGCAAATGTTGAAAAACTGAAAAGATTTCACACACGACTCTGGATTTCCAGCTTCTTCTGAAAAGTGAGTAGATCTAGCCACATGAGGTGGGCATTGTACACGGCTGGCTGCAGATGGCTGCGGTGGAGGGCTGGCTGCCTCCTTCAGAGGGGGCCTTGTTCTGCTCTCTTCCACCTGCTGATTCACTGACTCGCATCCCAGTTCAGCCCTTGTTAAGCGACTGAGTTTGCAACCCATGCTTTTATTAGTATCAGTGTAGTAGAGGGTAAGAAAATGAGAGTCAATGTGACAATACTAGGGAGACCATTACTGGACCAAATACGGCCATTCCTCATGCCAGGGGCTTGCTCTGAGCCTGCACTGAATTGTGCTGGCTCAATTCAGCAAGGACCTTTTCCTTTTTCACAAAGTACAGGCAAGCTGGTTCCTCCCCCACCTCTTCTCGGTTCCCCTGGAACGCCATCCCCACAGCTCTGCCAGCCCTACCTCATGAACTTCTCCATGACCTCCTCCACCCACATCTGCAGCCTCAGGAAGCTGATGCCATAGTGCCACCAGAGGCGGAAGAGGTTCAGCAGGTACCAGTCAGTCTCCTCCAGCATGAAGTGCTCCCCGCCGAAGATGGCGCTCCTGCCCACCACCTCGCGCCGGTGCCTCAGCCCTGCAGAGACAAAGAGGAGCCCCTCAGGTCCCCTCCAAGACTTGGGGCCCTCTTGATGCAAATGGACTGGTCCATTAAAGGAAACACAAATGCTATGGTTTGTTCATTTGTGCTGCTTGTTAATAAACAGTAAACAGATGCACTGGGAAAATGTTTGGACTACCAAGTCAATAAAAAAATGAAAATGAAAATAATGTAACATTTTACATTTTTTTTCCCCAGGAGGATCCACAAGTGAGGGAAATTCAGATTTTATCCCAGAATGTCCAGGGGGTGACAGCCACTGGGCTTGTTTGGAGATGGTGGCCTTGGGCACTGAGATCACTTGGAAGTTATCCTAGCTCCTTACAGCCATCCTGCACTCTGCAACTTGACAGAGCAGTGGACTCCTAAACACAGACAGAGCTGCTATGACTTGTTCCTTCCCCACCCCCACATACTACACACACTGCTCTCCACTTTAACAATACACTGTATCTTGGAGATTGCCCTGTATCTGGGCATAAAGACTTCCCCATTCTGACTGCTGAACAGCCTATTGTGTAGTTATACAATAATTTGTTTAACCCCAGGTCCTAGTGGATAGGCAGCTAGGATACTTTCAGCCTTTTGCTATTACAAACAATGCTGTAGTGAATAACTTGGTATCTATGCTACTTTGCACATCTGTAAGACCACCTGTAGCATCACTTCTGAGAAGCAGAGTTTCTGCATCAAACAGAACGTGTATTGGACAGATGCTGCTGGGTTTGAATCCCACCTCTCGCTGTAATGGCTTTAGCTTAAATCTATACATTTTCTGAGCCTCAGTTGCCTTAAGAGGAGATATAACACTCATCTTGCAGGTTGGTAGAGGGGAGCTGAGGTAATGCCTACATACCACCCAGAAGGTGCCTGGCAAGCACTAGCATGTGGAAGGTGATATAATCACGATTATTTAGAGGCAGCAAATTGAAAGGGAAAGAAACTGGCCTAGGAGTCAAACCTGAGTTCTAATCCCGGCTCTGCAACTAACTCACTGTGTAACCTCAGGCAAGTTCCTTCCCCTCTCTTGTTTCTGTTGCTCCATCTGTAAAATGAGATTGGGCCACATGACCTTCTGGCCTTGATGGTCTGGGAAGTCTGAGAAGGGCCCAGTGCTGTCACCAGCCCCAGGGCGCTGGGCACTGGAGCCCCAGGACTGACCACTCACCCAGCAGCTTGACGAAGTCCTGCATGTGCAGGCTCAGGGAGTGGAAGGAGGCAGCCCCGCTCTCATAGTGCTGCTTGTTGACTGAGATGGTGGCCAAGCGGCCACCCACGGTTCCCTTCTCGTACACGTCGATCTGCACCCGAGGTCCAAAGTGCTGCTGGAGAAAATGGGCCACAGCAGAGCCCCCAATCCCAGCCCCAACCACCGCTGTCAGCAGGCCCGGGAGGTAGGGAAGAAGAGAGACAGAACATGAGAGTGAGAGGCTGTAGTTCACACTTTGTATCCTCCTGCGCTGGTGGTTCCCAGGTGCTTAAATTTCCTAGGCTTATAACATTTCCAAAAGGAAATCTGCGGACTGAGTTGTCAGTAGAGCTATTAATAAGCAAAGGCAAACCTGAAAACTGCTGCCTACTATACTTTCGTTTCATAAAGAAAAAGGTATTTTGCAGCAAAAGACCAGCAAAGAATACTGAAAGTCAGGATGACCAATTAAAGAGAATAAATTTAGTTTTATATAAAACTCACTACCTTGCTTCTAACTTTCTTATTTCCCTATGAATTGTTAAAAGTTACTGACCAGTTCTGTTCAGTGATCAGTGTTTGGAAACCAGGCCTTAATCCAGGGATTGGCAAACTACAGCCTGCAGGCCAAATCCAGAAAGATGCCTGTTTTTGCAAACTAGAGTTTTATTGAAACACAGCCATGATGCTCTTTCTTTCAATTATTGTCTATGACTGTTTTCATTTTAGGCAGAGTTGAGTAGCTGCAACAGAGACTGCATGGCCTGAAAAGCCTAAAATATTTACTCTCTGGCCATTTACAGAAAAAAGTATGCCAACTCCTGGTCTAGTCCAACCTACTATCGGACACCTAAATCATCCTTATGTCTGTGTTTGTCAAGACTGGAATGTATCTGCCAGGCGCGGTGGCTCACGCCTGTAATCACAACACTTTGGGAGGCCTAGCGGGGGCAGATCACCTGAAGTCAGGAGTTCGAGACCAGCCTGACAAACATGGTGAAACCCTGTCTCTACTAAAAATACAAAATTAGCTGGGTGTGGTGGCGCATGCCTGCAATCCCAGCTACTCAGGAGGCTGAGGCAGGAGAATCGCTTGAACCTGGGAGGCGGAGGTTGTGGTGAGCTGAGATCGTGCCATTGCACTCCAGCCTGGGAAACAAGAGCAAAACTCCATCTCAAAAAAAAGAGACTGGAATGTACTCTATGATGGATTGTTCATTACCCTACAGGACACTATATTCCAGTTTGAAATCTTGTTACAAAGTTTCAGCTTTTTTGGGTCTTATCATACACTGTCTTTACTGTACCTCCTGCCTTCCTGTTATTTGTAAACTTGGTTTACATGCCATCACTATTCTCATCGAAGTCACTGATAAGAATGTTTCCTGGGACAGGGCTTGGAGGTGCTGCTAGGAAACCACTGCCTGGACAGACATCAATCAGTTTTTTTTCAAACAGGATCTGGCTCTGTTGCCCAGGCTGGAGTGCAGTGGCATGATATTGGCTCACTGCAAACCTCCCAGGCTCCCAAGTAGCTGAGACTACAGGCACATGCCACCATGCCCGACATATTTTTCGTAGAGATGAGGTTTCACCATGTTGCCCAGGCTGGTCTTGAACTCCTGAGCTCAAGTGATCCTCCTGCCTTGGCCTCCCCAAGTGCTGGAATTACAGGCATTAGCCACTGTGCCTCACCTGACACTAATCATTAAACAGTCCTGTGAGAGAACTATAAACCAGCTATGAAGCTACTGAACTGGACTACCACCCTACCTATAATTTTTGCTCACCATGTATCTGAAACACCACTCTCTTCTCATCAGACAGTCCAGAGGCCTTACCCCAAAAGAAAATTAAATAAATCTGGTGTAATTTGTCCTTACTGGACCCATTTGGACCCACAGAGTACCAGTTCCTGCCAGAAGTCACAGGCAATCCTCAGACAGCACCAGGTTCTCTATGATCTGGCCTCTGCTTACTTATTCCATTTCCTGCTTTACCCTCCCAAGATGCCACCTTCTTGTCTGTCTAGGCTTCTCTTATTGTGGGCACATAGCTTTGTTCTCTCATGCCTGGGCCTTTGTCCGAGCTGTTCCCTTTGATAGGAGTGCCATCACCCTGTGTCTCACTGGCTTCAACAGCCCTCAGATGTCACCTATAACTTGGCTTGACTGACCCACCTGAGGTGAGTCAGGTGTTCCTCCTGCATATTCCCACAGCACACTCTGCTTAGCCGTACTGTAGTCAAGTTATTTAAGGACAGAGAGAGAGTGCATGATCACTATGTCCCCAGATCCTGGTGGACAGTAGAGTTCATGAAGTATTTTTTCTGTGTTGAAAGAATAAACCACTTCCTCTCACAGTACTTACAAAGCCACTTCCAAGACAGCTTTGGATTTTATTTTAACCAGTGTGCTCCCATCCCCTCCATGTGCAAAGAGTCCCAAATTACCCATTTTTCCAGAGAAATTGATATTAAGGCCTAGAAGCTGCCCAAGATCAGGAAGCAGAAGACACCACTTCATTGTGAACCAGCTCATTTAACACAACTGACACCAATTCTCTAATTTACAGTAAGATGTCCTGGGGCACAAAGAAAAATCAAACAGGCTTCTGTCCCCCAGGACCCCAGCATGGAATGGGCAGACAGACTCCTGCGCAATTAGCAACGACAACCCATGATGAAGTGCAACAGGGTTCCAGGGAGTCCTGAAGGGGAAGCAGTGAATTCTGCCCCAGAGGGTGTGGGGACACAGCCTTCTTGGGGAAATAAGATTTCATGCAAGATGCTGGAGGACAATCAGCTTTGTCAGTGAGAGGACACGCACACTCTGCAAAGAGACCAGCATGAGAAGGGCAGCATATGGAACTATATGGGTGGGTTTAGAGGGTCCTGATGCCACTTGGGGGTTCTCAGATTTGGTCCTGCAGAAGCACAAGCATTAAGCCATCCTAACAGGAATCCGCATTCTTGTTGTGGGTAGAGTCCAAACCACCAAGGATGAACAGAGGCTCCCGTCAGAGGGCTGAGGAAAATCTAGAAAGCTGAAGGGCAGTGAGGCATTGCCAAGTGTCCTGCTCTGGATGACTCTTGGATGGGGCCAGAAGGGCCAGCTGGGAGGAAGGAGGCAGAGAGCTCCATGTTGCCACAATGCAGCAATTCTGCTGGGTGGAGGTCCTGCTCCTTCCCCAATGGTGAGAAATGTCCTGTCCTGTTGCCTGTTCCTAAGAAAACGGGGAGTGCCCTGCATATTCCCACAGCACACTCTGCTTACTCCTAGCCACACTGTATTCAAACGATCTAAGGACAGAGAGAGAACACATGGTCACTCATGGATACTGCCTGCCTAACTCTTCCACATCCTTCAATGCCTGGCTCAAACTCCACCTTCTCCATGAGGGCTTCTCTGGCTACTCTAGCCTCAGGATTCTCTTTTCTTGGCAAGCACTAAACTCTCAGTCTCAAACTGGTTTCTGGCATGCTTCAGTCTTCTTAACCCTGTATGGCCTGGGCTGTGGTTCTGCTACACAAGAAGCTTTAGCACTGCACTGGACCCTGTAAGTTTGTGATGCTTCTATCAGATGTTCCAGGCACTCCTGCCAACTGGGGTGCATGGAGAGTGGCCTAGCGGAATAGAGTCTTTGTCCTCCCACCCCGAAGCCCAGGATCTCTGCCTGTGGGAATATCACGTGTGAGGGACTTGAAAATCTTCACGAGTCATGTAGTTAAAATGACAGTTGTTGAGGGAGGAAAAAAAAAAGCAACTGTAAACACATATGACACTCTAGTCAATGATATGCACGATGACGTATTTAGTGAGGTGTCCTGATGTCTGCAATTTATTTGGAGATGCATCAAAATGTAGGCTGGATTCGTGGATGTCTAGAACAGTGCGTGATAGTTATGTGACACAGCAAGTATAGCAGCAGTTAATGGCAGAATGTAGGTGGTGGGTATACAGATGACCACTATAAAATTCTTGCTGTACATCTGAACATTTTCAAAATAAAGTATTGGGGAAACCACACACACAATAAACAAAAAGACTGTTGTTAAAAGTTCCCCGTTCTGTCAGCAAATCTCCAGCGGACCTAGTGTTCTGTCTCTGCCAGGACTGTCTCCTATCGACCTGGGGGTGGTTTGGCTTAGATGTTACTTCCAGGAAGCCCTCCCAGGGCCGCAAAGACAGGGTGAAGCGCCCCTCCTCTGCATGCACCGTACTTCCTCAGCTCAGCACGGACTTCCCTGTACTGTGAGGGCTCTACCCCAGCAGGAACTACAGCACCACGTCTGCTACACAGAGAGCCCTCAACCAACCTCTGTGAATGCCATCGCCCAGCCTCTCTGTCCTCTGTCACCCGGGCGCCTAGCCAACAGCCAGGACCATGGCAGATGCTCAGCGACCCTGGACCTCCCGGTGAGATCCGCGGCCAGTCCTGCCCAGGCCTCTTTTCCGTCCTAGGTGGCCCTCTTCACATGCCATGCCCCGGCCCCATCAGGACCTTCCCTGCCGCGTCCCCTTCGGCGCCTCTCCTCCACCCAGCTCCTTTTCCGAGGACCCCTCCCTCACCCAGCCGCCCTCCTATACCCCACCTAGCTGAGAACTGAGAACCCTTTACCCGCCGGCCCTCCCCAGCTGGGAACCCCACCGCGTCCTTCCCGCACCGATTTTGCCCGGCGGGGCATCTCCGCCAGCAGCGGCGGCGGCGAGGAGCGCGGTCAACGCGGCGAGCAGCGGGGCTGCGCGGGCCATGGCGGGCGGCGAGCGGGCAGCACGCCGGATTCAGGCGCTAGCGGGTTGGCGCTCGGCTCTCCGCCCCGCCCCGGCGCCCCACTGGCAGTCCCGCCTTCCTGCCGCGCCAGACCCAGCTCCGCATTGGCCAAGCCGCCGTCCCTCTCCAGCACGAGGCCCTCATTAGCTCCATCTCTCTCGGGGTAGGCTCTCTCATTGGCAGCTTCCCCGTTCCGCCCCGCCCCCCGCATGCGGGCTCCTCATTGGCTGGGTTCATTCTTGCCCGGCGCAGGTGTGCCCGCTTCGGGTCCTCAGCATCAGGACCAGGGCCCAGCTGCGGCAGAGGGATGAAACAGACCAAAGTGAAGCTTTGAAGACCTCGGTTATGTCCAGCCTCTGCGTTATTAGCTCTGTATCTTCTCTGTGTCTGTTTCCTCTATTATAACACAGACGAAGAATCCTGCTCCACCTTTCTAGGTGGTTGTAACCATCTTATGAGATAAGGGAAGCCTTTTGCAGTGTCTGCAAGTGCTGGAAATTGCTGACCAAGCATGCGGCCAGGGTGGTAAGACGCTACCTCATTCATATGCTGACACAAGCCCTATGCTTTCTATACTGCTGTTATTTATGTGTTTGCAGTTTTTATATAGTTAATATCTCTGCTTTCTGCTTCCTAAAAACCAAAAGGCGGGGGAAGGTTTCATCTACTCTCTTTTCAGAAAGGAGAAAAGGAGGGATAAACTCCCATTTTCATCCTCTAAGAAGACAAGAGCAGCAGCTCAGACTTGCTAGTTTATCACGCTGTGAAAAACAGACTTCCTCTGGCAGAAAATAAAGTTAGGGATGAGTTTCAGAATAAAGAAAATCCGGAGGCTGGGGGTGGCTCAAGCCTGTAATCCCAGCATTTTGGAAGGTCAGGCGGGAGGATCGCTTAGGCCAGCAGTTTGAGACCAGCCTGGGCAACATAATGAGACTCTGAGACCCCGTCTCTTAAAAAAAAAAAATTCGCCAGGAGTGGTGGTGCACACCTGTAGTCCTAGCTATTCAGGAGGCAGAGGTGGGAGGCTTGAGACCGGTAGTTTGAGGTTACAGTGTTCTATGATTGTGCCACTGCACTCCAGCCTGAGTGACAAGAGTCCCTGTCTTTAAAAATAAATAAATATATAAAAATAAATGAAATCCATATTTACTCAGTGAGATTATGGCTAAAATAAGAAACTGGGCCGGGCACAGTGGCTCATGCCTGTAATCCCAGCAGTTTGGGAGGCCGAGGTGGGCAGATCACTTGAGGTCAGGAGTTCGAGACCAGCTCGGCCATCATGGTGAAACCTCATCTCTGCTAAAATGCAAAAATTAGCTGGGCTTGGTGGTGTGCGCCTGTAATCCCAGCTACTCGGGAGGCTGGGGCAGGAGAATCGCTTGAACCTGGGAGGCACATGTTGCAGTGAGCCGAGATTGTACCACTGCACTCCACCGTGGGTGACAGAGCGAGACTCTGACTCAAACAAAAACAAAAACAAAAAACTGAAGTGATTCAGAGAATGGTGAAAGAGCTTATAGCTGGGGTTCTAACTCAGCACTGAGACTTAATTTACTTGGGCCAAACTGGATTACTACTAGTAAACTGGTAGATGAATAATCATGCATTTGTCATAATCTTAAACTTTTTTTTTTGGCAATGTTTGTGTCAGGATGCAACACCTTTTAAGTTCATTTCCAAAGGTTCAAGATACTCCCTTAAACAGTTTTTAAAACAAGCACTCATTGACCACTATGTGCCAAATTCTCTTATGAACTTATTCTGATTCTTGTCATTTTTTTGTAGGGTAAATCATGTTAGTGTTCAAATTCATCTTCTTGACTATACTTTGCTTGTAATTTTAGGGTCCTTTGTAACTCTTAAATCTAGAGCTGTTTTTTTCTGTTAGGAAGCCCTTCCAACCCTACTAGCCCATTGACAATGTGTGCGCTCATCAACATTGTAAGAGAGGTTCGAAAGAGCTGATAAGGGAAAAGCAAGTAGGCACAATTCTTGTGGCACAAAGGTGCCAGACTGGGAATGCAGTGGGGTGACTGTATCATTTTATCTGCTGTTGTGTAACAAACCATTAAAAAATGTAGTGGCTTAAAGTAACAGTCATCTGTTTTGCTCACACTACACCTCAGGCAGGACTCAGTGAGATCAGCTCATCTGTTCCATGTGGTATCATTTGGGGCTGCTCCACTGGGTGTGGGAGGATCCACCTTCAAGATGGCTCACTGGCTGGCAAGACAGTGCTGGCTCAGCTGAAAGCTCAACCAGGGCCCTCAGTTCCATTCCACAGGCTACTTCAGTTTGCTCTTGGCACGATGGTAAGGTTCCAGGGGTGAGCATCCCAAGACAGGAAGTGGGGATACCAGTTTCTTAAGATCTGGGTCCAGAAAATGGCAGTGTCACTTCCACTGTATTCTATTGGTCAAGCAATCACAAAGCTCCAAGGAAACTCAAGAATGGACATGGGCCCTACTCAACAAAGGTGTCAAGAAATTCTGGAGCCATGTTTTAAAACTACAGTGAACTTGAGAGCATGGACATCTGAGTGGATAGGAATAAGAATATACTCACTGACTAGCACTGGGAATATGGGACACATGGTTTATGGAGCTACAGTGTACAGACAGTATTGGAAAGATAATGAAAACGCAAGACCAAATCCCAGGGAAGGCTGGCCCAACAGAGGGCCATTCAGCCAGGAGTCTAGGTATATGGAAGCTAGCTGAGAAGCAGAGGTAAAGACAAGGCCAGGCAGTCACAAGGTGGGAAGGACATGGGGAAGCTGAAGGTCAGAACAAGGCCAAGTGTCTGTAATCTGGTTAGGAGAATAGTCAGCAGTAGTCAAAGGAAATAAGACACCTAGAACCAAAAGGCGAACCCAAGAAAACAAGTCAATGCCAGAAAAGAAGGCAGAAATAGGGCTGGGAACAGTGGCTCAGGCCTGTGAGCCCAGCACTTTGGGAAGCCGAGGCAGGTGGATCGCCTGAAGTCAGGAGTTCAAGACCAGCCTGGCCAACGTGGTGAAACTGTCTCTACTCAAAATACAAAAAATTAGGCGTGGTGGCAGGTGCCTGTAATCCCAGCTACTCGGGAGGCTGAGGCAGGAGAATTGCTTGAACCTGGGAGGCGGAGGTTGCGCTGAGCTGAGATCGCGCCATTGCACTCTAGCCTGGGCAACAAGAGCAAAACTCCATCTCAAAAAAAAAAAAAAAAAAAAAAGGCAGAAATAGGAATCCAGATCTAAGAAATATGTAGCAATCAGAAAGAGGCAAGTCAAGGAGGAATAAAACAGACAAGACTTCAACACGGAGGCAGGGTGGGGAAAGCCCACAGTGCATCCACTTGGCTATGCTGCTATGAGATCTCAAGGTACCTCTCCAGAGCATCAACAAGGCAGGTCAGCAGTCATGAAGTGACCATAATGTTCCATATACAATACGAATAGGCAGACAAAGACTCTAAACACCAGAGCTGCAGTTATTTCAATTCAGGTTTTATTAAAGTTGTTTCTGAATATTTTTTCTCAGTGATCCTTGTTCTGATGAATATTACATTTCATCCTTAGTTTTGCTCATTTGATTTTGCTTTAGTGTTTAAAGAACTTTTATTTATCAAATCCTTTGCCATGAATGAGAGCACCAAATAACATATCAATACCCAACTGCCTGATTCCTTTACAGCAGTAAGAAAAGTCAGTAAAACATTTGTACAGTCCAAGTACTACAACACCAAGATCCCCTCTTCAAGTGAGAGTGAGCCAAAGCTTCCTTAGTATCATCTCAAGTCAATGTCTTTTCACTATACCATTAAGATGAAAATAACTAAGAGCACTGACACAATTTTCTTGCTCTTTCCATCTAAAAATGTGGGTTTCCTGTGGTGTGGCTAATTTTAAAAACCAGAAAATGGAAGGAAAATAAGTCAGTGAATGATTAGCTTACAAGTTTTTTCTACTCATCATTAACCAGTCTTCCCTTTTCCCTAGACTTTAGACAGCCATAAAAAGGCAGGAAAAACAATGTGCATAATAAAAAAATAAAAATAAATATCTGAGCACCTACTGTAGTAGGCATTTAACACATTTCACTTAATCCTCACAACGCTGTGAAAGAATTATTATAATCATTTTACGAATAAAGAAACAGGCTCAGAAGGGTGAAATCACTGGTGCCTAAAGTCCTGCAGGTGACTGAGCTGAGATTTAAGTTCAAGCCTATGCTCTAATATGCTGCTTTGGCTCCCCAAAGCCCTTCAGCTTGAGATTCTTACTACTATAGCTTCATCTTCTAATTCTAAATTTACACTTTTAAGTCTGCAAAACTACTGAATAACAAAAGAACCTAAAATTATTCTGAATTTACTTGCCAAAACGGGAGGTGTAATAGACCATTAGAAAATTCTTCTAGCCTGGACAATATAGTGAGACCCCGCCTGTAAAAAACAACCAACCAACCAAAAAAAAAAAACCAAAAACCAAAAACCAAAAACCAAAAAACAAAACTAGCCAGTCATGGTGGTGCACTTGCCTGTGGTCCTGGCTACTTGGTAGGCTGAGGTGGGAGGATCACTTGAGCTCATTAGGTAGAGACATCTCTTTAGGTAATCATAACATTCCATACCTAAAATTATTGTTAATTGTAATTAATGTTAATTCTAACTGGTAATGATAGCTAGCAATAAAAAAACACACAGAGAGTAATTACAATCAGCTCATTTTCTTATTGTCACCATCTGTCAAATCTCACAGAATGGAAGGCAAAAAAAGACAACTTCCTATTGTGAACCTTGATTGTTCATTAAATTTACAATATATACTTAGTGGAATGCCAAAAGATGTTCTGGTTTTACAAGCTTAACCACCAGTCTTTTGATTGCATTTTAAAAGTGCATATTTACTTGTTTTTTAAGGGTCTAAATCTGATGAAGATGGTAAGGCCCACAAGGAGATGGCTTTATTGATAAGTTTGTGTGCTGTCTTAGAATTATCTATAATGTATAAGAGGTTAACTTTCCACCACTCCACTGAATGTCATAGAGTTCCAGTGGAAAATGAATTTTATTTTATTTTATAACTTCAACCTAAACCTATATAATCTAGACATCCAACAACATCTGATTGTCTGCTGGAGACTTCATTGCATGCCCATTAATCTTAAATGGAGACTTAATTGCATGCCCATTAATCTTAAATGATTGACATTAATATCTAGTTGTTCTTCATTCATACTCTCACTGGAATTTAGTCAATAGTTTAGAGATTATTTTCCTTGTGTCCAGTCCTAAAAAGACTAGATTTTCATACTTCAGAAGCAGAAAGGGTGAGATTTGATCATTAAGGCCTCTTCCAACATTAAAATATCCATAATTGACTGCCTTCCTAAAATCTGACTGATGTATCATTCATTAAGTCGTTTATTGGACAAATCTTTTACAGAACACCAGCTATAAGACTGAAAAAAAACCACATAGGCCCATTAATTCTAGAGGTTAATATATAAAAGGTGAGCTCAATGTTTACACAGATGTGACTTAACAGATACAAAGAATAGGAAATAGAGCTTGTCAATATAACAGAGGTAGTGATTTGTGAGTACCAACTTAAAAAAAAAAACAACAAAAAAACTTTGCGGGCGCAGTGGTGAACGCCTGTAGTCCTAGCTACTTGGCAGGCTGAGGCAGGATTGCTTGGGCCCAGGAGTTGGAGGTCAGCCTGGGCAACACAGGAAAAAAAAAAAAAATTGCCAAGAGGAGAGAATACTTATGTTAAGTGTTCTTATCGCAAAAAGTAACATAAATAGAGCCAGAGGAAACTTAAAAAAAAATTCAGCATTAACTATTAATAAATGAAATGAGAAATCATGGGAACCTAACACTTTTGTCCTGATCACCACCTCCCATCATTTAATAAAGGATTATAAGGTAAAATTGACAAAAGGGCAGAGGAGTAAAGGCTGGTGGAATAAGTTGTAGGTAAATTACCCAAATAGAGCCATCTGGGTCATTAGCTGTTAGTGTTGCCTCAGTTTGCCTGAAATGATTATATGACAAGGAGGCTGAAAATAATTTGAAGAGCAAAGACAGCACAAGGCTTTTTGGCCATTCTTGCTTGAAAGGGTCCTGGGTATCTCAAATTTCGATGCTCCTTGCCTTCCAAGTCTCATCTAGACCTTTAGCCCCTGCAAATGGGGATGAGAAAGGGGTGGGTATGGGACAATGATGTGAGCATAAAGCCTATCTAGTTGGGATTACAAGAACAAAAGATGGCTAAAAGGAAAAAAACAAAACAAAAGGTAAAGTCCTGAAAATCTATGTGTATAAAAATCAATCCAAATGATCTAAATTTATACGACCACGAAGCTTTATCCTCTAAGTACCCAAATGTTGAACCAATCCCTACCATCTCCTTTTTCCACAAAATACAAGATACTACACAATTCCTGTTATAGAGACCGCTAGGAAGAAACATGTAGTTGAAAACCCATAGTTAAAAGGATTTTGGATTCAAATTTATCACAGTACCAATTTTCCTAAACATGTTTTGATAAAGGCCATTGGAACACCTGTCACACTGTTCAAATGCCCAATGGTAAGACTTCTGATGAGACCAAACAGGTCACATTAAATCAATAGAATATCTTAGAAATAAAGCCAATATGACTAAATCCAAAACATATCACATGAAGTACCTCATGTACAATACAAACCTAGTTTAATAAATAAAAGAAACATAGGTGACTGCGCTCTGGGAGAACATCCAGTTCCTGATGGCCTCTTCACAGTCTTCTCTGAGACTCCACTGCCACTTCCACTCGGGCAAGCCTAATGGTGCGGCCATGAAGTTTGTAGCCATCTTGTCTTACTAATGCCACGGTGCCAGGCTGCACCCCAACACCAGCTGGCACATGACAGATGAGTTCATGCTCATGGGGGTCATATTTGTCACCAATGGGTGTCAGTTTCTCCAGGCCATGCTTGGCAAACACACTTTTCAGCTTTGCTTCTAAAAGCAACAACCCTCGGAAGACCTTCTCCAGAGTGAGCTTTTGGTCCTCAGGCTCCGATTCTTCAGAAATGCACTCTGTAGTCTTCTCCAAAATGTCAGCCACCTCCACCAAGTCCTTACAGAAACTCTGGATTCCTGCAGAGAAGCCAGTTATTTTTATTGTTTGTGAGGAAATCACTCTGCCCGTGGGCATAGAGTTTGGGTAAGGCCTAGATAGACGGCTAGTATGCTGAGTAGTCCAGCAAGTGGAAAGGTTGCCACACAGGACTCAGAGATCATCACTGATTACCACCCCAACCCAACTGACAAGTCAGTGTCTCTCTCAGAAGGCATATATGACTAGGAACTTGACTAGGAAATGGAAAAGACAGAACCCAAGAACTAGGTAAGACTATACACAACAGGCTTAAACCTGTTCTTTAAAAACAACTATTTTTATGTACATGAATTTTTGTTGCTATTTGCTTGTAGTATTATGTACATTTTGAAAATTCCTGCCTGTCCCAGTTGTGCTATGGCATACATTCTCAACAGGGACAAGACATTAATATTTCACGAGAAGGGCACTAACAATAAAAAAAGAAAGTCAACAACACTATGCTAAGGGGTGTCATGAATGGTTTATTCTTGAGGACTGGCTAAATAGGAACACGAAAGTAAGACACAGCCATAGATGAGGTAAGTTGGCTATGAAGTTGCTAGAGATGGACCACAAAACTTGTCTGATTTTTTAAAAGAGTCATACGAACTGTTACAAGACAAAAGTAAATTCAGTTGTTGAGAAATCCCATTACGCTCAATTCTAAAACTTGATTTTTCTTACAGAAATGAGGGCAAGAAAGTCATCATTAGAGAGGTCTATGACACGATACCAAAGCTCCAGTGGGGGCTGGTGAGAGTCAAGGACTTTGTTAATCTGACTTTAATCCAGGGACAGGCTTAAGGCCTTGTGTCAAAACAGGCTAGGTCTTTGACTTTGAAGTCAAAGACATTTTTCATTTTTTTTTTTGAGACTGAGTCTCATTCTGTTGACCAGGCTGGAGTGTAGGGGCATGATCCTGGCTTACTGCAACCTCTGCCTCCTGGGTTCAAGTGATTCTCGTGCCTCAGCCTCCAGAGTAGCTGGGATTACAGGCGCCTGCCACCATGCCTAGCTAGTTTGTATTTTCAGTAGAGACGAGGTGTCATGTTGGCCAGACTGGTCTTGAATCCTGATCTCATGTGATCTGACAGCCTTAGACTCTCAAAGTGCTGGGATTACAGGCATAAGCCACTGTGCCCAACCAAAGACATTTTTATTGTAAATAAATCTCTCACCAAATATCTTGGCGTCTTCCACACATCTCTGGGTTCGCCTCCTTATGTTTTCACAATCAGCTATAGCTCTCTGGTATCTCACCTGAATATCAAAAGCAAAATCAAAAGGATGAGAAAACAAATACTTATTGGTGGAAGAGAATGTTTTTGCTTACTTTACAAATTTCACCCTTTTGATAGGTTTTTATAAAACAAACTAGGAGTTACAGAAATCTTAGATCAGCTACTCCAAATCCCCAGTCAACGCAGAAACCCACTCTTTAGCAGCACTGCTAGGTAGTCATTTAGCCTGACAGTTCAAACTCCTAACGGTTTCAAGTTCATTATCTTGAGGAAAAGCTTTCTTTTTCACATTCAGCCAACACTGCCAACCTCCAACTTCCTTTCATTGACTTGAACTTAAGGATAACTGAGAATAAGTTTTAAAAGTATGTCATCTAGGCAGGGCACGGTGGCTCACGCCTGTAATCCCAGCACTTTGGGAGGCTGAGATGGGCGAATCACTTGAGGTCAGGAGTTTGAGACCAGCCTGGCCAACATGGTAAAACCCTGTCTCTACTAAAAATACAAAAATCAGCCTGGCATGGTGTCAGGCACCTGTAATCCCAGCTATTCGGGAGGCTGAGGCAGAAGAAGCACTTGAACCTGGGAGGCAGAGGTTGCAGTGAGCTGAGATCATGCCATTGTACTCCAGCCTGGACAACAAGAGTGAAACTACGTCTCATTTAAAAAAAAAAAAAGTATGTCATCTATTTGGAGGCAGTTATTTTACCCTCTTTAGTCCTTTTCTCTCTCATTCTTAAGACAATTCGTGGTTCTTTCAATTGCTGTCATAAGGAATGCTTTCCAGCCTCCTTACCATTCTATCTAGGTGGTTTTGCTTTGGAATTCCTCTAGTTTATCTATCTCCCTCTAAGTGTGTCTATCAACCCAGGACTGGGTCCAGTATGCCAGACATGGTCTCATCAGCAAAGAACAATGGTCAGTGACCTCACTCATTCAACAAATATTTATTGTCTACTATATTCCAGGCACTGTACACCTCCTTTAATCTGCTGAAACATCAGATATCTAAGTGCTGTGACATAACAGGAAACCGAAAAGAGATGACTATCTTTAGCCAGTGGTGTTTTTCAACTACTACAGTTTTTTTCTGCCCAGTATACCTAGCAAGGAGTGGAGGAGGGATGAGGGGTAGCAGATAAAGAGCCAATTAAAGAAAACTTCATTTTGAAAATTGACATAAAAAACTTTATGTGGATATTTAAACTAGAGAGAGGATATGAAGAAGAAATATAAAATTGACTCACTGTTAAATCTTGGACTTCTTTCTCCAGTTTAACAGCTTTTACCCTTAAGGCTCGTTCAGCAAGAGGGGGCCCAAGCTCATCAGGAGGGTCCTCAGAACGGCAGTCCTCACCAGCAGTTCTCTGGGTGGCAGTGCTGAATGGAAGCGGCCATCCCCTAAAACAGGAAGGAGGTGGCACATAATGAAGAAATGCCATCATAAGCCAAAATTACAACCAAGTTTAGAGACCAGAGATCTTCCCAGATGGAATCTCTGGAGAAAGTGTTTTCAGTTATAGTAACAAATGAACACTTACGAAGTCCTTACCATGTACCAGACACTGTTTTACTTGAGTCATCTTTTCCTCTCACAACAATATGTGAGATAAGTCCTATCATTATCCCTATTTTACAGATGAGAAAACTGATGCTGAGAGGCTTAAGGCATAATGGCCTGCTCAAGATCACATAGTTGGTATTCCGCTGGGTCAGGACACTAAGAACCAGGCAGCAGAAATAGCCAGAACTGGGTATACAAAAGTCAGCATAAGGAAACCAAATGCTAGTACCCAGAACCAGAGGAGCATTGTCAGAAGTGGGCATTCAAAAAGTCATATAGTTCTGGTTCAACCTTCTAACTTACAGATGAGGGAAATTAAGTCCAGTAAAGGGACCTTAAGGCTTAGAATTCTAAGCCTTCCTCACCACAACCTGTAAGGCTTTTAGGAGACCTGTGCTGAGAAAGAAATTCCCACCTATAAATAAGATCAAGTCAATGAAATACTTATACAATACTATATGTTACTGCCGGTGAATAGACACAGGTGAAAATAGATCTTTGCATTCAACTAGTTATGTAATCTAGAATTTTGTACAGCTAAACTGTTTTGACATTTAGTTCAGTTTACACAGAAATAAATTTAGACTAGGGGCTAGTTTACAGCAAATCTTGGGCTGTGGCAGTCCTGACCTGGCCCAGTTCAAGGAAGTTTCCACTGCAACTCCTGGATCTTCGTAATTTGACTGTAAGTAAAATTATCTTGAAAATCAATCTGTGAGTACATGAGTTCTTTAAAACAATTTTTATGGACTGGCATATACTGTAGAGTGGTCCTCACGGAGACAGCTGAGCAAAGGCTTAAAGAGGGTAAAGGAGTCAGCTTTAGAAAAGGGAAGAGCATCCTGGGCAGAGCAAATAGCTAGTTTAAAGGTGTAAGCAAGAGGACTTTTATCTCTCCTACTTTCCAAGCTGATCTTAAATTCAATTATTATAATCCGGTGTGTGATTTTATAGACAGTTCCACATTTTGGGGTCAGAAAATATGGTCACCGTAGATCTGGGGCTAATTACACACGGTGAAACATCTTCTCCCTAAAAAAACCACATTTATCCACTTGAAAAAGCAGGTCAAAATATTCTCAGGGGCCGGGCGCGGTGGCTCACGCCTGTAATCCCAGCACTTTGGGAGGCCGAGGCGTGCGGATCACGAGGTCAGGAGATCGAGACCACGGTGAAACCCCGTCTCTACTAAAAATACAAAAAATTAGCTGGGCGTAGTGGCGGGCGCCTGTAGTCCCAGCTACTCGGGAGGCTGAGGCAGGAGAATGGCGTGAACCCGGGAGGCGGAGCTTGCAGTGAGCCGAGATTGTGCCACTGCACTCCAGCCTGGGCGACAGAGTGAGACTCCGTCTCAAAAAAAAAAAAAAAAAAAAAAAAAAAAAAAAAAAAAAAATTCTCAGGGCCAGTTCAAAGGGAAAATGGCCAAAGCTTAGACCAAGAAATAGGGTTGGGGAGTTGTGGCCAATCTCAATTCCTACTGCTTCAGAACTGGAGTAGGGAGACAGCTTACCAGAAGGAACCATTTTTCTTCTGGTCATTTCCTTACATCACCAACAAGCTGCCAAAAAGACTTGAGAACGGTAAGCAAAACCAAGTCCCGAAACCCTGAATGCAACCTCTCACTTAGGTGCTAGGGTAGGATGTTGGGTCAGGTGTGTTAAGGTAAAAAGGGTGACATATGTAGTTAAGCACATTTACCAGATTCTCCCGTAGCTTACTTTACTATTCAGAGGTCCAACCCTACCTCGTACTCAACTATTTTTATTCTCTATCCCAGGAAGAAACAGTGTAGGGGCAACAGTCTCTGAGAAAATTAATTAACATCGCTCATTAAATAAGAGCGCCGATTCCAACGCCCTGACTGGTTTCCAGCCCGGGTTCCACCACTTCCCAAATATTTAAGTTTGGAAGTTACTCAACTTTTCTAAACCTCACTTTCCTTAACTACTAAATGGGTAATAATAAAAAGAACCACCCATAATTCTGCAGTCGGCCTCGTAAGCGACCAATAAAAGCTGCCGATGGAACTTGTCTTCCGAAGGCTGATGCAATGGCCGTTTGGAGAAACAAGTTCAGCGGCCTCCTTTTACTGACAGGTACAACAGTGCCCGGATAACGGAGAAAGGACTGGCCTTAGGTCACACGGAGTGAGGGGAGAGAACCCAAATTTACCCACAGGTACCACAGGCTGGGAGAAGAGGCCGGGAGAGTGGTACATCCCTCCCTTGGGGGCTTAAGAGACTTCTCACCTTCCAGGCCATGCATGACCTCGGATCTCCTTACCTTCCTCGGCCTAAGAAAGAGGCACGGCTGATGGCCTCAGTTTCCCCGTCTGTAAAATGGGGCCGTGAGTGCACGGTCGTAGAGGCCGAGAAGCTTGGTCCCCTGGCCTACGCTCAGATAGCTCTCGCCTTCCAGCCCACAACCACCCCGGCTGGCTCGCTAGCCCCTCAGAGTCCTCACGCTCCCGACTCCCCGCCTGCAATGCTTACTTGCTCTCCCACGCGGCACTCCAGGCCAGTAGGCGCTGCACCCGCAGCCGGCCCGCCCACAGCGACCGTACGGCCATGTTTCCAATTTGGGCTGAGAGGCAGCGCACGCGCACTTGCTGCGAGTGAAGAGATGCTCCCGCTTAAAAACCAGCCTTTGCGGGCGTTTCCCTCTCAGGACTTCCGGACAGGAACGCTATGCTTCCGGTTGCCCGATGGGCCGCGCCGTTCCCCATCCGGTCGTCCGGAGCTAAGGCAACACTTCCGGCTCTCAGTGTGTTCCGCGGGTAGGCGAGGTCCTAGTAGTAACTACAGTCTCCGTGCTGGGCGCAGGGTCGGCAGCAAAGAAAGCAGATCATAGCTGTGCCCGCATGGAGCTTACTTGATATTATGAGCGATAAACAGATACAAGCGGGATGTAAAGTCAGAATATGAGCGGTGTTTGAAGGTGAGGGGCAGGTGTCGCGGAAGCCTAGAATAGAAATCTAGCCTTGTGGAAAGTTTTCCCAGAGGAAGGGGGTATTTGAGCTGAGCTGAAGAAAGGGTTCAGGCAGAGGGAAACATCTGCAGAAGCCTAATAAAGAGAGAAGAGTATTGCATGTAAGGGACTGAAATATACTGAGGCGGGAGGGCAACAGGACTGGTGGTTAGGAAGGGCTAGATCACGTGAGCGGTTTAAAACATCGCAGCCTGAACCATTGCCCATCACTCCTCCCAGTCTTTTTCTCTAATGCCCTTCTTATCGACTGAATTGTTTTTTTAAATAGTGTGTATTTTCTCATTTCCTCTCACTAAAATATAAGCTCTTTTAAGGCAGAGATATTGTCTATTCATTCCCATTGAGCAGTGCCCTAATGTAGGTGTTCAAAATTATTTTTTTTGAGATGGAGTCTCACTCTGTCACCCAGGCTGGAGTGCAGTGGCACGATCTCGGCTCACTGCAACCTCTGCCTCCCAGGTTCAAGTGATTCTCCTGCCTCAGCCTCCTCAGTAGCTGGGATTACAGGCGCCCACTACACCCGGCTAATTTTTGTATTTTTAGTAGAGACAGGGTTTCACCATGTTGGTTAGGCTGGGCTTGAACTCCTGACCTCAGGTGATCTGCCTTCCTCAGCCTTCCAAAGTGCTGGGATTACAGGCATGAGCCACCGCCCCCGGCTTCAAAAAACTTTTTTGCTGAATGCAATTTAGTCTGATTCTGATTGCAATGGAATGTGAAAATAAATAAAACCTAAAAGCTGTTGGAACCTCCCAAATACTTGAAGCTTTGAGAGAGATGTGGCTGTGGTCTGAGTCCATGTAGCATGTTTTGTAGTTCTGCTTCTTAGAATTATAGCTTAATTCTCTTCCTCATTGTTCTTGTTCTGTAATGACTAGGAAAGAGCAGAGACCAGATTTCTTCCCTCTCAATTACTGATGTTTGTAATAGACAGCCTCCTTTATTGTCCTGCACCTAACTCAGACTAGATGGTGCCCTGAACTGAACTGACCCCATGACAGTTACATCTGCAGGATGTGATGTTAAATGTACCTTTCTTGAAGGAAAAAGACCACCTTAACTACTCAGATCATTGTAACTGTGCATTAAGCCTTGCATAGAAAGATGTTGAAATTCTGTTAAACCTCACTGAACCCAACCTTTCACACTTTGGAACACTGACTTCCATCTTTTTTAAGACAGACATATTTTTCCATTCTGTGCTTCCTGGGCAGGCCATCCTCAACCTTTGTGCTTGAATAAACTCTCTTTAAACTAGATTCTGACCTTTTAAATTATTTTAGATTGACAGGGAACATGTGACAAAGGCTTTCATGTTTAAAGAGTCACTTTGACTGCTGTGTGAAGCAGATTGCAAGGTGTAAGAAAAGAGGTAGGGAAGGCAATATGTTGCAGTAGCCCAGGCAAGATGGGGCTATATTCTGTCCTGGAAGAACAGAGAGAGACCTTCCTAACCACTGTAAAGTAACTGTGTCCAGCACCCTTTTAGTTTCTTAGTATTTTATTTCTTTTGCTTCCTTGTTAAGGTTTTTTCCTCCAACTAGAATGTGAGCTTCATGAGGTGTCTGTCTTGTTCACCACTGATTTCTGACATCTAGTATAGTAGGTACTCAAGTATTTGTTGAATGACTTAATTAAGTTGGATAGTGTCAGTGAAGATAGGAAGATATGGATGAATTTTAGAGATTTAGGATGGAAAGCTGACAGACTGAGAGGATGGATTGGTGACTGGGGTCCAGGGCACTTGGAGTTGCCAGCTTAGTTACTGGATAGTCCCTTAATTTTTTTTTTTAAGGGAATGGGAAGTGTTCCTTGAGCACTCTGAATCTTGTCATAACATGGGTTATTTGTACTGTAGTTATTTGGGTCACATTTTCTTTCCTGCTTGTCTCTGAGTTCCATGAGGACAGAGCTGGAGTATTTTCATCTTTTTATCTAATCCGAGGTCCAACTCAAATGTGTCATGACCAATAACTTATATTTTCTTTTTGGCCTTATGAAAAGGGTGATATGGTTTAGGGAGGTATTATGATTCTCTTTTACATATGAGAAAATTGAGGCTCAGAAAGGTTGGTAAACCTATGCAAGATCCCGCAATAAGGAAACAGTGACAGTAGAATTCTGACAGACTGAACACTTGGCAGTGTTGGGCTTAGACCTGTGGCTTACACTTTGAAAAAACACAACCAAATAAGGCATTTTTTTTTTTTTGAGATGGAGTCTTGCTATTGCCCAGGCTGGAGTGCAGTGGTGCGATCTCGGCTCACTGCAACCTCCACCTCCCGGGTTCAAGTGATTCTCCTCCCTCAGCCTCCCAAGTAGCTGGGACTACCGGCATGTGCCACCGTGCCCAGCTAACTTTTGTATTTTTGATAGAGATGGGGTTTTGCCATGTTGGCCAGGCTGGTCTTGAACTCCTGACCTCAAGTGATCCACCCGCTTCGGCCTCCCAAAGTGCTGGGATTACAGGCATGAGCCACCATACCTGGCCTAAACAAGGCATTTTAACAACCAAGAACAAGTGGCATCTGTGCCTTAGCCATTTTGCTTACATTTCTCCTAGCTGCCTAACGTTCACCAGGTTGCTGCTTGCATCCATGCATTCATTCGTCTATTTATTAAGTGCTAGTGTGCTTCTGAATGTTGCAGTACAAGGGGAGGGAGATATATGGATGACATAGAGCTTTAAAATTAAGAATAAGGCTCTAGGGTCAGACTTCTTATATTCACATGCTGGCTCCACCAGCATGTAAATATAAGAACTATGGGAGCTTGGACAAGTTACCTGACCTCTGTGAGCTTCCATTTCCTGAACTGTGAAAACTAGGGCAATATAACTTATCTCAGGGTTTCAGTGAAAACTAAAGGGATAATACCTAGAAAAGTGGTTAGTTAGCACCAGGACTGGCTATCTAATTTAAAGGGCAAAAGGAAAAGCAGAACTCCTTGTTCAAATATGATTAAGAAGGCAATAGTAGAGCATTAAACCAAGAACAGGGCCCTTCTAAGCATGGGGCCCTGTGTGACTGCACAGGTTGCATGCCTGTGAAGCTGGCCATGGCTGACACAGTGCCTGACATATGGTGAGTGCTTGATAAATGTTAATTATTAATTACCCCCAGCCACTCCTCTGAGAGTTCATCTGTTGGTGAGAAAAGACACTTAACCCCAAAATAACTGCATAAGAAAGAGTATGACAGACACTGAAGACATAGTTGGAGAGTTAGGTGACATTTCAGGATCCACGTTTTAAAAAAGAACACTGAAAAGTAATTTCCTCTTCAGTGGAAAGAACACAGGCTTGTGAGTCAGACATTTCTGATATAGCTAATAATAGCCACTTTTTTTTTTTAATAGATGGGGTCTTGCTATTTGCTTAGGCTGGAGTGCAGTGGCAATTCACAGGCGTGATCATAGTGCACTACAGTCTCAAACTCCTGGGCTCAAGCGGTCCTCCTGCCTCAGCCTCCTGAGTAGCTGGGACTACAGGCGAGTACCACCATGCCTGGCTAATGAGAGCCACTATTGACTGAGCATTTCTTATTTCTCAGACACTATGCAAGATGCCTACTATATATTATCTTATTAAATCTTCCCAACAATCTTGGGAGAAAAGTAACAATTGTTAGTCCCATTTCACAGATAAGGAAAACAAGAATCAGAGCAATCAAGTGACTTTCCCAAGGTCACCCAGCTGGTCATTAGAGGCATGGCTCAAACCTAGCCCTATCTGGATCTGGGCTTATAACCCCTAAGTCCTACGCTCTGCCACTAATCAGTGGGTGATTACTGGTCAGGTTATTTTTCCTGCTGTGGTCTCCAGCTACCTCAGAGGGTGATAAAGTTTGAGTGAGGCTAAAGTCTGTAAAACCTTAGGTGGGTTAAAATATGTAACCCCTATAGCAAAGTGGCCACGGTTATTCTGGGATTTTCCTTCTTTCCTCTTGAGCTAAGCACTGGCACTTAAGAGTTAAGTGGTTTTATCTTTATTGGAAGGAAATGTGTTAAAGACAGACTCACTACAGTGTTGAGACAGTAGTGAGTAGCACAGTAAGGAGACTGCCCAGGACTTGAGGTCCTTGGTCCCTCTATAGAAGTATCAAGTGTTTGTAAAAGGTTTAGCACCCATGTGACAGAAAGAAGCCATCATCCTCTTAATTTCTCTTGGTTTTACTTAATATATAGAAGGGCAAACTAGTGGGCCTCTGAGTGCAAGATGAGGACTTCATTAGAATAAAGACATATTGCCTCCTGGATTTCTAACCCATAGCTCCAAGAGCCTCAGTGTCAGAACATAGGTAAGGGACTTGATTTACTGAGAGACCCTACCCTACAACATCCTGTGGACATTAGAGCTCTGTGCTCCTGTCACTGAGTATCACTGTGAGCTTAAAATATGTCAGCTGCTCCATTTCTCTTTCCTTTTGTGTATTCAGAGCTCTGATTTTAAAACACTGAAATCTGGAAGATTCCAGTAGCTGCACTCTGTCTAAAGCATATGAGGAATGACTGTAGAATTTGCATGTCCTCTATAGCTTTTGTTCACATGTATGCAGGCAGGGATAATGTTATTGATTGTTCAACCTATTTACCTTGACCAGGGGTTGTTAGTAATGCCCAATATGAATCAAGTTGGCACAAGTGTGATCAGATGATCAGGTCTTGTCTCTTTACACTGCACCACCAATGCTTCAGCACTGCCTCCCTTTGCCTTAAGGACTGGGAGTGCGATGCTGTGAATGGGATGGAAGGGGTTATTCACATGTGCTTTCATTACTTCTTCCCTTCCTCAGAAGGGAAGGCAAAGACATCTATAAAACCTTTACAGCTGTGCAGACTTCTGTATCCCTCCATCCTCATTTCCACCCTTTGTAAAGTCATAAGGATGCTCTCCATTTCCCTCTTCCCTTCTACTTGTTCCCTCCCCATATCCCCTAAAATCATGCAGACAATAAAGGCTGGTATTTTGGGTGCCCTGGAGAACGAGGGCTACTTCCTAGTCTTCTCTTGGTGTCTCCTTGTGAAAAAAGCATTTCTTCCTCAGGTGGACAAGCTGGTATTTCCTTTGGAATGAAATCCTCATCCTCTTCCTAGGTCTTCTTCATTTCCCATTCCTGAAGCACAGAAAGAGAAGACAAATCAATTTGCTGAATGGTCTAGTGTGACATGGATAAAGAGATTTCACGGCACCTAGTTAGATGAAGATCTCCACTAGCCAGGTTGCGTTGGGTTCTAACCCCCTCTCTCTCTTTCTGTGGCCCTGAGTAAGTCACTTCTCCATGCTGGTATCTCTTGTCCCTTCATCCATTCTCAACATAGTTGCCTGAATGGTCTTTAAAAAATGTAATTTATATCCAAAACCCTTTGCTCAAAACCTTCCATCATGTCACAACAAGATCCATTATGTTAGAACAAGATCCATGGTTCCTCAGTGGCCTGAAAGGCTTTAGATGAAAGGCTGGTAAATGATAGTCTGTGGGCCAAGTCTGGCCTATTGTCCATTCTCATATAATCCATCAGCTCCTATTTCTAAATGTTTGGAAAAAAAAATCAAAAGAAGACGACTATCTCATGACACATGAAAATGATACGAAATTCAAATTTCAGTGCCTGTAAATAAGTTTTATTGGGCTAGGTGCCGTGGCTCATGCCTGTAATCCCAGCACTTTGGGAGGCCGAGGTGGGCGGATCACGAGGTCAGGAGTTCGAGACCAACCTGACCAACATGGTGAAACCCCCCGTCTCTACTAAAAATACAAAAAAATTAGCCGAGTGTGGTGTTGTGCACCTGTAATCCCAGCTACACAGGAGGCTAAGGCAGGAGAATTGCTTGAACCTGGGAGGTGGAGGTTGCAGTGGTTGCAGTGAGCCAAGATCATACCACTGCACTCCAGCCTGGGTGACAGAGCGAGACTCCGTCTCAAAAAAAAAAAAAAAAAAAAGCTTTATTGGGACACAGCCATTTTCATCATCATTTTCATATTGTCCATGGCTATTTTCATGCGACAATGGCAGAGTTGAGAGGCTGTGGAACAGATCATATGGTTCAGAAAGCCTAAACTATTTACTCTCTGGCCCTTTACAGAAAAAGTTTGCTGACTGCTGCTCTAGATGATCTGGCCCCTCACTGGTTACTTCTCTGATCTCATCTCCTAATGCTCACTCTTTGTTCCTTTCACTGGAATCACCTGGATCTTCTTGATGTTCCTCAAACATGCCAAGCTTTTTCCCACTTCAGGGACTTGACACTTGCTCTTCTCTCTGCCTGGTTCGTCCTTCCCTCAGCCCCCTGCATGGGTTTCTCCCTCACACTCCATTCAGGTCTCTGCCTATGTGTCACCTTCTTGAAAGGGTCTTTGCTATCACTGTGCTTAAGCCCCTTTGGGACGTTCATCTTCTCTGGCATCACATTCTTTATTTATGTGTGGTATTTAAAGTCTTGTCTTCCCAACTCTATGAGACCAGGGACTTTTTTGGGTTCCCTGTTATGTAACCAGAAACTAGAACAAGACTGGCATATGGTAGGTCTTCAACAAATATTTGTTTAATGACTAACTGTAGGAAAGAATAAAGACTCTTCCCTCTTAGGCTCTGAAATTCAATTCCAACCTGAGGATGCAGCTCCAGCCTAGACATAGAGCCATGCTTTTTTTGAGACAGGGTCTCACTTAGTGTCATCTAGGCTGGAGTGCAGTGGTGTGATCAGGGCTCACTGTAGCCTCACCCCTCCCACTGGGCTCAAGTGATCCTCCCACCTCAGCCTATGGAGTAGCTGGGACTATAGGCATGTGCCACCACACCCGGCTAATTTTTTTGTAGTTTTTGTAGACACAGGGTTTCGCCATGTTGCCCAGGCTGATCTCGAACTCCTGGGTTCAAGGATCCTCCCACCTCAGCCACCCAAAGTGCTAGGATTACAGGTGTGAGCCACTGTGCCTGGCCAAGCCATGCATTTTAAAAGTCCGTGCTGGTGTGATCCTAGACAAAATGTTGCCGATTCCCACAGCAGTGTTGATATGAAGCTAATAAACAGCTGTCCTTTAAATGTATTCTAATATGATATGCAATTTCAGCTCATAAATGATCAGGCACTGCCTGCCTCTTCCCCCTTCATGGTTTCCACGCTCGCTTTCCCTCTTTGCTCCAGCTGCTCTGGCCTCCATCTGGCCATCAGGCACGCTTGAGAGCTTTTGCACCTGCTGTCCCCTCTTGCTGGAAAGCTTCTGCTCTAGATCTTCTCATGTTCCTTTCCCATCATTTGGGTCACTGCTAGGAGAGGCCCTCTCTGACCACTGTGTATATTGCTCCAACCCTACTCCCAGTCTCTGTCCCTTTCTATATATATGTATATATATATGTATATATTTGTAGTTGTATCACTTTCTGGAATTATCTTCTTACATTAACAGGGCACTTATGTATTATCTGTCTCCTTTCACTGGCTTGGAAGTTCCTTGAAAACCAGGACCTCATCTGTCTTGTTCACTGGTTTATCTACCACTTAAACTTCAGTCTTCTCCGCTGTGAAATGGGGCTAAGAATGCCCACTTTACTTGGTTATTGCAAAGATGGAATGAAGGAACATGTTCAAGAGTGTTTAGTGAAGTGTCAAGCATTTAGCAGGTGCTTAATATGTGTTTCTTGAATGAACGAAATTGGAGTTTTCCACTACTTTAAATAGGGTGTTCCCCCTTTTATTATGTTTCTAATTTGAACTATTTTTTTGATTTGACATATTGTGAAATGATTATCACAGTCAAGTTTAGTTAACACATCTCACCTCACCTAGTTATCATTTGTGTGTGTGTGTGTGGTGAGAACAGTAAAAAGTGACTTTTTAAAACAAATTTCGAGTATGCAATATGGTATTGTTAACTGTAGCCATGATTCTGTACATTAGATCCCCAGAACTTAGTCTTCTTAAAACTGAAACTTTGTATCCTTTGACCAACATCTCCCCAGTTCCCCCAGCCCTCAGCCTCTGGCAACCACCATTCCATTCTCCCCCTTTTATTTTAAATTAATAAAGATTAATTTTATATTTTCATATTTAAAAAAGAGATTGTTCCTTGAAAACTCATCAGTCTCCACATTTCTTAGCTTGGAATTTAGGTCCTTCTATATCAAACTGTCTTTCCAGTCTCATCTCCTACCAGTTTTTCAGACATTCTGTGCTGCTGCCAGACAGGTCTAGAAAGGCTTCCTGAGCATATCTGATGTGCCTGGCATTTGTTTTTCAGGTCCTGCTATGATTGGAATGTCTGTCCCTCCAAAACTGATGTTGAAATTTAATCCCTAATGTGGCAGTATTGAGAGGTGCAGCCTTTAAGAGGTGATTGGGTCATGAGGGCTCTATCTTCATGAATATGGATTAATCCGTTCATGGATAAAGGCATTAATGAGTTAATGCATTAATGGGTTATCATGGGAGTGGAACTGGTGGCTTTATAAAAAGAGGAAGAGAGACCTGAGCTAACATGTTCAGCCCCCTCACCCTGTGATGCCCTGGGCCGCCTCCAGACTGCAGAGAGACCCCATCAGCAAGAAGGCCCTTGCCAGATATGGCCCGTCAACCTGAGACTTCTCGGCCTCCCAAACTCTTAAGAAATACATTCTGTTTCTTTATAAATGATCCAGGTTCAGGTATTCTGTTATAAGCAGCAAAAAATGGACCAGGACAGGTCCACACTTTTATCTGCAATTCTGAAATCCAGAAAGCTGTGAAACCAAAATATTTCTCCATTGTTTTGGTATAGACTCATTTGGTGGCAAAACTTGACCTGACCTGATATGACTGTTTATAATCTTTATTCACTCCATGTGCTATATATATTCCTATGTCTTGCCGTAGAATTATTAACATGTTTGCTTACATGGTACCACCTGAGGACATATTGAGGTTTTCATCATGTGTTAGTGTAGGTACCATATTACCTTTATAAAATCCAAAAAGTTCTGAAACACAGCTGACCCCCAAGAGTCACACAGAAGGGACTGTGGACCAGCATCCTGGAGGGAGCCATGGACTTAGAATTGGAAGAGGTGGGTTTGCTTCTTTGCTTTTGCAGTGATACCTTGCATAGCCCTGGGCAAGTCCCATCGTCCTCGATTTTCAGTTACCTCATCAATGAAATGGAACCTGTCCTGTCTGAAAACACATTGTAGGCTCAGAAACCAGATGATTAAGCTTGTTAGAAATATGTGTTAACAAAGAGTGAATAGGTTCTGAATAAGATCTGAGGATTACCCCTTCTGAGGAAGGTTCATGAGTTTCATTGTATAAATGCATTGGCAATTCTCTACCTTTCTCACTAGTTGATTTTTTGGTTTTGGGTGAAGTTCCATAGAAAGGGGGCTACCAGATCTCTGATTTTTGAGGAGCAGAACTATGGCTCTACCTTGGCTTTCTGTAGCACCCTTCCTTGGTTGGAGGCTACGATGGATGGGCTCCTCTTCCTCAGCTCAGAAACACAGTTGACAGGGAGAGGTTGCTCTGGAACGCTGTTCTGGGGTTTATTTGCAGTTTCCTGTTGATGGCAATAAATAATTATATAGGTGAGATCTGGTGATGGCTACCTACACACCCAGCCTGCCCTCAAAAGCATGAGGACACTTTATTATTTTTATTTTTATTTTTGAGACAGAGTCTCTGTCACCCAGGCGGGAGCGCAGTGGCACGAGCTTGGCTCACTGCAACCTCTGCCTCCTGGGTTCAAGCGATTCTTATACCTCAGCCTCTCGAGTAGCTGGGATTACAGGTGTGTACCACCAGGCCTGGCTAATTTTTGTATTTTTAGTAGAGATGGGGTTTCACTAAGTTGCCCAGGCTGGTCTCAAACTCCTGGGCTGAAGCAATCCACCCACCTTGGCCTCCCAAAGTGCTGGGATTACAGGTGTGAGCTACTGTGCCTGGCTGCATGAGGAACTTTAAAATAAAAGGCACCTGGCAAACATGACAGCATTGAACAAGGTGAGAGAAGATACTTGAGGACCTTCAGATAACGATAATGACAACTAAAATTACTGAACCTCACTACGTACAAAGCATTGTGTGAATTAGCTCCTTTAGCTTTTCAACAAGCCTATGAAGTAGGTACTATTATTAGTCATTCCATTTTATAGGTGAGGAAATGGGGAAGGTCAAATTACTGTGCAAGGTCATGTGGCTAGTGAGTGGGAGAACCAGGATTCCAATCCCATAGCCCTTTCTTTCTTTCTTTCCTTTCTTTCTTTTTTTTTTGTAAGACAGAGTCTTGCTCTCTTGCCAAGGCTGGAGGTCCACCTTCCAGGTTCAAGTGATTCTCTTGCCTCAGCCTCCGGAGTAGCTGGGACAGGCATGTGCCACCATGCCCAATTAATTTTTGCGTTTTTAGTAGAGATGGGGTTTCACCATGTTGGCCAGGCTGGTTTCGAACTCCTGGCCTCAAGTGATCTGCCCATCTCAGCCTCCCAAAGTGCTGGGATTATAGGCATGAGTTACCATGCCTGGCCCCACAGCCTGACTTTTAACCTCTCTCCTGTATTCCTTCTCATTTTTGAAATTAACTTTACCCCTTACATTTTTCCAGATAATTGCTTAGTATTAATATCTTACTAGATGTAGCTCCTTAAGGGTGACATCTTAACAGCTAAACCTGCAAGGAATTTAGAGAAAGCTTCTCTTTATCTCCAAAGAATGTTAAAAGGATCCAAAACCCAGGGAGAAGTGCTCTGGAATGGGAATATCAGGTCATGCTGGTGGGAGGAAGCAGCTGGGATGAATGAACTAGTGCTAGCTCCTCCACCAGCCCTCTGTGACTCTGGGAAGTTGTTTTGTCCTTGGCTGTCATGTTTTTCATCTATACAATGAGGTTGGAAACACCCCATGGAAAGGAAGTGTAGGGATGTAAGACACAGCACTGGCTCAATCAGGTGTGGTGTGACCAGGAAATGTGACCTGGGACAACAATAATAATGACACATTGCCTCCTGACAAGTCATACTTAACAGACAAGTTATTTCATCTCTTTGAGTCTCAATTTCCTCACCCGAAAGCAGGCAAAACATTTATTCATTTGACAAATATTTCTTATACTCCTACTATTTTTCTGTAAAGGGTCTGGAATGTAATGATAAACAAATGGATGTAGTCCAATTCTTAACAAAAATACAATCTAGTGGAGAAGACAGACATTGGACAAGCAAGGACACAAATATATATACACACACACATACACACAAATTGTGGTTAAGTGCTATGAGGAAGAATAATAGAGGCAGCTGTTGGTAATTTAGACCAACCAGGGTCAGTTTTTTGCTCTCCCGAGGGACATCTGGCAATTTCTGGAGATATTTTGGTTGTCACTGGAAGGGAGGTGCTACTGGCAACCAGTGAGTACAAGCTAGAGATGCTGCTTAACATCCTACTTGATATCCTTAGGTAGGACCTTAACATCCCTAACATCCTGCTGGTGCACAGAATAGTCCCTTATAAGAAAGAATTACTGGTCCAAAATGTCAGTAGTGTTGGGGTTGAGAAGCGCTGGTGTAGATGAGGTCAGAGAAGTTCTCTCTGAGAGAGCACCATTGGAGGTGAGCGTATCTTCCTCAGAGAGTTGCTGGGAGAATTAGAGATAATGGATGCAGAGCCCTGAGGACAGGGCCTGGTACCCTGGAGATCTCAGGAGAGGGCATGTGAGACCGCTGTATTTTTTGTAGAGACAGGGTTTTGCCATGTTGCCCTGGAGGGCTCTGGAGCAGGGCTCTGGAGTTAGACTTCCTGGGTTTGGAATCCCGTCTCCCACTTCATGGAGTGACCTTGAGCAAGTCATTCGACATCTCTGAACCTTAGCTTCCTTGTCTGTCAACCCCTAAACTACCTCATAGGACTGCCATGAAGATTGTGTGAGATAATACAGGTTAAGATGCCTATAGTAATGGATCACACATGTTTGTTATTCAATGTATGCTGGCTACTATTATCATCAATAACTCCAAGGCCATTTCTAAGATCACCTTTAGGGTAAAAAGTCAAATGGTGCTGCTGTTGTGGAGACAAGAACAGGCCAGAAACCAAGAGAAATTGCTCCAAGAGTCCTCTTCCTAGCTGTGCCACCCATGGCATGCCCTTCACCTCTTTGGACTTCAGTTTTCTTGTCTGTAAGTGGGCATAACCCCTACCTCCAAAGAATGATCATGAAGAAGAGATCTGTAGTGAGTGGAGGGACATAGGAGTAGCTGCCCCTGGCATGGAAGGGCCTGGACTCACCCCACTCTTGGGCTTGCTGCTCACGGAGAGCCCCAGGGCTGGCCCTCCTGCCAGGGACTGCTGCAAGCGCTCCTTCACAGCCACCAGCTTCAGCTCCAGGTCAATCCGGCGCTCCTCCTTTGCCCGACACTGAGCTTCCAGGGTGGCCACGGCTTCTTCCAGAGCCTTTAATTTTGCTCCTGAATCAAGAGACATTGATAAGAAAAAGCTGAACCTGACCTGAAATGTCAGGGAATCTGGCAGGGCCTCAGGCCTTTGTCTGCCCCTCCTAGAGGGCCCTTCCAGCCCCCAGTCTTGGTTAAGAGATGGACTCTGGGTTTGGGGTTCCAGCTCCATACTAGGATTCCAGCTCCATAATGAGATGAGGTCTCATTATGTTCTTCATATGTCTGGTTCCTATTTCACCATCTCCTGGAAATAGCACTCTGAGTTTTCGTTGGGAAACCACCTTCCCCCTCTCATTCTGTCTTTTTTTTTTGAGACGGAGTCTCGCTCTGTCGCCCAGGGTGGAGTGCAGTGGGTGATCTCAGCTCACTGCAACCTCCGCCTCCTGGGATCAAGTGATCCTCCTGCCTCAGCCTCCCAAGTAGCTGGGACTACAGGCACACGCCAGCACACCCAGCTAATTTTTGTATTTTTAGTAGAGATGGGGTTTTGCCATGTTGGCCAGGCTAGTCTCAAACTGCTGATCTCAAGTAATCCACCAGCCTTGGCCTCCCAAAGTGCTGGGATTACAGGCATGAGCCACTGCACCTGCCCCACTACCCCCATTCTCTTTAGTTTGAGTGGGGCTGACTCTACTTCTAGTTCCAGGGTTTGGCACATAACTTAGGTCTGCCCCATAATCACAACTCATCTTCTGGTGACAGTGATTGGATTAGGGATGAAAGTCGGACCAATCAGAGTGAATCCAGAGGGCTCTGCGGTGGTCATTGGGAGGAGAAGCTCTCTCTGCTTGGGTTGGCTGGGAGGGCTGGCACTGTGCAGCCATTGTGGCATCACAAGGGAAGAATGAAACCAAAGGAGAGAAGGGTAGAAGCATGAGTGTGAGAAATAAGCTTCCTGGTGACATCATTTAAGTCCCTGGACCCCACTACACCAGATCGCTCAATTTTCCAATTACATCTTCTTTCATTTCTCTGCCAGTTTAGCTTTGGTTTCTGTTACTTGTAAACAAGTGTCATAGCAGGGCTTTACAGACACCAGAGTTTTCAGTAGGATTTGCTGCTTATTCAATTTTTTTTTTTTTTTCTTGAGACGGAGTCTCGCTCTGTCACCCAGGCTGGAGTGCAGTGGCGTGATCTTGGCTCACTGCAAGCTCTGCCTCCTGGGTTTATGCCATTCTCCTGCCTCAGCCTCCTGAGTAGCTGGGACTACAGGCACCCGCCGCCACACCCGGCTAATGTTTTGTATTTTTAATAGAGACGGGGTTTCACCGTGTTAGCCAGGATGGTCTCGATCTCCTGACCTTGTGATCTGCCCACCTCAGCCTCCCAAAGTGCTGGGATTACAGGCGTGAGCCACCGCACCCAGCCTCAATTTATTTTTATTTTTAAATTTTCTTTAAAAATTTTTAAAAAATTTTCTTTCTTTTAGAAAAATAGAGATGAAGTCTCATTATGTTGCTCAGGCTGGTGTCGAACTCCTGCACTCAAACAGGCCTCCTGCCTCGGCTTCCCAAAGTGCCAGGATTACAGGCATGAACCACGGCACCCAGCCCACTTTTTTGATTTAATCTAACAAACCTATATTAGTACCTTTCTCATGCCAAGTGCTGTGTTGGGTCTTACCAGGTTTAAAAATCAGTTCCATTCTTTGCCCTGAGGGAGGCTGTGCCGGAGGGTTTTCCAGTAATGTTGAACTCTTTATATTCACCATTCACCATGTATTTAATGCATGGTGCAAAATTTAAAAAAAAATTTTAATGCAAAAATTAAAAAAAAATTTTTTTTAAAAATGCTTACCATGTATCAGGCATTGTCCTTGGCCCTAGATATATCAGTGAACAAAGCAGGCAAAGATCCTTGCCCTTATGGTGCTTATATTTGTGTGTCTGTGGCAAACAATAAATAATAAATATAATAAATAATCTGATATGTTACACAGTGGTAGTGCCATAGGGGAAAAAATTGAGCAGGACAAGGAGAGTCAACTTGCTCCAAATCCTGGTTCTGACTCTCAGAAAATTCTTTATATGGAAACCAAACTGCCTTCCTGTGCCTTCCTCCTATTGATTCTGGTTCTTGGCCACACAGAACAAGTCTTCTCCTTTAAACCAGAAGTTCTTAATCTGAGGTTCATGGAGTCTTAGGCAATCTATGGATAGGCTCCACAGGCAGCCACATGAGCTCCTGAACTTTTTTTTGCAGCATTGTGAACTGTGGTGTTTCTTCTTAGGAAAGCGTCCATAGGTCCACCAGATTCTCATAGGGCTACATGTTTGTGGACATGTTATATAGAAACAGGACTTCTGCTCCCTCCAGCATGTGAAGAAACCTTAGGCTTAAAGTGTGTCAAACTACAGTTAGAGAGAATGCAAAGGAAACACAGCAGAAAATAGGGTGTGGAGAAGCCCAAAGCAGGCAGGGCCTGCTGAGGTCCCTGGGTTTCAGAAGAGGATCCTGGGAAAGTGTCATGTCCATTATTCCCTGCACTAGGACCAATGTCTCACATATATCTGTGAATGAATGAAGGTGCGGTTCAAAATGACATCTCTTATTTCCTTGATTCTAAGGCACACTTCTGTGCTTCATATTTCTAAAATCAGGTTGCTTCTTACTACATTAAGTGTATACATTATTGTGATGCTTTTTCATCCTCCAAAACAAGTTATTAAATTGATGGCACTTTCTTTAATTGGGAGGAATGATGATGATAATGATGAAGAGGAGAAGAAGAGGAGGAGGAGGAGAAGGAGGAGGGGAGGAGAAGCCCACTTCTCTTGGGTAAGAAACCAGGTGACTTGTGCAAGAGACCTCCCTTTACTGTACCCAAGGATGAGCTGGCCACCCATAGGTGCTCAGGACCACACCCACATAGGTACCTGGGCTGCTCCGAATGGCTTCCTTCAGTTCCCTCTTCTCCTGTCTCAGTGCTATCAGCTCTGTCCGAATCGTCTCTTTCTCTTTCTCCAGCTTCTCTTTTTCTACCAAGTACCTCCGGGCATCCTCCTCGGCTCGGTTCTTGCCATACTTGTATTGATTGGCACCTGCAGAGATATGGGGAAGGGAAAGGCCCTCAGTTCTGACCTCTGGCAAAGGTACTTGTGTGGTGTCAGCTTCTCTTTCAGCCCCAACTTCTCCATCTATGAAATGGAAATATTTAGACCTAGTCCCTTAGATATATTTAGTGTGAATCCTCTAAGGAAATAAGAAGCAAAAGGGAGGCCACAGGGCACACGGACTAGGAGCAAGGCCTTGGAACAGACAGTCTGAGATTTGGGCATTTTTGACCTTCAGCTGGTCAAAGGTTGTGTGACATTAGGCAAAAGTGACTGGTAGTGTGACATTGGTTGTGTGACATTAGGCATAAGTGACTGGTAGTGTTCTTCTGTGCCTTTCCCCCTTGACCTTAGTTTCCTTATTTGTAAATAAGGATACAGATACAATTTACCTCATAGAGTTGTGGTAAGGGTTAAATGAGATGATTAATGAAAAGCACTTAGTATAGTACCTGGCAAATAGTAAGGGTTAGATAATAATGATAATATTATTAAAAAACAAATTTGTGATGTAGAACATACTTTGGTTTTAAAAGAGCATATTTTATAGTCAGTTTTCAGATATCTATAAGTCAAGGAGACTGTTCCATGTAACTCAGATCTCCAGAGATTCTAGACTTTGGACTACAGTCAGGCATTGTCCATTTTATTACTGGGGAAGGGGTTGGGGGAGCGAGGAACCTGGTGTTCTACTGCAGGTTCAACACTATGATGGACAATAAAAACAAATAATTATGGCAAAAATTATTTATTATTTACTACACACAAGGAACTATATGCTGAGCCATTCACTTGCATTTCCACTTAGTCATCATGAAACTTATTTTTTTTATTTATTTTGAGACAGAGTCTCGCTCTGTCACCCAGGCTGAAGTGCAGTGGCGTGATCTCAGCTCACTGCAACCTCCACCTCTGGGGTTCAAGCGATTCTCCTGCCTCAGCCTCCCGAGTAGAGTAGCTGGGACTACAGGTGCCCGCCACCATGCCTGGCTAATTTTTGTATTTTTAGTAGAGATGGGGTTTCGCCATGTTGGTCAGGCTGTTCTCGAACTCCTGACCTCAAGTGATCAGCCTGCCTCAGCCTCCCAAAGTGCTGGGATTACAGGAGTGAGCCACTGCGCCCAGCCCACAAAACTTACTGTAATTAATTTTCTTTTATTGTTGAGGAAACTGAGGCACACAGAGGTTAGGTCCCACTGCTAATGGTGGCAGAGCCGAGGTTAAACCCATGTCTCCATGTCTCTCTGACTCCAGGGTCCATGCTGTGCAATACTGCTCTAGCTGGGCCAAGGCCATAGTTCAACCTCTTAGGGAAAGTTTTACTTTTTTTTTTGTGCGCTATACAGAGGCGCACACAGCTTTATATAAGTCGGTGCAGAATAATTCCTGCAGTTTATGGATAATTGGGGGTCTTGTCTAGCCAGCTGCTGCAGGGATTGCAGTGGTCACCCAGTGACCCATGCAAAAATCTGTTCCTGACACAACTACCTGCAGTTCAAGCCTGATCATAAATACAGCATGGAGGGCCTTCTGGCTTTCATTGTTACTGATGAGAAGTCAGCTGTTAATGTTACTGGGGTTCTCTTATACATGATGACCTGATTTTCTCTTCTGCCTTCAAGATTTTTTCCTTGTCTTTGGTATTAGCATTTTTACCATGATGTCTCTTTTGTAGATCTCCTTGCCTTTATCTTACTTGGATTTCACTGAGCTTCGTGGATGTATAGATTAATGTTTTTCAATAAATTTGGCAAGTTTCAGCCATTATTTGAATATTTTTTATGCTCATCTGTCTGTCTCTCTCTCTCTTCTCCTTCTAGTACTCCCTCTACACATATGTTTGTGCACTTAATGGTGTTCCACAATCCTCTGAGGCTCTGTCATTTTTCTTCATTCTTTTTTTCTCTTTGTTCTTGGTTTGCATAATCTCTATTTTTCTGTCATCAAGTTCACTGATTCTTCTACCAGGCCAAATTTACTGTTGTGCCCATTGAGTGAGTTTTTCGTTTCAGTTATTGTACTTTTCAGCCTCATGATTTTTATTTGGTTCTTCTTTTTATAATTTCTATCTTTCTATTGGAGGCCCCATCAATATATTATCAATAATATATTCCATATGACTATACTATATAGTATAGTATAATATAGTAAGCATATAGCTATATTCCATATAACTGTAGTGTAGTTCCATATACGTATACTGTAGTGTACAGTCTAGTGTAGTGTAGTACTCAGTATAGTCTATTTCCTCCTGCAGTATGAAGCCAATTTCTCTAGAACAATGAGAAATACATTTCTGTTGTTTATAAGTTACCCAGCTTATGGAAGTTTGTTATAGCAGGAGGAATGAGCTATTATCAATAATATATTGATAGAGACTACCAATAATATAGGCTATCAATAATACAGACTATCTGTTAATACACTGTCATCTTCTGTTCCTTTATTTCTTTAAGCATGGTTTCCTTAAGTTCTTTAAATATATTTATAATGGCTGCTTTGAAATCTTTGTTAAATTCTACATTTGGGCCCTCTCTCAGGCAGTTTCTGTTGCTTGATTTTTTTCCTTCTGTATGGGTCACATTTTCCTGCTTCTTCATGTGTGTCATAAATTTTTGTTGAAAACTGGTCATTTTCGAGAATATATTGTAGTATCTTTTGATATGCATCCCCCCAACCGGGTTGTTGGGTTGTTATTTTCTTATTTGTTTAGTGACTTGTCTGAACTATTTTATTGTAGTCTACTTCCTCTTGAAGTATGAAGCCACTGATGTTGCTCCTCAGAGGCCATAGCCTTGGCATGTGTACAGTCACTCTGGGGTGACAGCGTATTAGCAGGGATTTCTGACTCTTTTCCTAATCTCCTGTTAAGCAGTCGGCCTCTGTTGCTATTACACCCAGCTCTACTAATTGTCAGGTGTTTGCTCTATTGATTTTGACAATGCATCAATTACTCCACAGCCTGATCCAATTAAATTCAGCCCCTTTACAGGATAGTTCTGGAGGCCCATCTTTGAGATTTGTTCTAACCCTAGGAGGGCTCTTTTTATTTTAAAAAATTTCTTTTTAAATATATATATATTTTTCTTTCTTTTTTTTTTTTTTTTTATTTTTGGCGACAGGGTCTCACTCTGTCGCCCAGGCTGGAGTGCAGTGGCACCATCAGGGCTCACTGCAACCTCTGCCTCTTGGGTTCAAGCGATTCTTGTGCCTCAGCCTCCCGAGTAGCTGGGATTACAGGTGCCCGCCACCATGCCTGGCTAATTTTTGTATTTTTAGTAAAGACAGGCTTTTGCCATGTTGGCTAGGCTTGTCTTGAACTCCTGGCCTCAAGTGATCCACCTGCCTCAGCCTCCCAAAGTGTTGGGATGACAAGGGTGAGCCATCACGCCCGGCTGAGGGCAATTTTAGCTGTCTCTTTCTGTGGTTCTCTCTGATAAACTAGCCTGTGGTTTAGTTTATTGTTCTCATAACCACCAAATCTCCATTGTTTTTGAGAGCACCCTTTGGTTTACACTTTCCCACACTCTGTTCCAACTAAAGTCAGTTCTTTCGAGGAAGAGCTTTGGAGTTCTCTGTTCTTATGGCCTGCCTTTCCCCACTCGGCAAAATCTCTGAGTCACTGCTCTGGATCCAGGGGTGGGAACAATGGCCTGTGCTGTGGTTTGAATGTTCGTACCCTCCAAAACTCATAATGAAATTTAACTGCAATTGTAACAGTATGAAAAGATGGGACTTTGAGAGGTGATTTAGGCCATGAGGGCTTTGCCTTCATGGATGGGATTAATGCCATTAAAAGAGAGCAAATTCAACCCCCTTTTGCCTCTTTGCCCTTCCATTTTCTGCCATGTGATGATGCAGCAAGAAGGCCCTTGCTAGATGTCAACACCTTGATCTTGGATTTTCCAGCCTCCAGACTAGGAGCTAATAATTTCTGTTCATTATAAATTACTCAGTCTCTGTTATTCTGTTATAGCAGCACAAAACAAATTAAGAGCCTGTTTCTCTTGGAGTGACATTCCTGTTATGAGCAGGGTGCTGGGTGGGGGCAGTAACCTCTGGTCTACTCTGCTTGCCTCTCCCAGCATGGAACCTCTGCCTTACAAGTGAGCTAGGATGAGGGCAATCAGGGCCCCAGTATTCTTGGCTTACCCTACCTGGGGCAAAGCCTTTGCTCTATCATCTGGGTAGAGGAAGGGAGCTTCCTACCTCTTGGCTGCAATCACCTAGAATTTAGCCTCTACAGCATGGAGCTGGGTATGACAAAAAATACTGGCAGCCTGCCCTTCCTGGGGAGATACTGTAGCCCTTGACTGGCAGCTGGGGGAAGAAGGAGCCCTGTTTTCTTGTCCAGACATGCCTGGAGTGAAGATTCTTTCAAACTGAGTTGGGGAATAAAGGGGTAGGTTGTGGCTCAAATGCCACAAACTCTCACTGTTCTTACTAAGATTTAGCAAATTTTCTAGAGTAAATGTTTCTTCATTTGCCCTTAGGAAAATTTCCAGACTTTAAGTAATTGTTTGTTTTAATAAATTTCACCAGCTACTGCTGTTTTGCTAGGGAGTGGGTCCATGCAGCTTCTCACGCCACCATTTTTCTCAGCAATCATCTACTTGGCCTCCATGATTCTTGCTTCCTGATATTCATGCCCTTTTATAGTCCCCTCCCACACTAAACAGTGCTGACCTGTGTAACCATTAGGATATTGGAGAATGACAGAGTGTAACTTCTAACCATAGGTCATAAAAGACCTTGCAGCATCAGCCTTGCTGTTCCTTCTTGGGTTGCTTGCTCTGGGGGAAGCCAGCTGTCACATCACAAGGATAAGCAACTCTATGAAGAAATCCCCATGGCAAAGAACTGAGGCCTCCTTCCAACAACCAGCACAAACTTGCCAGGCATGCAGTGAGCCATCTTAGAAGTGGATCCTTCAGCCTGTCAAGCCTTTAGGTGACTTCAGATGACCGGCCAACGTCTTGAGATCTCATGAGAGACCCCAAGCCAGAACTATCTATCCAAGCCATTTGGAGATTCTTGACCCACAGAAACCGTGTGACATAACACATGTTCCTGCTTATTGTTTAGAGGAGCTAAATTTTGGGTAATTTCTTATGTAGCAATAGGCAATTAATACATGATCGTGGGCAAAATCCTTTGGCTATAGACTAGATGTTTACATCCCCCAAAATTCATATGTTGAAACCTAATCCCCTTCGAGATGGCACTTGGAGGTGGGGCCTTTGGTAGGTGATTAGGTCACGAGGGTGGAGCCCTCATGGGTAGGATTAGTGCCCTTAGGAAAGAGACCCCAGGGAGCAAAAAGATGGTCATCACCAGGAAACAGGCCCTCACCAGACACCAAATTGGCTGCCACCTTGATCTCAGACTTCCCAGCCTCCAGAACAATGAGAAATAAATTTCTGTTATTTATAAGTTCCCCAGCTTATGGGATTTTGTTATAGCAGGAGAAATGGACTAAGATATCTTCCCTTTTATTTTCTTCAGTTTCTTCATCTAAAAAACAACCTTGTTGGAATTCATCAGTAGTTTTCCACTGTGGTTTCCCACTGCCCTTCAAGGAAGCTTATGACCCCACAGTGATGGCTAACAGGAAAAGTGGAGGCCAAGTGGGCCTCAACCAGAGTAGCTCCACTTTTATTTTTCTTTTATAAACTGGGCTTTCATATAAGATTTGATTTGAAGAAAGGGTCTGCTTTTTTGTGTGTGTTTGTTAGTTTTTTGTTGTTGTCGTTGACATTCGGTGATTTCTTTAATCTTACATGCTTTTTTCAGTTTAGATTTCCATTTTAAAATGGGCATTTCACAAGGCCCTGCATTTCCAGTGCCTCTGAGAGTAGAGTGCAAAGTTACACAACAACCTTCTGATTGTTCAGAGAGGAAACTCAGGCCCAGAGAGGGGAAAGGACTTTTCCCAGAGGTACACAGTAATTCAGTAGTCAAGGGAGGAATGAGGAATGGAATACAGATTTCCTGACCCTCAGAAGGGATGATCTATACAAATGAAATGGAGCTATAATACAGAAAAGTATTTTTTAAAAATAGGTATTAAAAAATAAAAGTAGATTTTCAAAAAGCACAGAACAGAACTTGACTCTGTTGAGATGCAGGGGGAAGAAATGTAAAGGAACAAAGAAAAAACTTTTGGAACATGCTGTCCCACAGGAAGCTGGCTTGTTCATAAAGATAAATCACACAGAAGCACAGATTACTGTTGGAAGTAAAAGAGAATTTACAACAGAGTTGCCTGGTGTACTTAGTCATTATTGTGCAGTGTGGTAATCAGGCAATTCACTGAGCTCCTGGGGGGTGCTAGGCAGAGCTAGGGTGGGACACCAAGGTGAGCTGTGGCTTTCATGGGAGCTGGCTCCAGGGTATTTGGATAGGTTCAGTTCTCCACTTACTACCCCAGTTCAGAAATCACAAATTGTTAGCCTCTGAAACAGATACAGCTTGTCATCAATCTCTCTCTCTCTATTTGGCCTCATTTGGTGCTAAATTAAAAAAAAATAGTTGCTGATATTAAAAAATAAGTAGACTTCACCTAAATTCTAGATTTCTGGCCTCTTTTAAGTAATTGGCAAATCTGGTGTTAGGGGCCTGGTACTGCTGCATAGGGATCATCTGCTGGAGCTGAGCAGCAGCCTCCCCTATAGTTGGGACCTGAGAAAACTGGGTACCGGTTTCCTACAGTACCTCCCCACCCCCCAACTCCCTGTCATTTTCCCTCTGAGGCCACATGCTAGCTGCCCTTTATCATTGTGCTTGCTCTGTGATTTTTCTTACGGTAGAGTATTTTCTTGCATCTCACTTTGCTCATTTATTTACCCACCAGGGAAACTGATTTTGAGATCCCTCCTATAGACTGCTTCCTTTCCTTCCTCCCTAGTCAGCAGGGGAGGCCCACACACAACTCACTGGAGGCGTGGCGTTTGACTTTGACCTGCGGGTCCACACGATGGGACTTCTCACTGCAGGAGGAGGCGTGACGCTTCACCTGGGCCCCTGTGGGGCGCTCGGGCTCCTCGTCCTGGTGGGAGATGGAGGAAGACAGTCAAGTTCAGGCAGGCGCAGACTCATCAATGCAGGGTGTATTGCGGTCTTTGCTCAGTATGGAGTCTTCTTGCTCTGAGATCTTGGTCTTACATTTTTAGACTTGCATAGCACTCAAAAATCATAAAGCACTTTTGCTAGCAGTATATCATTTGAACCTCATACCTTTCTGCTGGGGGGCAGCAGAAGGCAACCCTAAACTGCAGCACCTGCTGAGAGGAAAATTAGAAAGTCTCAAAAGACTGTGGGTGGCTATATTTGATTTATCATCGATACTTTTGTCTTTAGAACATTTGGAAGTATCCTGATTTTCTGAATTGCCTCAAAAAGAAAACAGTCTTCCCTCAAGAAGAAAAGTCCTGGATGAGATGAGCCAGTGATAGAAGTGACATAACTTAATAGATTAACTATACATTTGTGCATGAAGAATATTAAGAATACTAAAAATCCAGTGAAAGCTTAGGAAACCATGAGTTAAATATGATAATAATGTAATATAATAATGATGTTGTCAACAACAGTACTATCTACTTCTCTGTATAGGACCTTCCAATGTCTAGGCACTGTCCTAATTTCTTTTTTTGAGTGCAGCGGTGTGATGATGGCTGACTGCAGCCTCAACCTCCTGGACTCAAGTGATCCTCCCACCTCAGCCTCCCGAGTAGTTGGGACAACAGATGTGCATCACCATGCCCAGCTAATTTTTGTAGAGACAGGGTTTTGCCATGTTGGCCAGGCTGGTCTCAAACTCCTGGGCTTAAGTGATCCACCCACCTCAGCTTCCTATAAGTGCTAGGATTATAGGTGTGAGCCACTGCGCCCAGCCTAAACGTTGTTTTTTTTTTTTTTTTTTTTTTTTTGAGACAGAGTCTCGCTCTGTTGCCCAGGCTGGAGTTCAGTGGCATAATCTTGGCTCACTTCCACCTCCTTGGTTCAAGCGATCCTCCTGCCTCAGCCTCTCGAGTAGCTAGGACCATAGGCACATGCCACTGTGCCTGGCTAATTTTTGTAGTTTTTAAGTAGAGACGAGGTTTCACCATGTTGGCCAGGCTGGACTTGAGCTCCTGGCCTCAAGTGATCCACCCACCTCAGCCTCCCAAAGTACTGGGATTATAGGCATGAGCCACGGCACCCAGACCCCGCCTAAACTTTTTTACATAAAGTATTATTTAATTCTTGCAGTTATCCAAGAAGGTAGGTTTTATCATATCCTTTTGGAGTCAGGAAGTGAAGACCAGCAGCCCTGAGTCTGACTCAAACTTCACATCCTTAAGTGCTAAGCTGTCTTGCCACTAAACTCTGCAACTGAGAAAAACCTCAAGCTGCATCCACAGGTTTATCTGAGTCTGAAGAAAGACCATATGAACAGAAGGATGACTGGACAAATTTCTAGAAAAGAGAGTCCTAGAGGTGAAAACTCAGTGTGTCATGCAGCACTGTCCAAGACAGAGGTCCTGTCTGCAGACACATCTGTTGTCCTCGGCAGCTTAATTGCCTCTCTCTCCTGCTAACTGTGAGGCCTGACCCACCCACCAGCGTCTGATTGGAATGTGGCTCTCCTCTTGCTTTCTGAGGGAGGAGACAGCACAGGGCATGCTGCCAGGAGCATTCCAGGTCATGTGATGGCTACACAGGCCTCACTGTAAATCAGTAAGCTGGTATCTCCCTGGCTTAGCAAGCAAAACATGGAGACTGGCCTGGGAGCTGAAGCTCCCAGATCACAAAGTCACCAGGTGAAGGCTTGCGGGGTGGTCCCAGAGTCAGGACCTGCCCCAGACACCACGGAATCAGCAGGATAAGTTCACAGAGTGGTAAACAGGAGGAGGGCCCCAGCAACTTGCTCAAACCGGAGACGATGCCTCACCTTTTGGTAGTGTTTGGGAGTCTGCACAGCCCTTTCTTCCTCCCAACCTGGGTCTCTTTCCACCACACCACCCAGCCTCCTGTGCCAGGGATTCCTCATCCTGAGCCATGCTCTATGATAAGAAGGGGCTCCCCTTCTAGCTACTGCTGCTTAAATGAAAATGATCTTTCTGAGGCAGAAGGTAAAGGGAGCAGAAAGAGGGAGAGCTAATAAGTGGCCTTTGCCACATTCCTGGGCAGCCCCAAGGGACTGTACCTGCATCTTTTCATAAGGAACATCATCATAGACTCGGGGCTCAGGCCACTGATTCTGGCAGGATCTTGCATATCTAGAAAATAAAATGTACGATGACAATGACAATGACAATGATGCTTTGCAGCTTACAGTGCTTTCGTGTCCTCACTCTCATTGATTCTGGCAGAAACTCTTAAGGCAGATCAGAAGATTGGTAAAAGCAAGATGGCAGGCAGCATTGTGTCATGGGCTGTGTTAGGGCGTCACAGACAGGACCAATGTGATTCTCATAACAACCTGCAAGGCAGGTAATTCATCACCACCATTCTATGAGTCAGAAAACAGAGATCCGAGATGGCAAGCAACCAGTGCAAGCTTCCACTGCTGGTGGTGACTGAGCTGGGACTCGAACTTGGCTCTTCTAGTACCAAATGCCATATACTAGCCACGTGCCCATGCTCCAGTGTGTGAAAGCTTAAAGTCCCATGACATGAGGGCAGAGCCCAGGCCACTACTCCAAGGCTTCTCTACTTTTGCTCCTTCCATCCACAGCTTGCCTCTGACTCTGGGCTACTTCCTTCAGCCAGCTCCCCACTCTTTGCTGGAAGAGGAAGACACTCATTCCAGCTTACCAAGGAAGCGGAGCTTTCCTTAGCTCCTCCCTTCCCTCCCAGTGCCCAGGGCTGGACTCAGCCTCTGAGAGGGATGGAGACAGGAAAGGTCCTGGGCAGGTGTGGCCAGTGCAGCTGACACTTACAGGAAGGAGTTGCGCCCAGCACTGACGATGCTGGTTAAGGTCTCCACATCCACGTAGTCATAGTGCAGCGCCTCCGGAGTGACTCTGGAGCCCATCTCCACCAGCAGCAGCCCGAGCCAGCGACCCATGTCCTCTGAACAGCTTGCCTGAAGGACAGGAGGCAAAGATGGAGTTCATTTTCCTACTGTCAGGGCTCCTGGAGACCTGTTGACTTCAGCCAAACCCAGAAATATTTGTAAGTACTGACTACGTACCCGATACTCGGGTCAAAGAGGAATAAGATTATAGCACACATCCAGAAATCCAAGAGGCTCCCTTCTTCCATCTATTCAGGTTTCCAATCAAATGTCACCTCCTCAGGGAGGCCCTCCCTGATGACCTCTCTAAGACAGAGGCCTCCCTGCCCTCACTTTCCATTCTCAGAGCCTTCCCCAACCATTAGAATATAAAACCAACATTTGGGTGTTCTCTGAATTTTTTAAAAAATATTTACTTTTTATTAGAAGAGGCCATTTCTCATATAACTTAATCAAAATAGTTTCTTGTGTTATAGTTGCCAAATAAGTACAATACTGTGTATAGGAAAATCTCCAAGAAGTTGCCAGTCAGCTAAACACGGACTTATGTTAATTCTCATTTAAAGAGCATCTTATAAAATTAAATTAGCACACAAATGCTAAACTTGAATACATAAAGCACACTTTTTGCCAGAAACCTTCGTGTATAAGATAAATAAGAGACCTATCTCAAACTACCAAAAATAAAAGTGAGTTACGGAGGCGATATTTTTTGAAATTTAAGAACTGAGAGAGGCAGGGGGTCTTGGGCAGAAAACAAGACCAAGAGGTCAGATTCTAGGACAAGACTAAGAGACCACTGGCCCTCTGTGGACCCCTGGATAAAGCATGTGGCTGCCCTGGCCTCAGTTTCCTTATCTGTAATGGCAGAAGGTAGTTTTCTGTTTTCCTGTAGTGTTAACATTTTAAATTCTAAATTGCCAAAGGGTTGCCATGTGGAAGAGAGAGTCCACGTATTCTGCATGACCTCAGAGAGGAGGCTAGTGCCCGTGAGTAAGAAGGACAGTGAATCGGTGAAATGAAATCACACTTCATTCACTCATTTGTTCAACAAATATTTCTAGAGCCCATAGTATTCTAGTGCTGGACATCATGCTGAGTTCTGGAAAAACAAAAGTATGCAGAATAGGCCTAATTATTGCCTTCCTGGAGCTTAAAGATTTCAACTCAGTATGGGGAAAATCTTTCTAAAATTTGAATTGCTCAATGGGAGGGGCAGTGGACCTTCTCCTCCACCAGAGGAGGGTACTGGTGAAAAGTCTTAGAGGGGATTCCAGAATCTGAATGGTTAGACCAGACTAAATGCCTTTCAGGCTTGGGATTTTAAGGTAAGGGAGAAAAAACAAACCTTGGTTCTGGGGCTGCCAGATTTAGTGAATAAAAATACAGAATGTTTTGTTTAATTTGAATGTCAGATGAACAATGAATAATATTTTAGTATCAATAAAGCTCCAATGTTGCGTGGGACATGCCTATTTTATTATGAAAACATTTCAGGTAATGTTCGTGGCTTACCTGAAATTCAAATTAAGTGGGTGTCCTGTGTGTTGTCTTATAATCTACTTGGGTCACCTGACAGGAGTGAGGCTTGCTTTCCTTCCCCTTCAGTCCCCATGGTGTCAGTAGCAAGGGCTCCCCCAAACAAAAACATGACACTCAGGCCAGAGTCCCCAGACCAAGAGCCACCCACGTCCCACCCTCTCCTCTCACCTCCAAGATGGCCACCTCCTGCCGGTTGCGCAGGATCCTGAAGGCAAATGGGTGTCGGGGCCCAAAGCCCGGGGCCACCTCACAGCCTTGCAGGGCGATGGCGTTCACATGGGTTCGCAGGTCCATGTGATCCTTGTGGAAATACAGAGTGTTGCACTTCAGGCGGCACCAGCGTTCCTTCCAGCCCTGGTTCACCAGCACGTTCAGGTAGCCTGGAGGAGACAATGGTGTGAGGTTCCCATAGCCTGCCCTGGGACAGCATGGGGACGCAAGGCGGCTCCATGTGTCTGCTGGAAAGAAGGCCTCGGGGTCCTGGTCAGCTCTCTTTCCCCTGTGACCTCAGGGTGACCTTGGGTGTGCATTTCTCTGAGTTTGTTTCTTAGCTGTGAAACATGGACTGATAATGGCATTCCTACATCTCTGCACAGCCTTTGGGCCACACCAACCTTGATGAAAAGGGCAGGAACTACTGCATATGGTGTATAAAAAACACAACTCTTTTGCCTTTTCTCCCCAAATCAAAACTGTTACTGAAAGATGGAAAAGAATGGATGATGCTGACACCCAGTGGCAGCATGTGGGAACAAAAATGTCTCACCCACATAATCTTAAAATTGACCAAGGCACAGCTGCTGTGTAGCTAATGACCCACAGGTTTAGAATTCCCTCTTAATGTTTTAGATTTAAATTTGCCTATTTTTACCATAACGCACTCTGATTCACTAATTACAAAATATTTCTTTGTAGCCATATATTTATTTATGTATTTATTTTTTGAGACTGGGTCTCCCTCTGTCAGCCAGGCTGGAATACAGTGTCTCTATCACGGCTCACTGCAGCCTCAACCTCCTGGGCTCAAGTGTTCCTCCCACCTCAGCCTCCCAAGTAGCTGGGATTACAGGCATACACCACCATGCCTGGCTAATTTTTGTATTTTTGGTAGAGACAGAGTTTCACCATGTTACCCAGGCTGGACTCAAACTCCAGGGCTCAAGTGATCCTCCCTCCTCAGCCTCCCAAAGTGCTGGGATTACAGAGGTGAGCCTCTGTGCCTGGCCTTGCCATGTACTTTTATAATATTTTTTTCAGGGTTAGAATATTACTGCATATCCAAAATATACGATTTTTAAAAACTGGATTCCAGTACATGGAACGCTACATTTACATGAGCAAAATAATGTTTTCACCTTCAAATCACCTTTAATTCACATTGAATGCATTTTTAATAAAAAGTACCTAAATATTTTTCTCCAATAAATTTCCCTATAATATGGGTTGTTACTTATAAACCTGGCACGTTCTATGCTGGAAAATAAGATACCCCTGTCTTGTTATCGTGGAGGAAACTGAGAAACTGAGGCCCAGGGATGGGCAGTGATTTGGGCTACGGTCACAGGGAGCATAGAAATACAGTGGTCAGCTGGCTTTTCCTTTCGTTGAGTGTCAGGGCCTCTGGGAAGGAAAGTGATGGGAAGGCCTAGAGTGTTAATGGAGTGGGGCTTAGCCTCCCAGTAGGCTTGGATTCCCTCCCCTGCCCTGGGGGTGAGGTGGACGAGGCATGAGGTCTCCTGGCCTCAGCCCCCAAAGCCCGCGCACACAGGACCTGAGCACCCTTCCTCCCCGTGCCCTGGACCCACCACAGCAGGGAACCTCCTCCTCGGTGGAGGACGTCTGCAGGTCATCGGCCAGTGTCTTCTTCTTGGAGAAGCCAATGATACGGGTGATCTTGCGGCCCGCAGCCCTGCTCATTGAGCCCTTCAGTTCTGCCAGGCTGCTCTTCTTCCCTTTGCCTGTTGGGGAAATGGGTCAGGGGAGTGGAGGGAGCCCTGAGTCCCACCCATCCTTAGTCTTCCTTGTGGCCTTTTCAGCCTGCATACAGGATGGGCCTGCAGCTCCAGGGATGGCAGGCCAGGTCACCTTACCCAGGTCTACAGAATGGTCAGAACCTGCTCTGCCGCTGTGTGCCCATGGGCAAGGCCCGGCCCAGTTCCAGCATTCCCCAGCCTGAGCCCCCAGAGGCTCCTACCGTGATCACAGGTCTCCCGGCGGCCAAGGGTAGAACAGTTGTCACCCACACCCACGCTGTCAGAATCTGAGGTCTGCTTCTCTTGGGACAGCCTCTGAGGAGGGACACAGGCAGTCCCTCATCAGAGGGCACATTCAGAAGTACCCAAATTTCCCTTTATTGGTTCAATCTCCCTCCAACTCCCCCAGCACATGATAATTAGCTAACAAATGTTTGTCAGCAACTATCCTGTGCCTCATACCATACCAGGTATTGAAAAGACAACCATGACTTAGATATGGTTGTGTCTTTGGGCAATTCACAGTCCATTTGGGGAGGGAGGCAATTAATTATAACACTTTGAAATGAATGTCTTAGGAATTTGGACTGTATTTGGCAGGTGACAGGGAGCTGGGAAAGTATTTAAGTGGAACACTCATGTAATCCAAATTGGTTTAGGAAGTTACTTCCAGTGGCATTGTGGGGACAGACAAAAGCAGACAAGACTGGAAGCAGAAGAGCCACTTAAAAGAATGTCATCCTGGTCATGATGAGACTCGACAAGAGCATGAACCAAGATGACAGTGAGGATGGAGAAAAAGAGATGAGCTGGCAGACATTTTCAAAACAGTCATGGCGGGACCTGGTGACCAGCAGGAGTCCATTATGATCCTAACTCGGAGGAGAGGATGGGAAGGGGACACACACCCACACACCCACACACAACATGTCAACAATTTCATTGCCAGCCCAAATTAGTTTTACTCATGACACCAACTCTAGACCATTCATCGATTCATTCATACAAGGTCCATTAAGTGTCTATTAGGTACCACGGGATGTAGAGTGGAAGCAATGATGACTCTCTTACCACTTATTAGCTGTGGGAATGTGGGAAAGTCCTTCTGTCTCCCCAAGGCTGGGTTTTTTCACTTGAATTCCACCCACTTCAGAGGGCTGCTGTGACGGAGCCAGCTCAAGTGAAGGCCCATGGACTGTATCATTTCTAACACCTGTGTGATGTGCTGCCATCTTTCTTCAAGAAGCTGAACTGTGCCAGCCACACTTGGGCCAGGATTAAATGACATCCACCCACTTAAGAAGGTGGAATTACAGAGCTCTGAGGCCCCAAAGCCTTTCCTGCCAAGATCCTCTCAAACCAGGCTCAGCTTATGCTTCACCATAAGCATAGCACCGGGGGACGGAGAGGACAGGAGATCATGTGCACCTCTCAGTTTCCAAAGGGCTGGAAACATGACAGCTGTCAGAAAGGGGACAGAACTGTCAAGAATAAAGAATCACCTCTTCAAATGGTGAAACAGAAGTTATGGCTCTATGTGTTCTGCAATGGTGTACAGATGGTAAGTTTTTCATCAGATAGAGCAAATACAAAGAGGTAATATGAGCACTTTGGAAAGAACTCGATGGTGACACTGCAATCACATGATTCTATGGAGAACAGACCCACCAATATCACATCCTCACCCTCACTCTCCACCCAAAATACCACCCCCAACATTCTAGTTACCCTCCCTGTGGATGCTCAGCCACAGGAAAGCTCAACTCTGCAAGCTTGCTTCTTCTTCCCCTCTACACATCTTTCAAACTGCACCTCAGCATGTGCTGGCAAGTGCGTGCACACACACACACTCACACACACTGACACTGTCAACGCTGCTTTCCCTCCGGCCTCACCAATGGCAAAGGCTAAGTGAGGATAGGGTTGAGCTTCTCCTCCTGCATCCACCTGGGCACATGAGTACCCATCTTCCACTCCTGGTGACTCTGCCTCATCCCATACCTTTGCTTCTGTTCCCTCCCCTTGGCCCACCTCTGCCTCAGTGAAATCTTGCCTATGCCTTAAGGCTCAACATAGGTGCCCGTCTTCCCTCATCCTTCTTGCCCCTCCAGCCAGCGTGGGCCCCTGTTCCACTCACTGTAGCTTTCTGGGATACTCTAATAGGCTGGTGGGCTCTCCTTTCTCTCTGAGCTTAGCCATACTGGCCGTTTTCAGTTCCATGCTTCTTCCTGCTCCTGCACCTTTTCCCTCTGCTTACAATGCCTTTTCCTTCCTCTTCCCTGCTAATTTTTCATCTTCATCTGAAATGTCACTTCCTCAGAGAAGCCTTCCTGGGGTGCTGAGGCAGAGGCAGGGGCCCAGGGTACCTGGTACTTTTCCCTTCTAGCACTTACACAGCTTGGCATTTATAAGTCCGTGTGACTATTTGATTCATGTCTGCTTCTTACTGAGCTGGAAATGCTGTGAGGGCAGGGCTTGCACCTGTTTGTGTTTGGACTGCATTTCAGTGGCTAGCACAGTTCCTGGGGTGCCCCGGATATGTGTCAAGCAGGTGCTCAGGATCCTGGCCTTGAGAGGAGGGGCAGCATGGTCATCAAGAACTAGACTGTCTGGGTTCAAATCCTGGCTACGGTTCTTATTTACTATGTGACCTTGGGCAAATCTGTGTCTCAGCTTTCTCCTCTGAAAATGTACCTACCCAAAGAGTTGTTATGAAAATCACCTCAGTTAATACACATAAAGCATTTAGTACACTGCAGGGCATGCAGTCACAGTCTATAAATACTAGCCTCGATTACATCGTGCAAGGCCCATGTCTGTGGGTCTTAACCCTTCCCCTTGACTGTAATCTCCTTAAGGGGAGGACTTGGGTCTGAGGCCCTTTGTTACCCACAATACCTGGCAATGTGTAGGTACTGGGACATATTTGCTAACAGCCTGACCAACTGGCTAATGACTGCTTCTCTCATGTTCCAAACAGGCACGCTCCTTCTCTTTTTTTTTTTTTTTTAAATGAAGCTTTGCTCTTTTTGCCCAGGCTGGAGTGCAATGGCACAATCTCGGCTCACCACAACCTCTGCCTCCCGGTTCAAGCAATTCTCCTCCCTCAGCCTCCTGAGTAGCTGGGATTACAGGCATGTGCCACCATGCCTGGCTAATTTTTGTATTTTCAATAGAGATGGGGTTTCTCCATGTTGGTCAGGCTGGTCTCGAACTCCTGAACTCAGGTGATCCACCCGCCTCGGCCTCCCAAAGTGCTGGGATTACAGGCGTGAGCCACTGCGCCCGGCCTACTCCTTCTCTTTCTCTTTCTTTCTTTCTCTCTCTCTCTTTTCTTTCTTTTTTCTGAGACAGGGTCTCACTCTGTTGCCCAGGCTGGAGTGCAGTGACGCAATCGTGGCTCACTGCAGCCTCCACCTGCCAGGCTCAAGTAAGTCTCCTACCTTAGCCTCCTGAGTAGTGAGGACTACAGGCATGTGCCACCACACCTGGATAATTGTTTTGTAACTTTTTTGTTTTAGAGATGAGGTCTCACTATGTTGTCCAGGCTGGTCTTGAACTCCGGGGCTCAAGTGATGTGCCCACCTTGGCCTCCCAAAGTGCTGGGATTATACACCCTCTTTTTCTAATTGACAAATTTCAACTTATTTTTCATGGCACAATTGCAATGTGACCTCCTCCTGTCCTGGCAGGGTGCATCACTCCCTCCTCTGGCTTGTACTGCACTTTGGGCATAAGCACTCGTTTGTTCATGCATTCATGAATTCAGGAGACATTTATTAAGCACCTACTGTTGTGCCAGCTCTGTGCTGGGCACCTACAGTTTGGCAGTTGCCTGACTTTCCCCCCAGCCAGTTAGTTCCCCTGGGGTTGAGCCCGTGTTGAGTGGCCACTGCCTGGCCTGGGGAAGACTTAGTGGAGACAGATATACCTTGTCCAGGTCCAACTTGCACAGGAGGACTGGGGATCTGGGGACCTCCACTCCCTCAGCTCCCCCAACTGGCTTGCTCACTTCTCGGATGACCTGTGAAGAGGACACACAGCTGTGAACGGGTGGGCAGGGAAGCTGTTGATGCAAAGGAAGAATGGGGACTGTGTGGTGAATGCTGTAGAACAGAGGGTCAGGGCCACTGTGGGGAACAGATGGACTGACACAGCTACCTGCATATGTGTGGGGCACATGGGTTTGTAAAGGCTTTCTCCCATATCTGTCCCCTGGGCTGAAAAGATACAAGGATGGGGACCAAGAGGCTTATTGCTAATTAGTTGTGTGGTCTTGGAAGAGCCACTTCCCTGCTCTGGGCCTCAGTGTCCACATCTGCAACATGGGAATATACTAGTCCTCTGCTTCCCTCCTTGGGTTGCCTGAGGACAGTGTGACCATGGATGCGAAGAGTGATGGGAACCATAAAGCCTCACAAGCATGAGGGACCTGCTTCTGTGACCATGTGCACCTTTACAGCAACCTGTAGGGTAGCTGGAGTTATCACCTCCATCTCCTAAAGGCATCCGCTCACTTGCCAAGGCCACACAGCAATAAGCATGAGATCAGGGAATAATCACAGCTACCATTTGTTGCTCACCTAATTGGTGGCTTTCTGTGGATTATCCCATTTTATCCCCCACCAGCCTTGTAAGCCCTGAGTTACAGCTTAAGATGATGAGCCTCGCAGAGGGGAAGCCACCTGTTAGGTGGCAGCAGAGCCAGAAACTAAATGCAGGCAGTTCAGCTGCCCACTGTTAACCTCTGGGCTAACGGCCGCCCAGGATCAATGTCAAGGCAAGTCTCTTTTAACTCCAGTCTAGGGATTCGTCTGCCGACCCAACCAGCTCGTGGAGGGTACAGGCTCCCCCAACAGGCAGGTTCTCTCCCTTCTTTCCCTCCTGAGACAAAGGGGTAATGAGAAACACCAAATGTTCCATCATGGGGGCTGGTTATCACAGGAAGGAAGGGGCTGGGTAGAGAGGGAGGTGTTTGGTTTCATTGTTCCAGCAGGAAGATCAGAGGAGGAAAGGATGGTGTCAGAGTGAAGTAGAGGCGGTGCAAGGATGAGGTCTGCTGTAAAGGAATGGGGGGTGGGGCATCGCAGTCATCACAACAGTAGTTACTGACAGTTACCACACACTCACTGCCTGGCAGGCGCTGTGCCAAGTGCTCTCCAGAATCCTTCCAAGGACCATTTCACAGATGAAAAAAACAGGCACAGAGGGTCAAAGTCATTTGCAGAAGGTCACACAGCCAGTAAGTGCCCTTTAGGCCTGGGGCTTGCACTCCAGTATGGGTGCCACAAAGTCCCCTCTCCCATGTCATCACTATGTCATCCTGCCTATGGCCTTTGGAGTAGATTTACTACTTAGCTTCAAATTCTGGCTCCCACCACTTTGGTTGTGTGACGTTTGGCAAGTCACATAAGTTCTCAAAGCTGTGTCTTAGTTTCCTCATCTGCGAAATGGGAACAATAATATTTTGTCCCATTTTCAAGCAGAAATGAGGTCACGTATGTAAAGCTCTTGGCACAATGCATGGTACAAAGTAAGTGCTCATTTTGTGGTGACTCTCATTGTTCTGTGTAGCTGCAGAGGCAGAAACTGGCCCATGGGTGGTCATTATAAGGATGTACGTTTCAAGGCAAGGAAGGATTTTTCCTTTGTTGTTGTTGTTTTAAGAATTCACTGGTCTAATGATGAAATCAGCTTCCTTTGTACATACTAAGCCTCCAGTTCCAGGAGGTATACAAGTGCAGGCTGAATAAGCCCACAGTAAGGATTTGGAAAGGGAATTCAAATAACCAGAAGGGACACAGGTCTCCAGCATGAAGTCTGCCTCTTGGAGATATCCGAGGCCCATTTCCATACATAAGCCCTAGCCACGCAGAGGGCACTTGGGCTCAGGCACTGAGCAAGAGGCTCTTCCAGGGACAGGAGCCAGCTCTACTGAGGGCTGGCTTGGGGAAGAGAGAAAGGGTGAGAAGGCGGGAAGGTCAGGTGCAGGCCACGCACCTTCAGCCACTCCTCGGCCTGCTCTCGGCTCTGCAGTGCCAGCACCAAGACCTCGGTAGCCCCCTGGGTGAAACGCAGCTCGTGCCTCTTGTGCCGGCTGTCCTTGGGCACGTAGATGATGCTGCAGGTATCCAGTGCCAACCTCAGATGTGGCTGCCGATCCTTGGAGCTTTTGTAACACTGGACAGGGAGAGAAACACATCAGGATCTTCTGAAGTAGAGGGTAGAGGAGGGAGACATCCTCACACAAAGGCTCGGGGGAAGCCCGACCTCCCTTTAGAGACCTCCCCCACCCAGCCTAGCCATGGGCACTGTGTGAGGATAGCTGAAGGGTCCAGGCTGTTCACCCTGGAAGAGAAGCCTGGGAGGAGGCATCTTTGGGCAATTTTCAGTCATAACTACCTATTTAGGAAGAGGCAGAATGTAGCACAATCCTAGGAAGACCAGGTTAGCCTAAAGAACCAGAGAAGAAATGGGCTGGCTCGGGAGGAAGCCAGTTAAAAATCTATCTGGCAGGAATTTGGGAGACAATTCTAACAGCGATGGAGGGTTGGCCTTGGGAAGTCAATAGTTTACGAATAATGATTCTCACTTCCCCATTTTTTTAATGAGCCCAGTATTACCTTCATAACAGAGCCAGTCAATGATATTACGAAAAGAGAAAATTATAGGCTAATTTCTCTCATAACCCAATCGCAAAAGCCCTGAACAAAATGCTAGCAATTGGATTCCAGACGTATATAAAAAGCAGCTACATCAAGACCAAGTGGGGTTTATTCTAGGAATGCAAGAGCGGTTTACCATTCAAAGATCAACTGTATTATTAATCATATGAATAGAAAAAAAGGCCAGAAATCACATATCTGAATAGAGCTAGAAAAAGTATTTGATAAAATTCAGCATCCATTTAAGTGAACTAAGAATAGAGGGATCTCCTTAATGTAATAATAAGGAACATTTTCATCTACAAACAACCCACAGCAAATGTCATCCTGAATGGTAAATTATTATTATTATTATGTTTAGAGACTGGGTCTTGCTTTATCACCCACGCTGGAGTGCAGTGCTGTGATCATAGCTCACTGCAGCTTCAAACTCCCAGGCTCAAGCAATCTTCCTGCCTCAGACTCCTAAGTAGCTGGGACTACAGGTGCATACCACTATGCCTGGCTAATTAAAAAACATTGGTTTTTTTTTTTTTTTGGTAGAGACGGAGTCTTGCTTTGTTGCCCAGGCTGGTTTCGAACTCCTAGCTTCAAGTGATCCTCCTGCCTCAGCCTCCCAAAGTGCTGGAAAAACAGGCATGAGCCACCATACTCAGCCTTAACAGTGACTTCCCTTTTGAGCTCTAGACTGAGACAAGGATGCCTGCTCTCCCACTTCTGTTTGCATTGTGCTTGAGGTCCTAGCTACTGCAATATGTGGAGAAAAATATAGAAGGGGTAGGATTGGAAAGAGGATGGTCATGTCCCCTGGACTAGTGCCGCCCTGGAGTGAGAAAAGGTCATGTTTCAGATGCATTGATGTTGGGCAAGGCTTGTCAACAGATTTCTGGGGAGAGAAGCTATTCTTTTTCTGAAATTATGTTTATCCTCTTACTTTGTAATTAAAGGTGCTCTTTCTTTTATGAAATGATAGGATGAGAGATGGTAAATATAAAAAAATCCTTCTTAAAAAAAGCAAGTAATAGAACGATTGAGTTTTGTAGGGGATTCGTTTTATAAAAGACAGATGTAAGGAAATGAGGGTGGAAATGTGTACACTAAAGCTATTACAATAGTGGTTATCTCTTGGTCAAGGAAATTATTGATGTTTGGTCAATAGTTTTTTAAAAATCACTTTTCATTTGTTTTTCTCTAGTTTTATAAATAAGCACATTTACTTGCATAATGAAAAACAACAAAAATTTAAAAGTGATTAAAAATTCTGTTTTTTTGTCAAAACAAAAACATGGTAAAGCCTGTATCAGGTCTTTTTTTTGGTTTTTGAGATGGAATCTCTCACCGTTGCCCAAGTTGGAGTGTAGTGGTATGATCTCGGTTCACTGCAACCTCAGCCTTCTGGTTTCAAGCGATTCTCCTGACTCAGCCTCCCAAGTAGCTGGGACTACAGGCGCACACCTGGCTAATTTTTTGTATTTTTAGTAGAGATGGGGTTTCACCATGTTGGCCAGGCTGGTCTCGAACTCCTGACCTCAAGTGATCCACCTGCCTTGGCCTCTAAAAGTGCTGGGATTACAGGTGTGAGCCACCGTGCCTAGCCCAGGTCTTTAAATTTAAGAGAGAGAGAGAGAGAGAGAGAGAGAGAGAGAGAGAGAAAGAGAGGCACAGGGTGTGTGTGTGTGTGTTTAAATTCTGCTCCAGTGGGGAAAGTCCTGATCTTGGGAGCATGGGGCCTTTGAGCTTCTGTGCACACAGTCAATCCAGGTATGCCCAAGGCAGACATATCCACATGTATGTAGAGACACACCCACATGCAAGTCCATGTGAGGCCGAGGCACATGGCTGCTGCTGACCACTCACCAGGAGCTGGTCCTCCCTGATGACCGTCAGCTGCTTGGCCCACTGCCCGAAACGCTTTTTCCGCAGCAGGAAGGCACATATCCTGCATTCCCTCACCAGGTGCATGGAGGCCTCCTCTGAGGGCCACTGGTGTCGGGGCTGCGGGCTCTTCCCTTCCTCCTCCTCTTCATCGTAGGACTCATAGGAGCTGCTCATTGCGTCAGAGTCATTATCTGCAGGCGTCACGGGAAAGGATCCATCACTGTGCCATCCTGGGGAAGCACCTTCTCACCCCTCTGCAGCGATCCCTGCACTGGGGACTGAGGCTAGGAAGGCATGGGCATTAGGCATGACACTGGTAATGACTAAGGCCCCTACTTTTTTTTTGGAGACGGAATCTCGCTCTGTCACCCAGGCTGGAGTACAGTGGCGTGATCTCGGCTCGCTGCAACCTCTACCTCCCGAATTCAAGCGATTCTCCTGTCTCAGCCTCCCAAGTAGCTGAGATTATAGGCACCCACCACCACACCTGGATAATTTTTGTATTTTTAGTAGAGATGGGGTTTCACCATGTTCGCCAGGCTGGTCTCCAACTCCTGACCTCAGGGGGTCCACCTGCCTTGGCCTCCCAAAGTGCTGGGATTACAGGTGTGAGCCACCACACCTGGCTGGCCCCTACTTTTGCACTTTGTTGTACTGATTTATCCCTTGCTTTGCGATCTTGGTTACTTCCCTTCTCAGAGCTTCAGTGTCCTCATCAGTAAAATGATCATAATAAATGACAGTACCCACTTCAGCCGGCTATTTGAAGACCAATGCATGGACAGTGTTTAGCCAAGTGTTTGGCACCCAATAAATGCTCAATAAATTTATGCTATTGTCATACCCCTTCATCTTGACATCTGTTGTCTCTCGTTATTTTCAGCAATAACCCAGCAAATCTCCATTTTATAGATAAGGAAACTTGAGGCTCAGCGAAAAGAAATTACTCACCTAAGATCAGTTATCAAAAGTCAGGGAAAGGGTTAGATCCAGGCCTTCTGACTCCCATTCCAGCGGTCTTTCCACTGAGTGCTGGGGTCACCCAAAACAAGGGTGTTGGGGCCTCTCTAGTGACCATGGTCTGGGTGAGGGGCTGGTGGGCACACCCATGCTAAGGGCCAGGACAAGGCCTGCTCTTTGCAAGGGCAGAAGCCCTGCCCAGCATCTGGACGCCCACCTGGTACTTACAGGAGCTCTTAAGCTCGCCGTTCACCCTGGTTGCAGGGTAGCTGCTGTCTGCGTCCTCATAGTAGCCATCCACAATCGAGTGTGAGGGGCTGCAGCCATCTGTGGGTTGTCAGAAAGAGCTGCACTTTGGAGAAATGCAGGCAGACTCCAGGGGCCAGGACTGGGGGAGACCCTGACACCCCTGCTCCACCTCAGGGAAGAGACAGCAGGCACTCTGAGCAGCTCAGGCCAGGGTGTGAGGCCTCCTCTCTGCATCTCATCTGTTCTAGCTCTCCACAGTCCCTCTGCTCCTGTCACCAGAAACTGCCCTGCCAGGCTGTCATATCTCCCGGCCTGTATTCATGCTGTTCCCTGTGCTCTCTGTCTTCTACCAGAGGACTTCTCATCCATCAAGACCCAGATCAAAGATCTTTCCTCTGACTTTCTCAGGCAGTGAGTGGTCAGCTCCTCCTCAATGACCCCAGAGCATTGCATGTGTGCATGGTGTGTGTGTGTGTGTGTGTGTGTGTGTGTGTGTGTGTGTGTGGTGTGTTGGTCGCAGCTCTGATTTTTGCACTGCAGGGAGCAATGTACCAGTTGCTTGGGCTGAGACCTCCCTCCCTGCTCTGCCTTCTCATCTTTTTCCACCTCAGCCCTTCCTCTTACTTCCTTCTAAACCTCTGGGACTGCAAAGAAAGAATTGGACTAGAGGAGATAATAATATCGTGCATAATAGTGACTACAACTACCTGTGCAGATTTTCACAACACCTTCCCATTTGGAGCTGGGAGGTAGTACGGTGCAGTGCTGGGGTTAGTGGGATGTCTCAAACTGTATTCTGTATCAGAATCACCTGGGAGTTGTCTGAAAATGCAGACCCCTGGGCTGTATCTCCAGAGATTCTGGTTCATTGGAGTGGGCTGGGCTGAGGAATCTGCATTAAAAAATGACTATTTAATAGGAAAATTCTAAACATCCATAAAAATAGAAAATGTACTGGACTCCAATGAGTTGGGAAAAATTTATTCAATGATGTTTTTAAAAGGTTATTTTGATGCAGGCAGTCCCTGGAACATACTTTGAAGCTCAGATGGTTAAGAGCATGTGCTTTGGGATCAATCAGAGTTGAGTTCAAATCCTATCTCTATCATTTACTGAGTGACCTCAAAAAGAAAAGCCTCTCTGTATTTCAGATTCTTGATCTGGAAAGTGACATGAGCAATTCCCACCTTGGCTTAGTGATACAATGCACGTCAATTCTTAGGACAGCGCCTGGCACACACAATGTGCTAAACAAGTGCCAGCTGTTATTACTGTGATTGTCTCCTTTGATTCCCACAAGGCAGGGAGGTAGATATCAGCCCCATTTTGTAGACAAGGAAGCAAGCCACACACAGTTTGCTGGTGACAGAGCCTGGATCAGAACTGAGGGTGCCAGCTCAGGGGATGGTGCACATCCCCCTCCAGGAAGCCTTCCTTCACCCAGTCCAACTCACTCTCACAGCACACTGCTCTTCAGAATGCTGCTCTGGGCTCCTAGCCCCTCCTGTGCATCTGTTTCCTGAAGACGGCAGCACTGACATTCCCAGTGACTGGGACACCCAGTTCTATCTCCCAAGTGAGGCTCGGAGCCCGCCTTTCCAGCAGGCACCCTGAGGCCTCAGACGCTGGACATCTCCTGGGAGGTGAACGGGGGGGTCAGGTGTGAAGTAGGGAAGGGTGAGGGGGCGTGGGGACACAGTACTCAGACACCTGGCAGGGCTGGACGCTGTGAGCGAGAGGAAGGATACTCCCTGATGGGCTTGGCGTGCTCTCCCTGCACAAGGTTCCTGGCCCTTCCTGAAGCCCTCCCTTTCCTTCTGCCCCAGGATTCCAGCTGCTTCTGGGAGGTGTCTTCTCTGCCCTGTCTGAGAGGGAAGTGAGTTCCCTGGGGAGGTGAAGGAACCCCATATAGCCAATAGGCTTGACCTGGGATTCAAGGCCCAGCAGCACTTTGTTCCCTGTCCTTGAGTGTATAAAATAAAGTTGCCTGTTTCACACCCCCACAGCTGTTTGCGATAACACAGAACCTGAGACTATCAAGGCTGAAGAGGGCTGTGGATTACCTGATCCAAGCACCATAGCCAAAAGGTGCAATCAGCCCAAGGTCCATCAGCTGAGGAATGGATAAGCACAATGTGGTCTATCCGTATGGTGGGATAGTGTTCAGCCATAGAAAGGAAAGAAGTTCTGAGGCATGCTACGACATGGATGAACCTAGAAAACATGCTAAGTGAAAGAAGCCAGACACAAAAGGCCACAAATTATATGACTCCATTTATGTGAAATGTCCAGAATAGGCAAATCCATATGGACAGAAAGTGAATTGGTGGTTAGCAGGGGCTGGGGTGGGGAATGGGGAGTGACTGCTTAGTGGTATGGGCTTCCTTCTGGGGTGATGACAATGTTTGGGGACTAGATAGTTGTGATGGCTGCAAATACTGTGAATGTACTGAATGTACTAAATGCCACTTGCTGGACAGCTTGAAATGGTGGAAATGGTTAATCTTACGTGTATTTTACCACAGTAAAAAAATTCACCCATGGTAAAAAGCACAAACAGTAATAGAAAAGAGTATGAATGAAAAAAATACGTTCCCTTCACCCATATTTCTATTAATTTCCCGCAGGAAAATCCTGTTAATAGTTCCTTGCATATCCTTGAAAAATTGTTAAAACGGATGCATGTGTGTGTGTGTGTTTGTGTACACCCTATTTAAAAAAACAAATGGAATTGTTGTATGCAGTATTTTGTGTTTGACATTTTCAATGACATAATAAAACCGATCTGTCTTTGCTGATCAGAATTCATTTTAGAAATTTGATTATTTTTTGGTGGTTGGAGAGCATTCCACTGTGCTACTGAATGACAGAGCAGCATCACACAAACATTATCTTATACAAATTCAACTACTCATGCTGAGCCATCCAAACATTAGGATGTAGTTTCTTATATGTAACGTTAAGTCCTTTTACCCAAACAAGTGACTTCATCTGATCTCTTCATTCAAAAGAACGTCCATGTGTTGCAATGCTGGAGGAAGCCGATGAAAAGACCAAAGACTCTCCTTTATGGCCAGTTTAAGGGATTTTCAATGGTAACTTGTACCAGTGCCCACTAAATTATTTTACTGCACCCACCTACTAGTAAAAATATATACATATATTTATGTTTATTTTTCTATGTTATATATGTATATATAAACTTTTTTTTACAAATATGCTATTATCAGATTATAAATGCTACAAAACATTCACATGGAATTTATTAAAAGATATGTTGAATTAAATAGAAGTAAAGCTTCTGATATTTCTGCCTACATCATGTTATGAACCCCTGGGTACCCCCACTCTACTCTGACAGCCTCTGGTTTAGACCACGTGCTTTTTATTTTACGCATTGACTCGATAACCTAACCCACCTATAGGAGGTCATTCTACTGAAACAATTTCACCACCCACTCAAGAGGAGCACTTGGGTTAGCAGTTTTAGTAGGGGGAACAGTATAGTGGTGGTCATCTGTGTAGCTGCCTCCTAGCACACTGACATGGTGCGTCTGCTTCCTCTTTCTTGTTTTAAGGGTGGAAGCACAGAGATCCAGAGGGCAAGGGGATTTTCCAAGGCCACACAGATCTGGGACTAGAACCTAAGCCCCCAGCCCCTGGGGCCCCACATATTGGTCCACCCAGGCTGTCACCGAAGAGGCCAGGTGCCCAGGGTAGCTTCTCCTAAGCCAATGGTGACATGGTTGGGAGGGTGACAGGCTTGCAGTTCCAGCTCCCACAGGACACAGAGGAACTTAAATTTGGCTTCTCAGGGACAGGAAGTCCCCAGCCCCACCAAGAGGACCAGAACTTACTGTGGGAGCTGATGTACTCAGGCGACTTGCCGGGTCCCAGAGGAAGGGCCTCTTCATAGTAGTCCTCAGGGGGAGGCTTGTTGGGGAGCGGTGGAGGCAGGTCGGCCGCCTGCAAGGGGACAAAAAAGAGGGCTAGGGGAGCGGAGCAGGGTAGGGAGAGAGAGGCTGAGGGAGAGGGAGGCAGGAGCTCGCAGAAGGCAGGAGGCAGTGTGAATGTGAAGCCATACCTTTTATAGAGCCACAGAGCTGGTAAAACTCGAGGGCATATTTATCCAGTGATTCTTACCCCAATTTTTTTTAATCATCAGGGTTCCCCTGGAATGTCTGCAAGTTTTGTGGACTGCCAAACAGTAGTAGTCATACTTTTTACTGAGCACATGCAGAATTACCAGAAGCTACTGTGAGTTCTGCACTACTCTGTAACCACGTCTACACACACACGAGGTGCAGTAGGACAAGGAAGCGTGAGGCCTGTTCTTTAGTGAGGCAGGACCACCCGCAGCTGAGTGCTGAGCCACTGGGCCAGGGGAACCGTGGCTTTACAGCTAAGTTCTGCCACGTGTGAGTTGTGGGACATGGGTCATATCACTCATTCTCTCTGAGCCTCAGTTTCCTCATCTGTAAAATGGGGATAACAATTGTGCCAGCCTCATTCAGTTGCTGTCAGCATGTAAAGGACATAGTAAGTTGCTAGTGACTGGTACTGTTGCTGGTGATGATGACAATGAATTATGCAGTTGACAGACAAAGCTTGTTGTGATTATGAGCCCCTTGCTCTAATTCCATGGCCCCAAGGTTGCGCATCCTATATCTGGTCCAGTCTTTCATTCTGTAGGTGACAAACTCAGGCTCAGAGAAGAGAAGCGACTCGCCTAAGGCTACACAGCAGAGTCATGGGGGTGGGCAGAGGTCACCCAACTCCTGGTCCAGAGCTTTTTCCATAGCCTGGCTTATGTTATGCAATCGGAAGTTGGGCTGGTGACGTCCTTCGGGCCTGAGGGCACAGGTAAGTTCACCACATTCTCCCTGCTCAGCACAAACACTGTGACTTCCCAGTCAGGAAGGTGGCAAAATAAAGAATAAAAATAAAAATAAATAAGAAAAAAAACACACAGCGAGCACATCACGGGCCATTGAAATGTTCACATGGTGCTGCCTGTGCCCTCACCCACAACCCGAGAGAGACAACAGGGTCCAGAACCGCCAGGAGAGCACCCAGTGGGAAGGGGAGAGCTTCCCTTGCCTCCTCCAGAGGGACAGAGGCCCTGAGGTGTGGGAACCCAGGCCATGACTCACGTTTCTCAGGCGTGGGCTCTTGGCTAGCTCAGGGCTGGCTCCTTTGCTGGGCTCCCCATCATCCTCTGGCATGTCCCGAAGGTCACTCAGGTCACAGTCTACAGAGGGACAGGCCATTGGGCAAAGAAAGCCAAGGATGAGCAGCACAGACCAGGGGAAGAGGGCTGGATTTGGGGTCAGGAGGCCTGAGTGTGAGGTCGGGCTCCACCACCCCTCCGTTAGTAACCCTAAACAAATGACTTTTGACTCTGAAACTCATCTGTACGTGGTGGCAATGATGCCTGCCTTGTCTGTTTTCCAGGATTGTAGAGAGGATCAAATAAAATCATACTTGTTTTGGTACTTTGGAAATCTTTGAGGGTTATGCTATAAAGGCACAGTGTGCTCCCTAAGTCTATGAGTCCCCAAAACTCTCTCACCAAGGCCTGTAGCTTTCTTTCTGTGTTGAACAGAGCTGTCTTCCCTCAGGATAGGGCTAGGACGGCAGGTACTCTGCATGCAGCCAGCTCAGCTGCTCCCATGCCCGTGGCAGCCATGCAAGCTATCATTTCTGCTGAGCCACTGCATCGCTCAGCCCAGTGTCTCAAGTGGCAATCACCTGGGAGTGGCCGGTGAGGAAACACCCTAATGTGCCATGCCTTCTTTGGACTGCATGGTCATCCCTACCATTCCTCAAGTCTCTGAGCTGAATTCCTATTCCTATGCAGACTTTGATTAGACTTTCAGAGCTGGCAGAACCCAGAGGGGCCAAGGACTGGCCCAAAGCGACTTAATGATGCGATGTTAGAGCCAAGCCCAGCCCAGTCGGGGGACCCTTCTGCATACACAGGGAAAGAGGGATGGCTCCGTAGCTGAGGTTGGGAGAGGGTCACTTACCAAATTCTTCAAAGAGGGATTCCACGAAGCTGGGCCCCGAGTGGAGGTCTGCTGTGTTCACATACAGGTAGGAGACCTCCTTTGCTGTGAGGAAGAAGGGGGACATGCCAGCTGTGAAGGAGGAGGGACCAGGTCTCCCCCGTCCCACTCATACTTCTAGCCCACATGGGACACAGTGCTCACTTTGCAAAGCGCATTCAAGTCCTAAATTATTTCACTGGTTTTCAAACTTTGTTTTAGTTTTTACACTGTTATTGAGGATCTCTTTCTCCAAGTAAAAGGATGTCCAGAAGCCCAGTATGGAAACAGATTACTGGGGCTGTCAGGCGTATGCTAGGGTGTGTGCATGTCATGTGTCAGGTGTGGTGGGTGTGTGAGGGGCTGTGTGTGTTGTAGGTCAGTGTGGGGGGTATGTGGGTGTGTGTGTTCTATGTGAGTGTGTGTGTTCTGTGTGTGTGTGGAGGGCAGGGGTGAAGGAGTACAAAGAGCACAGCCAGGGCTGTCGGTGGGGAGGTGGGGCCCCAGTGGACAAGGACATTGGGCAAGAGCTCGCATGGAATGCATTGGACGCTGTGTCCAGGGCTTAGCCTTCCTCCTGCGGCAGCCCCTGGGGGTGGGGGTGGGGCGGAGGGTTCCTGCATGTTCTTGAGTCAGTGAAGGGAGGTTTTGTTGTCCTACATAAGTGGAGCTCCTCCAGGCAGGCTGCTGGCGGCTAACCTGGAAGGGGCTGCAGGCTCTGCAGGATGGAGGCCACGGCCATCTTCTTTTCCAGGGTGGTATCGCTGAGGTACTCGTGGTCCAGGAGGCTGAGCAGCCCGGTGAGCTCTGGGAGCAGCTGCTCCAGCACTGCGGAGGAAGGCAGACGGGCACAGTCACAGCTGCACAGTCACAGCTCTGTGCCCGGGAGTTCGGCCCCCCACCACCTAGAGTTGGGCGGAAGGGGTCAGAGGGCAGGTCCGGGTGTGCAAGCGGACCTGGGGGCTCTCAGCTGTCCCAGACCTGCCACGCAGCTCCCGTGAGAGGGTCCTGCTCAGTTAGTCCTGTGGTGTTTCTCCGGGTCTCCCCACTCTACCTCAGATGGCCTTGGCCCAAGGACTGGACCTCCCTGGGCTCATCTGGCAACCCTGAGCTCAGGCAGCCCCGAGCAGAGGTTCTCAGGCCTCCCTCTGTCCCAGATTGCCCTCTGCTTTGCTTGACCAGGGTCCTTTCTCACTGCAGCTCGAAGCTCAGCACAGGTCTCAGGCTGGAGCCCCTGGCCATCCAGGACACAGGCAGGAAAGAGAGCCTTCCTGTCCCATCAGTTCATGTGCTTCAATCTCTGGAACCTTCTGTTTCCGGTGCCTTGGCCACAGCCAAACTAAACATTAACCCTCCTCACTCCATGTTATCAGTGCCATTCTTTCTTTCCACGTGACACCAATGCTTCTCAAACTTGAGTGTGTGTAAGAATTACCTGGGGATCTTGTCAAAATGCAAATTCTGATTCAGGAGGTGTGCGGTGGGATCCGAGATTCTGCATTTCTGATCCGCACCAAGCTGCAGCTGATGCTGGTGGTCCTGGACCATCTGAGTTGCAAGATCCTAGAGCACAGAGTCCTTTAAGGACTTCAGTGTGCCAAGACCATGATGTCACTGATGTCTCCCTGTCCTGAAAAGTAACTTGGGACTTGGTTTGCCTTAGAGCCAAAGACCAGCTTCATCACAGTAGTATTGCCCTGCTTTGCAACCCACTAAGCATTTAGGCATGATAACAGAAGCTAACCTGTACTGAACAATCATTATCAGTTATATTCAGCCCTTTTACATTTTATTGTCTCATTTAAATCGTATATCAAGTATTTTATTATCTTCATTACATGGAGGATGAAACTAAAGCTCCAGGAGGTTAAATACCTTCTCCAGGATCACACAGCTAGCAGAGCCTAGAGTGAAGCTGCTTTCTTCATTCTCTTCTTTTAACCACAGAGATATATTGACTCACAGTATTTTCTTTGTTCCTCCCAGCAAGTTTTGAAGTAGGTCCCATGATCACCCCTACCTTTTAGATGAAGACACTAAGGCTCAGAGAAGATAAATAACTTGCTTGAAGTTACACAGAGGCAAGAAGAAAAGCCAGGACTTCAGCTCCAGCCATGACTCCTAACTCCATGTGCTGTTCCCCACCCTGGGCCCTCCTGAGGAAACAGGAGACACTGACCCGGAGCTGCAGGGCCTGGAGGTGTAGGAGGAGATACAGCACCTTGCAGAAGAGAACAGGCCCTGGAGCCAGATCACCTGGGTTCAAATTCAGGCCCTATCATTCACTAGCCAATCACTTACCCTATGGGTTCCTCAGTTTCCTCCTGTAAAGGCGGAGGATAATAACAGCACCTGCCTCATAGGGTGGCTGTGAGAATTAATGACACCAGACATGCAAAGGGCCTTGCCCAGCACAGAGTGAATGCTCACCACAAGTCAGCTATTCTTGCTGTCACTGAAGAATTTACTACACTGATCTGTGCTGATCCCTGAGTGTCTGCCTCCCTTGGCAGGCTGTGAGGCTCTAGCAGGCGTGGACTGGACTGTGACTCTCTGCTTACTTATCATCTGGTCTGGGGCCTGCTCAGTGTGGGTGCTCTTCATGTGTCTGACAAGACAGGAATGAACAGATGACCACACTAGGACCTTCTTTTAAATATAAATCTTATGTATAGATAGTGACCCTTGTTAGGAAAACATGATGCTGCAGTCTCTCTGTGGCAAAATCCATCATCACCCCAAACTCGTTGACAATGAGCTGAAGGTTGATGTGGACAGCTCCTATCTCATGTGCACTCTCAGCTGCTAGACACTGAGGGAGGGGCTTTCTGTGCGTGTTTCCATCCAATCCCCAGGGCACATCTGTGAGCAGTCCTATTGGGATGCCTTTTTTTTCAGAAGATGACGCTGAGGCTGTGGCAGCTATGGGATAGTGGCACAGCTTGAGAGGTAGAGCCAGACTGATTCTAAGTCTGTGTGATCCCTAGGGATCAGAGTGGCACAGCTCTGGGGGGTCACTGCTTGCCTCCAGAGCCCAGGCGAAAGGCGCCTGGAGGTCCTGCTGCCTCCAGGGCCTGGGCCCTGCCATATCAAATAAACACAGGTTCTGGATGAATATGTTTCCCTCTTTAAAGCAGGTAATTATTTAAAATCATTTTAGCCAAACTTTAGCTGTTTTCAAGGAAATCTTTTCAAATGGAATAACAAACCTCTCTAGCGCCCTCAACAGACACACTGATATGGCTTGGCTGTGTCCCCACCCAAATCTCACCTTGAATTGTTGCTCCCAGAATCCCCACGTATCATGGGAGAGACCCAGTGGGAGGTAACTGAATCATGGAGGTGGTTACCCCTGTGCTGCTGTTCTCGTGATAGTGAGACCTGATGGTTTTATAAGGGGCTTTTCCCCTTTTTTCTTGGCATCTCTCCTTGTTGCCACCATGTGAAGGATGTGTTTGCTTCCCCTTCTGACATGATTGTAAGTTTCCTGAGGCCTCCCCAGCCATGATGAATTGTGAGTCAATTAAGCCTCTTTCCTTTATAAATTACCCAGTCTCAGGTATTTATTTATTAGTCTTTATTAGCAGCATGAAAACAGACTAATACATACACTAAATGTTGGTTAACTCAATTCCAAAACATTTACTGAGCACTAACTATGTGTCAGCCTGGCCCCTGGGCAGGGCTTAGAAAAAATGAATAAGAGATTGTTCCAACTGTCCCAACGCGCATTCTCTCTCTGTCTCATACACACAAACATGCGTATTCCCTCATAGGTAATTACTCACAAGGGAGGCAACGGCAGATGCAAGAAGGCAGCCACAGGTGGCCTGGGAGCCCTCCTGTGGCCCTGCAGCCACGACTCACATTCAAAAGCACATGATACCTCTCTGCTCTCCCACAGGATGTTATGGCTCAGGGGTGCACTGGGCTGTTTATCCCTATACCGGTTATTCTGAAACTTTTTGGTATCAGGGTCTTTTTATACTTTTAAAAATTATTGGGCCAGGCGTGTTGGCTCACGCCTGTAATCTCAACATTTTGGGAGGCTGAGGTGGGCGAATCACTTGAGCTCAGGAATTTGAGATCAGACTGGGCAACATGGCGAAATCCCATCTACAAAAGTATACAAAAAATTAGCTGGGAGTGGTGGCATGTGCCTGTAGTCCCAGCTACTCAGGAGACTGGGGTGGGAGGATTGCTTGATCCTGGAAGGAGGAGGTTGCAGTGAGTCGTGACTGTGCCACTGCATTTCAGCCTGGGTAACAGAGCAAAACCCGTTCTTAAAAAAAATTGTTGAGGACTCCAAATTGCTTTTGTTTTATGTGGGTTGTATCTATCAATATTTATTGCATTAACATTAAAACTGAAAAATCTTTAAAACACAAGAACACAAAGATACTTATCCCACTAGCCTTCAAAGTTACCCCTTCACCACAGGTTGTGCCTGGAAAACTCCACTGTAAGCTTGTAGAGAATGGGAGTGAAAAGGTATATAATGTCTTAGTACTACACAGAAGTTGTCTGGACCTTACAAACCCCCTGAAAACATCTTGGGGACTGCCCCCAGGCAACTCCCTCATCCCTAGCTACACTTTAAAACTTTAAAAACTGCTGCCCCCGCCAATGAACGACTAAGGATTGCAAAACTTTTTGGGATTTTTAAATCTGTTCCTCCCTCCCTTCCTTCCTTCCCTCCTTCCCCACTTCCCTCCCTTCCTCTTTCTCTCCATTCTCCCTCCCTCTTTTTCTTTTTTCGTTTTATTTTTCCCTCTCTCCCTTCTTTTGTTTCTTTCTTTCCTTCTGTCTTTCTTTCTTTTTGCTGTGAGGTTCCAGCAATTTCTTGTTGCTATCAGTAAATGCCTATGGGTGGCAGCTTTCTGGCTTCTAAATGCTCTACTGCTTCTAATTTAAGGTTTGCTATAGTCGTTTCTAAAGTAAGAACAGTTTGGTTCTGCATGAGCGCTCTGCATTTAAAAACCTGAGCTCTCGCACCCAAGCTTTGTAATACCTTTTTTGTTTCCTTCCTGGTCTTTGATGGGATTCTTAACATGGGACCTTGACATCTAAGTGCTCTTCCTTTAACTGAGATTTGATCACCAAAGTTCAAACAGACCAAAGGAGAAGAAAGGGACTGAATGCATCTGAGAGAAGCAGATGGAGAATGAGGGGCTGCCAGTCCTGGTGGGGTTTCTGCGACCTGAACGGATCTGGCAGGCAGCAGGGGCAGAGGGAGGGGAACCATGGGGCAAAGCACAGCTTGCACTGAACCTGCAAGTCTTTCGCTGGAGCTGAGCAGTTACCCTGTGCTGGGCAGTTAATGCACATTATCTCATCTAATCCTCCAGCGCCCTACAAAGGAGGAAATGGAGGCTCAGAGAAGTGAAGTTACTCAGCCAGTAAGCAGTAAAGTCAGGCTTTGAACCCTGGCCTGTCTGACCCCACATCTGAATGCTCCATCAGAAGACTTCAGCCCAGCTCAGTGCAGCAGAGGCTAGGAGGCCAGGCTGGGGCTGGGGGGAGGTGGGCAGATGTGAATACTGGGCTTCCTCTCACAGCCCTCCAGTGGAGTGCTCTGGGCCATGACTTCATGGGGCTCCTGATCTGGGGATACCTTTACCTGTGGGTGGAAACCCTCACCGTGAGGCTGAAATTCCTGCGTGAAGGCCCTCTCCCCACTGGGCCTGTTTGAACTTCAGAACTTCAGCTGTGAAGATCTCATAGAAAAAAAATAGACCACTGAAAGCAAATACCTGAATTAACAGCAGGGATCTCATCCCAGAGAAAACCCGATATACATCACGGATGTAAGAAACCTTTCAGCCAGTGCTGGGCTCTTCCAGAACAATACAGAGCTCACCCTAAGAAGCTAGCTTTCAATCACAGTGAATACAGAAGTCTGATGACAGCTTCATCTTTAATTTTAGAGAATTCAAACCAAAGAGATTTAAAACATTATAGAATTTAAATTGGAGAGGTCGTATGGGTATAAGGCATATGAAAAGTGATACCAACAGGACAGTAACTTCGATTTTTAGTAAGAAAAGACTCCTCCAGCGGGATTGTTGGAAATGCACATTCCCAGACCTCCTATCCAGAAAGTCTAATTTGCTAGGCCTGTCCTGGATCCAGGAACTTGCATTTTTACAAGTACTCCAAGTGATTCTGATGGGGGCAGTCCAAGGTTCAACCTCTGCAAAATACTCCACCAGAAAAAATATGCTACAGAGGACATAAGGAATGTGGGAAAACCTCTCCTATTCCTTAAAAAAATATCATTAGTTATCCTCTTCTGAAATAACTGAGAATCAAGGTGGGAATAGGAGCCCCTGAAGATTACAAATAGCTGGAGCATGGAGTCTTGCTTAGAATAGTGCAGTGGCTAGGGCTCTGGGGTCGGACCCATGTATATTGGGATTCTTGCACTGCCACTTCTGAGCTGTGCAATGATGGGCACATTAGAAATTTTGAGCCCTGGTTTTATGACAGGCAAAATGAGAATAATAGGATCCCAACCGCATAGGGCTGGAAAACTAGGTAAGGTTATGCTTGTGAAGCACTTTGCATGGCACCGTGCTTCGAACAAACATTCACTAAATGATAGCCATATTGCATGTTGTTTTGTCATTGTTGTTATTTTCTAATACTTTCCACAACTATGGAGACTCCACAGTATTGATCAGATAGCATTAGGAACAGATTTGCTATAGTTCTAATAGGCTCCAGGAGGACAGGGTCTGTGTTTCAATCAGTACACAGTAGATGTCCAATGAACATTTACTCAATGAATACAATATTTTGATGGCCTAGTCTAATCCTCTTATATTAAACATGTAGCAAGTGAGTGTCCAAGAGGTTATTTAACTTAGTTATGGTCACACAACCAGTTGGGGGAAAAAGTATTTTGTGTTAAGTTCACACAATACTAACACAAAGCTTGATGCTTAAGATAAGTCATGGAAGAGTGGCTAAAAGCACAGGCTTGGAGAATTTGGGCTCCCCTCCCAGCTCTGTCATTTTCTAGCTGTGGGCCTCTGGGGGAAATTTCTAAACTTTCCTAAGCTTCTGATTCTTCATCTGCAAACAGTGGGGGTGATCACAGTAGCTGCTTCACAAGGTCACGGTGAAGATGAAATGAACTGATGTGTATGGTGCTCAGGCACTCGATGGCTGCTCTCTTCACTCATCTGTGATCGCCCCATGGAGTTTCAGGGGAAGTGGTAGGCACAAAGGAGGATGGTACAGGGACAAGAGGGCATGGTGGGACTCTGCAAGCCTCATCCTGTGAACTATTCATGGCTCTGGCCCTGACACTGAGCTTGGGATGGCTGTGGCACAAGGAGCTGGCGAAGCCCCTTCCCTCAGAGTGCTCACATTCCAAGGACCCCCTCCAAGCAAGGTGAGGAGACAATATCTTCTAGACAGAGGGGTAGTAACGCAACCCAGGAATCCTGGGTCCTTGCTGTCCCCGGTCAGGAAAAACTTTGTTCCCAATTCCTAAGCTGCCCCCATCTCCTGTCTTTGCTCTTGGCAGACTCGGGCATGAGGACAGAACTGTCTCTATGTCTCCAGTTTATTTAGAACCACGAATAAATTCCATCTATCTTGCTTGGTTTAGTTGAGTCTTAGGGAGGTACAGTGAATTCCAATGATGAGAAAAAGATACAACAGGAAGAAATGGACTAATCATCGTTTATAAGTTTTCAATCTTTTAAGTGAGACAGAGGCTCAGAAACCCAAGATGAAGGATAATTATTCTCTGGGTTGCAAAAAAGTTTTTCAAATAAATTTAGAAACCTATTTAAAATATATCTAAGATTAGGCTGTTAAATGCTTATTGTTCCTGGTGAGTGCCCAACTAAGAGTAAGATCACTTTTCTATCTTCTCCTCACTCCTCCCCACATGACTGAAATCAAAATAAGATGTTAGATAGCAGAAATTAAGCTACCAATAAAAAGTACTACCACTTGCTACCTGGTTCACATCCCTGATGCAGCCTGAGTGAAAAGCAAGAGGTATTTATCACAACCAGAAAGGACACTAGCGCTCAGAAGGTCAGATTTATTTAGAGATCGCAAAGATAATGAGTTCATAACAAAAGACAAGTGAGTAATTAAATATCAGCAAGTCACAAGAATAATAAACCCTGTATTGGCTCCTATCAAACTAGGCCCAGTGCTGGGCACTTGGACTCATGATCTCATTCCTGTGTACCTTTCAGACTCTGGAGCGTACAAAAATGCTTGGAAACAGCTTGCAAATTACAAATTCATTAAATGCAAAGCCATAGGAAAATATACAACTTCTCTTTTCCCCACCTCACTATTTGACCAGCCTCTTTACAGAGATCACAAAGATAACTTATCCTTCTTTGTTTTCAAAGTCAGAGTAAATGCAACTAGCACCATTTAAAAATGGAAAAAGACCACTGTGAGACTGTGGTTTTATGAAGGGCCTACAATTTTTCTTTTGATTTACTCAAATTTCCTTTCTTATGCAAAGGAAAATGACCCAATTTCCATCTCATAAAGGCTCCTGTTCTGGAGAAAGAACCAGTGCCTTACTTTGAACATTTCTGATCATGATTTTAGAGTTAACTTTCTGCATACTGTATTAACATATCAGTGGGGTATGACCCACAGTACCAGTGGGGAGGCAAGTCGCCCTGGAAAGAAAAGCAGTATGCTGATCAGATGTGAGCTCAGTGCTTGGGTAGGGTGAAGGAAAGGAAGAGCAGCCTTTTCTGTGACTTTCAAACCCTGCAGGCTTTTCTCTTCTTTCTTTCTTTTTTTTTTTTTTTTTTTTTTTTTTGAGACGGAGTCACGCTCTGTTGTCCGGCTGGAGTGCAGTGGTGCGATCTCGGCTCACTGCAACCTCCGCCTCCTGGGTTCAAGTAATTCTCCTGCCTCAGCCTCCGAGTAGCTGGGACTACAGGTGTGCGCCACCATGCCCAACTAAGTTTTGTATTTTTAGTAGAGATGGGGTTTCACCATGTTGGCCAGGATGGTGTCGGTCTGTTGACCTTATGATCTGCCCACCTCAGCCTCCCAAAGTGTTGGGATTACAGGCGTGAGGCACCCTGTAGGCTTTTCCAGAGACACCTCCTTCCAGGCTGTCCTCACGCTCTGTTCCTCACCTCTCAACTCAGGGACTTTGAAGAGCTGTTCTTTTTGCCTATCAGAACTCCCTTCCGCTGCCAGCCAGTAACATCCTCTTTAGCTCTCTACTCAATCCTGACTTCCTCAGGGATACCTTCCTTGTTCTCTTCACTGCACCTACTCCCCCCATTTTATGCCATGGTAGCATCAAGTATCTCTCCCTGTGGCACTTCACATGGCAAGATTTTGTATTTACTTATGTATTTTTTGATGATGGTCACTTTCCCCAACTTAAGCCTGAGTTCCTTGAGTGCACGAACATTGCCAGCTTTGGCTAGCGCCAAACATAGGGCAAATGTTTAAGTATACATGGAACAATAAATTCTTGGAGCAAACTTTATTTTCTTTTAAGAGTTGATAAAGTCTAACAGCTAGTTAATGTGATTTTAAAACCATGTCTGGCCTTATAGTGGCTCAGTATAGTAAAGAGATGCTTGAAAAAAAGAAAAAAAAAATCAGGCAACAAAAAGTACCCTCAGCATGTAAAAGGAAGCAAAAGACCAATTTTTCACTTGGCTAGGCTCCCAAATGCTCTATTTTGTTCAACTTATATCCCTCACATGAATACGGCTGCCAATTGATTTAGTGATGCACATTTTGTAGTTGGTGGATTTTAATTCTAACATATACATTCAGAAATAATAACAGATATTGAGCAACCTAAACCACCTGAGTTTAATTCCTGTTCCCCAATTTCCAAACTGTGTACCTCTGGGGCACTCCCGTAACTACCTGTGCCTCATGTACACCATCAGTAACGTGAGCATATCTACCTCACTAGCGGGAACAGGCCCCGACACATGTGAATGTGCCTCGAACAGAGTCTGGCACATAGTAAGCTCTCAGTAAATGTTAGCTATCTCCATTACTCTTCCATTACTACTATAAGACGTATTCTGCTTTAAGTGATTTACATGTATTATTTATATAAATTAAGTCTTATTTTTGGGGGACAGAGGCTCTGTTGCCCAGGCTGGAGTGCAGTGGCACCATTTCAGCTCACTGCAACCTCTGCCTCCCGGGTTCAAGCAATTCTCCTGCCTCAGCCTCCCGAGTAGCTTGGACTACAGGCGTGCGCTACCACGCCCGGCTAATTTTTTGTATTTTTAGTAGAGAAGGTGTTTCACCATGTTAGCCAGGATGGTCTCGATCTCCTGACCTTGTCATCCACCCGCCTCGGCCTCCCAAAGTGCTGGGATTACAGGCGTGAGCCACCGCACCCGGCCCATAAATTAAGTCTTACAATAAGGTGGATTACCCCCACTTACACATGTGGAAACTGAGGATGCTAGAATGAGAATACTGGAGGATCTAGTTGTTATGCCTCCCCCAGTTTTCCTTCAGGATGCTTTTTCTGTCTGTGTCCAGCTCTGGGTTTACTCCGCAGAGCGGTCACCAGCTCCTCAGGTGAGGCTGGCAGAACTGCCCTTCACTTCCTGGGTTGAGAAATCTCTCCTTCCCCTGCCCACAGACTCTTCCAAGTTGTTGCAAATCTACCCAGCTGGGGCTATCAGGACATCTCCCTTCCTTCCTCTGAATTTACAAGCACTTCTCTGAGTCCAAGTGAAGGCCAAACAGTGGGCAGAATGTAGAAGGAGACGGCACTGGTTGGACTCGCATTGTTTATCACTAAGACAAACACTTCCTGTTGTCCCAGCTTGGATAGGGAAGCCCACTGTACATGCGGGCTGGAAAAGAATGACAAAGGCGCAGAAAAAAAAAAACCCAGCTGCAAAGCCAATGCCTTCGTCTTAGTACTTTCCAAGAGTTAAATATAGCCCCTGTGTGAGGGACGGCAGAGGCAGTGAGGTCACCTTGGAAGACTTTTGTGTGTGTTAATTACAGCGATTGCAGGAAACTGAATATCCTTTTATGCTTAAGAGAATAGTACAAATTTGACTCCACAGGATAGAAACACAAAAGCATTCATAAGAAGGGAGAAGGCAAAAAATAGTGGGAAGAATTTGGGACTTGGAGGACTTGGTTTGGGCTCTAACTCCTCCCATTTGCCCGTACGTAATTTCGGATGAGTTATTTAACCCCCTCAGAATCATCTTCCTCTTCTGTAAGAAGGGGCTTAGAAAGCCCATGCACAGGTTTGTGTGAGGGGGAAATGAGGAATGGCTGGGAAAAGGCTGGTAAATCGTAGGGATTATTGTTAGAGATGGTAGAGTACCATTCTTTGATGCACTGTTATTTCAGGAAGACAGGGTGGTCATGGAGAGTTTCTGGGAGCCACTCTTCCCAGGAGTCAGGCTAGGGTGACAGGCTCAGGGAAGCCCCACATCCTCAATGGCCTTACTCGCATCAGCTCTGCCCAGGTTCTTGTCCTCCACCAGGAGGGCTGTCACTTGGGGCATTTTGTTTCTCAGCTCTGGGCCTCCAGGGAAGCCACAACTTCTTCTCCCCAAGGCATTTCCAGACCACACAGGAGGGGGTAGAGGAAGGCCACCCGCTTCTGAGGAAACAGCTTTTGGCTGTGGGACTGGGCTCTCCCAGAATTGTTCCTTTGTCTGCGGATTCCTCCCTGTTGAGCTCACAAAGGAAATGGGTCCAGGAGGAAGTGGAAAACTGTGACACACACGCGCACTCCTCACACAAGATGGCAGCTGTTTCCGCATCCAGCGTCCTGCACCGCCTCCTTCACCAATGGCGTGGGGAAGCAGAGTAGTCCCAGGGAGTAATCTGGGATGCCTGATGGTAAAAGCAGGTAGTATTTTCAAGTGCTAAAGTGATGTTCCAGATGTTGTGCTAAGCATTTTGCATGGATTACCTCACTTACTCCTCATAATGACCCTGTGAGGTAGGTTCTGTTTTTGCCTGCGTTTACACATGAGCCAAGTGAGGCTCAGAGAGGCACTGTCATTTGTCTAAAGGCACACAGTTGGCAGGTTAAGATTCAAACCTAGACCTCATTCCAGAGCCTAAGCTTTCAATCGCAGCACTAGCGTACCTTCTGGCCTTCTTTTCATAGGTGTCTCCTACCTGCAAAGCTTGCTGGAACCAGCAGTGAGCTCCTCTGACCATTCCCCAACTGATGTTCATTCACCAGGTCGGATGTCTGGCCTGAGGCCTAGGTGAGGCTGGGGATTTCTGCTTTTGAGATGTCTGAGTTTGGGGACCCATCTCATCAACCTCCCCGGGCTGACAGCAAAGCCTCTGACTAGGGGTATGTGGATGATATAATCAATAATAATAAAGCTATCTAATAATAACAGCCAAGATGTATTGAACACTTCCTATATGATGGGTACTGTGCCTTACACTTTTACTTCTTTTAAAAAATAGGACCTCATGGCCGGGTGAGGTGGCTCACGCCTGTAATCCCAGCACTTTGGGAGGCTGAGGTGGGCGGATCACTTGAGGTCAGGTGTTTGAGACCAGCCTGGCTAACATGTACTAAAAATACAAAAAAAAAAAAAAAACACCAAAAAAACAAAAAACCCTCATGTCTGTAGTCCCAGCTACTCAGGAGGCTGAGGCAGGAGAATCGCTTGAACCCAGGAGGTGGAGGCTGCATGAGCCAAGATTGCACCCCTGCACTCCAGCCTGGGCGACAGTGTGAGATTCCATCTCAAATAAATTAATAAATAAAAATAAATAAAAATAGAACCTCAGGTGGACAAAAATCCTAATCCTTGCTTCATGAGATACTCTCATTATAGGCCCATGCATGCCATATTTTTATTTAGTTATTTATTTATGTAGTTATTTTTGATAATGGAGTAAGCACACACAAACTTACCATTCAAAGCAAAAGCCAGGATCTTGACAGTATCTTACATCTAACTTTATGATCCCGCCCTCCTGCCTACCCTGCCCAATCTCACTATCATCCTGAATGCTGTGTTCACCATGTCCTTGCTTTCCCCTCTATATAGTTTTAGTACAACCAGATGTACTCCTGAAAATATTATTTTAAATTTTTAGTTTAAAAATTTATTAAAAGAATATACAGTGCTATAGGTACTCTTTTGTGACTTTTTCTTTAATATTATGCTGCTAAGATTTATCCATATTGCTGCTTGTCATCGTGTTCATTCATTTTGACTGTTACATGCTATTCCATTGTAGGAATATTCTCTGTGCCTAACACTCAGTGCCTTTACCTCATTTGCTCTTTGCAGCAACCCTATATGGTGGGAACTCTTATCCCAGTTTTACTGACAGGAAACTGAGGCCTAGCAAGGTTAAACTTGCCAGAGGCCATAGGAGCCAGGGTTGGAAACTTTCCACCTCCCACAGTGCGCTGTGTTTTGGTGCTCTGGAGAAAACACAGGCATTGGAGCCAGAATCTCAGGGCTCAAGCCCCAGCTCCACACTTACTGGTTGTGTGACCTTGGGCAAGTCGCTGTGTGTCTCTGACCTCAATTTCCTCAACATCAAAGTGGGGTGATCATAACTGCCCTCCCTACCTCCACAGGCCTGTTGTGAGACTCAAGGCTGATGATGCTGTTGAGAAGCAGGAGCACCCTGTATACTGAAATTTTATAAATCAGTAAATTGTGATTAATATAAATGTGCCATCCTCTTACCTCCCACTTCCAATCAAACAACGGAACTCATTTAGAATTCAGAAGAGACTGAATAGCACCTCATTCAGAAAAACAAAGCATTAGGTGGACAATCGGCTTGCAGAAAACTCAGTGTGATCAAGGAATCAGAAAATCATCAGCAGATGCCACAGGCTACACTAATAGGAGTATGTGGTTGGCTTTGTTCTATTCAATAGAGTTTAAAAATTATTTTTTACTATTTCTGACCTATTTGCAATATCTGAGACCCTACCCTGGTGCTGTTTGTTTGCGGCATTTCCTCTGCATAATCTGTTCTCCAACTGCTACCTCCTGGTAGCTGTGTGACATTGGGCAAGTGACTTCTCTGTGTCTGTTTCCACATCTGCAAAATTTGGATAATAATAATACTTATTCCTCACAGGGCTGTTGTGAGGATCCAGTGAGGTGTTACATAAAGTGCTTAGAGAAGTCCCTGATGCATGCCAAGCTGATGATATGATTATTATCTAAAATCTCCCCCACACCCCAGAAAGTGCTTGCTTATCCTCTGAGAGTTGGTTTAGATGCCACTTCCTCCGGGAGGCTGATCCAGCCTTCCTGGACAGGTGAGATTCCCCTGTTCTATGCGCCAGAGTAGATGACTTGTTCGATGTCCACTGTGAATCCATGAGGACTGAGATGATGCCTGACTTAGTATCTGCCCAGTGTTCAGCACAGTAATGGGTACACAGCAGGTGCACTGGGGAGGGGCTAAGTGACAACCTGGAATTCATAGAAAGGACCACAGACTAGGGAGGCCCCAAGAATCCTGCCTCTGACAAATGTCTCCAAGAACAGAAGGGCTCTTTGGGAGTGGGAGAAGAGAAGGGGTGGAGCAGATGTGCTACCTGGGGAGCTGGGGCCTTGGGGAGCAGACATGGATCAGGAGTGACAGTTCCAAGACCACAATATTAGGTTTGGTGTATAGAAGAACTTTCCAGCAATCTGAACTAAGAGAGGCAGATAGGTGTCCCTTTCAAGAGGGATGGAGCCCAGGTGGGATAGTCCCTCCTCAGGAAGGCTAGGGAGGAGTCAGTACAGTAGGTAGCTGTGGCATTGTGAACCCAGGTGAGATGTATCCAACATCAAACTTGGGATTTGGCTTCCCTCACCCAGGCAGGTTTCATCATTTCACCAAGCCTGTTTTCTCAATGTAAGACAGAGATAATAACAGTGCTTACCTCAAAGGGTTGTGGCAAGAAGAAAGGGAGACAATGTATGAAGACTGTATGCATCATGCCAGGTACATATGAATCATGCTTGTAAGGGTTCATTATGATTACTAATGTTGCTGCGGTTGTCAGTGATGAAAGGAAATCACCCAGGGCCTAGATTAGATATTCTAGGTGGGAGGCTGGAAGCTGAGCTCAGATGGCCACTCTGACTATCTGCCCAGGTAGGAAGTCTTCCCTCTTTTCCTTCCCTCTCACCTGCAGAAACCTTTCAGTGTTAAACCTGGATTTGGTTCTGGGCCAGGCCCCCATGAACCTGCCCCACAGGAATCCACCCCTGAATAGGCTCTAGGAGACCCCGGGGTGATTCCTGCCTCCATCATTGGGGTTGAGGATCCAAGAAAACGTTGATCAAAAGTCATGGAAATGGATGTTTTGAGTTTTGAAATGCCCCAAATATCTCTCTGCTTCTGCATTAGACTAACAATTGTGTACAATTAACCCTAACTCAAAGTGGAGAGTTTAAAGTTTTATGTATCTCTGCTTTTAAACATCAAGGTGAGTTGGTCTTACAGTCTGCTGCTCACCTGAGATATTTGCCCTACCTCCTAACTGGCCACCTCTTTCCAATCTCTCCCTTTCCATTCGAATGTGAGCTCACTGCTGGCTTTAATAATTTCCCCAAATTGCAACACATCATAATCTCTTCCTGCTCACAACTCATCCACTGCTCCCCAGGGCCCAGAACACCAGTTTTCCTTTGTGACATAGATGATGAAAGATCCTCACGTGCCCCATGCACTCCCTGTGGCTTATCTCCAACGTCTCCGTAATCCCATCCCTTCCCAGGATGGGCAGGCAAGGAGCGAGGGTGAAAGTGTCAGAGATAACTTGGATTACTTTCTAACTTATTAAGAAAGGCAGTCATTTCTAAACCTGAGTTTTAGGCATTTGCTTTCTTTTTTCAAAAAGTTGACTGCTTCTTATGTGCTGAGTGCTTTCACTATATGAATCCAATGAGCCCTCATCGTAGATAGGAGACTGTTATCTCCATTTTCAGTTGAAGAGACAAACTCAGGGGGTTAAACAAAAGGAGTAGAGCCAGGATTCAAACCCCAGGCAACTTGACACCACGGCCAGAGCCCTCAGTCGTCATACTCTCCTTTCTCTATTATTAGTTACAGATTGCAAGCCGCACAACCTGTAAGGACTGGGACACACCCAGTAAGCGACTGGGAGAATACATCCCTACTCTTTGGAAGGACATGGAGGCCCCATGTCACCTCCATCTGCTCTTTTGGGCTCTCGGCATGCTGCCCCGCTTTGCTTTCTGAGCATGCTTCTGGGCTCTTCTTTCCACGATTTTCTCCATCTGGAATGCCATCTCTACAGGGCTCCTGGCTAGGAAGTGTCCCTTGAAACTTCTGGTCCTTTATATATTCTCTTTGATGGACACTGACTAGATATGACCTCACGTTCCAGGCATCGGTGACCAAGTTTCACTTTCTCTGCCACACTGGGAGATTCAGGGACCCTGAGCTTCCTCTGTGGAACCTCTGAGAGCTGCACCTGGTTGCTGGCTGGAGGTGAGGAAAGGCCATCAGGCTCTCTGGCTTCCTGGCACACTCCCAGGAGATCAGTTTTCTTTTTGGTCCAAGTGGAGCTAAAAAAAAATCCCCCTTGGTTTTGCATCAGCAGGATCTGCTTTCAGCAAACCCTTCAACAAGAACGGGCAGGAAGAGTAAATATTTATTCTACAAATGAATAAATCTGGTTCCATCTTCAAAAGAAAACCTTAGTATAAATTATCATAATTTCTCCATTCTAAGATGCCACTGATTTGAAGATATTTTCATATTGAACAACAGCTTTTTGAAAAAAAAGAGAACAAAATGAATAAATTAAGATGTCAATTGTAAGGTATGTTCTGAGTTTTTTTTTAAAAAAATCTTTGTATCAATGAAATAAAAATACATATGGTTTAATTTAATTTTGATTTTCTTCTTTTGGCTTCGGTGCTGTCAGAAAAAAAAATTCTCCAAAACTTTGACTAGGCCACGGTGAAACATGGGCAGATATCAACAATGTGTCCCAGCCAAGTCCCACCACTGAACCTAGGTGGGCTCCAGGTCAGCAAGGACACTTCCTGGTCACCCGTGCACTAATGGCAGCCCTGAGGCCCTGCAAAGCCAATGGACAGGCTTTCTCCCCAGCAGAAATATGTCCGTGTTCTGCTGATACCTGGTAACCACGTCAATGACATGTGGAAAGCCAAACGGGAACCTGTCAGGTGACTGTAGGCAAGCCACTACTCCTTGTACCTGTTTCCCCAGTTGTAGAATCAATGAGATAGGATTAGGTAAGTGGTTTCCTAATGCTCTTCTGATGAAGCCTATGGGATCTGCATAGCTTCCTTAGGTGCTGCCCCGGTGGTAAGAGGGATGGAATGGGCTGTGCTCAGTGTTCTCATTCCCACTTCACCCATAGCAGCTCTGTTGCTTAAGATTTTGTTTGCAAAAGGTTTCTGAGGCCAAAAGTAGTTTGAAAAACACTGGTAAATGGCATTCTGGGGTCTTCCCAACACTACTCTTGAATACACACTCTCGTATGGTTTAAGGACAGTGCTTCATTCCTTGGTTTGGACACACCCTCAGAATCCTTCTCACCACAGTGCTCCAGGGAGACACTCCCAATCTCTCTACAGCCTAATCCAGGGGTTGGCCAACCTTTTCGGTAAAGGACAAGATACTACATATTTTAGGCTTTGTTGGCCTCTGTTTCAACTACCCAACTCTGTCCTTATAGTGAGAAAGTAGCCCTAGACAATATATAATGAACAGGTGTGGCTGTGTTCCAAGAAAACTTTCTTTACAAAGACAGGTAGCAGGCCAGATTTTGCCCTTGGATTGAGGTCTGCTGGTCCCTGCACTCTAATACTTCAACCTTAATGGTGAAGGAACTGAAGCCCAAGGGGGGAATTCAAGGAACTTGGTTAGGATCCTTATCTCCCGGCAGTGAATTGCTTCCACCACACTACACTACTCATTTAGCTGTGACTCTTGCCCTAAGTTGAACTGCAGGCATCTGGGGACTACATGGTTGAGGGAATGGCGCCTGGAAAAGGCACGTATTCCATTTCTCTCTCTCAGGAGATCAGTTTTCCTCTAGGTTCTTAGAGGGCTATAAAAAGCCCCCAAGCTTGCCTCCTGTGAGGCGTGCTGTCCATCAATTCCCCAGAACTGGTATGACTGCAATGTGGTGCCACATTCTGCCCCTGCCGCAGCCTGACAGCTGTGCCAGGGAGAAGAATCACGCCAGGCCAGCTCTGCACCTTCACTCCCTACTTGGGGCAAGGCTGGGATTCCCCGAATGGAATTGTAGATGGAGGATAGACCCCGGCCGGGCCCTCCCGGCTCAGCCTCCTTTGTTAATTCCGGGATAATGAGAGCTTCATGAATGCTGAATACCAGAACTCCAAGGGCCACAGCAGGAAGAGTGTGAAGGATAAGAAATAAAACCTCATGCAGGCTGCCCGGCTATACCCCCTCATCGATAAAGGATGTTCCCTAGAATTATTCAGACCTCCTTTTCCTCGTCTTCTCGGCACCCTCCTTGTCCCCACTTAGAAATCTTTACCTAGTCAGCCCATCTTAACTAGCAAGTCCCTCGTATATCTAACCTGGAGATAACCCTCCAACATTCATGGAGAAGCAGCAGAGAGCAATGGTAAAGAACTCAGGTATGGAGGTGAGTTGGGCTGCATAAATAGGCCTTTCAAAGCCTCAGTTTCTTCATGTATAAAATGGGAATATGACAGTATCTACTGAGTCATGGTGGGCTTTCAGCAATAAGTACACTTGACTGTAACTATTAAGCATTTGCTATTGTTAGACACTGGGAATATGGCACAAAAGATACTCCTAGGCCTCAGGACTCATACACACATAAAACAGATATTTCAACAAGTGTGGTGAAAACTTCCAAAAGCCCAGTCTGAGGAGGGTGGTGGTAACCCAAAGTCAGGAGAGACCTAGAGGTGGATGTGGCAGGGAGATGACGCTGAGCTGCATCTTTCAGGAAGGGGGAAGAGCAGAGTCATCTGTTTGAACCTTAGTTATTGCATCTGTCCAATGGGGAGAATGTCTCTGCTATCTACTTCATAGGGCCATCACCAGGGTCAAGAGATGCGACAGAAAAGAAACTCAGGGCTGGAAGGGTCTCCAGAAAAAAGAATTTAGTGGGTCAATTCTCTGTCTGATGAGTCCCCCATTACACAGGTTCCTTCTTGCCCATAGCAACCCCCCCACCGTGAATGACTGCTAAGTGACAGCGTGTATGATCACATGGGCAGGGGTTGCCCAGCCTCTGCACAAAGCACTCTGTGGATGATGTGCAATGTCCCTGAAGCTAAGCTGAAATGAAGATAACTGGTGAATGTCAAAGTGCTTCTAAAAGTTAAAAAAAGGTATGTTCTCATAACACGGAAGTGAGCGGCTGAGCCAGGGCTTGGATGTGGGTGTTCTGCTTCCATGTCCAGATCCATTTCCATTCTGGCACTCTGTGCTGGGATATTTATTGGAGGCTGGAGTTCACATCACCTGGGAGTCCATGGTGGAGGGCAGGGGAGGGAAGGGGAGGGAGAAGCCAAGATAAACACAATGCATCTCCGAAGGTCCATTTTGTACAAAGATATTTTGAGAGGGTGATAGAAGGGGTTAGATATATTATGGATGCTAACAAAAAATTTGCATGGCTTTTTAAAGATAAAATGAGACATTTCATGCTTTCAGAGGTTGCTTTGGGTAACAGACCCAGACCCTAGAGTCTCATTCAGTTGAAAAGTGTGAAAGACAGAACTAGAAGCAGGTATTTGAGCAAGGTCAAGGGTCAAGATAAAAGCAGTGCATGAAAACAGTAATTATCACCCTTGTGTGAACATCAGAATCACCTGGGGGATGTGCCAGGAAAAAAAAAAAAAGCAGATTCCCAAACCTCTGACCCACTGATCAAATCTTTGTGGGTGTATTTTCAGTAGGCTCCACAGGGGGTGATTCTGAGCCCAGCTGGATTTGAGAACCACTGCTTTAGATAAATAGGGAGTGGTCCTTAAGGCAGGCTGGAGAGGGCAAGAGCAGAAACAGGAAGCTCCTATCCGAGGCAACAGGATACAGAAGCCATCCAAGATATATTTCCCAATAATAGTCAACAGGATTTGGGATTTGACTGTATAAAGGATGAAGGCAAAGGAAATGATGGATAATGATGAAGTCTACATTTCTGTCCCTAAAGTGAGAATCATTGACATGGAGAATCCTGGAGTTAAAAGTGGCCATATCCAACTCCTCCTCCGTGAATTATGTACTCTCACTTTCATTTATTCATCATCTCAACAGACATTTATTGAGCACCTACTATGCATCAAGCATTACACTAGGTCCTGGGGGAAGGGCAGAGACCAAGGAGAGGAGAGCCCTGCCCCAACAGAGCTCATATGAACAGCTAATTCAAGCCCACAGTGAACTGTGATTGAGAAGTGCAGGGTGCTCTGAACATCTACAACAGGCATGTATCTTGGGAGATTGGGAAACATTGCCTTGAGGAAGTCATATTTCAGCAGTGAGCTAAGGAAGAGCAAGGGTGAACCAGGTGAAGGCACAAAATATTCAAAGCTGCAAGGAGCAGGGCCAGTGTGAGAAGAGCCCAGGGCAAGAGGTAGGTGGGGGTCCAAAGCGAGCTGGCAAAGTGTGCAGAGGGCAGACAGGGCAGACCTGAGGCACCACAAGGACAGTAGCTGATGTTTTATAAACAATGAGAAACCACTGAAGGGTTTAAGCATAATCAGACCAGTAGCTATAAATAACTGTCCTTAATTGCATCAGGCGGTCTCCCCAAATTCCATCCTTAAGCATAGATAATTCATAAGTCCTATTAAAAGCTATAATGTACTGTACATTTAAAAAAAGAATGCTTTAGGTTGAAACATACACTCCTAGAAGTCCTGTTCTCTACAGTGTGCAAAAGGGTCAAGCTGCGAAAGCTTCTTGAATTTTACGTGAGAGTAGTCCTTAAGCTACATACTAAGCCATTCCGTGGCTTCCCTGATCTGTGGTCACTCAAACTTTGACTCTTTGCATCCCTAGGCAACTTGTATTCTACCATTGAACAGTTCTTTTCATTTGTATGCTTCTCTTAGATTGAGCCCAAACTGGCCTCTGTTTAATCTCCTTCTGTAGAAACTTTCTATTACCTCTTCTACAGGACAACGAATTTGAGAACTGATTCCATGTCCCCACTTCAACTTTAGTCTTGCTCACAAACACCCCCATTTCCTTCAATAACTTCTCATGTGGTTGAGTTGCTGGCATAAAAAGAGAAACAGGAAGGGTCATCTGATTTGGTGGTGAATAAGATGAGCTCAAAATTGGGTCACCCAAAGGCGGAGTTGACCTCGGAATGGAAATGTACTATAGGCAGGAGGTCATGAGGAACTGGAGGCCAAATCGTGGCTGGTGATGGACATCTGAGAGTTACTCTCATAGAGGGGTTTAGTTCTTCACAGGAGTGAGTGTAGCAAGAGGGCTGAGGTGGTCAGGAGATCAGGGGAGAGAGGGGCAAGCACCACAAAAGACAGAGCAAGAAGATAGAGACAGAGCAAGAGGGAAGATAGAGCAAGTGGGAGAAGATGGGAAATAACAATTAGTAAGCACCTACTATGGGCCAGGCACTGGGAGCTAGGCAAATATTATTGCATTTCAGTCTCCCAACTATGGGTGTCATTCTTCTTGCTTTACAAAGACTGAGGAAACAACTTGGTTGGGTAACTTGTCTTAGTGTGGGAGAGGCCTAGAGGCTATGAGCACCTATAACATTGGGATGGGGCAGGGAGAAGGCAGAAAAGGCTTCCTGGAGGGATGAGGCAGTGGTTATTTAACCTAGACTTATTCGACCCCCAAATCCATGATTTTCACATCTCTGCAAATTAGGAGAATACATCAGAAAGGAGTAGAGGCTCAATCAACAGAGCTACAGGCCAGGAGATGGGATTTGATGGAGGTGAAAGGCTAGACTTTGGTCCAATGGAAGTGGAAGCCATTTGTGACCCGTCAGAGAGGGTTCTCAGTGGAGGGTGTGATTGGAAGCAAGGCTGCAGGAGGTGAAAGGAGTGTGCAAGAGGAGTTGCTGACCATTTGAGAAGTTTGGCCAGGAAAGGAAGGAGGAAAATGCTGGGGTTTGGTGGGGGTGTTGCACACAGATGGGTTCACTTTTTTGTTTGGTTCTGAGGTTTTCTTGAAGATTAAGAAGGGTATGAGAAGCTGATGGTATCTAAAACCAGGATTGTTTTTCTGGACCAAAGATGAGAATGGAGTAACGATATGTTCTTGGCAGAGGGTGGGAGGGAGGAACTTACTTGGCAGAATGCTTACTCATGTGAAAACGGGAGTTTGAAACTGATATTTGAGGGAGAGGCTGGCAAAACTTTGACAAAAATGGAGAAGCCAAACAGCTTCTGTGGGAGACAAAGAAATGGAAGCAGTGCCCAGTGACCAGGAGAAGCCTCCATAGGGAACAGAGTTAAGTCATACGGCCCCGTATGACTCCTTACACCCATTGCAGAGTGTGGTTAAATTCTGAGTGCTAGACTACATGTATTACTCTTGCTATGACATTCCAAATGAAGACACTGAAGGGTCAGAAAAAGTGACTGCCCAAGGTCATACAAAAAGTTGCAGTCAAAACTCAAACTCAAATTTGTCCATTCTCTGAACCACTCAGCTCCACTGGGTCCCAACACTGACAAAGATGACCCATGACATATGTTTGGATCAAAAAGATGATTCGAATATGGATAAGGGTTCCTTTCAAAAGACCATTACCATAGAAGGAGTAGGAAATGAACTTGGATGTCAGGGAAGAGGTATGTCTGCATGGAAATTCACAGCCTTGGGGACAGAAGTTGGGTCTCAGGTCACTGCAGGGGGAGGTCATCATATGGATTAGCTACAGGCTGCCTGGTCAATGGACACTGTAGGGAAGACATGGCCTTCCTAATTTGGATCTCAAAAGCTGGTTCAACGGAGGCAAGACACAGGCAGAATGGATTCTCAGATCATCTGTTGAGCAATGAAAATCTCATTTCATGAAAAGAAGAGCATCAGATTATTTCTTGAATTGCCCAGTAGACAACATGATCTCCCCAAGAACACAGAACGCAGCAAAAGAAATTCCTGTCTTGGGTTCAATTCAACTGCAGTAGTTGAAAAAGAACCAGTTGTGAAGGGGAAAGGAAAGGAACCTTGAGGGAAATAAATCACTCCACATGAGCCTGGGAGATCAGACATAATGTTGGACATTAAGAAGGCAAATTTTAAAAAATCAGAAAAAATTCAGACCATAGCCTTAAAGAGATGGTGATCCAAGAAGAATGAAAAGTTCACAAAAGCAAAACTGTGATGACATAGCCACAGTCAGTAGGCTTGAATAGAGAGACTATATAACAGAAAATGAACATTTCAGTCACTCAGCAATGTCATTTGGACAGTGGTCCAGTTATTGAAGGTCATAAGTGGATTTCCAAGAGATAAGCACCATAAGGGATCACTGTGATACAAACAAGATTATAACCTGTTCCCTGTCTTTGAGTTGTACACAAAGCTGTCTAATTCAGTATTTAAAACAGAGCAGGGACTCAAAAAGCAACATCAGAGTTGGAGTAGCTTGTGGAAGAAGCAAGTGAAGTTCTGTAAAGCAGTCTTATTAATGGTGAGTGTGGGAAAAAAAAATTGTAATTACTAAAATAGCCAGCATTTATTGAGTGGATCCCCTATGCTAGGTATTATTTGTAGGTTATTTATAACAAATCCAAGAAGTAGGTGCTATCAGTATCATAATTTATCCTCATCTGCGGGTGGTGCCATTTGCTTTAGATGTATGATGTGGTAGACAGGGACAGAGAGCTAATTAACTTGTTCTGTAGAAGGCGGTGTCCATAGACATTGGCTTTACCTGATGGTTGATTCTCTTGTGTGGTATTTGTGAATCAGAAAACCCTCTGGAAGGATTGCCATTATGATATAAGTGGTTTCTATGTTTGTTACTGTGCTTTATGAATCCTTTTCTCTCCCCATGGGAAAACACATACCCTGTTGGAAGAGAAATTCTACTTTCGGCGTTTGTTTCCATTCTCAAGTCACTTGACTTTGATGCTGAGCTTTTTATGCTCAGCAAATTCACAGCAATTGCTGTGAAATATCTGAATAGTGCAGCTTAAGTGCCATGGAGATGTCTGGGGCCTGAAACAGGAAGATTTGGCATCTAGGTTCTGCTCTAAGGCTTGGGCAGGTCACCTGCCACCAAGGAGGCAGTCAGCAGCAAGCTTAAGATCAGGACTTTGATATGGAGACAGCTGGGTTTGAACCACAGCTCTGTGTCTCATATGGAGAATGAATGAGCAAATTAATGTCAGTGACCTAAGCTTGTTGTTATGGACTGAATTTTGTCCCTCCCAAATGCATATGTTGAAGCCCTAACCCCAAGTGTGACTGTATTTGGAGACAGGGTCTTTATGGAGGTAATTAAGGTTAAATGAGGTTGCAAGGGTGGAGCTCTAATCCAATAGGACTGGTGTCCTTAGAAGAAGAAGAGACGGCCGGGCATGGTGGCTCACGCCTGTAATCCCAGCACTTTGGGAGGCTGAGGCGGGTGGATCACGAGGTCAGGAGATGGAGACCATCCTGGCTAACGTGGTGAAACCTCATCTCTACTAAAAATACAAAAAAATTAGCTGGGCATGGTGGTGCACGCCTGTAGTCCCAGCTACTCGGGAGGCTGAGGCAGGAGAATGGCATGAACCAAGGAGGCGGAGCTTGCAGTGAGCCGAGATCCCACCACTGCACTCCAGCCTGGGTGACAGAGTGAGACTCTGTCTCAAAAAAAATTAAAAAATGAAGAAAGAGGAAAGAAGGAAGAAAGAAGAAGAAGAAGAGGAAGAGGAAGAAGAAGAAGAAGAAACACCAGAGATCTTTCTCTGGATGCACAGAGAAGAGGCCACGAAGGGACATGGCAAAAAGTGTCCCTACAAGCCAGGAAGAGAGGTCCCACCCGACACTAACCCTGACTGCACCTTGATCTTAGACTTCCAGCATCTGGAACTGTGAGAAAATTAATTTCTGTTGTTGCAGCCACCCAGTCTGTGTATTCTGTTATTGCAGCCCTTGCTGGCTAATACCCTGGCTGAGCCTGCTTTCCCCTGAGGTATGATTCATGATAGTCCCAGCTCATAGGCCCCATCCTATGGGTTGTTCTGAGAGGAGCCACATAAGAAGCTGAGGACAGTGCCTGGCACATGGCAACAGTTTGATGATTTCAGTTATTATCGTGAATACCAATGTGTGGTTTTCTTCCCTAGTCAGCTGGGCATGACAGTCCCATCTCTCACATGGTAGGCAGGAGGCTGAAATGAGACCTGTGCTTCTTAAGCCTTCCCTGATGACAGAAGAGAGTGCACACCTGCCTGGGAACAGGGGTACAAGAAAGGTCTGCTGGAATACTTTTTTTTTTTTTTTTTTGAGACAGAATCTTGCTGTGTCGCCCAGGCTGGAGTGCAATGGCTCGATCTCGGCTCACTGCAACCTCCACCTCCCAGGTTCAAGCGATGCCTCCTCTCCTGTCGCAGCCTCTCGAGTAGCTGGGATTACAGGCGCCCGCCACCACACCCAGCTCATTTTTGTATTTTTAGTAGAGATGTGGTTTCACCATGTTGGGCAGGCTGGTCTCGAACTCCTGACCTCAAGTGATCCACCCACCTTGGCCTCCCAAAGTGTTGGGGTTATGGGCGTGAGCCACTGTGCCCAGCCTGGAATACTTGAAGTCTCATGTTTTATCTTAAAAATGCATGCAGATTTTTCATTCTGATTCATAAACGGTTGTGTTTGCAATTATTTATCAGAGTAGAGAACTGAGGAGCCAGACAGTTAAACTGATCTTGTGTGCCCAGCCACAAGACCACTTTACTTGAGATGGCCTTTGTAAGTCACCAAGAACTGATCTGAGTATACTTAGTACTATTCTCAAACTGATTACTTGTACAGCAATGTTGATTTTTAAAAAGAGAATACTACTAAGTATTGCTGTACAAGTAATCAATTCGAGGTGCACTATAAAGTGTGTTGTATTTTACTAATTAAACCACTGTTGGAGCTCCTCACTGTGCACTATGTGCCAGGTGCAGTGTCAGCAGATTGATCACAATAGATCCACTCCTTGCCTTCCTGAAGCTTACTTCTGGGTAGGGAGGCCGACACTAAAGAGTCAGATAACTATGTCTATAAAGTTGTGACAAGAGGTGTAAAGAAAGATAGCAGGCTAGAAAAGCCTGCAGGGAGAGAGCAGGTCAGAGCCCTCCTAGGCTCTCAGCACCAAGGGATTCCTGGGAAGTCTGACTTCCTAGGAAGAGTGCTCTGGAGGCAGCCTTCTGACGTGGAGGTTGTTGGTTACCAAGCATTTAAAGTGAAGTGAACTATTGTCACTCTGTCTTAGGATGACACAGTGCACTTTCCACAGGCCTGGGTAGGCCTAGGTATGGATTTTTGTACTGGAGATCAGACAGGTTGGTATTTAAAAACTGGTGGGGAGTGGGGGTGGTGGAGAGGTTGGGGAGGTGGCGGGCGACTAGGAGTGTGAAGGGGAGGGGGGATGGTGGTATTTGCTTTAGACGCATTATGCAGGAGGTGGGAACAGCAGGACTGAGGGGTGTGAGAGGTGCCTCTTCTCTCTGTTTTTCCTCCCTGATGTACACTCTTCACACTTGCCTAGAAATCAGTTAACAGGTGAGAACTGCTTTACAAATCTAGGCCTCAGTTGCTAAAGAACCAAACAGAAGCCCACTCTCTTTCCTGCCTGCCCTTCCCAGTCCCTGAAGGAGAAGGTGAATGCAGTATTCTCTGTTGGGGAGGGGCAAGTGAGGAGGTTGAACTGGAAGCCAGGAGTCCCCTCTGGCCCTCTGAGCTCGCCAAGCCTGACTTTCCGTTTAACAGGAGTAAGGGAGGTTACCCCACACCTGCTCCCGGCTCATCCCTGCCCCAGTGCCTGCTAATTGCTCCCATGCCCCTGTTCCCTTCTTTTTTTCCTCCCTTCGGGGGCTCAGCACAGCAAACAGGCAGATGGGGGAGAGGTGTGAGATTATCGTGGGGAGGGGAATGAATTTTCCATTATTAATAACAGCAACAACAACAACACTTCGCCTGTTGGCACAGCACTCACTAGTTTATCTAGTGCCGTCACACCTGTGATCTCTTTGGATCCCAGAGGTGCAGACTGAAACCCTGGGGTTCTGATTCCCAGCCTCTGACACTGTTCACATGTCCAAGCAGGCCACTTCTTTACAGACACACACATGCCCATCTGGCCATTGCCAAAGGCCATGTCTAGACCTTTACTTAAAATGTGCGCTGCCGGGCGCGGTGGCTCACGCCCGTAATCCCAGCACTTTGAGAGGCCGGGGCCGGCTGATCACCTGAGGTCAGGAGCTCCAGACCAGCCTGGCCAATATGGTGAAACCCCGTCTCTGTTAAAAATACAAAAATTAGCCGGGTGTGGTGGCGCATGCCTCTAATCCCAGCTATTCGGGAGGCTGAGGTAGGAGAATCGCTTGAACCCGGGAGGCGGAGGTTGCAGTGAGCCAAGATCGCGCCACTTCACTCCAGCCTGGGCAACAAGAGCGAAACTCCGTCTCAAACAAAACAAAACAAACAGAAAAAAATGTGCGCTAGCCCCCTACGAATGCTGCCCTCTCGGCTTATGTCAATCTCAATTTCAGTAAGTCCCCTCCACTTCTGTGAAACGTCTACCAAATACACTGGAAAAGGGTCGGCAAGGTGCCTTGGAGACCATCTAGTCCAACTTTGTCGCTGGTCCAGAGAGAAGGGCTGGGCCGAGGACACAGCTGGTGCGGGATAGAACCACCCCCGCCTCCTCCCTCCCTGGCGCACACATGCATGCACACGCGCGCCTGCTCACGGCGCTCCTCCTTCTCGCAATGCCCTAGGCAGCTGCAAACTTCGGTCCCCTAGAGCTTCTCCCTAGGGGCTGCCCACAGCGGGTGTTTCGGGAGTTGAACCTGTACACCTTGTTTTCCCCTTTAGAGTGGAATGAGGTGGGAGGAGCTCGCTGTCCTCCGGAAACTAGAGGGGGATCTTTTATGAAGTTACAAATCGTTAGCCTATGAAAACTCTGATTTCACACACGAGAGGCGAGTTGGCCCCAGGACACGGGCGTTGACACGCACCGGGTTGTCCCGGCAGCCGAAGGCACCTTTGCATAAGCGCCGCGTCTCCCAGTCCCCTCCGAGCGTTCCTCAGCCCCCGCCCCACCGCCCGCCTCTCTCCCTCCTCCTCTCCGGCTTCAGATCGTCCAGTCTCCCTTTCCCGCCCGGCGCCGCAACAAGTGCGGGCGTCGCGGCCCCTCTTACCCTGGCCTCGGTCCATGGCGCCGGCCCGGTCCCCGGGGAGCGGGCCGCAGGGCGCAGGGGCTCCGGCGCGGCTGGTAGCGGCCGGCGCGCTGCGCTCTCAGGCCAGCCCAGCGGCCGGCGCTCTCTGCGGTCCCCTCCCCCAGACAGGATGCTCGCCGGCAGCCCCCGCCCCGCCCGCGCCCGCGCCCGCCCCTCAGAGCCGCTCCCGGAATAGACCCGAGCACGCCTCGCCCCCTGGGCCGCAGCCCGCTGTCCCGTGGTGCCGCACACGCCCCGCCGCGCCCTGCCGCTCGCTCGCCCTCCGCGGCGCTCCCACTTGGGCTTGGAGGACCCTTTTCCCCGTCCGCACGCGTTCGTTCCCGCGCCCGCGCGGCCTGCCCCAGCCCGGACCCAGGAGGTGTGCGGCTTTGCTTGCACTCCGCTAGCGATGGGGTCTTACCACCGCACCCCTCAGCCGGCTCCATGCCGGAATGCGGAGACTGTTGGAGCGCGTTTTTATCCTAGGGAATCAAAACCCCCTTCCCTGCAGCCGCCACCCATTTCCTGGCTTTGGGCTTGTCTTCTCCATTCGCCGCGGGTCTTTCTTGAGCACCTTCTAAGCCAGACAGTGGGCCCGCGGCGATGCCGGTGCAATGTCAGTGGTGTTGCGAAAGAGGAGTTAAATAATAACAAAGATCTTCAGAAAGAAAAGCACCTGGGAAAGGGAGAAAGAGAGGCTTGCTGAAAGGTGGGCAAGGGCTTGGGACACTTTCAACTTTTGAGGTTCCTTGTGTACTAAAACGTGAAAACATAACGAGGATCTGGGAGAATTCAGAAAAAGAATAGAAAAATGAGTAACACGTGAAAACATGCAGAACAGGGTGATAAAAAATGTGGAAATGAATACTTTTAGCATACAAAATACAGTGCAATATAAGTGTACTTTTCGCAAGATTGTAGAAAATATTGCTATGACCAGTGTGGAACAGTAATGGGATCTAAGTTTAAAGCTGTATGAAGAATGTCAACTTCTTCACCTTATTAGTATATCCCTGTGAAAATAGGTCTCACTCATTTATACACAATATCAAATGTCTGACTTTAAGACCCTTCATAAAGTCCAGGACCAATTGTTCTCCTAGACACTGCTCCTCCCACCATGGGCCAGGCCATGGTTTTCAGCTTTGAGCTGACCACTGTTCCCTACTTAGAACATTCTGGAACAGGGAACAGCTACCACAGAGGTATGGAGGCAACAAAAGGCCTGGGAAAGACCCTCCTGTACTTTCCTGGACTGGGAATATTTTCTTTTCTTCTTTTTTTTTTTTCTTGAAAAGTCTCCCTTTGTCGCCGAGGCTGGAGTGCAGTGGCGCGATCTCGGCTCACTGCAACCTCTGCCTCCCGGGTTCAAGCAATTCTCCTGCCTCAGCCTCCTGAGTAGCTGGAATTACAGGCGCCCACCATCACTCCGGGCAAATTTTTGTATTTTTAGTAGAGACGACGTTTCGCCATGTTGGCCAGGCTGGTCTCGAACTCCTGACCTCAGGTGATCCACCTGCCTCGGCCTCCCAAAGTGCTGGGATTACAGGCGCCAGCCACCTAGCCTGGCCGGGAATATTTTCTCTATTGCTTTTATGGGCAAATTAAAATTAACATTTTCTTAAAATATTGCATCAGTAATTTAGTGTGTGTGTGTGTGAGCACTCAGACCAAATGTGATGTTGTGAACAGTGTATGAAAACTTGTGCATGGCTCTTGTTCTGTTAGTTTGGTGCAAAAGTAATAGTGGTTTTTGCCACTGAAAGTAATGGCAAAAAACGCTATTACTTTTGCTCCAATCTAAATACTACATAGTATAATAACTTTTCGTCAATGAGGTTTTCTTGCTCATCTGTGCTATGGGAAGCCTCATACTGTAAGTCCTCACAGGACTGTTGGTAGGGCAAATGAAATAATACAAACCCACTTTATAAACCACAAACAGCTATAAAATATGAGCCATTATTATTTTCTGAGTTCCTTTTTGTTGCTGTCCCCTTTTCCAATTTGAAAAGGTCAGTTTCAATTCTAAAGCAGCCAACCAACAATTTACCAGTGGATTAAGTTTTAAAAGTTTATTGTTTGAACTCTGAACACTTGGAAACAAGGCCATAAATTGTATTTTATTTTATTTTTTAATTATTATTATTATTATTTTTTGTATTTTAGTAGAGACGGGGTTTTACCATGTTGGCCAGGATGGCCTCGATCTCCTGACCTCGTGATCCACCCGCCTCAGCCTCCCAAAGTGCTGGGATTACAGGCGTGAGCCACCGCGCCCGGCCTCCCATAAATTGTATTTTAAGTTCTCAGGCTAGCTCACTAATTCTTCTAAAAACATAATATTTCATTTGAAATAATTTAGAAAAACAGTATGAAATGTTACTATTGCAAAAACAGACGGAGGCTTTTGTAAATATTTTTATTTTTATAATGTTTAAAAAAATATTTAAGATAGAGACAAGGTTTCACTATGTTGCCCAAGCTGGTCTCGAACTTCTGAGATCAAATGCTCCTCCGGCCTCGGCCTCCCAAAGTGCTAGGATGACAGGCATGAGCCTGTAGAGATGTTTAGAGAACTTTCAGAAACTTTCAAGGACTTTGGAGATATATTCAGAGAATTGGAACGAAAAAGTAAAAAAGGCTAAGGAAAATGGAATAATTTATGGAGTGGAATTAACTGAGCTGTGGTCTGGGAAGGATATAGAAATGGGAGAACACAGTCTGTGCACAGTTCTGAGAATCAACAAAAAATTGTTGCTGGCAAGGTATAGGGGTTCTGGTTTAAATAATTACCCATAATGTCCACTAGGTGGCAATGTTGACTAGTTGTCTACAGCTTGGTTGCTGTCAGAGTAACTGAGATGGATGAAAAAGTTATTTGCGGGTTTGGACAAGGAATAACTTTTTTTTTTTTCTGTATGTTTCCTTTAGTGAGTTCTATATTCCTCATAAAAACTAACAATCCACACTGCCCATAAATTCGCTTAGGCAATATTGATTGCACTCTGTGCAAGTTTCTATTGAGAGAAGAAATGCTAAGTAGGAATGATTCTCACCCTCAGGGAATCTACAATCTAGTAGAGGAGACAGACATGTATAAAATAATATAATATAAATTATTGTATGAAAAGTACCAGAGGAGAAATAAAGTGGTCTTGGAGTCCATCAGACAAAGTAAGACTTTTTTACTAATCATGGAGGCTGTAATGGATGACAGATATTTGGAAGGCAGGCAACTGAGAATGTGTAATGAGGAGATAACATTATGGGCAAAGAGCAGTGAGAGCAAAGACATTGAGCTCAAAGGCAGCAGGACGTGTCTGTGAAGCAGTTCAGGTTGGCTGGATCGTGGGTTATTGGGGGATAAGCATCAGGGCAAGGATAGGAATGAAGGTTGTGATACCTGCTTTTCTCTTCCCCTTTCCATTTCATTTTGAGTGCAACTCTCTGGCAAGGATTTTTAGAATCTGCCTCATATCTTCCTTTTCACTACCTACTTTGCTGACTTCCAAGTTTTCCAGGTTTGCCTGGATTTTGTCTAAAGAATGCTATGTGGGGAGCTCCAGCTCTGTAAGAAGGTATCAAATTTAGCCTTAGTGAACAATACCAGGAAGAAAGCTTTCAACTCCCTCCTGCTCCCTGTCTTGTGAAAACAAATGATACTCCCTAGTCTCATTCTTCGCTTATCAGGTGGAACTGGGAAACCCTGGGAAAGAAAAATTTGGAGGCTCAGGACTATTTGTTCCAGGGAGAGAAATATACTCTAGCCTCCTAACCTGTCACCTTACCTCTAGGGACTGTTTCCACCATGGCCAACAGAGCGACCATTCCATGATCCCAATCAGACCGTGCAACTACCCCCTTAAAAATATGTGATGGCTCCCCGGGCCCTCAGCGGAGAGTCCAGATTTCTTATTATGGTGTTTGGGGTGCCTTCTTCACTGAGCCTGCAGTGATCTCAGGAGACTTCAGGAAGAGTAAGAAAAACAACAGATGGGTGCTCAGATCTGGGTTCCTAAGTCAACTTCATTGCCGTGTGAATCTCAGTTCTTCCACTGGGTCAATAGTACATAATTTCTTATGTGCTTCTTTACCTATGCTTCCCTGTCCCCCACCAGACTGCAAATGCTGTGAGAGCGGGCGCTGTCTTACTCATTGCTAGATCCTTAGAATCTAGCACAGTGCCCAAACACCTAGTAAATGGTAATAGTATTTGTGGAATGAGTCAGTGAAAACATACTCAAGGGTGTGTAAGGCCTGCCAGTTTTGGCTTCTATTAATGCATGTGTCCTGGGGGTCCCATTTGTCCTCTGGGATTGTCGTATTTGCTTATTTATTTGCAGGGGGAAATGAACTTGTGACCAGGCCTTCTGGAGACATGCTGCTGTGCTGCCCAGCCCCTGTGTGCTGCTGTGGATGTGTGGCTTCTCCTTGGCTCAGGGCCCCTCTCCCATGCTCCTTTGTGTGGGGTGATCCCCAGAGCCCTCTGATCGGGTGTCTGCCTGATGCTGGCTGCAATGAAAACCTCTCTTGTTCCACTTAGCACAATGTTGCCATTATAGCCCCTATCCAGGGAAATGACACACGTCTGCTGGCCCACCCTGGGCCCCGGAAAGCAGATAGAGATCTCAGTGGCTGTTTCTGGGAGAAAGAGAAAGAGTTTCATGGATGGATGAAAACTCCTTCTTCCCATGCGCCTTCAGGTTTCTGCTCCAGGGCACGGGGCTCCTACTTGCATGGAGGCAACAGGGCTCAGCTTCCACAGTTGTTAAAACCAAGCCCAGTGGTTGTGTCTGAAGGAAAAGGAGCTTTTGTTTTATGCTGAAATGCTGCATGAAGCTTACTCCATCCCTTTGGATTCTTCTCCTTAAGCGAGATCTTAGGCTCCTGAAGCGAGGCTCGTGCCCTGAAGCACCTACAGGGCCGGGCAGGGAAGGGTGTGCAGGAAGCAGGCCATGCAAGTGGAGGGGCCACAGCAAAGCGGAGCCCTCTTGCTCCGTCTGAGGGGCCAGTCACCAGTCAGCTTGGAAATGGAGTGGCCAATCTTCAGCTTTTTCAGCAGAACCCAGAAATCTAGATTTCAGTGAGAAATCTCTTTTGATTTAAAAGTGTTGGTAATGAATTCCAATTGTTTTAAACATTGCAGTAGCCAACTAAAACACCCCTGTGAACTTAATCTGGACTATAGCCACCCCCAGGCCCCAATGTGGAAACTTGAGGGAAATTAGGGACCCATGAAGACATCTGGAGGGTCTGTCCAGCTGGGGGCCTCCACGCTGAGGCCTGAGGAGGGTGTGCAGCTCCTAACACTGCAGCGTGGACTAACTCTCTTCTGAAGATCTGGGCTGCACGCCCCTAGCTTCATCTGTGGCTGCAGGCTGGTGCCAGGTTGCAGAGGTCCAAAGTGGATTTTATAACCTGGAGCTAGAAAAGCTTTAAAGCCCCCCAAAACCTGAGACATTAGCCCATCTGGTCCCTTCATTTGTCAGTTGGGGAAACTGAGGCTGAGAGAAGGGGAGAAATCTTACCTGAAATCACAGAAGGCCTTAGAGCCAGAACCAGGAGCAGTGATGCCCTGATATGAGGTCACCTGAGCCACTCTGTTCAGTGTGTGGGACACAGTGGTGAAGAGCATGACTTTAGGACAAGGTGGATCTGAGTGTTACCCAGCCCCGCCCCTGCACAGTCCAGGCACGATCTTCAACCGCTCTGAACCTCAGATTCCTCATCTAAAAATTGGGGCTACAAACATCTTCCCCACACAGCAGTTGTGATGCTTCAGTGTAACTGTGCATGTAGAGTGTGGAGTGGCTGATGCCATGCCAGCACATGGTACGTTTTCTTCAAATGCCAGCTGGCAGTATATTCAGGGAGGAGATTTTGTATGATATAGCCGAGTGCACGGGCTTTGGGTGAGGCATCTCTAAGATCAAGTGCAGGCTCTGCCACATACAGCTGTGAAACACTGGATGAGTTATTTATCAAGGGCCCAATTTCCTCATCTGTAAAATAAGGATGAAAGTAGTACCAGGGGGTTAAATGAGATCTGTAAGGTGCTTAGCACAGTGTCTGAGCCATGGTCAGAAGTGTTGGTTATTATGTAATCAGTGTGGGTTTCCTCTGAAGAATTCGTCAGATGTTTATGGAAAAATATTAAGGGATGCTGAAACCGTGGCCACATACCCAGGCTGCCCCCTGCAGGGAGTTTTATATAAATCCAACCCCTGGAAATGCAACTGATTCTGCCAGGTTCCTCCTTCCCTGAAGGAGCTCCCAGTGCTCCCGGATGGGAGGACTACCAGGCCTCCAAATGCTGCTACCCACGGAGTCTGCAAAGGAGTGGTGTTTTGTATGCACATTTAAAAACGTTACATAGTCCCATTATTTTGTTACAATGACAGATTGCTAGGGCCAGATGGACAATTTGTCCTGATCCAGGTGGGCAAGACCCTGTGCCTTAGGGAGGCAGTCACGCTTCTTTTGTATGACAAGGAATTCTGTATCCATAAGGAGGTTTTGGAAAACCAGAAGGCTCTAGGTCTGGGCCCTACAAACACTTTTCAGTGACAGACTGAGGCAAGCTTTTACCCTTCCTATGTGTTCCCTAGTGATTCATGTCACACTGCGCGCTTTGATCGGAGCACATGCCTGCACTGTTTAAATTGTGGTCATTCTCCCTCACACAGACAGCAAAGGAACACATTCGGGATTCCGCTGCCAATATTCATTCACTCTGGGAGCCAGGGTATCTGTCACAACTTCTTTGGTTGCAAGTGATAGAATCACAACTCCAACCAGCTTTAATGAAAAAGCTCAAAGGGTAGCTGAGTAGCTGAAGGGGCGAAGCTGGTTTGAAGCCAAGCTTGGATCCAGGAAGGCAAACTGAGCAGTCGCTCTTTTCTCTCCATCTCCCGGCTCTGCCCTCCTCTGTTTAGTCTTCATCTTCAGGCCGTCTGTTCCAATCTGTGGCAGAGAAGGCCACACAGCTGCAAAGCCTGAATTCCTTACACCTGGAGATTCCAGGTGAGAAAGGCAGCCTCTCTCCCTGCAGTTCCAGCAGTGGCCCAGAGAGGCCCCCATACTCTAGGTAAACCACAGGCTCTAAGCCCAAGGGAGGTGTTGAGCAGTGAAACGCACGCCTCCCCTGCAGCCAGGCGCGCACCTGCAGCACACCACTTTATCAACTAAATGCCGCGACCTCTATTTTGCATATGTCATTTCATTCGTTTGCTAGGGCTGCCACAACAGAATTTCTGCCAGCAGAGCTGGTTTCCTCTGAGGCCTGTCTCCATGGCTTGTGGATGGCTACCCCTTTGCTGTCTCTTCACGTGGCCGTCCCTCCCTGCATGGGCTCCCTGGCTGTCACCACGTGTCCAAATCTTCTTATGAAGACACCAGTCAGATTGGATCAGGCCCTACCCTAACAGCCTCATCTTAACTTAGTCACCTCTTTAAAAGCCCTATGTCTAAGTAGAGTCACATTCAGAGGTACTAGGGGGTTAGGGATTCCAAATATGAAATGGGAGGGTGAGGACACCGTTCAACTAGCAAATGGCAAGGCTGAGACTGCCCTGAGGGAGGATGCGTCTAACCATGTGCCCTTACCCATGACGCTGTACTGTCCCTGCTGGAGCTCATGGCAGCATACCTGGAGGCAAAGGATTTACAACCCTCAGCAGCGGGGAATATGAGAGGCTGTATCCACTGAAAACCTTAGTGAGGTCCAGGGACCCCCTGTCTATATGATGCCCCAGCAGGATACCACTGGTATATGAGAGTCTTGGCTGTCAGGCGAGCTGTGGTTCAGCAAGCCCTGTTTGTTGTCAAAGAATTTTGGGTTATCTTCTCTCTGCAGCGTTTTCAGATGGTTTCTCTTGGGCTCCCCGAAGACCAGCTATCATGAAGATGTACAGGGAATACAAATACCTTCTCTCCTCCCTTTTCCATCAGGTAGAACAGCATTTCCAAAAGTGTGGAATTCAGACAATTGGTGAAAATGTGATATATGTTTAGATATTACACAGACCAACATATTTGGAGAGTTATGAATTTATATGAATTTGTAATAAAAACATATAACCAGGATGGGTGTGGTGGCTTATGCCTGTAATCCCAGCACTTTGGGAGGATGAGGTGGGAGGATCATTTGAGGCCAGGAGTTCGAGACCAGTTTGGGCAACATAGTGAGACCCCCCCTCATCTCTACAAAAAATTAAAAATAAAAATTAGCTGAACATGGTGGCACATGCCTGTAGTCCCATCTATTCGGGAGGCTAAGGCAGGAAAATTGCTTGAATCTAGGAGTTTGAGGTTACAGTGAACTATGATCACACCACAGGACTCCAGTCTGGGCAACACAGCAAGACCCTGTCTCTTAAAAAACAAAACTAAACAAAACAAGCTAAACCAACCAAACAAGCAAAAAACCCCATATAAACAGTCCTACAAACCTGTGCTTTTCACTGGCATTAAAATAGAAACATCAGATACATGTCAATTGAAAGAAAAATATCAAGTAAATAGTATTAAGAAAATAAATAATTTGATGAAATCATGAAGGTGATGCTTGAATGACTGAAATCCGGGAAGCACCGGGATAGTTCCCCCGAGAGGGAAATACTTCTGGCTATGGACACAGAAGTCATGCCAATTTTAAGCCTCATTTATCTGCACATTTAGCTCTAATTTTCCCTGAGGATGACCATAGATGGTGACTTCCGGCCTTTGGTTTCTCTCGTCTCTGTCTCTGGGCCAATCATATTGGACCAGGCCAAGTACAGAGGTGAAAGGCTTGTGAGTGTTGGGGAGAGGCTGACCCTCATCTGCACAGCCCCTGGACTCTATTCATTTGGAGTCTTGCTGCAGGGCTCCTGAGTGGCTTGGCGCTGCCCATAGCTGAGTATGTAGGTAGGTGTTTATCACTGTGCAGTCAAGATTTTTAGCAACTCAAAGTCCAGTGTGGAATAATGCGTTTAAAACTTAATTCCACACGGAACTGGCAAAATTCTGTGAAGGTTAATTGCTATTAATTTTAGTAGTGCTTTTGCCCCCTTGAATTTTGCTAACAGTGCTGAATAACAGCCTTCTAGTCCACGTTTGGCTCTGTGGCCAGCTGCAGCTGCTGACATCTTCCACAGCTGGTGCCCATGTCTATGAACTGGGTGCCTGGTGAGGTTGAGGGGCTGCAGGCACAGGAGAGCTGGCTTGTTCTGATCTGCTCAAACGCTCAGTCAGCCTGTATCGTGGCTGCGAATTACAACTATTGTATTATTGGCATTACCTTCTGTGGCCTCCAAAGTCACATTCTGCTTTATTGATGTAAGGTTGATCTCCAGTGTCCAAACGGGTTGCATGTGTGGGGAAAGGCCCCCTTCTAGAATTTCAGACAGTCTGACTCAAAATGTTATGTCTATTCATGAAAGGAAGATGGGTGAGAGCAACGCTTCTTACACTTCACCATGTGTATGAATCACCTGGGGATCTTATGAAAATACAGATGCTGATTGGGCAGGTTGGGGTGGGGCCTGAGGTTCTGCATTTCACAGAAGTTCCTGGGTGATGCCAATGTTCCTGGTTAGGAACATTTTGAGTGGCAACGCTTGGAACAATTCTTCCTACACCCAGCATGTTGACAACCACAGCACAAGCCAAACACCCTCTACAAAGCCTGGATGGATGAGAGGAGTCCTTTTAGACTCTGTGCATGGCTGGCCCCTGCCTGCCCTCCCACCGCTTCTAATCTCACTCTCCCCTGCATATGCCCCACTCCAGCCTCATTGGTGCTTTTTGTTCCTCCAATAAGCCAAGCTCTTGCTCAATCCAGGGCCTTTGCATCCACTGTTCTCTGTGCCAAGAATGCTGGCAACCCCACTTTTCCCCAGGTACTTAGTTTTCATCCTTTGATTAGCATACGAAGTGAGTTTCTTTCTCATGGTACCTATTTGTTGTCTCTGTAGCAGTTATCTTCATGTGCCAGCTCTTTTTCTGTTGCCTTATTTATGATTCGTTTCTCCTCTAGACCAGAGTCCATGAGGAAAGCCCATTCCTGCCTTCCACACTGTTGTATCCTCAGTGCTCCTGCCTGGCAGGAGATGCTCACTCATGAATATTTGTTGGGTGCATGTGTAGGCAGGGAGCAAAAATGCATTCTTATCTTTTTGCACATTTGAGCCACCTGTCTGGAGGGGCCATGTTGGGGCTGAAAGTTAGCATTGGTTCTTATTGAAGAATCGCAGAATGAGAGCTCAGAAGAGGAGCTACTTTTAATTCTAAGCCACATCTCATCGTCAGAGATGTCGAAACGTGAAAAAAGTGTGCATCTTTGAATAGATAAAATACAGTAAGCCAGCATGTCTTAAACAGAGGTTATGTTAAATTCATTTATAAAATATTGGATTAAACAAAGGTACTATGGTGGGACTTCTCAGGACTTTCGGCAATGTGTGTTGTGAGTCTACGAGAGAAGGGACGTGATGTGCTCTTTAACGGCACAGCAGTTGTGGCAGAGGCGCTGTGATTTCGTCACCCAGAGGCCATCCTTTTCTGCCCTGCTTCCTTCTTCTTTGTTAGTAGAGGGCCTGGTTCCCCCTGTTGAGGCTGAAAATGCCAAATGCCCAGTTTCCCAGCCTTTACTGCAGCAGGATCATGGACATATCCCTAGTTCTGGCCGGTGGGATCCAAGCAGAAGTCTACTGAGGACTTTGGAAAAGTTTTTCTGACTACAATAGACATGCAATAGACTGTCTTGTTTTTTGATGTGATTGTGTGAGGACATGGTGCCTGGAGCCACAGAAGCCTCTTGTAAACATAGAGGACACATGGCTGAGGACAAGAGCCAACATGCTGAGGATGGTGGGGTACAGAGATACAAACAACCTGGGCTCTGGACTCCATCCCTGAGCTGCTGAATGTACTAACTCTGCACCTTGGATTTCTGGTCATGCAAGACAACACATGTTCTCACTGTTGAAGCCACTTGTAATAAGATGCTCTCTTTACCTGCAGCTGGAAGGATCTTGCCTAATAAGAGTGGTAAGCTGGTCTCTCTGAGTCAGACAGGCTAGAATTCACTCCTGGCTCTACCAGCAGTAATTATGGTTCTCTTCAAAGCTATTTACTCATTTAGGAGATGGAGATGTTAATAACGGCTACCTCTTGGGTTGTTTCAGAAGCTTAAATGAGATGATGGGTGTGAAGTGCTCACATAGAACTTGGAACATTGCTGGTGCTTAGTAATAAGGAACTATTATTATTATTATTATTATTATTATTATTATTATTTTTGATCACAGAAGTTCTTTGTTGTTGGAACATCCTTTACCATCTTGAGGGATCCTGCATTCTACAGAAAAGAATCTAAGTGATGTTTACCTTTACCAAACTTTCTCATTTTACAGAAGGAGAAACTGAGGCCAAAGGAGTGGCTGCTGTTTTGGTGCTTTCATTTTGAAAAATGTGCAGGGTTCAGCCTCTTCCCATGTCAGTCATTTCCACTCCCACACAAGAAACAACAGAAGCACACAGGTTTAGGGTTGAAATGATGTGCTTTTATGGGAAACAAAAATATCCAACAACAATAACAAAAGCCCTTCAATCTCGCCAAGTTCTTAACCAGTGACAATAAGGCAACTTCCATGATTGCGTCTGGCTGGGGATGATTCTAAAGGGTCAGGAAAGTGAAAAGACATTGGCCAAAAAGAGAAGTTGCAGGGAGGGCTGACATCCTACATGAGAACACAGCAGACTTCCCTCTGGCCCCTCACCCCATCACCCCTTCAATTTAGAATCTCCCCCCAATCTACAAAGATCCTTCCTGAATTTCCTCAGATGCAATCTCTTCCAGAAAGCTTTCCTGGGTCTGCTCTAGCTGCATATGACTTTTCATTAACATCACGCACACTTTCTCATTCCTTCTCCGATCACTTTCTGCCTTACATCCGTTATGTTTGGGTACATGCCTTACGATACCCGCTATTGGTAGGCATATCCCTGAGACCGAGTCCCAGGTTGACTCACCCCGTGCTCCCCTCCCCCTCCCCCATTCAGTGCTCAGTATTCAGCAGGTGCTCAACATCAGAGGTGCTCAGTGAGGGTTTGTTCAATTTAAGTCAGTTCTACATTTGCCATGTCACATCGCCAGCCTCTTGAGAGTCATTATTGTCATTTTCACTTCTTCATCCTTCCTCCATGATCTCAAAATGGTCCGACTCAAGGCTTCTCCAAGAAGGAACAGCCCCCACCAAACATTACCCATTCAAGGTGAAAGGTTTGGAGAGGAGAAGAGAGGTTAAGCTTTCTCCCCTGTTCAGGGAGGCGAGCAGGAAGGGAAGCCACTGGGAAAATCCAGGATGGCCATGAGCGGTGTTGGCCAACACTTCATTTTGGAATCTCATAAGCAGCCACTCTTCCAAAAGTTTCCCTGTGAAACATGGCCAACTTTGCAGCAGGAGCCGAGGACTGGCGGGGGTATGGTATGGTTGCCCTGCCAGCCCACAGACCAGAGGCATAGACCAAGAACCTTTCTTTGAGACACGGCCTATTTTCTCTCTGGAGGATGATGAGAGTTGTCTGTCTGGTTGTTCAGTTGGAGCTCTGGTGGGAACATTAGCCCTGCGGTGTGTTGAGTTGTCAGGCACATAGATTGTAATAAGGCTAAAGAATACAAGCTGCAATCATGGGCTTCTCCTTGAAAGAGGGAAGGGTCAGGAGGTGCTGGGAGCAGTGAGGGAGAGAGGAGGGTCCCAAGAAATCCTGCAGCTCTGATTCTAACAGGTGCCCTGCTCCATCTCCCACTTCCGCTCCCTCTCTTTTCCTCTGGTTCTCCAAGTCCAGGTCAGGCAAAGGGGCCAGTTGGAAGTGGTGGAGGGAAGGGAAGGGCCTTTTCCTTTTCCTACCAGGAATCCTAGATTTGGACAAGGGAGAGGTTACAATCCAGGGCAGAAGGAGGAGGGTTAAGGAGCTGAGGAGAGGCCTAGGCCCTGTCCACTTCTGTTGACTGGTGTAATGACTAGATTTGAGGCTCACCCTTTTAACTGCATTGCCCCAAGAGAGCACTGAGCTCCTAATTGGGGGTGTTGAGAAAGTTCTTCGTGGGCGCTCAAAGGTGCTCACTGATTTGGGGAGACTGCTGCAGATCTTCCCATGGGAGGGCCCCTCTGGGGCCAATAAGGTGTGGAAACCACATGGTCAGCATCAGCCCTAGAAATTTAAGAAAGGGGCCACGAAGCAGAGAGAAGAGAGACTTCTTCAGGCACCTTCTTTAGGAAAGAGAGTTGGACCTTGGGGCACTCAAGTTAGGACAGATGTTTCAGTATAAAAAGGATCCCCAATAAAAGGACAGAGTCCCCTCAAATCCCTTCCCAGATCCCACAGCACTTAGAAAAGAGAAAGTAAGGAGCATAAAAATATCTCGATGACGTGGGCTTGCCTGACAGTACAGAAAAGCAAGTCTCATGGCAGGCAGTGTGTCCCATTACACAAGAGAGGATTATACCGAGCTTCAGTAGAGAGATTTTACATATATCTTTATATAAATGCATATATATTTATAGAGCCTCTGCCTAGAACAGCCGGGCTTGCTTCTTCAGTTCATTCCTCTTCCAGAGGGCCAGCCGGTCAAACTCAGAGATGGTCATGCCAAAGACTTGGTAGAACTCTTCCTGGGACAGGTGGCGCTGAAGGAGGCAGGGCAGGCGGGGGTGGGGGGACAGAGAAAGAGAGCAGCATGAGGATGCAAGATGCAGGGGTAGCTGGAGGCAGCAGTGGGTGCTGCATGTTCCCTCTGGGCACCCTGTGCCTTGCATGGTGCCTGAGCCTGGGGAATGTGTGATGAATATTTGTTGAATGAGTGAATATGGAATGAACATTTTCCCAGGGAGGACTCTGGAGCTGATTTGGCTGAAGAGGCCTCCCCTGCCTATGACTCAAGTGGGACTTCCGCTTCCACTACACACCCCTTGGAGTCCCCTGTTGACCCCTCCGCTTTCTGCATGCCTGATCCATGTATTTGCATCCAGAAGTGTGTGTGGATTCATGTTATCCCACTCCCCGTTGAGAGAAAAAGGAGCCATGTCCAAGATTTTAGGGGATATTTCCTCTTACTGATGTTTTAACAAATGATCTGGAAGGCTGTTCATCAGGCCAGTCAATGAAAAAAATTTCTGCTCTTAATTTTTGATTCACCAAAATGTCCTTTTATCTTTTTCTGATATGAAAACAAATATGCTTTATAATCAAACCCTTGTCTGCATTCTATAGTGGATTTTCCCCTCTTTCTGCCCTCCTTCCCTTCCTCCCTTCTAAGCAGCTTTAAAAGTGTGATACATTGTCAAAAGCTTTTAGAGTTAGAAATATACAGCACTTAAAATGTGGCAAAATGTTAACAATTGTTGTATTTAGTGAATGGTAGATGGATGTTCATTTTACTATTCTTGAAACTTTCCTGGATAGCTACAGTTTTTCAAAATGAAATTTAAAATTAAGTTTACAAAGAGAAATATATGGCATATATACTGCTTACAAACTTAATGGATTCACTTGAGCTGGCTTGTTGGTAGCAATTACATGAGCTAATTGGGTGCTGAAGGAGATTCAGTGAAAATTATTTATGTGACCACAGTCAGTTCTCTGGCTTGTTGTCACTGTGAACTATTTTTTTTTTTTTTTGAGACAGAGTTTTGCTTTGTCACCCAGGCTGCAGTGCATGATCTCAACTCACTGCAAACTCCACCACCCCAGTTCAAGTGATTCTCCTGCCTCAGCCTTCCAAGTAGCTGGGACTACAGGTGCACACAATCACGTTGGGCTAATTTTTTTGTATTTTAGTAGAGATGGGGTTTCACCATGTTCCCTAGGCTGGTCTTGAACTCCTGAGCTCAGGCAATCTGCCCTCCTCAGCCTCTCAAAGTGCTGGGATTACAGGCGTAAGCCACGGCGCATGGCCATGTGAACTAACATTTTCCCCATACCTTCAGAATTTCAAACAAAGGTAATATTGATAATTTTTGGTCAATAATTTTTGAAGTAGTAGAGCTGGGACCGAAGTCCAGGCAAAATGCATTACATTCTCACTGCCCCTCTTGGTCAACCCCATTAAAAAAATTCATAAGTAAGTCTATTATGAAAAATGTCAAAACTACACAAAAGAGAGAAAATAGGACAAAGCCCATGTCCACTATCCAGATCCTGTAATTGTGAGGTTTTCCACATTTGCTTCATTTACCTATTTTATTTTCTGAAATATTTTAAAGCAAAGCCTAGACATTGTGTCAGTTCATTCCTATGCACTTCAGAATGTTTCTCAAAACACACTGAATATTTTCTCACATTGTGGTTACACAATGCCATGAGTAAACTCAAGAAAATCTAACAGGAATTCTTCAGAATTCCCTGATACCTGTCCATTACAAAGTTCCTGTCTTGAAAATGTCTTTTCACAGTTGGTTTATCTGAACTAGGACCCAGGCAGTGCCTACACATCACATTTGCTTGTTAGATCCCTAAGACCCTGCCTCTTTCTTTGTACTATTGACTTGTCCATGTTTGTGCTACTCAAGTGAGTGCTGAAAGACACCTTGGATAGGAGAGTCCCCTTCTCTGCTCCTTCCATAGTAAAGACAGAGGGAAACTGCACTTTGGAATCGTTTGTTATTGTTGTTGGAGGGTGGTGGTCTGTATTGGTTCTCCAGTTGAGTTTCTCTATCATGTTAAAAAATCTTTGTTATGAGTCTTGATATAAAAGAATGGTAGACTCACCCTCAAGTAATGTGTTCACAAGCAGGACACACTGGAAGGAGACCAGGGCTTCTCTCCTCTAAGGGCCAGCTGGGGCCTCCTTTCTCCCTCCAGTTCTCAAGGCCCCTAATGCCACTACTGTCCATCTGACATTTGCCACAGAAAGGCGTTAAAGCAGGAAGGTTAACAGTGCAGCTCTTACAGCCAGGGAGAAATGGCCATGTGACCATGGACAAGTTACCTAACCCCTCCTGAACTTCAATTTCCTTTTCTGGAAAATGGGAGCATCCTAGTGTCTCCACCATGAATACCATGAGGGTGAATGAGCAGATACAGGTCATGTGCTCAACACTCAAGGGCACACAGAAAGCACTCAGTCTGGTCACTTTCACTATCATGGTGATCTTTTCATGCACCTGTTACATTGTGTGATCTGCTTCCAGTTTCCTTGGACTTCATCTTCTCCTCCTCATCTTTGTTGTGCTCCTGTGACCCTAGACACACTAACCTTCTGCTATGTTCAAACACAACAAGCTCCCTCCTGCATCAGGGTCTCAACACTGGCTGTTCCCTCTGCCCAGAAAGTTCTTCCTTCTTATAAAAGCATGCCCCACTCCCTCAACTACTTCGAGTCTTTGCTTACATGTCATGCATCCAATGAGACCAAATCTGATGATGCTATTTAAAACTGCAACTCACCTCTTCCTCTCCTAATCCCCTTCTCTTCTCTCCTTTAACTTTTTTCCTTAGCACTTATTACCTTCTAACACATGGTGTCATTTATTTTTTCTTTGTGTCAACAATATTGACACAAATAAAGGAGACACATCTTATGTCTTCTCACACAAAAATGTAAGTTCCAAGAGGGCAGCGGTCTCTGTTTTGTTCATTGATATATTGCAAGCACCTCGAACCGTACCCAGATGCTTCTGCAGACATAGGAGGAGAGCTAGATTTGCTCCCTGCCCTCAAGGGGCCCACAGTCTCAGGACTGTACATAAAACGAGTGCTTGTGATGGTGGAAGAGAGTGGAGGCAGCACTGTGTAGTTAAGCTCCCTCGGTTCAAACTCTGATTCTGTCATCACTAGGTGATCAGCTTTAGCCAAATGACAGCCTTGCTGAACCTTTATTTTCTCCTCTGTAAGGTGAGGATGATTCAATAAATATTTGTTGGATGAATGAATATCTATTCTCTGAGCTCCTTGAGGACAGGGTCATAGTCTTCCTTCTTCAGTCCCCTCCTAGAACTAGTGCAGGAGGCTGGGGCAGTGTCTTTAGCCCATGGGCCTCAGCTCAGGCTACATTTTAGCCATCCTTGGGTGCTTTTAAAAAGTTCTAGACCTGAGCTCCTTCCCCAAATTGTGATTAAATTGGTCTACTGTGGGGCCCCTGTATGGTATTTTTAAAAAGGTCCCTGGGTGATTCTGATGTCCTGGAGAATGTTTCCATCCCTAAAAACTGGCTTCACTGAGCTGCCCTGGGAGCTGTCCCCTTCAGCACTGGTGGACACTTTCATTTGGAGACAGTGAAAGGAGGAGGCCCTTGTTGAAATGTGAGGAGAATCACCCACTTCCTGGGGTGCTAACCCAGCATGCTAGAGCTGGAAGAACTCACAGAGCTTCCTGGCTAACGTACATTCCCCTCCTTCTGCCCCAACCGTCTACCCTGGGCCAATTCCACGCCATCAAGTCAAGGGCAGCTCATATGCTTTTCCTGAGGGGTGCTGAGCCTCCTATTTCAGAAGCCTGCACTCAATCCCACAAACGTTTTCTGACACCTCTCCCAGCCCAGACCCTGTGGTAGAGGGCAGACAATGTTTGTCCCTAAGAAACTCAGGGTCAGGCAGAGGAAATGGACACATCCATGATCTGATACACAGGAGAGTGAAAGGTGCTTGATGTACTTTGGATAGAAAGCTGGAGGAGGTCAGAGGACAAGGGGAGTGACCCCTCCTATAGGAGGGTTGGAGGAGGCTTTGGGGCACAGGGATTACTAGTGCGGAGCCCTGAGGAGCAAGGAGGCTGGTGAGATGCGAAGGGCATTGATATGTCTTGGCTGTGTCCCCACCCAAATCTCACCCTGAATTGTAATAATCCCCACGTGTCAAGGATGGGGCCAGGTGGAGATAATTGAATCTTGGGGGCAGTTTCCCATATACTGTTCTCCTGGTAGTGAATAAGTCTCATGAGATCTGATGGTTTTATAAAGGGCGTTCCCCTGTACAAGCTCTCTTGCCTGCTGCCATGTAAGATGTGACTTTACTCCTCCTTTGCCTTCCACCATGATTGTGAGGACTCCCCAGCCATGTGGAACTGTGAGACCATTAAACCTTTTTTTCTTTATAAATTACCCAGTCTCAGGTATATCTTCATTAGCCGCATTAGAGACTAATACAGGCATTCTGGGGAGAGGGAGAGGCAGGGAGTGGCAACAGGCTGTAAGGGGCAGAGTGTGCTCCAGCACCAGAGGAGCCCAGGAACTGGAACTCCACACCAGGTGGTCTGGACTGCTCAAATGCCCAGCACCATGTTCTGGCCCACCTCTGCACCTTTATTTATGCTGTTCTCCTCTCCATCTCTCAATCACAAACTCTACTTGTCTTTCTAGTCCGTCTACATCCTTCCTTTTTCTGCAAACCTGTGTTGACTGCCTCAGGCCTTAGTGGTCTCCCCTGCACAACAGTAATCTAATGTTCATTGGGCACTTCATACTCAATATGTTGCCAGACTCCATGCTAAGGGCTTTATGGGTACTGGCTCACTCACTTCTCTTGGCAGCATGGGGGAAGCACACCAATCACCCTCACTTTACAGAGAAGAAAACCAAGTTGCAGTGAGGTTGTCGCTTGGTTAAAGCTGCCAACCTAGTGATGGCAGAATCAGAGTTTGAACCTAGGGAGTTTGACTCAAGACTTACTTATGCTTTTTTTCCTTCCACATAGTGCTGCCTCCCCCTGTCCCCCATCACAAGCACAAGTTTTATGCACAATCCTGAGACAGAGGGCCCCTTGGGGGCAGGGAGCAAATCTAGCTCTTCTGCAATTCTGCAGAAGCATTGGCCCTAGTTGAGGACTTACTGTCCCTGTGCACCACAGACACTAACTGAATTGAAGAGGAGGCAGCAAAGAACAGCATGGGGAAGTTTTGGGGAACAGCATGGGGAAGTTTTGGGGGAACAGCATGGGGCAGTTTTGGGGGAACAGCATGGGACAGTTTTGGGGAATAGTATGGGGAAGTTTTGGGCTGAGGAAATTGGTTCAAGTCCCTGCTTTTTCAATAAGCTGTGTGATCTTAAAGCCACTCATTCCACCCAGCCCTCTTGAGCTGGATTATACCAAGCAACTTCTGAAATTTCTTCCAACCCAAGAGCTCCTGCTCAGTTTTTTAGACTTACCTCTAAACGGGTCCTGTCTACATCCTTGGGCAGTCGGTTTCTTCCTCTTGTAGTCACCAGCAGCAGTTCATAAGGGTAGATCTAAGGAGAAAGGGGGGTGGTCTCCAGCTTGGGTGAGGGTGGTGGGCTTGTTCCTTTCAGGTACATTTTGTGTCTGGGCTCTCTGTTCTATCCAGAAATGGCCAGAAATTAAGTCTGGAGGAAGAGCTGGATCTGCCCTTCTTGGGGTTGCCCAGCAGTCTTAAGATACCTTCTCTCAAAAGACAAGGCCCAAGAGAGTCCCCTAATACTACTAGGAATAAGCTTGGAGGTATTTGCCATGTGCCCATGGAATAATATGGGCACATGACCTCCCGAATGTAAGTGTCTAATATTTGGTGACTGGCAAGCCAACAGAGTGTCTCTGAAGCCCAGGGAGAGTATCTGATTTCAGTAGGCAAGAGACCTAGGGCAGGATTCAGGAAAAGTGGGCCAAGAAGGGACAGGAAATGTTGGTCTTGAAAGGACCCCTGGGGTTATTTATCTATGTTCCCTTCCCTACATAGACAGTGCTGTCATCCTCCTGGTGATCCCCAGTGTAGCGGCTCCAAGAATCCTGGAGACCCCCAGGGTCTATGCACATCCTTTACCTTGTACTCTGCAGAGAGAAAAAGAGACACACACACAGAATGGAGCCCATCAGTCTTTGCTTTGCATCACTACACAGGCCTCTGTCCTACTCTCTCAGGGGGTCTGGCCTCTATTGTCTCCTTCTCTTGACCATCAGAGACCTTGTCCTTGCTGAATTCACCCTGAAGGACAATCAAGGCTGGTATGAGCACAGTGGAAGGCTGAAGATAGGGGTTGGGCTGATCTTGAGATGGTTCTAAGGAAAAAATGGCCTTAGAGATATTTAGAATAGAAATTAGAAGAATCTGAGATCTGAAACGCATGGACAAGATCCTCTATCTTCTGTGGGGAATCCTTCAAGGTTCTGATGTGGGCCCCTTCTGCCTGAGCTTGCTCATAGGAGCTGGTCGAGTTTGGTGTGAAAGCATCACTGGCAGAGAGCAGGAAGCTCATGGAATTCTTACTGGGAACAGTGTGCAATTGGCTCTGAGTGCTTCCCTCCACTGGGGCTGGCAGGCAACCCTCGGTCCACAGTCCAGGGAGAAGAGAGCAGAACTCTGTGATGGTTCTGGGAACCCAGATGGGACAGGTGGCTTGGAGACCACCCAAGGCCAGGACTTGAGAGGATAACGGAAGAGCAGGGGAAAAGGGAGGGGGTGGGAAGTGAAAGAGAGTAAGAACTCAGGGTTGGACACAGCCCAGCGTGGGGACAGAATCTGTAGCCATCATTTGCCGAAGGTCAAGCTGCAGTTTTGAGTGGTACATCTGGAGGCACTCTCCCTGCAGACCCCCTGCAGGCCTGCACTCACCTCGCATGCCCCAGTTGACTGCGTTCATGCTGTCGTAGTGGAAGAGGTCTGCGCTGGGTGTCTGCAGAAGAGACAGAACCACGGCTGGCCTGAGATAAGCTCACCTCTGCCTCCCTGAAGCACTCACCCACCTCCAGAAAATGGACTGGCGCTTGTGGGACATAGGGCCTTCTCAGCAGCCTCTGTCTCAAGTTAGGGAAACTTAACTCGCTGCTATATCCCTGTGCTTTGTCCTGGCACATGGTGGCTACTCAATATATATCCATTTATTTGGTGAATTTCACTTCATGCTTTCTTTCATTGCTCAAACACCCCTTTTTCTAGGAGATTTGCCCTGACAACCTGGCTGGAAGTTGCAAGTCACTCCTTCCATGAACTCTCAATCCTCCTTACCCTGCTCATCACTTTTCTTTTTCCATAACAGCACGCTCAGGGAGCTCAGAAAATGTACAGGCCATGTTAGAGGCCAGTGGAGCATAGCAGTTGGGGGTGGGCTGTGGGATCAGCTGGCCTGGGCTTGAATCCTGGCTCTACTACTTCTTGTTGAAGAGTGGGGGTAAGTCACCTCACTTCTCTGTGCCTTTCTGCATGCACAAAGTAGGGTAAATGATAGTAACTGCCTCCATGGGTTGTGAAGGCAAAACAAATTAGTGCTTGCAAAGTGTTTAGCTGAGTCCCTGGCACAGGGTTATTGCCCAATAAGTACTAGTTGTTCCCAAGCCCCTCCCATGGGGGCCCCTTTTCACGAAGGGGTCACCAGGGAGGGGAGCAAGTCATTGCCATACAGTTGTGTCAGTTAACCCACCACTAGCCCCAGGACCTTTGCTCAGGTTTCACCTTACAATAAGCTAATGTTGGGTTTATTAGCATTTTGGGGACAACGTCCTCCCCCATCCTCCAGCACAGCTTCTTACCCTGTGCAGCCCATTTCTTCGGTAGGCAGGCAGGGAGGCAGATTTGGAGATGAGAGGATCTGAAAAGAAGGATCTAGAGCAATTATCAGGAGTCCCAAGCCATGAGTCCCTCTCCCTGAGGTCATCTGGCTACCAATGGCCAACACTGCTCCCAACCTAGCAGGAAGGGGTGGAGGCCAGAGGCCACCAACTCTTCCTGATGCTCTCCAGATTTGCAACTTGACCATCTCTGGGGGCATTTCACTCTAGCAGAATTCTAGGTACCTGCCCAAGGCACCCACTCATACACTCTTCTATCCTTGACCTGCACATCTCTATCTTCTTGTGATAGACCCCTGTGTCCTGGCCACAGGCTGGCTCTGGACAAAGGCCCTGGAATTGAAGTCAAGCTCAGAACTCAGGTAGGAAGGCTCCCAGGTGGTGGAAGAGGTGTGTGCACTTTTTTTCCTCTGGGACCATCTATTGGGGATGGCAATCCTAGTTCCAGAAACCCAAATGCAGACCCACAATCTGACAAATACAATGGAGTAGACTATTTGAGATCAGGAGTGGGCTGGGACATCCACATTGTATGGTCATTAGAACTATGGAGAACTGCAGCTGACACAGCTCTGTCCCTCATGGGACATGATGGGCTGAAGGTAGGGCAGGTAGAACTTACCACTGTCAGCCAGGTAGTGCGACCGAGGGGCTGCAGGAGAGAAAAGCTGAAGGTCATTGCTCATGAGGAAAGACAAACATGGTGAAGACAATTCATGGGGACAAAGAGATGTGGCTTCCATACCCGATCCCCCTGGCTGGCTGGGAAAAGGGGCCTCCTGCAGCCCCTCCTGAACTGGTCAGTTTTTAATTGTTGCACTTGCACCCCATCTCCCTTCCCTGTCCAGCTCCCAGCCTGGCACCTGGCACAGGGCAGGTGCTCTGTGATATTTGTTGCACAGATGTGGTTGAACAAGGTTGAATTGCAAACAGCACTGGTGCACTGCACAGACCCCGCAGCCAGGGCTTGGAAACAGTGGCCCTCAGTGGTCAGGCAGGAAAACAGGCTCAGCAGTTCATCCTGGCTCTGCCATTAGTAGATTTCTAACTTCAGACAATCTAATTAATCACGCTTTGGTTTTCTCATCTGCAAAATGGGGAGTGATAGTGCCTCCTTTGTAGGATTATTGTGAAGAATATGTGACACAATACAGTAAGATACTTAGCATAGTGCCTGACGCATCTATAACACTCCATAAGACTGGCTTTATCATATTGCCGCCAACACCAACATCTTCAATCTCACTGAGAGTCAAGGTGTAGTATGGGGAAGAGGGAAGAGCTCATGGCCTTGGGGCCACTCCAACTTGGGTCTGATCCTGGCTCAGTCACTTACTGGCTTTTGACTTGGAGCAAGTGGCTTAACCTCAGTTCTCTCATCTATAAAGTGGGTGATAATAATCCCTCTACATTGCAGCTCTACCAGGAGTGTAACATTCCTACAAATGCCTGGCACATAGAAGTGTAATAAATGGTGCATTTTATTATCCATAATGTATTGATCCGAGATGAGATTTCCTGGCAGGACTGCATCTCACAGGAGTAAGAAAAGGAGGAGGCAGACAGAGTGTGTGTGTGTGTGTGTGTGTGTGTGTGTGTGTGTGTGTCCAGGAATAGGAGGAGCTTGCAATGAGATTTTCAAGAAGTATTTGAATAAAGCCCCTGCTTGTATAAGTTCAAATCATGGTAGACTCACTACCTCAGGAGGCCATCCCTTACATCTTTGAGCCATTCCGATGATTATAAGACATCGTTCTTTTTTTTTTTTTTTTTTTTTGAGAGAGAGTCTCGCTCTGTTGCCCAGGCTGGAGTGCAGTGGTGCAATCTCGGCTCACTGCAAGCTCCGCCTCCTGCCTCACGCCATTCTCCTGCCTCAGCCTCCCGAGTAGTTGGGACTACAGGTGCCCACCACCATGCCCAGCTAATTTTCTGTATTTTTAGTAAAGACCGGGTTTCACCATGTTAGCCAGGATGGTCTTGATCTCCTGACCTCATGATCTGCCCGCCTCGGCCTCCTAAAGTGCTGGGATTACAGTCATGAGCCACTGCGCCCAGCCAAGCCATTTTTCTTTATACTGAATCTGACTGGAAGTCAGAGCTTCAGATGCCCCAAAGCAATGGGAGTGACTGCTCAGGGCAGCATGGTCTTACATAGTGCCCCATAGAGCGCCTTTCCAAATCTGTATTCTAGACCTCAATGAAGCTCCCAGAAGGGGCATTGCAGGGTTTGGGGCTAACCTTTGTGGCCAGCCTCTTCTGATTCTTTTGTTAGCCCAGGGGATTGAGACGGGGCTGGCTACATTCCAATAGAACCTAATTTATAAAAGCAGGCAAGGAAGCTGATGAAGTAAGCTCCATTACTGATAAATTGAGTGATCTTGGGCAAGTCACCCACCACAGGGCTGCTGTGAGGAAGAAGAGAGAGGATGCATGGGCTGTGCCTCAAGGGAGCCTGGCTCAGAGCAAACAGCTGACACTGCCAGCTAGTCACAGAGAAAGGTGTCCCCGCCCCGTTGGGCTTCCAGAGCCATGCTTACAGCCATTGAGGGACATCTCATAGCCAGCTGTGTGCAGGGCTTCCCGGCTGCTGGTGGAGCTCCGGGGAGGGGTCCAGGGATCTGCATAGGAGCTCGACCGGGCCTTCATTTCTTCCTTCAGAATCAGCCGGCCAATTCCACTTTGGAGCTGAGGGTCGGGGAAGAGCAAGATAAAGTTAGAAGGAAAACAAAGGACACTGAGATGGAACGGGCTTGGGCAAGGCTGAGGATCACATCCTCCATAGCAGCCTGCTCTCATGTTTGCCTTCCCAGCGTCCCTCCCACCTTGTGGCACCCATGTTTCCTGTTGCAATCTCATCTTGTCTTCCACAAGTTGTCCTGTGGTCTGGGTGGGGGTCTGGTGGTGGGCACAAAAAAGCAAGCCTGGCCAGTGACAGGATCCCATTGTCTTGGCACAGTGATTGATTCAACAATGGGCAGATAGCCACCTTTTTCTTTTTAACTGAGGTGAAAATTACTTAACTTCAAATTAACCATTTTAAAGGAAATGATTCAGTGGCATTCAGTGCATTCACAATGTTGTGGAACTACCACCTCTATCTCGTTTCAAAATACCATTATTTCCCCCAAAGGAGATCCCATATCCATGAAGCACTCACTCCCCATTCCCCTCTCCCCGTGCCCCTGGGAACCAGCAATCTATGTTCTGTCTCTATGGATTTGCCTATTCTGCATATTTCATGGAAATGGAATCACACAATATGCGACCTTGTGTCTGGCTTCTTTTCTTAAGCATAATGTTTTCAAGGTTCATCCACATTGTGGCATGTATCATTACTTCATTTCTTTTCATGGCTGAATAATATTCCACTGTATGGACATACCATATTTTGTCCTATTCATGAGCTGATGGACATTTGGATTATTTCCATATTTTAGCTTTCGTGAATAGTGCTGCCACGGATATGAGTATATATGTATTTGTTTAAGTCCTGTTTTTAATTCTTCTGGGTATATATCTAGGAGTGGAATTGCTGGATCATGTGGTAATTTTATGTTTAATTTTTGAGGAACCACCAAATTGTTTTCCACAGGGGCTGAAACAAGGGTTTCACCAGCAATGAACAAGGGTTGCAAGCACCTGCTTACCATTATGTGAAAATAGCTTGCCTGAGCATGAAGCCAATGCAGAGGCAAGCCCCAGAAGTGAAGAGACAAATTTCCTATGACATTTTTTTGAGCAGTTGGATCTAGTCATACTTTAAGCTAATTCCACCATTTGATTTTTCAGTTATGCAAAGCTATGCTTTTCTTTTTTCTATCATAAGTGGGCTTGAATCTGTTTTTTGTTGCTTGTAAATGAAAAGACCCTCAGTGATATACGCTCTAAGCATCATATTCAGTGCTGTGGTCTCTGCCCACCTTGTGCATGCTGCGGTCAAAATCATCCTCCTCTCCTCCAGACGAGAACCTTCTGGCTCGGGGCACTGTCAAAAGACAGAAAAGATCAGCTCCGGCATGTGCACCCCACTCAGCCTGGCTTAAGGCATTTTTTTTTTAAAAAAGAAAAGCCACTTTTCTTTCTTTTTAATCTTATTTTTCAATGGAAACAGTCTCGTTTAAGCTAAGCCCCACATCAGCTGAAAGTGGTCTCTGCTGCCTTTGTGGTCTCTGAACACTCCTCTCCTGTGGGGATGGATCACTGCCCACTTGGTTATAGTCGTATTTGTGTCTTACCTTCTTTTCTAAATGAAGACTTCTTTGAGAGTAGCGAACGAGTCATCCTTTTATTAAATTTTTAAATTTTTGAGACAGGGGCTCACTCTCACCCAGGCTAGAGTGCAGTGGTGTGATCATGGCTTGTTGCAGCCTCAAGTCCCCAGGCTCAAGGGATCCTCCTGCCTCAGGCTTGCATGTAGCTGGGACTACAGGCATACACTATCATGCCCAGATAATTTTTAAAAATTTTTTTGTAGAGAAGAAGTGCTATGTTGTCCAGGCTGGTCTCAATTTCCTGGGCTCAAGTGATCTTCCCAACTTGGCCTCCCAAAGTGCTGGGATTACGGGCGTGAGCCACTGTGCCCAGCACCAAAGAGTCATCTCTGAGCTTCTGTGAAGCTTTGCTCAGAATGGACATTGAATTAGTAAAGACATTGAATCAGAGTGGATCTTGATGGGGGGAAAAATTTCCCCCCATACTTGAAAGGAACAGCTTGGGTTGTATGATTGGGTGAGGTGGTATCTGAGGACCACTGAGACCCCTTACCAGGAGCCTTCCACCTCCCCACATCCTCTCTTTCTCCATCCTCCCAACCATTTTTTACCCTACAGCCAAAGTGGTCTCTCAAAAGCACAAATGTGATCATGCCACTACTTTCAATGTGATCATGCCACTCACTGTTTAGGATAACAACCAAAATCCTTACCTCAACCCTCAAAACCCTGGGGGACCTCCTCCCTCACCTCTACTGCTTCTCTTCCTCTCTGAGTTCAAGGTTAAGTGGACAGCCTTTTCTTTCCTCCAGTGGAATCCTCTCTCACATCCTGGGTCTTTGCAGAAGTATTTCTACACTCTCTGCTGTGTTACATCCTTGCCACCCTCCTGATGGCAGCTGAGTGGCTGCATTGAGAAACTTTTGTCATCTTCAGGCTGGACAGCAGGCCCCTGCCATCAGCTCTCCTACCTTCTGCGCATCACCTCCCTCTCATGGCTGGGGCCTATGTCTTCTCCACAAGGGCAGGGACCTGGTCTGTTTTGCTCCCCAGTGTATTGCTAGGGTCCATGGCCAGTGTTTAGTACATATTTGTTGAATGAATAAACACCCTTAGTTATAAACCCTCTAAGCACTCTTATTCAGAATGATTGTATAAAGGAGTGGGCAACTGTTCTGAACACCCGTGTCCTTGGCACAGGTGTTAGGGCCCTGGACCCAGGCTCCTATGGGGGTACTACCTTTGGGGGACCCATGGTAGGTCCAGTACTCAGACTCCGAAGCATAGTAGGGGTCTGGCGAGTAGATGGGACTGTACTTGGAGGTCTGGCTGATGTCTTCACTTGTTTTGCTCTTGGTTGCTGTAGACAAATCACCTGCAGAGGACCCAAGGAGAGCACTTCAGGAAGGCAGAGTGACCGGGATGGGACTGTGTACCCTTTTCCTATCTTTACCAGGCTCCAGCCCAGGGGAGTGAGTCCACTTCAAGATCAGGGCTCTCTGTTAGAACTGGGCCATGGAGCATCGGAGCTGGAAAAGCACTGGGGCCAAACCCTCATTTTGCATTTAGTAATTGGAGCACCAGAGAGGGGAAGGGGCTTGCTTAAGACCACATAGCATGTGAGCACCAGAACTGGACCAGATCCCAGCCCAGGGCTCTTTCCAGCACATTCCATGGATTCCCAGGTCTGTTCCAGAATGACCTCTAAGGGTGTGGCTCCTCAAATAAGACTGGACAGGTCCCAGGTGAGCCCCAGCCCTTTAGAAGCCTTCCTAGCCCTTTAGAAGCCTTCCTTGTTATAAATTTGAACTCCATCATTTCTCACAACCTGAGATGCCACATTCTGCTCAGGGACTACATAGCCTGAAGGAAGGAGTGCTAGACAGGGAGTCAGCAAACCTGGGTTCTGGTCCCAGCTCTGCCACTTTACTCAGCTGTAACACTGGGCAGGTCCTACCATCTCTGCCTTAGTTTCCTCATCTGTAAGTGTCAGAATCGGTCTGCTGGCTCAGCTGCCATCCAGCTTCAAGCTTCCACCTGAAGTAAGCCCAGGACAGGGGTGACCAAAAAGACCCACTGCAGTCACAACTACTTACAGAGCAGTGACTTCTCGTGGCCCAAACGTGGGTGACAGGCTGGTAGAGCAGAGAGAGGGGCTGGGGAAGTGTGTGTGGCTGCATGACCATTTCTCATGGTCAGCTACAGGAAGCTTTAGGGACAAGCTCTGTGCTCTGTGGAGCCAGAGTGGCAGAGCGTGGTGGATCAGCTTCAGCCAGCCCTGGGCTATGCAGCCCCCACAACAGCACTTGCTTCCAAAGCTTTCAAATTCTTCTCTTTGACTTGGGTCCTGGGCAGCCCCTCCTGGCTGACTGCATTTAGCTTTTTCCTCCGCCCTCTTTTCCAAGCAACCCACCTCCACCCCAGACTCCTCTTGAGTCTGCTTTAGTGCCACCCCTCAGGGCCCACCTGGAAAATCCCACAAAGTCCTGAGAAGCTTGTGACCTGGGGGCCTTTTCTAGGTATAAAGCCAAACTACCTTTGTCATGTTGGTGTCTTTCTATGAGTACTCAGGGGACATGGCATGTCCTTCACAAGCTGGTACAGACTTGCACATGCTCACAGACTCACCTCGGACCCCCCTGCTCAGCCCCCTCTGGAACCAAGGATGTCTGTATAAAATGTAGAATCTTAGGCACCCAGAGCCGCTGTTTAAACTCGTATTGTCCCCTCCACCAGCTAATTAGTTCAGAACCTGGTGCAGGACTGCTTCGCTCATCTCCAAGCTCCACCGATTCTGGGCCTCCTTTTGTTATCCAGCTAGACCCTTAAGCAAGTGTGGGTGCACAGGGTGGCAGCTGCTCCTCTGCAGCTTCAATGGAAGGGATGTGCTCCTTCAATCGAGGCTTAGTAAGTACTTTTTGCAAAAGTGAACAGGTGGTGTCAGTGATGAATGACTTGGTGGTTCTCATACTAAGTGCAGGGAGGAATCATGGACAAAGCCAGTTATAGTGCAGATTCTTAGTTCACACTCTCAATATTTATAATTAAGGGAGTCTGGGGCAAGGAAGGGGCCAGGGAATCTGCCTTTTAAATGTCTCTCAGGTGCAGATGGTCCATAGATCATTCTTTAAGAAACACTAAATCAATGAATGAATGAAAGAAGGAAGTCACCCTCTGCAACCTTACTCATCTACATCTCCTCTGCAAGTCTCCATCCACTCTCAGGAGACTGTGACTGAGAACAACTTACAGCAGGGGTTCCCAAGTTGGGCTGAGTATCAGAATCACTTGGAGAAACCGTGACACATACAGAATTCGAATTCAGTAAGCCTGGGGTGGGGCCCAGGAATCTGTATGCATCCCCTGTTATTCTAATGAACATTTCAAGTATTAATGCCTTGGAGTGTGACTCTCCCAGGGGCATGTGCGTTTTACAAAGGTTTTACCAATTATGGAACTTAGGATGACAGAGAGCAGGTAAGGGGGAGATTGCAAAGGTGGTGGGAAAGAACTGAGGGGACATGAGGACTTTGTTCTTTTGAAATGATACCAAACTCTGCCCTAATGTCACCCTGGGTGATGGGGCAGTCAACAAGAAGGACCAAGATGCAGCCTTGTGTTTTGTGGCTCCTGGTGGCCTGTGCAGGGCCATCTGCATAGATGGTTAACCTCCCCCCTCTCCTTGTGTGGCCAAGCCCTATCTACCTCTGACCATACCATGCCGTTTGTAGATCGGGGGTTTCCGGTAGATGTTACTGTCTCCAGCTGCCAGACAGACCAGGAAGGGACAGTGGGGAGGGGAGAGAGAGAGACAGGAGAAAAGGGAGAAAAGGAGATAGTACTTGGTCAGTTGATCTCAGAAGAGAGAGATGGGCAACAACTTTTTCCAAGGGGCCACCATCTTTTTCCCCTGGTGACTTCCTCTTCCAAAGTTGAACTTTCAACCTCGTCCCAACAGGTTCCAAGTAAGGTGCGGGAAGAGGAATGGATGGATCCAAGTGGTGCCGAGGAAGAGACCTGGGGCTTGAAGGGTGAGCATGCAGGCACAGGGGTGTGTGTGCTCAGCAGAGCCCCATGCAGGAAGGTGTCCACTGCCTCCACCAGTGGCCACACCTCATTCCATGTGAAAATTCCCAGGATGCTGCAGCCGAATTTCAGCTTACCTCCCTCCCCCTCCCTCAAAGACAGACAGGATGGGACCCCTCTAGGGCAGCTGAGGAAGGTGTAGATGAAACAGCAGCATGAGCTCTTGAGGGGAACGTGAGTGGGGAGTGAAAAACTGAGCTTGGTGTCAGGAGACTGAGGTTCAGCCCTGGCTCTGCTGTGACTCAGAGGGAGACCTTGTCCAAACTACACCCACTCAGTCCTGTAGCCCCTGTCTTCCTCTCAATTCCTGTCATGACCTGCGGTCACATGACATGATAGTGCTCTTCCCTCTGCCTGGGATGTCTTTCCTTGGCTTCTTCATAGGCTGGCTCTTCATCTTTTTTTCTTTTTGAGACAGAGTCTCACTTTGTCACCCAGGCTGGAATGCAGTGGCACGATCTTGGCTCACTGCAACCTCCGCCTCCCAGGTTCAAGTAATTCTCCTGCCTCAGCCTCCTGAGTAGCTGGAATTACAGGTACAAGCCACCATGCCCAGCTAATTTTTATATTTTTAGTAGAGACAGCGTTTCACCATGTTGGACAGGTTGGTCTCGAACTCCTGATCTCATGACCCACACGCCTCGGCCTCCCAAAGTGCTGGGATTACAGGCGTGAGCGACCACGCCAGGCCCCTTCTCATCTTTCAGCTTTAATGTTACCTCCTCCAAGAAGCTCTTCCTGACCGCCCCATCTAGCCTGGCCTCTCTCAGCCTCATCATCTCTCAGGATGGCCTGTTTTATTTATGTTTATGGCACCTATGGCTACCTGAAATTATCCTCTACCTATTTGTTTACTCATTTTTATCTCTCTTCCTACATTAGTACGTAAATACCAAATACCATGAAGGCAGGATCTGGGCTGGGTTGAGCACAGTTGCAACCTCTGAGCCCAGAACAGTGCTTAGCTGTACAGAAGGAATAACAGTGGCTTGGGAAGCCAAGTAACTGGCTCACAGTCATGAGCTTATAAGCAGCTGCATCGGATTCCATCCCAAGAGCTTTGAAGCCAAAGTGTGTAGCCTTCACCGCTGTGTGCCCCTGCTGCGCCCCTCACAGCCCTCAAGCACTCACGGTATCTCACTCGAGCTCCCTGCCTCTTTTCTTCCCGGGACTGCTTCTTTGAGGTCCTAATGGAGGCTGGTTCTGTCAAGTGGATAATCTGAAGCCCGTGGGTGTGTTGGGGTTGGAGGACAGGGTTGGTGCAGGTGCTTGGTTAGGGAGGTCCCTCAGGAACCAGCTTCTTGGTGCCTGTGTGGCATCGAGGGGGTGACTCAGGCACCTGTGACCCCATGGAGCATGCATCCATCCCAGGAATTCTGGGCTGGCAGTGCCTACCTGGGATGTGAAAGTGCTTGGGAGCCTGGTAAGAGGTTGGAGTGGAGGACCTCACATCTAACTGGCTATGGTATGGAGAGCTCCGGCCACTCTCGGGCCCTGGAGCACGCAGGAAGTGGTCGCCAAAGAAAACAGAGGCACAGAGAAAACAGGCATTAACGCGGTGGCAGTTTAGGAAGTGGTGAGGTGATGACAGCAGAGATGGGGGATGGGCTGGGGCGTCTCAGCGTGCTCAGGTTCCGGGGCGGAAGCAGCATGTGCTCTCATGCACCACGTTGGCAGAAACAAGCTTGACTTTGCTTCCTGGCTTGATCCCAAAGTCAGATTTTGTGAGATGTAAAGATCAACTCTACTGAGCTCCAGGAAGGCATGTTAGTTTGAACCTCTTATCTCCCCAACCATCCTTGAACCTCCCCCTTTTGGACGCTCCCTTAATTGCTCCTTTCCTCCATCCAAGTGCTGGCATCACCCCCAACCTGAGGGTGACTGTGGATGGTCTGACTGGATTGGCTGGGGTGGCCCTTGGGTGAAGGCCAGTTCATAGCCATATTTCTGGTCTCTTGGTTCTGCCCTCCGGATGGGGCAGGCCACGAGGATGGTGGAGTCTTCTTCCACCAGGGCCACAGGGCCACCTGCCAGCCCCCTCTCCTGGAAGTTCACCACCCACCTTCCTGCTGCTTCTCAGTGCCACACACTCCTCCATCCCCCCTGCCATCTCAGGGACTCAGAGAGGCCCAGCTGGTCACCTGGGTGGCCATAGGCCTCCAGAGGGCCACACTGTGATGGAGATCATGGGGGAGCCTTGTGCCCTCTGCAGCAGGGACCCCAAGTGACTGCATTGTCTCCCTGGCTCTTCCTCTCCCTTCAGGTCCTCCCCCTTCCTTACCAGAGCGGTAGTAGTGGTGAGGTGAGCGGGAGAAGGTGGGGGACATGCCCTGCCGGCTGTAGGTGGGGGAGTCTATGTACCCCGGGCTGGAGGCCCGTCTCTGCCGGAGGTCCAGGTTCTCGTAGATGTCCTGGGAGAGGAAATGGGGCTGTGAGCATGGCTGGCTGTTAAGTGGGCCTGTGGCCCGAGGGTCTAGCAGGCAGGTGGGCATGACATGGAATCTGGGATTCTCGGGTTTGAGGTGTGAATACAGAGACCCCCCTCCTCCCTGAGTTACACACACAGCCCGAGGAAGATGGCAGAGAATTTCCAGGGCTTTCCCCCATTACTTGCAGGCCCTTGAATGGAATCTATGGGGTCAATCCCTGGAATCCTGACCAGGGATCCCAGAAGCCTGAGGGAGGCCATCTCTGGGCAGGAAGGGCAGATTTCCATCCTGTATGCCACTACCACTTCCTCCAGGACATGCACCCGAGTCTCTCCAGCACTTCCCTGCTTGCAGGGAATACCTTGGGCAAGGGCTCAGACACCTTCGGGGGGCTGGGGATGGGTGAAGTCCACATAAAGGGGCACAATTATATATCAACTTAATTCTCTATCAGCTGAATTACCTGGGAGTAGGGAGATAATGTTCCCAGCGACTTAGAAGTGAAGAGTTTGAAGGCAGTTGTGGAACGAGCAGAAGGAATGAGAGGAGGACGAGACGAAGGACAGAGCATGGTTAGATGGCTCGGCAGAGAGGGTTTGCAGCAGTTCCTTTGTACCCCTCTCCAGATAACAGCCTCGCTGGGAATTCCAGAGGGTCAGACTACTGACAGGAGGCAGGAAACCTCGAGATTATGCCCGCCTTTTAGGAAGGGAAAAACCAAGGCCCAGAGAGAGAATACGAAGGCTCACGGCCACTCAGGGCAGAAGTGGCAGGGACTTGACTTGGACCCAGGCTTCTGTGCTGCATGCTCAGGGCTATTGTCACCACCCTTTCCTTGTCTCTCTACTGGTTCATGACCCCTCTACAGTTCATGAGGACGATGCCCAGGGCAGGGCACCCAGCAGCCAGCACCCTGGCTAAGCAGGGGCCAGGCTGGGGCCACCAACAAGGGAGTTGAGCTGGTGGCTGGTGCAGCAGCTGGAGATGGGATGTCTCGACTGAAGAGGGCAGCAGTTCCTCAGCTCCAGCAGCTGGAATGCCTGCCCAGCATTTACACAGCATCTTAATTTTCCAAGAAAGACAGAAGTGCAGATTCTTACATGAAATCTCCCAGTGTTTACTTGTTGACAACTAGTTTGCATTTTCAAAAGACACTTTGTGAGTGAAACAAAACAAATCTGAGGGCTGGCTGCAACCTGTGGGCCCTGGTTTGCCATCTCTAACTGAAGGACAAGCGGCTTCTACTAAACACTTGATCCTCCTCTCCTGGTGCATTTCAGGGGCCGGAAACCAGAGAATCTCAGCACTGGGCTCTTCAACCAAATGGAACCCAAATCCCTTAGGGAGGAAGGGAACTTGCCTGAGGTTATGAGGCTAGTTATGGTGGAGCTGGGACAAGAACCTGGGTCCCTGCCCACCAGGACAGGCTTCTGCTGCCTCAAATTAACTCAAGGGGTCTGGGATAAGGTTAGAAATCTTCTAGGATATAGACTGCCAGGACCTCCAGGGTAATTCTGCCCCCAACCCTGCTGCCATCTCCAGAAAACACTTTCTCTTGTTTAGCAACCATTTAATGATTTCAAAAGCTATCTGTTACTGAGTCTTTATAAAAGCGTCTCTTCCTTTGAAGAGACACTGGGGCTAAAGGCCAGGTGGGAAAACCAGAGAACATGTCTGATTAGACATGTTATAATCAGGGATTATAAATCTAAATGGCCACTGAGCCTGGCAGGAGATGAGCGCCTTGGGCTGAGTACATGAAAAATTCCTACAGTATAAGAAATACAACAGCTTGAGTAATAAGTGGTCACAGGCTCTTAGCTTCAATGCTGGGATTAACAGGGAGTCGGGGGACTGGGGGGAATGGAAAGCTCATGTCCTGTCTATAGGGGGTGCTGCTTCCCATCTCCAGATGGTGGAAATGTAGGTTTAAGGTTGTCGGCTCTGATTTTTCAAGAAGAGCCAGAAAGCCAAATGAAATCTCTTCATTTAAAAAACGTTGGCCATAAATCCCAGTGTAGAAGAGTCTGGGAGCCAGCATTGTGGAGGCCAAACTGTCTGTGATGGAGAGGGCTGGGGACCCCAGAGCAATCTCCTTTCCTACAATAGCCCCAGAGAGAAGGGCAAGATGCGATACCTCTCCATAGCCACATCTCTCCAGCATCTCGTCGGACATGTATCTGGAATGAGGCTCATAGGAAATGAGGTCGGGGCGTTGTACCTCGTAGATAGACTTAACCTTGGGGAGAGCCGCCAGGTCTTTGTAATTAAGGATCTCATTATCCACTTTAGCCTAGGGAAGAGGGAAATGGACAGGAAAGGAATAGAAAGATAAGAGGGAAAAGGGAATGGAGAGAGGAAACAAAAACAAGATACAGAAGGAACAAACTTCTCCAGTTTCCACCACAAACAGATTAGGATCAAATTGAAGAATAGTAGAATGTTAGAATAAAAGTGGTCTTAGAGGCCATCCATTCCAACAGGGCTAACATTTATTGAGCACATATTGTTTGTAAGCCCTGTGCTTTATAATAATTATATCCTCTAGATGTTGTAATGCCTCTGTGAAGTAAATGTCAATATCATTTCTATTTTCTAGCTGAGGAAATGGAGGCTCAAAAGGTTATACAGTTTGCACCACTAAGCTAATAGATTTGAATTCAGCCTGAACTACACAGCCTGGGTACTGACTGCCTTCCGATCCCACAGAGTGAGGACATCCCAATTCACAGCATCCTTGAAGAAGAAGATGAAGATGGTAAAGACAAAAATAATCATGATAGTAAAACACTAGCTAACATTTGGTGAGTACTTATTATAAGCCAGGCTCTGTACCAAGTCCCTTATATAGATTAACCCAGTTCATCCATACAACTCACAACTCTAGTAGTAGGCACCAACATTATCCTCCTTTTGAATAAGGAACCAGAGGCACAGAAAAATCAATTAACTTGTCCAAGTTGCAAGAGCCCAAGTTTCAACACAGGGAGCTTGCCCTCTTCAGCGGCCTCTCCTGTCTTCTCGGGATGGGGAGTTCACTGTCTTACACCGTCAGAAGGCTGCATTCAGAAAGCTGCTCTTTCCATTGAACTGAAATGAGCCTCTACCTTCTGCTTGACTTTGGCAGAGTTCATCCCTCTAGAGCTGCATGGATTGAAAGAAAGCTTCCCCTTGCATGTGACAGCCCGCATCTCATGGCCCCTGAAGCCATGCCTTTTCCACGGCCATGTCCTCCAGCTGTTCCCTCTGTGACCTGGTGTTTGCTATGATCAACCAGGATCTGTCTTGCAAGGTCCTGAGGTGCTGCAAATTACAACAGAGGCTGCTAGATAGAGAATTCAGAGACTGTATTAGTCTGATAACATTCTCCCAATGCCATAGGAGCCAAGTACAGTCTCAGGGCCAAGACTACTTTATAGGAAGCACCATTCATAAATACCTATAAGCTGTGCTATTTTGAAAACCTACCAAAGCCCTTCCACTATTGTATCCCTGCCACATCAGCACTGCAATTAGGGCAGGGTTGCTTATTCTCTGTTGCCCCTAGACCCAGTGTCCACCCTTCCTTGCCTGGATCTATGTCCTGAACACTGCCTGGGCTGTATCACAGGCTCTTTTGCTCTCTGACTTTCAGTTGGGTTTAGCCAATGGGATGCACCAGCAGAGACTAGAGGGTGAATGGAGAGAGAGGTTGGCACACTTATTCCCCTGGCAACCTTCCTGGCTGGCTGTGGGCTGGGCATGACTCTCTCTGGAGGCTGGGCTTCCCCAGCTCTTGCCAGCTTTGGTAATGCTGTTCCCTTCCCTCATCTTTTTAGGTCCAGTGTGGTAACAACATTATGTTGCTGTAGTCCCTGAATACCTCACTGTCTCCTGTGGGTCCACTTAACCCTGCCCACAACTCCGTCATGAAACCTTCCTCAGTTGAACTCTTTGAGGTAGGCCACCTGATTTCTGCCAGAGCCTGCCTGGTACAGACACTCACATCTGCACCAGTTCTGGGGGTGTGTGGGTAAAAAAAGCCTTTATTAGATGAGAGTCCACTTGCTGAAGTAATTGCTGCCTTTTGTCCTGGCTGTTAGATCTTGACCTTGAGAGCTCTTGGCATCTTCCAAACTCATCTCGACCCATAACTATTCATTTTGGCACTTTACCCCAAACCTCAAAAACACTAAATTTATATTTCTTCCTATAGCCACTTTGTTTACAGGGCTATAAATGAGCCTCAGGTCTGGACACACCAATTGATCAGAGGCATCCTAACATAATTAGCCAGGAAGGAAGGAAGAGAACACATGGGTCAAAGCCAAACCACCTGAAGATGATTCTAGAAGTCAGTGGAGATGGAGTAAAGTTTGAAAGTTTGAAAGAACCTGCTCGTTTCAGGTTCACTGATAATTCTATTTGAATCTAAAATCTCAAATGTCTATTAAAACTAAATTAAAATCCATCTTTATGCTTGTTATTGCATCTATCCAAAGCAGATGGATGAATTTTTTTCCAAATTTGAAAGCCATGCTTGGGATGGGCTCACTGAAAACAGGGCTTCTATGACATGTTCAGTCATTCCCAGGAGCAGCTGAGCATGAGGCACCATAAACGGTGAGAGCAGGAGAGGCTGGAAGGGGAGACACATGCCTCTGCTAGGATGTGAGGGACAACTGATCTCAATGTGTAAGCCCCTAGTTGGAAGGCACAAGCGCAGGTGTTCCTAGCTGCCATCATAAATTCCATTCAGTAATGGAGTTGCTCATCACAGGGGCAATTCTGGGAATCTTTCTCCAGGACTCCACGGTGAACATCATCAGGGCTTAACTTATTTCACAAAGGTTTACAAGGCCCCTCAGTAGCACCGGGAGACCAGCTTGTGATGAACAGTATTACAGTGCAGCAGCTTCCTGAGTGCTCCTATTCTAGTAACTCTCTTCTGGAAACATACTCATATTTGTCAATAACATTCTCACTGTGCATGCCTGGAAACTAAGCCCATTAATCCTGCTGTGGTCTGGCCCCATTCACAGTGCCAGGGAGACTATTACCTTTCTTGCTTTAGAAAGGAATCTTCCATGAGTACAGCCTGTGATCAAAGCAGCTTGTCTTTTTTGACAGCCACATGGTAGTATTGACCCATATTGAAATTTCAGTCAGTGATAACTCTTAAGTGTTTTTCTTTTTTTCCATTTGACCAGAGAAGAAAGGAAAGGTGCCCATAGTCCCATCAATGGGCATTATCCAGGGATCAAAGAGGAGACTGGATGTGGATTTGAAGTAATGATCTGGCAGTAGTGGACAGGGCCAGGGCTGGCTGGTTTGCTGACTCTATCTAGAGCTTCTTGTCAGGAATGGGTTTCTTGTTACAGACCATTTTCCCCACATTTCTGGTCTTCTTGGCTCCTTTGGCTTGTGGAAGGCTGGAACAGTCCAGAGTCAATCAGATTGAGGTTTTCTGCTCGTTTCAGCTCTCCCTGGCTCTGCGTTTCCCACCTCCTTTAGCTTATTTCTGTTTATCCCTCTGCTTTGAGTTTAATGTTTCTTCCTCGGGATGCCTTCTCCCAACTAGTCCTAGATTGTCAGGTCCCTCTGTTTATCTGTAGTATCATCAGAGGACCCTGTGCTTTTCTTTCCTGGAATTTATAACTGCAATTGATGATTCATGGCACTATGTCTTCAATGTCATGAGGACAGGCATCAAGTCTGTGTAGTTCATCACCATTTCCCCAGAGCAGAGCACTGTGCTTAGCAGAGTAAATGCTTGGCACATGTTTGTTGAATGAATGAATGACATATACAAGGGGCCTCTGAGGTCATTGAACTCAACTTCTGTCTCTTCTTCTACATCCCTGGCAAATGATGAGTCTCTCTGTGTTTGAATGCCTGTGGAGATGGGAGCTCAGACACATGGAGGTGGGTCTGCTCCATCCCTGGACTTCCCACATGATTAGAAACCTCTTCCTTATGTTTGCAAATTCTTTACAGCCATGTTTCCACATGTGTATGTGGCTTCCTTCTCCTTTCTGCCTCTTTATCACCCACCACTATCTCCACATCAATATTCCACCTAATACCTATTCAGAATACCACTTTGATCCTCAGTTTTTTCTTGCTCTCAGTTAAGTAGTGGGAAATGAGGCACCTTGCATTGGTTTTAGAACTCAGCAAGGGCTCTTGCTGTCATTGTACTTTCTTTCTCGTGCTCCATGGAACTCTGCATTATCCCTGAAACTCTGGGTTTACTAGACTGTTTGCTTCATGAGGGCGGGATCTATGTCCTCCCTGTACCCCACTGGATCCTCAAGACCTGGTACAGAGCCTAGCACATGAAGAGCATGCATCAAATGTCAGCTGGATGAAAACTTGAGAGCTCCCTTATCCTTAGTGACTCTTTATATACCAGGTCAGGAATAAAGAAGGCCCTTTGGTGGTAGAAAAGTGATACATACGCAGATGACTCGGTTGGGTGACCCAATGCTGGATCCAGGGGGTGAGATGGAGGTTTCAGATGTCCGTCTATGCTGTGAGAGAGATGAAGACAGAAAAGGTGAGAAGCTGCAACCTGAGCTTGGTGGGGAGGGTGAGACAGGGGGTTAAGAATGCAACATTAGCAATACCATTAAAGTACTCTCTGGCTACTTCTGTACTTCCTTTTTATTCTCTGTCTTTCAAGTCAAGGTCTGAGTATGAATGCGACCAAAAATGCAAGGACTTCAGGCTGTTAGGGGTGGAATATGGATTTATTTTCTACGTATTTGCAGCTAGCAGTCTAAATAGGAAATTACTCATAAAACTTTTCATTTTGAGTTATCCCAGTCAATAATGTATTTCTTTTAAAAAATAAAATTGGTTAGCATTCATTCCTTGGGAGTTTGTTTATTCAAAATGTAAAAGTGGGTTAAATTTCACGTAATTGCACAATATGCTGATTCTTTACAGTGTATTAATTGCAAATTGACATCAACTTAAGTGATAAACTTAAAAAAAAAACTGTCTCTGAACAATGGCAATGATGGATTAATAGCTTCCTTAGCAGAGCAGCATGATGCCAGTCTTAATGCATAAGAGGGTGCCTGCCTGATGTAAAGGGATTAGGAATCAAGGACCCACAGGTGAAGTATGTGGTCTTAGGCATCTTGGATTCTTGATCTGTGAAATGAAGAGGCTGAGCTTCAGGATCACTTGATTCTCTCCCAGTTTTCTCATCCTACAATTTAAAGCATTCTAAGTGGGGCTATAAAGTTTCCTAAATTGTGGACTGTGAACTAGCGGTGGTTCTGGGAAGATGAAGGTGGAACATTTGATAATACTGAATCATAGAGTTAGAGAGTAAAATCTAACGTTTCAATCCCCTTGATAGATCAAGGAGGCCGTCTCAGTTTGGTGCTAATTCTTTTCAACAACTCTCTCAACAATTGTCAATTTCCTATTTTATTTTATTTTTGAGACAGAGTCTCGCTCTGTCATCCAGGCTGGAGTACAGAGGCACAATTTTGACTCACTGCAACCTCTGCCTCTCATTTTCAAGTGATTCTCCTGCTTCAGCCTCCCAAGTAGCTGGGATTACAGGCACGTGCCACCACATCCAGCTAATTTTTGTATTTTTAGTAGAATTGGGGTTTCGCCATGTTGGCCAGCCTGGTCTCGAACTACTGACCTCAAGTGATTCACCCGCCTTGGCCTCCCAAAGTGTTGGGATTACAGACTTGAGCCACCACTCCCAGCCCAATTTCCCTTTTTAAACAAAGAGAGTGCAGACAACATTGTCTAGCTAGGATTTTAAACATTTATTCTTAAGAATTATTTCATTATCATTGAATTTATTTTATGATTACCTTCTATTTATAGCAAGTATTACTGGTTTTCACGTGGCAATATAAAGTTTTATTTTAAAATAAGGTTAGTTAATAAAAAGTAGTGACTTGATGTAAAGAAAAAGATTAAGCATATAATGAAACAGGTGGTGCACAGATATGGCAACAGGCATCAGGGTTGTAGACGATGACTGAAGTTTGGGAAATGCCACCAAAGGGGAGGAAAATGAAGAAAGGGACAATTAGGTCTTATACCTTAAATGGGAGAGGGTCTTGCAAGAAACAGGGAAAGAAATTCAGGGCTTAAAACATAATTATGCATCAATAAACTGGCTCTTTCAGAAAACTTTCATTAAGTGGATGAGATAGCAAGGAAGACATGTTTAACTAGCTGGTCAGAAATTGTGCACTTGCTTTTCTAGTTGGATAGACTCTAGCAGGTAACACAATAGAGTCCCAAGGGGTCAACTTGATATCCGGGGGCCAGGATGTAAAGGCCCCATTCCCCATCCCCCAACACACACCCCAGGTGTCTCCTCTACATCATCAAAGACCCAGAAGCCGGATCCTTCCTGCAGCCTGGGAGGCTCAATCCCTCTCTGCAGTATCAGGAACCCAGATTCACAAGCCTTCCTGACATTTGTCAGAACACAGTAATTCAGAGGGACACAGGACCTCAGCTGGCCCAGCGCGTACCTGGGGATGTCGGCTGTGCTTTGTTACTGCAGGCACATCATCACCTCTTTAGAACTGGTTTTCTCACAGGCAAGGCAAAGATAGAATTTCTTGCCCATCTGCCTCACAGGGTTAAAGGAGTAAAATCAGACAGTGCCTGTGAAGATGCTTTGTAAACTGTCAATTACTGTGACATTATTAACTATTATTATTAACGAGTGACCTTAGGCTGGGAAAAACCATGGCGAGAGCTTCTCAGCGAGGCTGCCATCTTGGTCAGCAATGGTAGAGTTACAGCCTCACCCCAGAAACACAAAACTCTCATGAATACAGTGCTTTACAGTTTTCAGAGTGCTTTCATATCCGATGTCTTAACCCCCTCAAAAACCCCATGGGGCAGGTGTTACCGTTAGGAAAATCCAAGGACATAGGCACACATTTGGGAGTGTGCACACTAAGGAATGCTGACCCTGTCCCAAAGCACAGCTCCCTTAGCCTGTGGCAGAAAGTAGCAAAGCAGGAGTGCTGGTCTGGAATCTACTAGCTTGCTTACCTTTAACTTCTTCTCTGCCCGGGCTGCCTGTTTGCAGATGGGGTGCCAAACCTCGGAACCTAAGGGGTCATGAAAATAACGAAGACTCAGACCTTTCAAACCCTCCAGCACTCTCCCCATGTCCCACCTTGATTCACTCCGTGGTCAGCGTATGTCCCTTACACATCTGCCAGAAGGGCCCTCTTGGCTTTCCCAGCTCCCTCCTGGCACCTCTCAGACCTATGCGACCGCTCACATCCTTTTTCTGTGTGTCCAAATCCTACCTGTTCCTAAAGGTCTAGGGCTCACATGACATCCTCTTGCAAACTTTCTTACCTGCCAGTTGGGGGTGACTTCTCTGTCCTTTGTGATCCATAGTTCTTTGTGTCTCTTTCCACACATACAGCCTTAAGGCACAGTAGCTTATGGATTTTTCATTTCCCACTAAATCAAGAGCTTCTTCTGGGCGGGAGCTGAGCTTTATTCATTGCTACATCTCCCACAGTCCCCAGCACGGGACTTTGCTCTTAGAAGAGATCCGTACATGTTTGTGGGGTGAAGAGGTGAGTGCATGATTGGCAGTCAGTGACACATAGCAGGTGGTCAATAAATATTTGTTGAATGAATAAATGACAGTGTGGATAAAAAAGAGTGACAGAGCATGGTGAACTCCAGCTTTCTTTTCTCTTAAAGACTTATGACTGTCTACCAGAGCTATCACATTTAAGGGGGAGGAGGTGTCATGGTGTATATTCCGCTTGAGAGCATTGCCTTGACCTGCTAATTCCTCAGAGACTCCAGACTCTTCAAATTTAGTATACTGCTAACGCCCACATTTTATTGTGGGTGGGGGTCCAGTTGGCCAGCCCCAAACCCGAAAGGCCAATTTGGAAAGGCATGAGCAACAGGTGGCTGCTCACATGTTGAGAAGCAGCCCCAAATATGACACATTCCCCAAAGAAGGGACAGGTGTCCTGGATTAGAAGGAAAAATAGGAACATATTATCCCTCTGGAGCCATTCCCCTTGTAACCAGCCCTAAAAGGAAAGAAGCCAGCAATGGCTGGATTCCTGAGCATCCAGATGGCATTTGTTTGTCTGACTTTGTCTCTAGGATATACTTTATATTATGCTTTGTTGCCTGGAACCCCCAGGACCGGAATACTAGCTAAGGGATGAGATGGTGGTGAAAGGTCAATAAATCGGAGTGAAAAAGAGAAGAGAGGCCTGAAGTGAGGAGGCCTGTGTTTTTTGTCTCTGCTCAGCCCCTAACACATCCTCTCTCTGGGTCCCAGTTTCCTCATCTGAAGAACAATAAGGTGGGATTTGGGTGGCCTTGAAGATTATTTTCATCTCCAAGTTTCTAATTTTACGGGCAGTTTTGTCTTTTGTGGAACAAGAATCTTTGATTTTTGTCTGCCGACATACTTGGGTATTCCTTATTATTCAACTGGGTTTAATTCTTTCTAAAGTAAAATGCAATGGTTCTCAGAGCCCAGTAGAGGGACTCTGAGTCTGTGGCTTGATCCAGCAATCACAGGGTGTGTCCACTACCAAGCTGTGTGTTGGGATTCTTACTTTAGGGAGTTATTAGAGAGAGCGTTTCCGGTTCCTCTCTGAGTTGCTTCCGAATCTATCAGGAATTGTTTATGACTGTGGCTGTGGCAGGAAACACATGTTACAGGTCACTGTAGGAAATGGATGAGATGGACACAGAGGTCTGAGGAGGTCATGAACTTAAGTTAAAGAGACATAGGAAAGATCAAGAGGGCAGAAGTCCTCATACAAGGAAATAATGTGTCAAGCGAGGGGGTCAGACTAGAGGGTCTCTTTTGCTTTCTAACCCCATAACATTGGCATTTCACTCTGAAATAAAACTGAGCCAAAAATGGCCATTAACTTCAGCACTCTGCATACCGGAAAGCATATTTACATAAGAAACAAGGAGAGGAGGATCAAACAAGAAAAAAAATATAATTAGAAATGAAAAAAATCAGAATTTAGGAGTTGGTAGTATATCTGTAAATAAAAGAGGCTAAAAAAAGTTAGTTGGTAGCTAGCAATAAACTTACATAAAGAATGCAAGAAAAGATGATTTGTTCATGAAGATCCCTGTGAAATAACGGTCTTCTGAGCTTATTCCCTAGGCCAATAGCTCAACAATGTGACATTAACAGAAGGATAACATCATGGTGAAGAAGATGGTTATTCTCTTCAGTGGACTTTATCCCCAGAGCCAAAAACAGTGCCTGGCCCATGTGTGTTTAACAAAGAAATGCATGTGAATGACTCATTGGACCCTACCTTTGTATTTTTTTTCAAAAAGATACTAGGTATAATGCACCCATGAGAGGATGGTGACTATCCTAGGAAGGGGACTCAAATGCAATTCTAAGGCTGGGTCTTTACCCTGAAGAAGAGACTTAACAGAATGGTGAAAGCTGATTTTACAGATTTTAATGACTCTCTGTAGGAAGAGGCATTCATTTGTTTTGTAGAACTAGGACTAAGGGCAGAAGGTTCAGGCAAGGAACATTTAACACCTAAGAACTGAATGGCCTTATTCAACTGACAGTAAGCCCTTGTCCCTAAAAGTGTTTAAGTACACATTGGGTATATAAATGCTCAGCAGTGATATTAGGAAGGAGACTCAGCACACAGTACTTACACTAAGGGATGTTTACCAGCCCCCAAATCCTTAGAGATTCTGTTTCCATCTTAACAGGTTTTACTGTACCGAGAAGATAATTATTTGCCCCACCCATTTATCCTGATAAGAATGTAAATTCTATGAGGAGAGGATTCATGTCTGTTATACCTACAGATATATCTGCAGGAACTGCAGATTCTCAATAAATACTCATTGAGTGAATAAATAAACAAAAGAAACATGGCATTCTATCTTAGGCAGTTGGCTTCTCTAACTTGGGCCCAGAGATTTGGACAAGTAGTACAATCTAGACTCTGATTAGACAGCCACAACTCCAGACTGAGTCTACAAACATATTCACTATATTGGGGTGTGTCAAACTGTGACCTGTGGATCACCTGTCTTGCAGTCTGGTAAAATTCAGATTCCTGGGCCCCCCTGCAGAAGCCACTGACGCCAACTCCCTGGAGGTGGGACCTGGGAATCTGTGATTTAACAAGCTCCCCAGGTGATTTTATGACTCATAATTTGAGAACCACAGGGCTAAATACCAGATAACACTCTAAATTTATTTTCTTGGAATGTTATGTGATAAAGAAACCAATTTTATAAGGCAGAGCTCTAGCTTTTTGTAAGAGTACAACATTTTCTGCTTGTTCAACTCCTGGTTCCATGAGTCACTTCCTCCTGTCCTCTGAGATTGTCACCCACAATTCCAGGCTCTGCAGTTAAAACCTACTATGAAGGTTATGGAAGTGAAGGATTAGCTATTTCTGTATCAGCTGACTCAGAGATAGAGATGTTAATCTCCAAAACTATCTGTCAGCCAGGTATTAAGGCCATTTTTAATCGTTAGCAGAGTCAGCAGTCAGTCTTATCTCTCTGATTGGTTATAGCACACTCCACACCTGTAACATTTGGGGCTGATTTAATGTTGGGGAAGCCACCCACCTCTCTGCTACACCCTGATGTTAAATTTGCCAAGGCTTTTTTTTTTTTTTTTTTTTTTGAGATGGAGTTTCGCTCTTATTGCCCAGGCTGGAGTGCAATGGCACGATCTTGGCTCATTGCAACCTCTGCCTCCTGGGTTCAAGTGATTCTCCTGCCTCAGCCTCCTGAGTAGCTGGGATTACAGACATGCACTACAACACCCGGCTAATTTTGTATTTTTAGTAGAGATGGGGTTTCTCTGTGTTGGCCAGGCTGGTCTCAAACTCCCAACCTCAGGTGATCTGCCCGCCTCGGCCTCCCAAAGTGCTGGGATTACAGGGATGAGCCACCATGCCCGGCCAATGCTTTTTGTTTTTTAATGCCAAAGCTGGAGTTGGTATCATAGTCTTCTAGAATGTTGGCATTCTAGAGGTTACAAGTACAGTGATTGAAAGTGGTCCATTGGACGGTTCTGTTTAGTAAGCATGATTTTAAACAGTTCTGAGTCTGAAGGTTTTTAGATACTGCAGGTCACCAGTGACCCTCCCTACTTTCTGACTCCCAGCCCTTCCCACTCCTTGACGTGGGCATTGGAGTTTTTGGCCTTGACCCTAGCTAGGGCATTCTCTTACGGCAGGTTTCCTCTCTGGATTTCTTTTTTTGTTTTGAGACGGAGTCTCGCTTTATCACCAGGCTGGAGGGGAGTGGTGTGATCTAGGCTCACTGCAACCTCTGCCCCCAGGTTCAAGCGATTCTCCTGCCTCAGCCTCCCGAGTAGCTGGGACTACAGGTGCATGCCACCACACTCGGCTAATTTTTTGTATTTTTAGTAGATACGGGGTTTCACCATGTTAGCCAGGATGGTCTCGATATCCTGACCTCATGATCCACCCTCCTCAGTCTTCAAACTGCTGGGATTACAGGTGTGAGCCACTGCGCCTGGCCTCTGGATTTTTTTTTCACCATAGCAGGATGAGGTTTCTCAGACCTCTGCCTTTATGACAGCAGCACTATCTTTGTGGCAATAGACTGGGAGGAACCTTGGAACTGCTCCTTTAAAATCTCCATGCACATAAACCAACCCAAATGCCCATCAATCAATGAGTAGATAAAGAAACTGTGATATATATATATATATATATATATATATATATATATATATATATACACACACACACACACACACACACATATTATATACATACATACATATATATATATATATGTATATATGATGGAATACTACTCAGCCATAAAGGAAACAAAATAATGGCATTTGCAGCAACCCAGATGAAATTGGAGGCCATTATTCTAAGTAAAGTAACTCGGGAATGGAAAACCAAACATTGTATGTTCTCATTCATAAGTGAGAGCTAAGCTATGAGGATGCAAAAGCATAAGAATGACACAATGGACTTTTGGGGCTCAGGGGGAAAGGCTGGGAAAGGGGTAGGGGATAAAAGACTACAAATTGGGTGCATTGTATACCACTCAGGTGATGGGTGCACTAAAATCTCACAAAACGTCACTGAAGAACTTCCAAACACCATCCTGTTCCCCAATTACCTATGGAAATAAAAATTTTTTTAAAAAATCTTCATCCACATAAAAAATGTGGTAGATCCAAAAATGGAATATTGTTCAGCCATAAAAGGAATGACCTGCTGATACCTGCTATTATACGGATGAACCTAGAAAGCATTATTCTCAGGGTGAGAAGCCAGTCACAAAAGAACATATATTGTATGGTTCCATCTGTAAGAGCTATACAAAATTGGCAAATCCATAGAGACAGAAAACAGATTGGTGACTGCCAGGGGTTCGGGGACAGAGGAATGGGAAATGACTGCTTAATGGCATGTATGAGGTTTCCTTTTGAAGTGATGAAAATGATTTGGAACTAGATAGAGGTGGGGGTTGTACAACATTGTGAATGCACTAAAAGCTACCGAATTGTGCGCTTTAAAATGGTTAATTTTGTGTTATGAGAATTTTACATTAACATAAAAAATTTCCCACTCCTCTCCTCCCAGCAGGTGAATTGCTTCTGTAGACCAAGGCACTCTGTTCCTCCTTTGCTACTGAAAGTGCCAAACTCGGCCAGAGAGAGGAGTGAACACTGCTGTTGAATCTGCCCTGTAATAACAACAGTGTGATCATTATAATCTTGGGTGTTAGTAAATCTTTACTGGTATCAGGCACTCTGTGCATCATTTCATGTAATATTCTTAAGGGGTTCCAATCCTGGCTACATCATTTACTAGCTGCATTGTCTAGAGCAAGTCAGTTGCCTCTCTGTGCCTTGGTTTCCCTATTTATAAAACAGGGATGACAACAGTATCTGCCTCATAGGTTTGGTTTGAGGATTAATGAGTTAATCCATGCCCAGCACTTAGAACGGTGTCCGCCTATGTCAGGGACTATATAAGTGTTGGGTATTGTTGTTCTTATTGTCTCCTCTCCTCCACCTACAAAAATAATCTGTGTGCCAGGATCTAGTTTGGGTAAGGGGAGAGCAGTAAAAGGGAGACTTGAGGGGAGCAGGGAGCTGGGGCCTGGGTGAGCGAGGGGGCTGCAGCACATGGCAGGCTGGCTATGCAGGTGGAGTCACTGAACAGAAGCCTGGCTTGGTTGCCAGCGCACCCTCCTGGGAGGTTGGGCTTGTGCCCAGGGACAAGGGCACCTCGGGAGAAGTGGGAAAGACCTACTTGCCTGGAGCTGACATGATGAAGTGGGCCTGAAGCTTAATAAAGAGGTTGGAGGGAGAAAAGTGTTTAGTTACCATGAGGCTGGTTACCATGGAGGATATCGGGCAGGATGAGAAGGGGAAAATGGCAATTCTGAGGTGCCTTGTAATTCACGAGAAATAATAGGTGCTGATAATAACAGTTGGGACAGTAATTAAAGTATATTGAGTGCTTAGTATGTGCCAGGCCCTAAGTATTCTTATTATTCCTATTGTTACTATTATAACTAATATTTATAGAGTGTCGATACCAGGCCTTGTGTCACACACTTTATAACAATAGTGCTTAAATATAAAAAATAATAACTGCCATTTATTGAGTATATATGCTGCACCTTATGCTAAGTATTCTTAAAAATGCTGATAATATTGACAACAGCAAGCACTTACTACTGCATTGCAACATGGGAATGGCCATTTCTATATAACTGGCTGATTATCATGAGCTCAGACTGGCAGAACCAGCAATGCTAGTCCCTGTGCTGAGTCTTTACCATGCATTCATTAGTTCATTTAATCTTCACAACAGCCTTGTGAGATGGAGCCTAGCCTCATCCCTCTTTACAGATGGGAAGTTGGGGGTTAGGGAGCTTGGATGTCTAACCTGCTTGTCCGTCTCTGTCTCCCCACCCTGGCCTGAGTGTGGGCAACAGGTCCTCAGACTCTCTGGAACTTCTCTGCTGAGCTTAGCGGGACATGCTGCCTCTCTGTACTGATGGTGGCAGGGGGCTGGCCAGGCCCTCTGTCCTACTGCATGGAGACAGCCAGTCTGGGCAGGAGAGCATGGGGCCAAACACAAAAAGAAACAGGGAGAAGAACCACCTGATGGTGCTCACGGGCCCCTCGACCCAGCTGTGCTGCTCCTAGACGCTTCTTAGTTCTGTGAGCTGATCAATCTTCTTTTGCCTAACATAGCTTGAGTTAGGTTTCTGTCACCTAAAATGTCTAGACTAATAAAATGTCTCATCGAGCTAAAACCTGAATATCTGACAAGTTCTTGACTTGCCCAGCAGGCAATTTTGTTTCTCAGAAAATAGAGGAAGTAAGCCGGGAAATTGCTACTCTAGACCTAATTCTGACCAACATGGACAAATTGACTGCTGAAGTCGATGTGACATGTGACAGGCGAGAAAATGGCCACATCGGCATGAGTCTGTGGTGACCTGAGAGGAGAAGCTGGAAACAAACTTTAGAAATACAAACCTTAAGCTACTACACTGTAATACTTTCTATATGATTCAAGATGCTTGGTAACCCTTAAAATCTAAATAAAAAAAAAAATGGCAGCTCGCCAAAAATTAAAATATACTCTATTTAAAATGAAATATGCTTAGTAGAGTCAGACTTCAGGAAGTATCAATTTAGTACAGTAACAGAATATGTCTGAAAAATCTAAAATTAGGTAGTAGGATTGGGGAAACATAAGATTTAAAGTTTTTAAGCATAACTCCTACAACCTAAGCTGTCAGTAGAGAGATCCAATTTAAAGTAATAATGCTAAACTACGAAATTATAGCAACCAATACTACAGTAGTGCCTTTTAGAGGGTGGTTTCATGAAATGCGTAGATGATGACTGAGGGCTGGCGTTCCACAACCCATAACAATGGGAGGCCCTCACTTGAACATCTCTCAGCTTAGTGCACCTTTTCTGAGTTACAACCCAGCCATGCCAGAAATACACAGCTCCTGAAACCAGGACCTTGTATCCTCTGAGCTAAAAAAAAAAAAAAAAAAAAAAAAGTAATCTGAAATAGATTCAGTTACACAAGAGAAGGGTTTGGGGTTTGGTGTAATTATCAAAACAAGCTTTTGAGACTCCGTTTCGGATTTGTGTTAACACAGAACCAAGTCTCTTCACTTTATTTTGGCCCATGGACACCTCTGAAAATCTGATGAAAGCTATGGACCCTCTGCCTAAAGAAACACACCTAGCATGCAAAATTTAGCAAGCAATTTCAGAAGACTCATAGAGTTCAAAAGGCTGACCATGAACCAGTTTAAGAATTCTGGTAATATAGATGTAAGAAAATTGCCTCCAAGAACCCTAGCAAGACAGGCCCACTTTGGCTAAGTGGCGTATGCTCTTGAAACTTTCATTCTCATCCTCTAAAATGAGGACATTAATAGTTTTTAGCTGACAGGGTTGTCGTGAGGATAAAATGGGATACTGTGTTTCAAACTCTTAGTACAGTACTTGGCACATAGTAAATGCTCAAAGTATACCAACAAATAATAATTATATTATTAATAATAATAATAAAATGATGGCATTTTATTATTATTAATATTTTTATTATTATCATTATTATTGGTGAGACCTATAATTTGTTATAATACTTTTCTTTAGCAGAGTGAGGTTTGTCCAGTATTTTATAAATGATTTCCTGCCTTGTGGGTTTTAGTTAAATATACAAATGATAACAGCGAATTGTTTTAAAATGTGCAGCTGAACTTACGTAATTCCAGGGTTATTGTCTCAGGTCTTAGAACAGGAGGGTATTTGGTGTAGACAGAAGGGTAGAAGAAGAGTCTATTTTCTCCCTTTTCCTGGGTACAGGCACATTTAGAACAAGAGCAAAATTTGTCTCATGAACCACATTTGGGATTTTAAAAAAACTCTCACTGATCTAGTAACTGCAACCTTTGGGATTTCAGTATAAGTTTTGCCCTGAACCTGCAGCATTTTGGCCATTATTTTGCTGCACAAAATGAGTGACCTAATTTCCTGGTGAAGCCCAAATGAAGGGTTTGGATAACAAACAGATTAGATATTTGGCATCTTTACAAACACAGTTAAAAGATTGAATACACAACAGAACTTAAAACAAATAAAACTTGCTCTTGTCTCCTGGGGCCCCAGAAGTTCTCCTCCAGACAGACGTCAGACTTCTCCCAATTAGAGCCCATCAGAAAGCCATCACATAGCAATTAAAACACAAACAAACTCACCCAAAGAATCTCCCAAGGACCATTTGCCAGTACCATGCTGTGTCCAGCTCCAGAACTGACAAGGCTGGGTTTGTAAGCTTTGCAGGCATCCCAACACTCTCTCTCTCTTATATAAGTTGCTTTATGGAGTCCCCAGTGCCTTCACATTCACTCTCTCCTCTAATGTTCATGAGGACCTTGTGGCATATGGTTGCTCTCTGTGTGCCAGGTAAGTGGGCCTGCCTCAGTTTCTCCACCTCGTTCTGCTTCCACCCACCCAGGGAGGGCCTTTGCACTCACTGTTCTCACTGCCTCCTCAATCTTCCTGCCCTTTTCAGCCTCCCACCTCCTACTCATTTTCAAGGTCTTGGCTTGAAATATCCCTTTTTAGGGGCACCTTCCCTGGCTTCCCAGACTAGAGCAGGGGCTTTATAACACATGCCCATTGTTCAAAACTTTCTCTGTGCAGCACTTGTCACAGCTTGTCATTGAATGTTTACACTTCTATTTGGCACTGTTGGTTTCTCTTTCCAGAGAGTGAACTCCACCAGGACAGCAAGCATGCTTGCCTCACTCATCTCTGAATGCCCAACATGTAGCAGAGAGCCTGGCACATAGCGTGGCCCCCAGTTTGAGTGGATCAATGAAAGACGATGATGTTATCCTCATTTTACAGGTGAAGCAAGAGATCCAGAGAAGGAAGCCACTTCTCAAGGTCACAGCCTATTAGTGGAATTGCTGACGCTTGAACCCGGGAGTCCTGGCTCTCAGCCACTTCTTTACACTCCTGAGCTACCCAGGAGCAGGGTTTTCTTGCCAATTCTGGGGGATATCATATTGAATCCTGGTGTCCCCACTTGGTGAGGGTGTCCAAGGCCCAGATCTCAGTGGTAGCAGAACCCCCACAAGACACTCACAGCCCAAGTGAGCGTGACTCTAGCACTGCTTGGCCTGGTCCCCCTCATTCCAGGATCACTTAGCATCCTTTCAGGCAGGTCCTTGAATGCCCTGCAATTACTCCCACTCTCCCAGGAGCCAGGAGAGGGATGGGGATAATTAATGAGAAGGTGACAGGCTCATCTTCATTACTAAGAATATCTCCCACCCTTGGAGGCATTTCCACTGTAGGTTTAATGGTGCATTCTCTCTCAGGATCACAAAGCTATGCACTTTACTTCCTTGCTTAACTCTTTTAGCACCTGTGGGAAGTTGGAAGAATGAAAGCACTAACCTGTGAGGCTGTGAGCTCCATGAGGGCAGGGCCTTTGACTGATTTGCTCACTGCCACACCTTCAGTTGTGAGAACAGCAGCGGGGACACAGTAGATCCTCAATAGATATTTGCTAAATGAATGATTGAAATGGGAGCTTCCCATGTGTCACGAAATTACTACACCTATATCTTATAGCAACTGTTCTCGGTCTATTTTACATATTAGACAGCCAAGTTTCAGAGAGTTACGAGACTTGCCCAAGGTCAAAAACTTAGTAATCAGTGGAGCCAGGATCCCCCCTGAGGCACTCTGGGTGAAAGCACCCAACAGGGAAAGATTAAGATTAGGAATTCAGGCAGGGAGGCAAAGACGTGGTTTATTCTAGTGATATCCAGGTAGGGATGAGAATGGGAGGGCAGTTTCAATACTAGGAGGTTTGTTCACCAGGGAAGGAGGAGAGGAATATTGTGCAACAAATTTTCAAGCCAAGTGCAAACTCCAGGTTCCCATGGTGGTCAGGATGAAGGCAGGGTGCAGGTTGCTGAGCCTCATAACACTGGTTCCTGCAGCAGGAATCACTCAAGAACCCAGGCAATGAGGGATTGGTGTGCACAGGAAGGGACAGGGACCTGAATATCAGGCAGGGCCTGGGTCCCAGGGGTAAAGTGGAAAGAACCCTGGAGGGGAGACGCAAGGCCAGGCCCTGCTCTGCCCTGACGCACTCCCATTCTCACACAAGTCTCTTCTTTTCTCTGGGTCTATTTTCCCCATCTCTACAATGAGGGTTGGCACTTTACAGTTTAGAGTGACTCTGGGATCCTTACCACTCCAGCATCAGTTCATATAAGTAAGTAGACAGCATCTTAGAAATGGTCACTTTGTTTAATCCAACATAGGAATTCCTGCTCCAGGATTCTTAGCAGATGGCACAAGTTTCTGTTGGGTAGCTCTGGGCCAGTGGTTCTCCACTGAGGATGATTTTGACCCCCTAGGGACATGTGGCAATATCTGAGACATTTTTGATTGTCAGTGGGAAGAAGCACGTGGTTGGCATCTAATGGGTAGAGACCAAGGATGGTACCAAATACCCTACAATGCACAGGACAGCCCACAGTGTCACCAGTGCTGAGGCTAAGGAACTCAGCTGTAGGCACAGGGGGACTCATTGCATCTTGAGGGAACTCATGGCTGTGGGCATTGTGGCTAGGACAAGCTGATACTGACACACTCCCTGTAACTGCTGCCCTGGCCTTAGATCTACCTGGAGGAAGGGCCCTAATTCCTTCTCAAGATGGCTATCCAATCACAGCGATTCCACCAATGACATTCACCTGTGGAGGGAGTATGCATGGGCCAGGGTCAGGGCTGAGGGACAAGTGCCAGGAGCACAGGACCTTAGGGAGGAGGCCAACAACTCTCATACAAGCTGGAGGGGACCAGGGGCAGACAGAGGGCTGTGGGGATGGGGGAAGAGAGGACTGTGTTAAATTGTGGGTGGGGTTGGGGAAATCCTGGGTGCCTATGAAGCATGTAGTGACTGAACTGGGCCTCAAATGATAGGATTTCCAAAGAAGGGCACAGGAAGACAAGGGAAAGGGCCATGAGTTCATTTTAAGTCCAAACAAAGTCTCTCCACAAGGCCCAGCCCATACACCCTGCTTGCCTCCTGGCTGCATCTCACTTCTGTCTGCGCCCTGGCCACACAGGCTCCACTTGCCCTTATGCACTCGCCATTTCTTCACCCACCTCAGAGTCTTGCAGGCTCTGTCCTCTCATTTTGGTGCATCCTATTCCACTTTTTGTTCAGTTGCTATGGTCTGGATGTTTTTGTGTCCCCCACATCCATATGCCAAAATTCGAACCCCCAAGGTGATGGTCTTAGGAGGTAGGGCTATTTGGGAGGTGATTAGGTCATGGACCAGTGTCCTTATAAAAGAGGCGCCAGAGAGCTGCCTTGCCCCTTCCACCATGTGGAGACACAGAGAGAAGGTGCCATCTCTGAGAAAGTGGGTCCACATCAGATACCAAATCTATTGGACCCTTGGTCATGGACTTCCCAGCTTCCAGAACTGTGAGAAATAGATTTCTGCTTATAAGCTGCCCTGTCTGTATCTCAGTCTGCTGAGGTTATAACAGCCCAGATGAACTACAACATCAGTTAACACCCACTCATGGTCTGGATCTCAGCTCCTGGCCCTTCGTCAGGGAGCCCTCCTGGGGCTCCTCCTACCCCGTTATGTGCTCTCAAAGGCCCACACTTCTCTCCTTCATAACACTTACCACAGCTGATGTTTATTTATGTGATTATGGATTAATGCCCATCTCCTTCAGGGGACTGTAGGGCTGGGTGAGCCTCACCATGGACGCTGGCACAGAGCCTACACATGGCAGGGCTCAAGAAACAATCATTGAGTGGATGAATAAATGATCAAAAGTTAGCTTTGGTAGCTTAGGTGTCGGGTATGTTCAAGGCTACAAAGGAAGCCTGGGACCTTGGCAAGATTTTAAATGCTAGGCTGAAGTGTTTGTAGCTAAATAGGCAGACAGGGAGGGGCTCTGAAGAGCAGGGCAGTGCCAAGAGCACGTGATGCCCTGGGATGGTGGGCTGGGCAGAGGGTAGAGGACTGAGCAGAATCTGGAGACTAATTAGGGGACTGTTGTAAGAATCCTGGGGTAAGAGGGCTGGGAAGCAGCAGATGGAAAGCAGCCCTGGTTAGCTTTGTGGGGACGACTGGCACTCCTCATTCCTCTGTGTGTTCTGAGAGTCCCTGGGAAGCCCTGAGCAGCAGCCTGGCATGATGCTCTGAGATGTGGGGAGAAGGAGGTAGAGTAGAGGCTGTGATGCTATAGACACTTTGCAACCCAGGCATCCCTCTGAGGTTCTCTGACCCCTTGGGCCTGTGCAGCTCAGCTTCCCACCCCCAAGGCAGAGCCAGGAGAGTCTGCTCAGAGCACTGCCAGGGAAGCAGTCCAGCTGGGCAGCGGGTGGAGGTGCACAGAGACGGAAGGCAGATTACATGTCACTTCATATTAGCCACACCGGCAACCTTCCCAATCCACCCAGAGAGGGGCCAATTAATTGCAATTCTGAGGACAAGGCAAAAGCCAAGATAACACTGAACCTGAAGCCAAGATAACACTGAACCTGAAGATCGCATCTCCTTTCCAGTCATGAGCAGGTCGGAAGGCCTTACAGAGGGTCAGATTTACTTACCTGTGAGGTACATTTCCTCTCCTTCGGTGAACATCTGGTGGCAGCGTACACACCTGGCACAGGTTGGGTGGTAGTGCTTCCCTCCTGCCTATGGAAATGAAAAGATGAAACAGGAGGTCAGAGCCAGGGCTGCTGTCTAGTGGGGCAGATTGGGTTTGAATCTTTCCTGGGTACATTAGTGTTGTTTGCATCTTCATGGCCCTAAAGTTGGTTGGAGCTACCCAAGGGAGTCCACAACCATCTAAAAGACCAGCCGGGAAGCTTCGTGATTCACTCCATGGATCCCTGATGGCAGTTCAGGGGACTTCCCTGAATACCTGCTCTTCTATTCTGACACTGGGAAGGACACTTGAGAGGCCACTGGTCCAACTTCCTCATTTCCAGAGGAGGAAACAGGCTTGCTTTGAGGACATCCCAGCATTTCCCCAAGTGAGAGGCCCTTACCACTAATGTTACATGAAATGATTTTAAGTGGTACATGAACTTGGGATTTAATAACATTGGACCAATGGAAAAAAAAAAAAGATCTTTTCAGTCCTCTATACATTCTTCTGATTTTGTCAAGGACGAAGTACCAGTTCGGTGCTTATGTGTCTTTAACATCTATCCAAAACCTACAAATCTGCCTTTTAAAGAATGAGAACAGGTGTGAGGCTTGGAACCTCCACATGCAATAGAATCTAGCTAGAACTCTATTTATTTTCAGGTTACATGCAATATGGCAAGTGATACTGCTTTCCTGTTATGTCGTATATAAGTTTCCTTACATATAAGGGAGCCAACCTCAAGACACTTAAAGTATTATGGAAGAATCAGCTCACGAGGTTCACAGACATGGCAAAAATTGTGAGACTGGCACACAAAGGACAGATTTTTAGGGCTCAGTGGGTGATTTAGGACCCACTGTAGAGCCCCAGATCCCCAGGCCAGTCCTGTGACTATTTTGCCCTGGTGTGTCCAGCCCTACCGCAGCTCACCCCAGTGTGACTTTGGTGAGTGCCTTCCCTATTTTCACTTTCCTTCCCCATCACTATTTAAATTAAAAATGAAAATAATTTGCAGCTGCAAAGACTTCCATGGGGGGAAGAAACAGCCCCTGAGAAGGTTGTGCCTCAAGGGTTCACTGCAAGCCAGCAGCAGTGTTGGGTCCGGATGTGTGTGAGTCAGTCACCAGCTCAGCACTTGCTTCTGGAGTCACAATTCTAACACCAAAATCCCAGCCAAGAGGGCTTGTAAAAGGGAACTTCAGCGGCGGCTCCAGCATTTGTATATGCAGGAGCTTGGTGCAGCAATTGGGTTGGCAGGTGGGCCTTGTTTGAAGAAATATTTTGCAACGTCAGGGCAGGGTTTTCTTTGGGGGAGGGTAATGCCCAGGGGAAACTGATGGATGTTAGGGGTTCTTAAAGGTCCCTGTCCAAGCCATCACTTGATCTGATGCTAATGGGTTCCTTCCAATTCAAAAATTATAATTGCATAATAAGAAGACCTATTTCCAAACTTAGTTTTTTTTTTCTTTTTTTTTTTATGTGGGGGGAGTGGAAGATTGTTGGGATGGGCTTGCCTATTCTGGAGATATTATCTCTATTCTAAAAACTTAGCAAGAATGTGGGAAAGGCAGATTTTTACAAAAAGAAAAAAATCTCCAATATTCCTTTTTCCCCCCGTTTGTTTATATGGCCTCGCACCAATGAGACAGTGTCCTTGTCATCATCAAAGCGAATATGTTCAAACTTTGGAAGGAGCCTGCTATTTTCCTAAGCTGGAATGTGTGGGACTGATTCCCTTGTACCATGACAAGGATAATCAGTTTAATTAGCAGCCTCTTCCTACTCTGTGTCTCTTTATCATTTTGATTATAGACCTGTTTTCCAGTGTGGCAACAGTGCCTTGGCAAAACTGAAGCCTAGCATTTTCCTAAATGTCATGCCCCACTACCTCACCCCAGCTGAAAGAGGCTTTGTGCCCATCTCAGCAGCCCCAGTCTTGGATGGTGTTGAAAACAGTTTGAGCAAAGGGAGGTAGGGCAGCCTGCACCCAGAGTAAGGAAAAGCCACGTCAGCTAGCTGAGATGAACCATTTTGTCTATTAACGAACTGAAATCAGGAAAATAGTAAAGAAAAATGGCAAAAAATTGGTACCCTCAAAACAGAGCCCTATTTGAGAGGACCGAAAACAGCAAACCAGGTTCAAAAATGTAGCAACAAGCAAACCAGGTTGTGGTCCTTTTTGGTGAGGAAACAGACAGGGATGGAAGGAGTGACACTGACAGCCATTGAGCTCTGTCACTGAGGAAGGGACCATGGGGTGGCCTAGGGAGGAAATGGGAAGGGACAGGATGAGAAGAGAAGGAGAAACAACTTAATTGAATGCCTGCAGTGTGCCAGACGATGTGCTTGGGCGACTGTTGTTCCTGCATGGCCATCATTCTTTCCTCCTTCTTCCAGAAACAGTCCCAAGCCTTTCCTTGGTGGGGCTACCTCTTCTCCATATCAGTCCACAGGGTTAAGTAGTGCTGACCCCACCAATGAGCATATTCCAACTTTGTGGGCACAATTAGTGGCCCAGGGATGGGCCTGAGATTGTCCAATGAGAGTCAGTCCCAGAATGCTTGCTGAGCTATTAGAAAAGAGAAGTTCTTTTTTCCACCGGGCGTGCCGGCTGATAGAATCTAAGCCTGGGGCAACTGGTGTCCAACTTTCCCATCACCAAGAACGCCCTCCTGAGAATAAACTTAACTTGGAAGAAAGTAAGCCAAGATGGCTGGGGATTCTAAATGATTTCGCTTAAGCACTGGATCCAGCTCCTGGGCTTTTTGTTATAGGAGCTGAGAAACTTCCTCTCTGTTGCAGCCCAAAAAGTCTTGACTAACGTGTTCATTAGGAATTAAATGACAGTAGTATTGTCTGTTGATAGATACAGACTAAGAGGACATATCTTGCTTAAGGCTTCAGGGCTAGAAGTGGTAAAATCTGAATCCAAGTCTGTTTTACTGCAGCCATGTCTATTTCCTGACATCATGCTACCTCAAAGACCCCCAAGTGGCTGAGAGCTGTGGGTATCGGTAGATACAGCAGCCTGGAGTCCTAGATTTTAGCTCTGTCTCTACCAGAAATGCTGCTTGTGACCTTGGAAAAACACTGCATGTCTTGGTCTCACTTTTCTCATCTGTAAAATGAAGAGGTTGAACTAGTTGATTGCTAAAAGTCTCTTCCAGCTCTAAGAAAAAAAAAAAATCAATAAGTCGAAGATGCTAATGGAGCCTTGTAGAAATGGGATCAATCGAAACTCAGTCACAACAGCTGCCTGGGAGGAACAGTCTACCGCAATGCTAAACAACGGTAACTCTCGGGGAAACGGCAGCTGCCACCAACAGGATTTCAAAGCAGCTTGGAAATGCTGAACAAATTTCCATCTGTGGCCCTGTCTGTAATCTAAGTTCTTTCTTTCTGGAAAGAAAAGTTTCCTTTTGTAATATCTCCCACCGCATTGACCCTTCAACCTACTACACTCTGGATGCCTCTTCCCCACAGTTCTGCAAAGCCAACAAACGACTCTTCTGAAGGTGACCTTTCCCACATCCAACAGCTTTTCCGCAGCCCACGCAGTCCTTCACTGCTCTACAGAGTTTGACCAACACTCTGACCTCACCATGTTTTCTGAAGCTCTGTCCTTTCACTGAATGCCCGATTCTCTTCCCATATCTTCCTCTGCTACCTCCTCAGTCTCTTTCTGAGTCGCTTTCACTGTGAGCAGCTGCTCGCCAAGGTTGGTGTCAGCCTCCTTCCTTGCTCTCTTTCCTCTGTCTTGGAAATCCTGAGGACTCTGGTGGTGCTATTATTCAAAGCCTCACGTTTTTAAGATTGGCTCCTCCAGGCCTGAGCTTTGTTCCTGAGCTCTGATCCATATTTCTTTTCTTTTCTCATTTTTCTTGCCTCGGACAGGATCTTGCTCTGTTGTCCAGGCGGGAGTGTAGTGGTGCAATCTCAACTTATTGCAACCTCCACCTCTCAGGCTCAAGTGATCCTCCGGAATGGCTAGGACTACAAGCGTGCACCACCATGCCTGGCTAGTTTTGTTTATTTTTTATAGAGATGAAGTCTCACTGTGTTGCCTAGGCTGATCTTGAACTCCTGGACTCAAGTGATCACCCTGTGTTGGCATCCCAAAGTGCTGGGATTACAGGTGTGAGCCACCACTCCCAGCCTCTGATCCGTATTTCTGACTGCCTTCTGGAAACACTCCTGGGATTTCAATCACAACTCATCCTAAATGGTACTCGCCATGTTTCTGCCAGATCAGCTTTTTCCCCTGTCATCCCCAGTTCTGCCAATGACACCAGGCTTCCTATCCCTCAGAAATAGATAATTCTTTGGTGCAACTTTTAGCTGCTTCTCCTTCAATCCCCATGTCCACAAGCTGCCCCTCAGTTGCAGAGTGATTGGAATTCTACTTCCATAGGGCTGGGCACAAGGGTGGCTTCCCTCTCCATTGCTACTGTACCTCTTGAGTCCTTCCTGCCTGGGTCACGCAGGGGCCTCCTCACTCATCCCTTCCAGCTTCCTTCCTTCAAATGTAGCCTGTGTACATTATCACGTCATCCTCCCAGAAGCCCAGCTCTAACCAGGACGTTCCTTCCCAGTCTCTCCACAATGCTCCCTTGCCCAGTGAGTCACATGCAAACTCCACCCTGGTATCCCAGGCCCTCAGAAACCCACCCCCAACAACCCTTCCTGGACTCATGCCTTGTCCTCTGCATCGCACTCCTTACAGCTCTCGAGATGCTTAAATGTTTCCCAGCTCTGCTCATTTGTTTATATCTCATTGTCTCTGACTCTCTCTGAAAATTCTCCACACAGTAACCACAGAAATCTTTTTAAAAACATGATCTTATCATGTTAGTCCTTGGCTTAAAACTCTCCAATGGCTTTCCATTGCACTGAGTATAAAACCCAAACTTCTAAACATGGTCTACAAAGTCCTACATGGTATGCCATATATGATATACTCTTATATTTCATCCTCCCCTACCCTCAATTTATAGAATTCAGCCACATTGGCAGACTGGGTCAGCTATTGTGAGCAGAATCATTAATTCAGCCAAATCTGGCCACTTGGTTGTGGTTACCATGAGTGCTTGTGTTGAGAAAAATTCTGCAGCCACAATTCTGTGTGGGTTCTCTGTTCTTTGAATGGGTCAAGCTCATTCTTCCTCTATCTTTTCCCACCTCAGGGCCCTTCAGGGATAGTTCTTTCATCCTCAGGGCTCTGCTTCAATGCATGTCCTCAGAGAGTTCCTTCCTGGTTGCTACATCCCCTCCTGCTGAGTCTACATGTGGCTGCAGACTTGTTCTCAACAAAGCACTCATGGTAACCACAACCAACTGGCCAGATTTGGCAGAATTAATGATTCTGCTGACAATACCTGATCCAATCTGATCCTCTAGCTATTGTCATATGGAAAAACTGAGGCCTAGAAAAGCAAAGATACTTACTCAAAATCTGAGCAGGAGTAGAGTCAATACTAGAACTCAATTATTCCTGTTAGGCTATTATTTTTCCTTTCCACTGAGCCCTTCCCTGTTTCTAATTCATCAAGGTGGGTGGTCCCAAAGTATAGGAAGATAGCTTCCAGGCCCACAGGGTATAGGAAGAAAGGCCGGAAAGACCAGTGCACAGGGGCTCAGCAAGGCCTCAGCAAGGGTTTTGCAGGTTGTCTGTCACTGCAGAAGGAGTCATACATCAAAGGCTGGGGAGAGGCGTTGCCATGGTGATGGACCCACCAAAGAAGGGCTTAGGGAGCAAGCTGCTAGACAAGCTGGCTCTTAAATCAGCACATTACCAAATACTAAAACAAACAAACAAACAAAATAAATAATTAAATAAATAAATAAATAAATAAATAAAAAAGACTTCCTTTCTCCGGCAGGGCTGGGAGGAAAATCCTAATGTCACTCTTTAGAAATCTGTCTGGGTCCGAATCAAAGATACAACTGATTTTCCCAGCACAGCATTTTTTGAACCAGGAAGAATTTTGTCTACCTTCTCATTTTGGGGTTTCCCAGAGATCTCAGCAAGGTTATCTGCTCAAGGTCATGTAGCAAGCAAAGGTGGAGGAGGTAAAGGCTATGGAAAAAAAGGTATGGGATGACTTTCTCCTTCTTCTGTGATGACTTTTTGGAGGCACAGATCACCCTGCCACATCTTCACGGTTACTTATACCCACTCACCTCCAAGACTCTGCCACTGATGTATCGGTCACAAGTCTCACATTTAATGCCAAACTGGGCATGGTAGTCGGACTCACAGTATGGAACACCATCCCTGCAAGAAGAAGTTCACATAGGATGAGGAAGTTAGGGAGGATCAGTGAGGGTGCACATGGCATTTAGATTCTGGACCTGCAGCCTATGTTGACTGAGCCAAAGTTCGATACTTCTCCTTTAATAAACAATTTCATCTGTATGAAAGAATCATCTGACTGTGCTCCCAGATCAGTAGATGACAGGAAGCCTCCTGGGACCACCTCCTGTGTGCTCCATTTTTTACCCAATGTTTATCACTTGGCGGACAGTGATAAGATTGTTATCCCTTATTCTTATACCACCCCCTATGACTAATAGCCACTAACATTTGTTGCTGGTGTGCGCCGGGCTCTTTGATGGTGTTTGATGGCAACCCTATGAGTCAGAATTATTAGTATCCCCATTGTGTAGGTGAGAAAACCTAAGCATAGCACACTTTAGTAACTTGTCCCAGGCCACCCAGGATGACCTAGAGCTGGAATTCAAACCCAGGTTGTCTGGTTTCTCACCCAGGTTGTCATGAGGATTAAAGGAGATGGGTCCAGTGTACCCTAGGGCTCAGGACAGTGCCTAGCCATACTGAGTACTCAGCAAATGGCAGCTGGAGGAATGGCCATGATTGCTGAGAGGAGTCTTTGAGGAGGACATTTGGTTCTCAGTTCTCTAGGACTGAGGTAGAGATAGTTGGGGGCATCGGAGAGCTTAGCTTTGCTTCGGGCTCTGCCTCGCTCTAATGACCAAGTCTGAACTCTGAGGAGAAACATTTCTTTCACTTTTGGGTGTAAGAGAACTTGGCTCAGACACTGAGAGACCTAAAGGAGAGGCACATCACTTTTCCATCTCGAAGCTGTTGCCCTGATGAGGTTGCTGGGGGCCCACCCTGGGCAGCATTTTCCTGGAGAAGCAGCAGTGAGGACCAAGGTCTGAAGATGTCCGACCAAGGTCTGGAGGTGTGACTGTGCCCACAAGGCAAGGACTTGTTTGTGAGCCCCTGAGACACACCTCCCCCAACCCTTTCAACTCCTCCCTCCTCCCCCGCTCAATCAGGTTCTCACTCTGTGGGTGCGGGAGGGTAGCTCTGCAGGGAGAAAAAGTCATTTGTCAGAAGGTGGATGTGATGAGCCAACAAGATTTGAGTATAAATGCCAACACAATCTCTTTTGGATCCATCCTTCTCTTGGGGAATTAGCGGTACACAATTCTAAAAGAGGATGGTAAAATGAGTATTTACTGGGCAGTTATTGGGTGCTAAGCACAGATCTCTGAGCCCTTACACAACCCTACAGGTAGATCATCTTCTCTCCATTTTTATAAATGAGGAAACTGAGACTCTGAGCAGTGGAGTCCCTTGCCAAGGTCACATAGGCTGCGCTTCTATCCTGGGCATCTGATGCCTGAGCCAGTGCCTCTGAGCCCCTGCCACTCTGCCAGCAGCCAGGTAAGGGGCCCAGAGCTATGCTGCAGAGGTACCAGGTGTGGTGGGCAATCTGGGCTGGGCCTCCTTGAGAGGAGCTCTGAACAATCCCTTAAGTCCCTAGAGAACTCTGATTTAGGCTTCCAGACTCAAGCACTCCTGGCTGGCAATGTACTAAGGGCACTCCTTGCTTGGTGGGCATAGAGGGGAATGCCAAACTCCTGCTAGCATGGCATCGAGAGCTCTCGGTGATGTGACCTCAGCTCACCTATGCAGCCCAGGATCTGGCTTCACCTGGGCACATGTTTGAGCTCCTATACAGGATGGAGATGTCCAACACTCCCCTACTGCCCTGGCCTTGCCCAGGCTGGCCATTCTGCCTAGAAGCTCTTCTTCTTTGCATTTTTGAATCTTACCCCCACCTTCCATGGAACTCTCAGAGATTCAAGATTCTACTTCATGCTAGTTAGCAGTCATCCTTTTTTTCTCTGAATATTCACAGCCCTTTATTTGTTATCTTGGACACAGGCAGGTGTTGTTTGGCCAGCATCCATTTCCCCTTCTGCTGATAATAGTACCTCGCCTGGATTTCCCTTTGGAAGCCACCCCTTCCCAGTTGAGGTCCCTGTGGGTCACAAGAGGCTGCTCTCTGGCTCTAGGGTTCAGATCCTCTGGGCCAGTGATTGGTCAGGAATGGGCATGTGGCCTAACAGTGGCCAAATCAGAGGCAGACCTGGGACTTTTGCTGGAGTTCCTGGGAAAGAGGCCTCTTTTTCTGCTAGGCTTGGTATGGAAGCCTGGAGTGTTGGCAATCTTCTTTGCTAGCACTTGGGGAGGGCCAGATTGAGAACTAATCCACCATGAAGACAGCAGAGAAAGACAGGGACAGAGACAGAGAGAGACAGAGAGAGAGAAAGAGAGACAGAGAGAGAGAAAGAGAAATTGAGAGAGAGAGAGAGAGAGAGAGAGAGAGAGAGAGACAAAAAGATAGATAGAGAAAGACAGAGACTTCTGAAGTACTAATGACATCCTTAAGCCCCTGGATTCCTCCATGTCTGAAGCCAGTGTGCCTCTGGCCTTCCCATTTCTGTGAGTTAATAAACTCCTATTTTTGCTTTTAATTGAGTTGGAGGTGGGTTTTCTGTCACTTAGGATCAAAAAGGTCTTAAAGAATAAAGCTTGTCTGGGCTCCTGATCACACATTTCCTGGTGTCATAATTCTTCATGAACGCAGCATATCTGTTTCCCGTATTAGACTGCAGGGTCTTGACAGCAGAAGCATGTGTGCTGCAGCTCTGTGTGCTTGCCACTGCCTGGCATCAGGCCAGAGAGTGGCACCTAGAAGGGTCTGGGGTCATATGATGTCAAAGCTGTGACAAAGGATCTGTGCTGATAATTACTTTTAGGTACTTGAGTATATAAATGTGGTCACTGGGGCCCAGCAACAAGAGGACACTTGTCTAATACTGCAGTGTGTGGGTCACTGGAGGTTGGCCCCTCTGGATAACTATGCACCCATCACCTCCTCTCATATCCATTAAATTCATTCAGCAACTATATTATTGACTGTGGGTCAGGTGTTGCTCTCAGGGCAGGGGATATAGCAGTGATTAAAACAAAGCCCCTCTCCTGGTGGGTACAGAGATTAAACACTATTACTGGAGCAAGTTATTTACTCTCTCAAGTCTGAGTATTCAGTGGGGATAAATTCCTCAAAGGGGCAGTTATGAGGATTTAAAGTGATACTTCATACAAAGTAGTGAGTTCCTTCTACATAATTAAAGCTCAATAAATGGTAGATAGTATTATTAGCATTATTACAAAGTTACCAGGGATAAATATGTAATTACCAATGGTGGTAGCCTGTGTGAAGGAAACAACAAGGTACTCTGAGGGCCCAAAACGGGGCAGTAAATGAGAGACGGCCGGAGGGGAAGGCATGGGGACCGAGACCAGAAGGGAGAGAAGGGGCAGCAGGCGTGCAAGGAACAGGGAGGGTGTCTCAGGCAGAGGGAAACCCCCCCGGGAGGGTCCAACGGGGGAAAGAGGCTGCTGGGAAAGATGCTGTTTGGCCAGAATGCAGCAGCAGACGGAAAGGAAGGGAGATGATGCTGGAGATGTAGGCATGGGCTCAATGGGGCAGGCCTCACAGAATGCAGAGGCCCAGGCAGCTGGGGCAGGAGCAGGGGGACCCACTTGCTGATATACTCCCCGGTGAGGATGACGCTGCAGGTCTGGCACTTGAAGCAGCTGACGTGCCACTGCTTGTCCAGAGCCAGGAGTGACTGGCCGTGCTTGATCTCCTCCTTGCACCCGGCACAGTCTGCAAGACAAGAGGACACTGCTGAGCAAAGCACCCTGGGCCCTTTAACCCCCGCTATCTCAGGCCCACGTCAAGGAAACCCCTCCCTGAATGCCAGTGTTCCCATAGTTGCTCCCACCTGACACTGGAAGCTTCCCAGAGGCTCTCCCAGGGGAGAGAAAAAGCCACTGGAGTCCTGGCCTCTTGACAAGGGGTCTTGGTGTAGGAGAGAAAGAAAGACCTCCCTGCTTGTCATCAAGACCACATTGTTCACTGAAAGTGGACCCTGCACTGCTTCCAGCCCTCCTCAAATTGCTAACTAAGCTCTGCTGCTGTCCGTGACCTTGCCATCTGCAGCGTCAGCATCACCTGGAAGCTGGCAGTGTGCAGCATTGCAGACCCCACCCAGACCTCTTGAATTTTAACAAGACCTCCGTGCAGAGTAAAAGTTTAAGAAGCACTGCTCCTGGGGATGGGCTAAGTATACAGTTTTTCAAACCCTTAGGCTATATACACATTGGCAAGGGCTGTGTTTATATTTTGTGGTTAAACCTATTCCTTTGCCTAGCACAGTGCTCAGCCCATAGCAGTAACTCAAAGCATATTTGCCAAATGTGTATGAATGAATGGGCCTGATGGTACCCAGGCAACAAACAGAATTACCACACCCACCCCTTCCCCATTGTGCTTCACACATCGAACATGTGCCTTCCCAAGTGGCAAGGATTACAGGGTCTGATGAGACTGTCCCAAACCAGAAAGGTGCCCTCACTCCCTGACACGGTCACCCTGGAATGTGAGTTGGGGCCAAGAGAATGTGGGACAAGCCTAGCATCAGCTTGTTGCTCAATGAATGTCTGAGGAGGGTCCGGAAATGGAGCCAACGTCCAAGGCACTTGGAAACTGCTGGGAATTCAGGCCTAGCCAACCGGATGACCCACTTTGGCGGAGGAAAGGGTCATGGGGCAAAGTTGACCAGAGGACAAACTTCCCTGTTGGCTCCATAAGACAAATGCACACTTGGGAGTAGTGAGGAGAGCAGAAACTGCATGTAAAGTTAGGGGATTCTGGCTGGACAGCCCCCACATCCAGCTGGGAGCCTGTCCTAGAAGAAAAGATGATGTGTCTGCAAATCTAGGAAGGGTGGTGGGTCCAGCCGGCTGTGGGGAGGGTCTGGGGCCTTGATGAAGTGTTTGTATGAGTCAGTTCCCACAGTACTCCGCCTCTTGGCTGTTGCGTGCCTTTCTAACATCCCTTAGTACAAGTTGGGGGCAGAAAGGTCTCTACTTGCAAAATGCTTCAAGCCCCAGGCCTTCAGATGGGGGCTGAGAGAATAAAGAGTTTCGGGATTTATCTCTCTTCCTTTCTATTCTCCTGGGGTAAGTCTATAAGTCTACTTGCACCCCCTGCCCAATAATTAGACTCCAGAATGCAATAGTTTAGAGAGGTCAGGTACCCCCTTCTCTTTTACAGATAGACAGGGGTCTGAAATGACTTGCCCAAGCTCAGTATAGAGGAACCCAAGGACTGTAGACACCTGGTCAAGCTTTCTAGGTCACTAATACTGAACTTGTATCTCTGTGGGCCTCCCCAGCAGGGCCTAAAAATTCCATAGGGGTTTGGAGTTCACAGAGTATTTGGTCAAACATCCCACCCAATGCAGTAACCTACAGCATTCTCGACAAGTGGGCACCCTCCTCTGCTTAATCACCTCCAGTAGTGGGCAGTTTAACCCCTCCTGAGGAAGGGGTGGTGAGGAAGTCCACTCTGCCCTTGGACAGGTATGATTGTCATGACTGTCTTCTTTATATGGAGCTGAGACTTGACTCCCGTGACTGCTCCCATTCTTACGCATCAAGAATAATCCACCTCTTTTCCCATACGACAGTTCTTTTAAAGAATTAAAGACAACTATAGTTTCTCTCTTCTTTATTCCTTACACTTTTTCTTGCTTGACATGATCATCCAGTGATCAAATTCACTTGTGGATTCCATGGAGAAAGACATGTAATTGGCAAACAACACAATTCTCTGTTTCTTCAACAAAACTTATTGCATAGCTGTATCCTTTCATGGCCATACTCTAGAAATGAATCCTATCTCTTCGACTTTCAGTGGTACATCTGAGATAAATTTAACCCCTTGAGTTAAGCTGTAGGAGAGAGTACAGCGCAGTGGTTAGAGGCTGGGCTGAGAGTTGGAGTGAGCAGTGGGAAATTGGCCCAGGAGAGAATCCCAGCTCCTTTTCTTATGAGTTGTATGCTCTCTAAGCCCAGACTTGCTCATCTGAATATCTTCCTTAAAACACTGGTGTGAAGGTTAATTAAAATCAGGCCCATTAGGCCTTAGCACAATGCTTGGCCCATATGAATCCAATACGTGGTTGTTGTCATTATTATTTTACATTCTCCTGTTTTTAACCCACATTCTGTGCATTACCCAATCCCTGTTCTGAAGCCAGGAGCGATAGTCCTGTTGTAGGGAAGCCTGCTGATTCCCCGTGAGAATTCTGGGACATCTTCTCCATGTGGCTTTTCTTTTTATATTATACTGCTGCTCCTCCATTATATCAGCTTCTTATTTATTAGGACCTTTTCGCCCTCTTCTTCCTCCTTTCACTCTTGACCACCAGTGGAGCCTCAGGCATGCCACCCAGGAGCCCGTGGGTCTGGTGTAATAAATAGAATCAGGAAAACCACACCCTGTTCCAAGTTGGTGTCTGCAGAGCCAGCTGTCCACTCCTCCATATGTTCCTCTCTATTCCAAAATTACAATCTTCAGCTGGCAGAATGTATGATGCTACCACCTGTCCCTCTCAGATCCCTCAGTTATAAACTGAGGCCTCCTAAAGACGCTAGACAGCCATTTTTATCCTTTTTAGACTGTGTCATTCATTCTATTTAAATCAGCAGAAATGAGTGGGTTTTGTGAGTCATAGCAAGCTCCGTACCTTGTTTTAGGCAACTAATCCAGGAAGACTAGACACTTCCCAAGTTGCAAGTCATGTCTCTGGTACAGAGTGTTAAGGGAATAGGATCTAAGGCCAGACTGGCTGGTCTCACATTCTAGTTCCATTACTCATTATCTGGGTGACTTTGGGCAAGTCATTTATGCTCACTGAGTCTCAGTTTTCTCATCTATAAAATAATTACTCTTATCTCCCTCATAGGGTTGTTGTAATGATTAAATGAAATATCTGTATAAAACACTTAGTGAGGTGCTTGACAATAGTAATAATCTATGTTAGTGGTGGTGATGCTGATATTGTTGGTGTTGACAGTGTTGGTGGTGATGATGGTGACAGTGATGATGGTGGTAATAATAATGGTGGTGATGGTGTTGATGCTGCTGGTGCTGGCGATAGTGGTAATAGTGGTGATTATGGTAGCGTTGGCGAAGGTGGTGGTGATTGTGTTGGTGGTGACAATGGTATTGATGGTGATGGTGGTGTTGTTCATAATGGTGATGAGGGTGGTGATGGTAGTGATGATGGTAGTGATCGTGTTGGAGACACAGTGTTGGTGATTGTGGTGGTGGTGTCAATGGTGTTGGTCATGATGATGGTGACGATGGTGGAGAAGGTGATGGTGATGATGGTGGTAGCAGTGGTACTGCTGCTACTGCATCTGATTGCTCTCAATGAGGTTTTTGCAGTATCTGGCAACAGTAACAGTCAATCAGTGTTAGCAATGATGGTGGTTATGGTGGTAGTAGTGATGGAGGTAGTGGTGGTGGGGATGATGGTAGTGATTGTATTGGTGGTGGCAGTGGTGTTGGTGGTGATGATGGTGGTGGCACTGATGGTATTGTTCATGATGATGGTAGTGATGGTGAAGATAGTGGTGGTGATGATTGTGGTGATGATGATAGTAGTGATGATAATGATAATGTTGGTGATGTTAGTGATGATGATGGTGAGGGTAGTGGTGCAATGGTGATGGCAATGGTAGTGATGGTGTTGATGTTAGTGATGATGATGGTTATGGTGGTGGTGTGATGGCAATGCTGGTGATGTTAGTGATGATGGTGGTGGTGGTGATAAGATGGTGATGGCGGTGGTGGTGCTGCTGCTGAGACTGCTGCTGATTCTTCTCACTGAGGTCTGTGCAGTGCCTGGAAATAGTAACAGTCAATCAATGTTTGCAATGATGATGATTATTGTGGTGATGGTGATGGTGAAGGTTGTGGTGGTGGGGTTTCTGCTGCTACTGTTGCTGATTCTTCTCAGTGAGGTCGGTGAGGAAACATTTCTTCTTCCTGTGGTAAGTAACAGAATTATTTTCTCTTGACAGTTCCTGAGTATTTTTCTTGGTCTCTTTGGAGTAGACACTGCTCCTGACTTTCCAGAATATCTTTATTTACTCTCCAGAGATGAAACATCACAATTGTAGCTTAAAAAACCCCAATTATTTTGTTCTTCTTTTCCTTTTCCATGATATGTTCTTTTTCTTAGCAATCTCTTATACCTGGCTTTGGTTTCCTGTATCCCATGGGAGCTTAGAAGACCTTCCAACACCCCATCTAGTCAGGAGCTACTTTGCATTTGCAGCATGAATAGTGACCACCTTTGGAGAAAATACCTCTATAAAACATACCACTATAGACAATCAGTGATCAATCACGGATTGATGTCTTTACTTTGTGAGTAACAAGATAAGCTATAATACTAAGTATGCCCCCACTGGAAACTGTCCATGTGCTCATTTGCTCCTCTTGACTCACTTTTTCCTCACCTTCTTCCACCTCCTAATCATCCAAATTATGGTGGACACATTTGGGAGCCTCTCTTTGAAAACATACTCACATGTGAGACTCCCACATTCAGCTGAAGAAATATCCCACCTAAAGAGTAGGTGATAGGTGTAGCACAAATGCATACAGTAACACACAATCCAAACTAGGGGAAATAACAACCGACCCAGGAGTCTCATTCTCAACCTCTTTTGGTGTGCTTTCTATATTAAACCTCCATGCCAATATCATCCCTCACTCTGTATTTATAGAGCATTTTATATAAGCAATGTATCTTAGTTTGATCCCTGAACTAATACATTTGCTTTCCCCAACGCTCCTGTGAGGAAGATAGGAAATTCCATCCCTCTTTCATAACTGGGTAAACTGAGTCTCAGGGAGGCTTCATGACTGCTTTGCAGCATGCAGAAGTTTGGCAGCCTCCCGACTCAGGCTCACTTCTCCCTCTCCTGCCTCACACATGGCCCCATCAGTCTCGGAGGTCCTCAGCAGCATTGGCCACAGGGTCGTGGTCCCATATCCCAGCCTCCTTGTTTTTCTGTCACTCTGGATGATGCTTTCAAGGAGCTGTGAAGGATAACACTGTATGCACTCAGTCACCTTGACATGGAAACCTGGTTGGAGCAGCAATCTATTCTTGAGCATCATCAAGGATGCCAAAGAAAGGGCTCCGCACATTCCAGGAACAGATCTGATTTGGCTGAAAGGAAGAGCAGGCAAGGGAGGGAGCCTTCCCACTGTCTTTCTCCTCAGCTCACCATAGCTGGATGGACTCCCGGGGAGCCCCTGGGAGCTAAGCCCTGCTGACTCGGGGTGATCTGTGCTCACTCTCTCTGGCTGGATGCAGCCCAGCATGCTGACTCTGCTGGTGCCATGGCCAACAGCACCCTGCACCCGCACAGTGATGCAGCACAGGAGGCTAATGGAATTTTCATTGATTTTCTTGTCGAGGCCAGTGAGAGTGTCATATAACATGAAAGAACACTGGAGCCTAGTGTGGCTTACCAAGACCAAGGGGGCAGGGTCTATGTGTGTGTGGGCATGTGCAGCAGCAGCCTGCCAACTGCATCTGGGAACAGTGATTTAGATATCTTATCACTAGGCACACTTGAGTGGGATGGACATCCCACAAATTAGAATGACCATTCTGAGGCGCGCTCCTGGTCCTCAGTTTCCCTCCAAATCTGTGGTTGGTGATAAAACATAACATTCATCATGGCATGACAGATGCTGCCTTTATCCCTAGACAGTGGTTCTGAATCTCAGGAACAGCAAATGAATCACCCAGGAAGCTTACTGGGAATGTTGATTCCTAGGTTCCATCCCTAGAGGTGCAGGGTGAGCCCAGACATTTGCATTTTTACAAGTCCCACAGTGAAGCTGATGCAGTGGTCTATGGAACACTCTAAGAGGCACCAACACAGCTCTTGTGGTTTGCTCCCAGGGCACCCCATACTACCTCTTCTGTAAGCCATGTCTGCCAATTCTTATTAGTGGAGTTGGTAAAAATTCAGAGCCACTGGTGAAAAAACACTTGATCAGCCCTATTGAGGCGTCCATGGGACATAAGATCAGGAACTCAGCTTGTCCCAGAGGAGACATACCATGTGGCAAATATTGGCACTGGCTACCACTGTTTATGGCCAGGCAGCCCCTCTTCCCTGCATTGTGCTTGTGAAGCTTGTGAGTCTGGGCCACATGCCAATGGGGTCATGATGCAGGAGGCCTCCAGGTTGGGAACCTCTCCCACTTCCCTCCAGGCCCGTGGGAGCAGTTGGCAGTGCTGGGAAAGGGGAGCCCAGAGAGATCACACCCATGGACAGGGAGATACCCGTGGGGAGGACTCACGGCTTGGTCCACGAATCTTGATGGGCTTACTGCTGGCCATGGACTGGGAGCACGTTTGGCACACACATTCTTTACCGCTGAAGGTCACCTTGTCTCCAATGGGGAAAGGCTTCCTGCAAGTGGGATGAGGGAGAAATTCAACACACCCTCTTCTGAGGGATTCTGTAGCTGACCACACATGTGCTCAAAGCACTTTGGTAACACATACAGCTTGACTTCTAGAGCACCACGCAAATTCAAATGCTGTTCACAGTGACAGGCCAACTAAACTGCTCAATTAGGGGCCTGGCAGCAAGAACTGGAGCCCAGTTAGGCTGTTTGTATATTTTGGGCAGATCATGATGCTTATCTGACCTTACTTGTCTAGGCTGTAAGAAGTAGAGATTACTAACGCCTCAGATACTTGTTCTCTCTTCTGGAAGGACTTTTTCCATCCCAATTTGATTTATCCCCATATGTTAAGAATTCATTCAACTCACAAACTTACCAAAATTTCTTCCTTTTACTACTCAGGCATTTTTCAAAATCCCCCTTCCCAAGAGGAAGTTTGTAAGTCTGTAAATAATCTTTTACTCTCCTCATCTGGATTTGTTCAGTTTCCACAGCTGGGGAGTCTCAAATTTGCACATGCTCTGCCTCCCCAACTAAATTATGAACCATACACAGAATCCCTGGCACCACCACGCCTACTGTTGAGCTGTTCTCGCCCATGCAGTGGGATGCCTGTTATGAGGACTCTCAGCACAGCACCTAACATTGGCTCCCAGGGGCTCCATTGCCCTTGTATTAGCACTGTGGCACGATGGAGGGAGCACCAGGGTGAGAGTCGGGGGAGCTATGTTCTTATCGTGGCTCAGCCACTAGCTTTTGGTAGAAAGACATTGCGTGATCTTGGGGAGTCACCTGGCTTGACAGAGACCTCATCTTGTACCATAGGAACCCTCTGTGCTAACCTCTGATGGGTCTGGGATTCCAGGGCTCAGGGCTCAGGTTTTAAGAGCTGGGTAGATGAATGAATTCCACGAGGGGATTATGTTTTCTTACACACTCTGTCATTAGTCTCAATCAGAAACTCTAACTAGTTATTCTAACTGGTAAGTGACTGGTGGTTATTTTATGCGGAGAATAATTAATCCATACATTCCTTTCCCAATTAAAAAATACGTATATACTCTAATCATGCTTTACTTATGATGTAATCAGAGCTGTCCATTAACATTTAATGTATTTGTGGGTAGGGCTGAGCTTTCTTCATTTTTTCATCTCCTTAATGTGTTGCTTGGCATTCAGTGGAGTCTTAACGTACACTTGCTGAATTAACAAGTGATGGTGATGCGGAAGGTAAAGCAGGAGGCAGGGATGAGCTCTCCATCCCTGGAGATGTCCTGAGAGAAGATAGATGACTATCATCATGATAATGAAAAGGATAATAAAAACAGACACTCTCACATACTGATCACTGAGCTAATGCCTTTGCATCATCATCTCATTGATCTTCGAGAAAACCCAATGAGGTTGGAATGGCTTTGACCTCCATTTTACCTGTGGAGAAACTGAGGCTTACAGAGGTGGGGGTCACTTGCCAGGGTCACTCCAACAGCATGAGGTGGTGCCAGGATGATGGAGGAAGGCTATGTACAGACATCCCTGTCCCACCTGTGGATGAGGGTGTGGGAGGATGGGCCAGATCCACAGTTTCCAAACTGAGTTCTGAGAGAATCAGTGGTTTCTTTGGGGGCCTTTTGAGAGGAATTGGGAGGCTGAGTTTAGAGGTACAGATCCTCACTCTGCCTCTATCACAGGACAAACCAGTGTTTTAGATCAGATTGTATTTTATAAGAAAGATTCAGATGCTACAGTGTTTGAAAACCACTGGCCCATCAGATCCCTCCACACCTGAGGTTCCAGAAATCTAAATGTGCAGCACAAACCTTGTAAACCCCAGAACTTCCTGGAAAAAGCCAGGTCTTCCCCTGCCCCGGGGGCTTATGCAGAGGGTCCCAGGCCCTGCTGGTCGCCCACTCACCTGCACAAGCTGCACACGAAGCACTTGGGGTGGTAAGTGCGGCCCAGGGCCGAGATGACTTCGCCTGTGATGAAGTCCCGGCAGCTGTCACAGCGGGTGCCATAGAGTTGCTGGTAGTCCTGGGTGCAGATGTACTCCTGGTTCTTGAAGAAGAAGCCTGACTGGGCCAGGCCACAGCCACATACTTGGGGAACAAGGAGGAAAACAAGGGCAGGTTGAGTCCAGGGAGGGTCTGTAAGCAGAAGGTCCTCGCTGGGGGAAAGGCTGGTGTCTCACTGTGTCATGAGTGGCCACAGAATGGTAGCATGTCAGACTTCACAGGCCTTTGGGGCCAGTATTCCTTAAAGAAGTGGCCACAGAATGGTAGCATGTCAGACTTCACAGGCCTTTGGGGCCAGTATTCCTTAAAGAATGGCCAGTAGGCCACTAGCATCAGTATCACCCCGAGAGCTTCTTATAATCCAGATGCCCGGGCCTGAATCAGACTCCATGGGACTGAGGCCTGGGCATCTGCATTTGAACAGCATTCCCTCACCCGGATAGGCTGATTCTGATGCACACTAAGAAGCACTGGTGGTGTACAATCCTCCCAATACATGAATGAAAAGTTTAATGCCATGTGGCTCACGCAAGGCCACACAGCTGGTGGAAATATGAATGTAATAAAAGAATCATTCAGTTAAACATTTCCTGGGTACTTCCTATGTGCATGATTCTGTGCCAGGTGAAGAGCAGTGTGAGGACCATATGCTCCAAATCCCAACCTGGAGACACCTTCGGATGGCAATGGGATGGATGATTTGAAGTCTAGAATCTGTGCTCACCATAGCCATAAGGAGTGGGGGGTGTCTATTCTCAGGCAGGAAGAATAAAACACAATCCCTGAATCTCAAAGAGCTAAAAATGCTGCAGAGAGAAGATCATATAGAAAAAATGTCCCATATCATCGGTGATGGTCCACGGAACCGGTGCAAGCAGTAAGGACTGTGAATGAGGTAGAAGAAGGAAGCCTTGTCAGTTGCAAGGGATCATGGGAGGCTTTTCAGAGGAGGTAGCATCTGAGTTGAACACTAAAGGAACAGAATGAATGAGCCAAAGCACAGAGGCAGGAAGGTGCAAGTGATATTTGTGTAAAGGCTAGAAGTAGGGGTGGTGTTTGTAGGAAGTGGTGGGAAGTAATGCAGGAAAAGATTGTGCAGACCAGTTGGAGGAAGGCCTGAATCCAGTTTAAGAAGATTAGGTTTTGTAGGATACTGAAGAGCCGTGGACGTTTTTTTCCCTAGTTTAGAAAAATTTAGAAAAATATCTCAAACATATACAAAAATGGGAGAAGATTGTAATAATTCTCCATCACTCAGCTGCAAAAATGATCAATTGCATCGATGGCTTTTGAACAGAGATGCAACAGGATTTTACAAGGCATTTCCTAGTCTTTTGGAATATTCTTTTGGATAATAGGGAGAAATAAATGTAGGACAAAACAGAAAAACAAGTAGATTTATAGGTGTTTCAACAATTGAATTATGTGAGATCCACCCCCACTGAAGGACTTAGAAATATGAGATTTACTTGTAAGGAGTTAAGTTGTGAAATCAACACATGATGGGCAGAGCAGAAAGATGCAAAATTTCTTCCAAGGCAATAAATGGCTCACAGGGCCACCAGAACTGTAGAAACCCACTGAATGTACCAATCAGCTAAAGCAAGGATGCACCAGCGAGGAAGGGGCCTGATTAGCAATCAGAGGAAGGCAACTGCGGTGCCCATTCAAATCCTGTCACCAGCTCCCCTGGTTCTGAGGCTGCTGTCTGATGGACTGACTTTCCACCTAGATTGCCTCTGAGAGGCCAGGTGCTGGCCAGGCCACCATGAAACAATCCAACTCAAGGTCACACCTCTCATCCACATTGATGAACAGGTATTCGGGCTTTCTACATCAGTTTTCTGAGGAGTTGGTTAGTACAAGTCAGCTTTCTCAAGGGTGATCAATGATGGGAAAACCAATAAGATAGTTAGCAAGACTGTAAGTCTGAAGAGTCAACCTGGAACTGAGTGAAAACACCCCAGCAAATACTATCTCACCTTTAACAGGGGAAGTTGTTTTGCAAAAGCAGCCAGGTTAAAAATAGGAGAGACTGCCAGGTGAATGCCAGAAATATTTCATAAATGTTTGTTCACCTTTGGGGACTGGAGGCTTAAGGGGTGAGGCTGAGTGAGGAGAAGGCAGCTTCAGAAGTCACTGCATGAGGGGAGGGAACAGCTCAGGACAGTGGGAGACACAGTGGTCTGATAGTCAGACCACCCAACCTCTGGTCTCATCACTGCCACTGAGTCTCTGGACAACAGTGAACTTTACCCTCACTTCTCTGGGGCCTCTGTTCACTTGTACGCAGAATGAAGAGGCTGAGCTTTTCTTTTAGAACTGACATGCTGTAAGTCTATGAGAAGAAAAGCTTCCTTTAGCGCTTACTATACGCCTAAACATTTTAAACTCAGTGTGGAGCATTGCTTGTGGCCCCCGACCCCACCCCTACGAAGAGGCAGGAGTGTGGTGGAGATGGTGGTGGTGGCAGAAGTCTGGGAAGGGTTCATCTTCCATCAGGCATTATGAAAATTCATCACATCAAACAATGTCTGGTCTCACGAGCAGGCAAACCAGAGCACAGGCTGTTCTGGGCCGTGCAGGTGGTGGAACAATTGACTTCATGGCTGCGGAATCAATTAGGTCATGGCCTACAACCTCATTGGAAACAGCTCCGGTTTTTTCCCTTTTTTTTTTCTCTCCTTTGTCTCCTTTGCCAACTCCACCCCCAGAGCCACCTCTCCCAGTGGAGAAATCCAGGCCACCATAGGAAAACTTGGAACAATCAGTCCTCCATTGCCCCCAAGGAGCTGAAGGAGGAAGCTTTTGGTAGAAAGGATGTAAAGGTTGATAAGCCTCTCAGGGGTTCCTGGAAATACAGTGGGGAGCACAGGGATGGAAGGCAAGCTGGACCAGCATGACAGATGGATCTGAGGCTGAGTGAAACGCAATATTGAACGTTAAAACTGCTTTGAGCAAATCCGGAATAAATGCTCAATGTAAATATAAGGCCCAGAAGGAGGACTTGCACACAGCCCCAGAATGCGTCAGTGAACAATGTGATGTTTTGTAGGTTATTGGACCTTTGTCTGTGGTCTTGTTCTAGCACTCAAGTGCTGGGAGATTTTGAAAAAGTTATCCCAGCTCTCTGGAGCTCATTTGTAAGATGAAGGGGCTGGGTGGTTAACTGAGGACACATCTAGAACAGAAAGTGCAAGACTCTGTCATACAGTTTTAGTGATTTTCAACTTTTTGAATGAGACTGGATTTTATGAAATTTCAAAATCCAAGAGTTAGAAGGGCCCCTGAGGGTGATCTAATTCATTATTCAGAACATTTCATTGTGAAATATATTATACATAGAGAAAATGTATAGAATATGTATGTATGGTTTAAAGAAGAATAATAAAATAACTCCCATGTACCCACTACCGAGTTTATGAAACAGAACATCACCAATTCCTTAGAAGCCTGTTCTCCTCTCCTTAAGAGCACCTCTGTCCCATACCGTCCCTAATTATGTGTTTATCATTCCCTTGCTTTACTTTATAGTCTTACCACCTGTGATGTATCCATAAACAATATTTTGTTTAGTTTGGCCACTTTTTGAACTTTATGTTGATGGAGTCATACTGCAATTGTCCCGTGCCTGCTTCATTCCCTGAGTATTGTGTGTTGAGATTCATCCACGTCGATGCACGTAACTGCAGTTCACTCATTTTCACTGCTGTGCTGTATTCCACTGCCTGAATACATCACAGTTGGTCTACTCCACTGCTGAAGGGCATTTGAGCTACTTGCAGTTTTTTGCTTTTATGGAAATGCTGTTCTAAACATTCTTGCATTTGTGAGGTAATGCCTCACTGTTTTCCAAAGAGCTTTTCCTATTTACCTTCCCACCAGCTGTTCCCACTGATATATATCATCAACAGTACTTAGTAATATCTGACATATTTGGTCAACATAGTGGATGTGAAATGATATCATTTATCATTTTGTGATTTTTAAATTTCATTTCCCTAATGGTTAATCAAATTGAGAATTTTTTTCAAATGTTAAAATACTTGCTAATGTTTTTTGCTCATTTTTTACATTTTAGACTTGTAGAAATTCTTAATATATTTTGGAAATCAATCCTTTTTCAGTCATTTATTACAAATATCTTCTGCAATTTGGGGCTTGCTTTTGCTCCCCTTTTCTTGTTTTTGGATGAACCAAAGTTCTCAGTTTTTACGTTGTTGAATTTGTGAATCTTTTCCTTTATGGATTGCCCTTTCTGTGTCATGTTTCAGAAATTATTCTCTACCCTGAAATCCTAAAAAGGTATCTCCTATATTGTCTTCTAAAAATTTTATTGAGCTGCCTTTCATAGTAAAGCAAATCCACCTGGAATTGACTTTAGGGAATGATATACAGTAGGGATCTGATTTTCTCCCACATGCATAATTAATCATCTCAGCATCATTTATTAAGCAGTCTAATCTTTCCCCACTGATCTGCAAAAAGCAAGTTTCCATATGTATGAAAGTTTGTGTTTGGTTCTATATTCAGTTCCATTGGTCTTTTTATCTGTCCTTAATCCAAGATCACATGGTCTTAATAGGTTTTAATAACAAATGATGATATCTGGTAGGACAGGCCCTCTTGCTTTGTTGTTCTTTAGGAATGCTTTGATTATTCCTGGCCTTTTGTCAAGAATATAATTTTAACTGATTTCTTAATTTCTATGGAAAACCTTATGGAATGTATTAGAATTGTTTTGACTATATAGTTCAACCAGAGTAGAACTGTCATCTTTTTGATATTTCTATCTTTCTATCAGAGAATTTAGCATATTAAAAAATTATTTAGGTATTTAATGTCTTTCTTATGATATTCTATAAATTTAACAATTTTATAATTTTTATCTTATACAACTTTATAAAATTTATTTCTAAATTAAACTTTTTTTCTTGTTCAGGTAAATGGCGTCTTGATTGTTAATGGTGAATACAAATGCAATTTTTTTCTATATTTATTCTGTATTTAGTAACCTTAATAAATTCTTATTGACTTTCTTTTTAGTATTATTATTTCAGAATGTATCTCTAAAATATTAGGACTCTTTAAAAAAGCCAACCACAATAATCTAAAAGCACTGAAAATAATGTCTATTAAGGCATTATCAAGTCAGTGTGTTCAAGTTTTCCAATTATCCCATCCTTTTTTTCTTTTCTTTTTTTGTTTTAGTGACCAGTTGTTTGAATAAAAATCTATCAAGGTTCATACATTGCATTTGTCTGATGTACCTCTTAAGTCCCTTAATTGCTAGTTATTTTTCCTTCTTATTTTCTCCTTGCAATGTATTTATTAAAGAGACTGAGTCATTTCTGCAGTTTGGATTTTGCTGATTGTATCCCTATGGTGTTGATTAACTTGTTCTCCTCTCTTTTACATTTTCTATAAATGGTGGTTATATCTACAGACTTGAAATTCAGGTCTGATTATTTTTTTCTTTTTAGGAATAATACTACATTGATGTTCTGCACTTCTATGATTTGGGGGGTGGTGTTGGTGAGTAGAAATGGCTATTGATGATCATTGCTAGATACACTATTTCGTTAAAGCTTTGCAAAATTAAAATATTCTAATTATTTAATTCTTCATTTATTAGGCAGAGTGTTTCTTTCTTTTTTTTTTTTTTCTTTTTTTTTTTTGAGACGGAGTCTCGCTCTGTCACCCAGGCTGGAGTGCAGTGGCCGATCTTGGCTCACTGCAAGCTCTGCCTCTCAGGTTCATGCCATTCTCCTGCCTCAGCCTCCTGAGTAGCTGGGACTACAGGCGCCCCGTAGGTGGAGTGTTTCTGTAGATAGAAACTTTCATTAACCCTTTGCTTACAGTTAAGTACTGTACAGTTTGTACAATAGGTTAAAGTTTTGATTCTTTGCCCATATTATTTGTTTCAAAATAATGATTTCACCAGCATTATCTAAAAGTGACCAATGGGTTCTTTTCCTTTCTCCTTATTATAGACTAATTTTCTTATTGATTTTACTAAATTGTAGATTCTTTTGGGTTTTCTATGCAGACAATTATATAATCTAAAAATAATAGGTTTTTTTTTTCCTTTTCAAACCATATAACTTTTATTTCTATATCTTGCTGGATTGTCTAGGACCCTCCAGGCCAAATGTTGAACAGAAGTCATGACAGTGAGCACCTCTATCTTGTTCCTGATCTTAGAGAATGCCTTCAGCATTTTACTATTAAATGTTTCCTTTATAATTTTTGTATACATAATCTATCAATTATGACAGCTTTCTTCAATTCCTCCTAGTTTTAAAAATAACTAGGTATATGGGAGGCTGAGGCAGGAGAATGTCATGAACCTGGGAGGTGGAGCTTGCAGTGAGCCGAGATCGTGCCACTGCACTCCAGCCTGGGCGACAGAGCAAGACTCCGTCTCAAAAAAATAAAAATAAAAATAACTAGGTATAAGTGGGTGTTAAATTTTATCTAGCACCTTTTCTACTCTATTAAAATAATCAAATATTTTTATCCTTTCTTATCTTTATAGCAAAATACATTAACCAGTTTTCTAATATTAAGCCAATTTCAAATTTCTAGAATAAACTCAACTTGGTCAGTTATGCTATATTTTTCACACTTTTCTAAACTTGGTTTGCTAATATTTTGTCTAAGATTTTAAAATCCATGTTCATGAATGATATGGACATATGATTATTTTTCCTTGTTTGGTATTGTGCTGGCTCAAATGAGTTAGGAAGTGTACCCTTTTCTCTTCTCTGAAAGACTTTCTATAAGACATAGATGATTTGTTTTTGAATGTTTTGTAGAACTTGATTCCAATGCTGATTTTTGTTTCTTTCGTAGAAGAGTTTTAACTACAAATTCACAAATTCAATATCTTGGATGATTATAGGACTACTCAGGTTTCAAAATTTCTTCTTGAGTAGGTTTTAATTTGCACTCAAGAATTGATAAATTTTGTTATCTAAGTTTTAAAATTTATTACTCAAATTGTTTATAATATTTCTTTTTATGTCTTTAATTTTAATAGCAACTACAGCGATGTCCCTATTTTAATTCTTAATATTGTTGATTTGTATATTTTCTCCCATTACTTGAATAATTTTGCCAGAATTTTGTCTATTTTACTTGTATTTTTAAAGAATCAACTTTTGCTAATCCTGTCCACTGTGCGTTTTTTCTTTGATTAATGTCTATTGTATTATTTCCTTCCTTCTATTTTACTTGGATTCATTCTGCTCTTCAAACTTTTTGAGTTGAACACTTAGTTCACGGTTTTTGAACTTAATTCTTTTCTATTATGATAATTTAAGGCTACACATTTTCCTCTGAGTACCACTTTAAACTACATTTTGTAATGCAAGTTTTTGATACATAGCATTTTTGTTATCTTTCGGTTTCAAGAGTTTTCTGATTTTCATTAAGATTTTGCTAACCATGCCATCTTTCATCTCAGTTCTGCCATCTGGGATCATTTTTCTTCTGCTTACAGAACATATTTTATAATTTCATTTAATGAGAGTTTGTTGTTGGTAAATTCAGTTTTAAAAAATTTAAACATGTTTTTACTTTGCTTTGGGTCTTTTATTTTAACAGTTTTTGTTTTGTTTTGAGACAGGGACTCACTCTGTCCACCAGCCTGGAGTGCAGTGGCGTGATAACAACTCACTGCAACCTCCGCCTCCTGGGCTCAAATGATCCTCTCACCTCAGCCTCCCAAGTAGCTGGGACTACAGGCATGCACCACCATGCCCGGCTAATTTTTGTATTTTTTGTAGAGAAGAGGCTTCGCTATGTTGCCCAGGCTGCTCTCAAACTCCTGGGCTCAGGTGATCCACCCGCCTCGGCCTCCCAAAGTGCTGGGATTACAGGTGTGTGCCACTGCACCCAGTTCATTTTAACAGTTTTAATGAGATACAATTCACAAGTCATATAACTCAACAATTTAAAATGTACAATTCAACCATTTTTTAGCATATTCACAAAGTTGTGCAATCATTACCACTATCTAATTCCAGAACGTTTTCATCACCTCCAAAACAAGCCACAAACCCATTACAAATCACTCCTTATCTTCCTCCAACCACCCCCAGCCCTAGATAACCATGAATCTGCTTTCTGTCTTTATATAATATGCCTGTTTTGAGCATTTCATACATATGAAATCCTGCAATGTGTAGCCTTTTGTGACTGTTTTCTTTTACGTGTTTTCAAGGTTTATTCCCATTGGAGCATTTATTAGTATTTCATTCCTTTTTATTGCTAAATAGTATCCCTCTGTGGAGATAGATCACATTTTATTTATCCATTCATTTGTTGATGAAGATTTGAGTTTTTCTACTTTTTGGCTATTACGAATAATGCTGCTATGAACATTCATGTATATATTTCTGTGTGAACATATATTTTTATTTCTCTTGAGTATATACTGAGGAGTGGAATTTGGAATTGCTGGGTCATACGGTAACTCTAATTTCATCTTTTGAGGAACTGCCAGACTATTCTCCCAAGAAGCTGCACCATTTTACATTCCTTTCCACCAGCAATGTATGAGAGTTCTAATGTCTCCACATGCTCATCAACACTAGTTATCTATCTTTTTGATTATAGCCATTCTAGTAGATGTGAAGTGGCATCTCATTGTGGTTTGATTTGCATTTCTTTGATGGCTAATGATGTCGAGCATTTTTTCATGTGCTTATTGGACATTTGTATAACTTCTCTGTATAAATGTCTATTCATATCCTTTGCCCATTTTGAAATTAGGTTATTTGTCTTCTTATTATGCAATTGTAAGAATTCTTTACATAGCTGAGACACAAATATTTTTTCAGATTTATAATTTGCAAATATTTTCTCCTATTCTATGGGTTGTCTTTTCACATTCTTGATGGTGTATTTTGAAGCACAAAAGTTTTAAATTTTGATAATATCTAATTGATATATTTTTTCTTTGTTGCTTGAGCTTTTGGTGTCATATGTAAGAAGGTTTAGCACAACTCAAGATCACAATGATTTATTCTTATATTTTTTCCTAAGAGTTTCTCAATTTTACCTTCTACATTTAGGTCTTCAATCAATTTTTAGTTAATTTTTATGTATGTGTAAAGAAAGAGTGTGAATTCATTTTTTGCATATGAATATTCAGTTTTCCAAACACCTTTTTTTGAAAAGACCATTCTTCCCCTCTTGAATTATCTCAACAGCCTTGTTGAAAATTAACCAACCATAAATATAAGTTTATGTTTATATTTTTGATTTTATTCATTTCTATGCCTATCCTTGTGCTAGTACCACCCTATCTTGTTTATTATAGCCTTGTAGCATATTTAAAAGTGGGAAGTGTGAGTTCTCCAACTTCGTTCTTTTTAAAGATTGCTTGGCTATTCTATGTCCGTCCCTTGAAATTCCATATGAATTTTAGGATCAGACCATCAATTTTGGCAAAGAAGCCAGCTGAGATTTTGATAGGGATTGCATTTTCTATGGACTGAATTCTGTCCCCACCCCCAATTCATATGTTGAAGCCCTAACCTCCAACATCCTAGTGTTTAGAGATGGGCCTTTGTGTGATAATTAGGTTTAGATGAGATCATAAGGGTGGGGCCCTCATGATGAGATTAGTACTCTTAAAACAACAGACACTAGAGAGTTTGCTGGCTGTCCCTCTCTCCCTTTCTCTCTCTGCCATGCGAAGACGCAGCAAGATGGCGGCCATCTGCAAGCCAGTGCTGCCATCTTAATAATAAATAAGTCTTTTATTTTATGAGCAAGGGACACCTTTCCATTTATTTAGGCCTTGTTTAACATTTTGTAGTTTTCATAGTACACATTTTGAACTTCTTTTGTTAAATTCATTCCTATGTATTCCTTTGATGCTATTGCCAGTGGAACTGTTTTCTCAATTTTATTTTCAGATTGTTTATTGCTATGGTATAGAAATATAATTGATTTTGGTATTTGATCTTATATCTTGAAACCTTGATAAACTTATTAGTTCTAATAATTTTTTAGTATTCCTTGGGATTTGCTATACAAGATCATGTCATGTGCAAATAGAGATTAGTTGTACTTCTTCCTTTTTAATCTGGATGCCTTTTATTTCATTTTCTTCCTTAATTAACCTAGCACAAACCTGAAATGCAATGTCAAATAGAAGTGGTGAGAGCAGAAATTCTTGTCTTGTTTTTGATCTTACAGGGAAATGTTATATATAAAATTTCGGTGCTGCAAAAGGAATAGCACTAGAATATAAAATTTTCTTTTTAATTCTCAGCAAGGCAAGTTATTACTATAGAACGGTGCGCCCTTACAGATGGAGCAAAGGTGAGGGTGCACTTGGACAAGGGAGGGGAAGAGGTTCTTATCCCTGAGGCACGTGGCCCCTGCTGCTGTGTCGTTTCCCTATTGGCTAGGGTTAGACCGCACAGGCTAAACAAATTCCGACTGGCTAATTTAAAGAGAATGACGGGGTGAGTGCTTTGGCGGGAGTCAGGGCAGAGCAGGTAGCAGGTAATCTGAATGAGTTAGGGTGGAGCATGTGATCAGAATGAGTCAGGGTGGAGTAGGTAATCAGAATGAGTCAGGGTGGGGTAGGAAATCGGAATGAGTCAGGGTGGAGTAGGTAATTGAAAAATGTTGCTTTACGAGGAAGTTAAGTTTAAAAGTAGAAGGCAAAGAATTGAACATACTAACGTATTAATTCTTTGAAAAGAAATTTAGAACTCATATCTAACAGAAACATTCGGTCTTTCACCATTAAGTATAATCTTAGTTGTAGGTTTGTCTTTGTTATAGAAAGATAGTTTTGCTGAATACATAATCTTTCCTTGACAGTTATTTCTTTCAGTACATTAAATATATTCTTCTGCTGTTTTCTAGTTTGCTTGTTGCTACTGAAAAGTCAGTTGTCTGGCCATTTACCATTTATACGCAGATGATTTGTCTTTTCTCCCTGGCTACTTTTAAGATCGGCTCTTTGATGATCTGAGGTTTTACTCTGATATTGTAGGTGGATTTCTTTTAAATTTTCCTGCAGGAATTTATTAGGTTTTCTGGATTCAAGGATATGTGTCTTTCAACAGCTCTAGATAATTCATAGCTGTTGTCTCTTCAAATATTGTCCTCCCACTCATGTTCTCTATTATCTATCCCCAGAACTCTGATTAGATATATATGTCAGGACCTCTCACTATATTCTCCATATATTAGCTTCTTTTTTATTTTTACCACCTTCTCATATTTTTGATCTATTATCTGTATAACTTTTTTTGGATGAAATCTTCTGTTTTATTAATTTTTTCTTTAGCAACATCTAATCTGCTATTTAATTGATACATTGAATTAATTTCAAAGATTATATATTTCTATTTTTAGAAGTTTTATTTGTTTCCTTTTCAAATCTTCTGCACTATTGCTTATAATGCACTGTTGTTTTTTTTTTGCTCATATTTTCTAGCTTGTTTAAATGTATCAATATAGTTATTATGTAATGACAGGAAATTTCAATATACAAAGTTGTTGAGGTTCTGATTCTGCTCGCCATTGTTTCTGCTGGCTCTCATTCCATTATAATTTGTATGTTTTTGACTGACTGTGAGTTACTCATTTTCCTGATAACACTATGTGTGGAAAGTCTTTGAGGCCTGGAATAAAGTTGAGTTCCTCCAAAGAGGAGTATCATTTGCTTTTGCCATTTGCCAAGTGGGAGACCGCTGTAACTTAAATTTTCTGCTTGACTCTATTACATATTTTATATATTGTTATAAATTTTTATTTATAACAAATATATAACACGAATATAGTCATGAATCCATGTAAAGGGTGGATTATGGACAGATATTTTCATAAGTAATTTTTCATAATTTTTTTTTTCTTTGAGATGAAGTCTCAATTTGTCACCAGGCTGGAGTGCAGTGGCGTGATCTTGACTCACTGCAACCTCCACCTCCCGGCTTCAAGCGATTCTCCTGTCTCAGCCTCCTGAGTAGCTGGGACTACAGGCACCTGCCACCACACCCAGCTAATTTTTGTATTCTTAGTAGAGGTGGGGTTTCACCATGTTGGCCAGGCTGGTCTCAAACTCCTGACCTCGTGACCCTCCCACCTCAGCCTCCCAAACTGCTGGGATTACAGGAGTGAGCCACTGTTTTATTCCCCTCTACTCAGTGCCAAAGTTGGAACAGGCAAGTTTCCTTGCTCTCTCCCTCTCCAGAGCCAGTTTATTTCTCATCCATCATATGCTGAGAATATTTTTTTCAGGGGAAACAGCTTTATACATAGGTCTCCTATTGGATTCCCACTTTGACTAGATGCTAAGCTTTGCCTCCTGTTCTCCATGATCCATTTAGACAACAGAGTAAAAGCTCAAGGTCTCCAAGGTTTAAGATAAACTATCAGGATGAAATAAGGCATTGGGAGTCACAGCAGGGTTTCTGTTTCCGTTTTTAGCCTTCGTAGATTCCTTCCTTTCATGTCAGCATGGTAGTGCATGTTAAAAGAGTCGTAAAAGAAATTCATAACAATTTTTAGATTCTTTAGATGAGAAAGCTATCTAATAGGGTACTTAATTGTCATGTTGATTGCTGTTGGAAATAAAAATCCTCTCATTTCTTTTACCTTTAAGCAAACGGACATTGAAAATATTCAGAAAAATATTGGTCTATTTTTTTCCCCTTAAAATCTCTGTTGAAAGAGATTCTACAAACTCCGTGTGGTAAATGTGAAAATGGCCAAATTATTCCGTTCTGTATTAACACCCTTGAAATCTGATGCTGCAGATCTCCCTACAAAAGGCAAAGTTTATTTCTCCGTGACCTTGAATCTGGGTTGGCCATTTGGCTTGTTTTGGCCAACAGCAGGACATTAAGCTGAGGGTTGAAAAGGTCTTACCTATTAAAGCTTGTTCTCTCATTGTACTTGGAGCTCCGAGACCACCATATGAACAAGCCCAAGCCAGCCCATTGGAGGATGAAAAGCTATGTGGAGACACTGGGGTTAGCAGCTTGCCAACCACTGCCAGCAGACCCACCCGCCAACTGCATATCATCATGATGAGGCCAGTAGAGATAAGCAGAGCTAGAAACTGGGAAACACTTCCCAGCCAACCCAGAGAATCATGAACTAAATAAACGATTGGTTTAAGCTATTAAGTTTTTGCTTAAGTAAAAGGTAACTGATACATTCTCTTAAGAATATAATCACATAATTATATCCTTTACCACTTTGTAACAATTTCCTTGTCTTTACCCTTCGTCCCGCCTCAATTTCAGAGGGTGTAAAAATAATCACTCACCAAGATATTCTTGCAATTCAACTTATACTAAAGGGGTTTGCCAATACTCAATATAAAATTCAAATCACACCAGTTAAAATGTATCCCGTATATGCATCTATAAACAAATTAGGAAATATGTATATGTAATTTGTTTGCTCAGTGCAGAGTCTAGTTAGATCATGAAGAAAGAAGTTCAGGATTTTCACAATGGCAGGGGAAGTCACTCTCAGGTGCATGAGACTGAGGCAGTTACTGAAATAAAAAGAACCGCGGGTTTCAACCGACTTTAAATTCAATATAAGCCAGTAGTGTGAAGCGGCTCCTCAGGAAGTCAGTTCAATATCAGTTACATCAACAGAAATGTAGTCCTTTGTATTTGCTAGACCTTGAAAACTGTGATCTGTTCTGAGTATCATACTTTAAGAACGACAGTGACACACTAGAATGGATCAAAGAGGAAGACTCCAGGACAATGACACTGTTGGAATCATTTAAGATGAGACCCAATTTAAGGACTTGTGATATAGTTTGACATGGGGAAAACCTGGATACAAGTATCTGAAGAGCAGTCAAAGGGAAAAGCGAATACAAAGTATTCCTCAGACTTTATGAGGACAAATATAAGATCAACAAAAAAGTTACAAATTTTGGGTCATTTTCTAAACCCACAGGGCAATCCAACATTAGAATGGCTGCTCTGTGGAGCAGGGAAGCCTGAATGAGGAGGTCAAGATGTGGAGGCTGGAGAGACATTGTGGAAGGGTGTGTTGCCCCGGGCCAGAGGGCTCTCTGTGCTCTTTCAGCCAAGTCCCTTTTCCTGCTGCTAATTATCTGTCTTCTTTAGGAACTCTTAGCTTGGTTGAGTCTAGGAGTATATAAATTAGCCCTGTGTAAGCTGTAACAATGAGAGATGACCTAACAGCTATGTGCTCCCAAATTGCAAACCTTACCAAGGTCAAGATGTCTCTTCTCCCTTGTTAAACTTAACCTTTGAAGATTGCTACATTGTCATAGAATAGCTACTCATCTCAAAAAAAAAAAAACCAAAAAACAAAAAACAAACAAAAAAAACTATCTTGAATTTTATCCAAGATAGTTTGCACTTTCATTTGCTCTCACACTGATTTATAGGCACAAACCAGGAGTCTCTTCAGATGAGTAAGTTAAACTTGCAGATTAGTCTTTTTCCTTCTGGTTCAGCACCTGCCCCTCCAAGGTTACCAGGATCCTTGTCTCCCTCACGTACCAATACACTGCCCTCATTCTAAGGGAGAATCTCATAAGAAGAGGCTCAGGGAAAGTCTCTTTAGGTCTTTATAGATATTCCAGCCACCTGTGTTTGTTCTTTCTGCCCCTGAGGCATGACCTGATGGTGCAAGAATGGTCAGGAATCTAAGAAGAGAGTGGGGGAGCTGAGCCTCCTACCTTGACAGGTGAAGCATCTGATGTGGAAGTGGTTGTTGTGCACGCGGACCACTTCCCCTTTGCAGGTGTCTCCACAGCGGTAGCACTGGATGACATTGGAGCTGCCCCGTGGATTGTAAGGATTCTGCTGATAAGGAACTGTAAAAGAAACAAAGAGATCACTATCCAGAGGCCCTGATTCTTTACAAAGTCTGCTGCAAGACATTATCATAATTGTAGCTGGAAGAAAAAGTGGAAGGGGAAGAAATGATGTGCAAAGTATCTTCAATTCATCATCAGGATGACTGCCAAGCTAAGGCAGCACTGAGTGGTATGAGACATGTCCATAGCCCTCCTTAAGCAGGCAAGGACTTTTGAGTGAGCATCACCTTTCCTTGCAAGAACACAAGCCAAATCCCTGAATGAAGACAAATAAGAGGACATAGAGTATTTCAAAGTAAGTGATCAAAAATACCATCTTTTGAGTAAGCTTTAAATTAAAATTAGGCCCCAAACTTGTCCAAGGGAATTTGGGACTTGCAATTGACTCAGAAGTTTCAAAGAAGTGGGTGGCTGACCCTGCCTCCAAATGGCTTTTGAATTAAGTGAGTTACAGCCCCTCTCTGGGCCTCAATTTTCATGTCTATCAAATGAGGGTGGTCAAAGGTAGCAAAGACTTTTATAAGGAAGGCATGAAGGGAAGGGGAGGCACTCTGGCTGGAGGGAGGCTAACAAGGGAACTTATCTCAAAGCTACCTTTGAACAGCACTTTCCATAAAACTGGGAAAATGTTACATGTATACAATTAAGAAAAAAATGCTGGTGGAGATTATGAAAGGGTTGAAGTCACTGGGAGCTGCAGGTGAGTGGCCAGCATTTGATGATGCTTAAGAGTTCTACTAGCTTATTGGGTCTGTTATTCTCTTGCTAAGACCATCTCCAATTTTAGTATATGTGCTGCCAAAGTGAGACTGCTAAGACCATTTCATGGCTACTTTTCTAGATACCCTTTTCCTGAGATACACTTGGCTTGGCTATTCTAAAATCTAGTCATCTGATATTTCATTAGGCACCTGCCTACAGCACAAAAATCTCAGGGTTGGAAGGAATGTTGGTAGCTGTCTGGTCTGATCTCATTATGCATAAGCTGTTGAGGTAACTTTGCCACTGAGAAACATACTCTTCTCTCCTATAGAAAACCCCTGTGGCACTGGGGAGAGAATTACTCATTTCTTCAATTCTCACTCAAAGTTGAAGGAATAGTCCAAAAACTTCTGCTCATACCTTATTAGGAGAAGGCTCACTCTTGTCCTGGTTATAAAGATAACCACCTGATTGAAGGGGAATTGGTACCTATCGTTTATATATGTAGACTTCCTGGATAAACTCTGAATAAGTATATCATAAATTAATCTGGACTCACAGCAACCTTGAACCACAAAGGAATTTAAAGGTCACCTACTTTGGGGATTCTTGACCCTGTGTGGTAGTTATGTCTGTTCACTGGAAATTTGAACCTTTTCTTCTAGGCACATGGAGGATTGCACATGGTGACTTGCTTGGCAGTGAAATGTGAACTGAAATTGTGCATGTCCCTTCCAATTGGAAGCCTTAGGAGCCAATATGTGATCTGCTATATTGCCTTTTCCCTAACTCAGGAATGAATGTTACCCCAGATGGTGTGCAGGATGCATCAGCTTGGATCCGGATTGAGGAGTCATGGAACAGAACTGTAAACTAACCCATCATAAACCTCTATCATGAGCAAGAACAAATCTCTGTTGTCATAGCCTCTGAGACTGTAGCATAACCTCGGATCTGACATTTCTCTTTAATTAAATTAAGTGTTACATACATTATCTTGTAGTTTTGTTCATATTCTCAAAGAGATCTATGATCTCCAAAACTGATCTCATCTGTCCTCCTCCTTTTAAAGAGGAACAGGAAATCAGGACTTCTGATCATCTCCCATTTACAGGTATCCTGAATCCCAAGGATGCTATAGAGCAAAGAGCTGATTGCTTAGCACTGAAACTGGCTTCTGACAACTTTGCTAACTGGGGTGGGAGAATAATATACTTCTCACAATCTTTCTTTCATGCAGTTTATGCACATTATTCATCTATTTTTCTCTGTCTTAAATTCAAGACAAAAATCAAACAAATCAGCTAGTTAACTAAATCATTAATTAACTCATTAAATAGGTCAATACATGCAAAATATTTCAAAAACTGCGTTAAGTGCTCCACAAATGTTCACTGGTATCATGGCCATCACATCCCCCCTACAGCTCTGAGCAATCCTTCCCCACCCCCCAGAATGTTCATAAACATTCTCTTTAATCTTATTCTCTTTTCTTTTTCTGATTCTTACTCAATGTTCCCTGGAAAATACTTCACTCTCTCTTCTGCCCTGAATTTGTGAGAAAAATATAGATTCTGTTTATATGAGCAGTGTGGTGATCTACCATTGCCAAGGGAAACAAAGCTGTGAGTCTGAAAATAAAATAAGAACGAATAGTACAATCATCATCATTAACGCTGAGTGCTCTTGGAAGTCTCCAACAGTCCCTCCAGGATCATTGCACAAACTTTCATCTACCTCCTCTAATTCAACCTGTCTTATTGTTCAAGAGCCAACTTCTAAGATCAATTTTATTTTTTCTAATTGGATTTGATTTTCTGGGAAAGTGGATTTGTGAGCATGGTCTTCCAACAGAACTCAGTCTTTGAACCACCCGGATAAAAAAGTGTAAAATCAAAGTGAGGGGAATGGATTAGGAAAATAAAATTTTCTGGGGCTGCAGTAGTGATGGGACCCCAGCCCTAACCCTGCTGCATCCCCTCAAGAGAAGGATGCTGCTTTGCTGATGCTGTGTGTGGCCAGAGCTCTGATGTTTGTAAATAGTCCCATAAGCAAAAATTCATACATTTGGTGTATTAATACATACATACACCATACAACTGTATGAAAAAATACATACAGTTGGTGTGAGTTCTTCCAGATTGCTGATGTAAGCTGTGATTATAAAAGAACAGTGGTGTAGCAAGATTTGAGCTCACAGGTGTGGCAAGACTGTTCCTCATGCAGACTGGACGTAGGAACTCTGGGTGTCAATGGAAGCTAGGCTGGGATATGCCACATCCCTGCTCCTGCCCTGGAAGCCAACTCATTTCCAGTAAGATTTTATATTCTTGGCTAATTAAATCAGAAACTTAATCTAACATTGTTCTGTGTATGTGTACATGTGTATTGGGGGTGTGTATTTACTTCTTCCTACCAATCTATAACTGCCCTGAAATGTTAAAATTTGTTGATTTTCTGCTGGTTATCATTTCCACTAATTTTTATTTCAGAAAATGCAAAGTTTCAGTCACATGATTTATAACATTTTTCTTATGGGTGAATGTCTTTTGAATTCCAAATTGACTTACACGTGAATATTTGAACTACCTCTTATGTTAGAAACTGCCTACCCTTGAGAGCAACATTTGAGACCAGTCACAAGCCTAAAAGGACATTAGCTGTGCTCACTTGTGAGATAATCCATGAAGCTGCCACATTTAGACCTTATAGATTATGTGATTGATTTCTGAAATGTATGCAGAGAACCTCTGGCTTCTTTTAACATTACTGGCCAATAAAGGGTGCCCAAGACAGACATTCCCAGTTACTAGCCCTTAGTGCTATCCACTAGAACGTTCTGAGATGATAGACATGTTCTAGACATCTATGCTGTCCAATATAATAGTCACAGGTGACCACTGGGCACTTGAAATGTAGCTAGTGTGACTGAGGAACTTAATTTTAAATTAAATTTAATTTTAATTAATATAAATCTACATCTAAATAGTCACATGTGATTAGTGGCTACCATAATGACAGTACAGCCTGATAGTTAAAAACAACAACAACAACAACAAAAGACAACAAAAACAACAAAACACCAGGCAGAGGGAAAAGAAATGAAACTTGGTTGAATCCTAGAAATAAAAAAAAAAATGTACAAATTAATTTAGGAATATCATCTCAGACTAAAATGATTCATTTTTATCCCTAAAGAGTTCTAAAGTTGTACTTAAACAATTTGCAATGGGAACCAATTACACATTCACCCATCCTGAATTTGATCTGGAAACAAAAGATCATGAGCAGTGAAATAAATGCTGATTTTTAAAGAAATCACACACTTTCAGGCACTGAAAGACTGAACAAACCTAATCTTTCCGAGAATAAAAGCAAGTAAATCAGTTGCCAATGGCTGTCGGTATAATTTTTTAAGACAAAACAAACAAACAAACAAACAAACAAACAGCTTATTAATGCCCCTGAGATTAAAAATTAGGGATCTGAAACATTAAGCCCTCTTTTATATGCATACCAAATCTTTAGAGTTCTATGAAAAAGTGCATCTTAATTCCACAACTAAATTTGTAAGTAAAGCTCTTCCCAAATTTTAGAGATAATTTCAAGTTGTTGGAGCAAAACAACATATTGGAAGGGGAGGTGTGACCGACCTCCGGGTAAATGAAAAGGAGCATGGGAGTTGAACACAACAGTAAACAAATTCAGCATCCAGTTTCTCCACCTGACTTTTCCTCCCTCTCTCATCTGTTGTTCTTTGTCTCCGTGTGGCTGGGGTAACCTGGGTTCCAATTCCCTCTCTGCTGTTACCTACTGTTCTAATTTTGGGCACGTCATCTAACCTCTTTGGCCCCAATTCCCTCTTTGGAAGAGGTTGAACAAAGTGATCCATACGAGTCCCTCTTGTTACATGATTCTGCCTTGTGTGTCCTCTTCTGTGATTTTTCCTCTCCCTCCACACTCTCTCCTCTCCAGTAACTGGTCTCACTTTTAAACTAGACTTTGCTTTAAGTTATCAGATTTATCAGTCTCTTTTAAAAACAGCGAATGACACGATTCCTCTCCTATAAAAATGTGACCTAAGTTATGTTCTTTCACTGATGTGCTGCCTGCACATGGGTTTTCCTCTCCTGAGAGTCGCTTGACCTTGTAGATAAAAATGTTCCCACATTTTAATAGAGTGTCTTTAAAGCAGTCTTTAAAAGGTAGGAGCACCTATGCTATGCTGGTGTATAATTAAAAGAGTGGGAAAACTGACTTGGAGACAGCGTAACAACTGTGAATAATTGGCTGGAAGTGTAATATAAACAGTGGAACTTCTGGTTGAAAGGTGAAACATCAAGCAGAGAATCCACTGGTTCAGCAATGAGCACACAGCAGCCCAGGGCCCAGGGGATGCCACACATAACCATGCAGGGTGCAGCCGCTTTCACTCTGGCTTCTCAATTAGAGCCCAAAACTCAGAGTGTTCACAGGCATCTGCTAAATACCAAAGAAGACCCAACTGTGGGTCCAGGCATTTTGCAGGTAGAAAGCAGCTGCCTGAAACATAAAGGTGGGGCTTGTACATGAGAGGATCTGGTACTTCACAGCAGGGGCCTCCGGTTTGATTTCAGAGTTGAGCCAGGGCCCAGGTGCCGATCCTGTTTCCTACAGTGAGGCCACAGAGTCATGGGATCGTTGCACTGAAAGGGGTGGGAAGCACACGACACAGCGGGTAAGGAATGGATGCTGGAGTCACTGGGCTGGGTTTGGATTCCAGCCCTGCCACTTGCTGGTTGTGTGATCCTGAGCAATTTACATAAACCCCGCCTCAGTTTCCTCATCTCTAGAGTAAGAATAACTGAAGCAATTTGTGAGTATTAAATTACTTAAATTATAGAAAAGTGCTTAGTGCATTGCTTGGCCTCAATAAGCAATAATTAATATTAAAGGATCTCTGAATCCATGTCTCCTCACCCCCAACCCAGTGCAGGGATTCTTTCTAAATCACCCCTATCAGCTACCCACTGAGCTTTGCTCAAATATTTCTCAGATTCATTTTCTGACAAGTCCAGCAAAGGTTTGCTAGTTTTTCCTTTTTGCTGACTGCCAAGAAAAAAACTCCTTGGCTGCAGACCATTCACCACTATAAGCAACCTCTTCTTTCTCCCCCTATCTCTGGAGGTCTCTTTGTTTATGGGTTTGTGTGGGCTGCAGAGGTAGGTGGCTGACATGCTTTTGATATATCCTGCAGAGAAATGTGTGAATTGGGCATTTCCCTGTGTGAGGAAGAGGGGTTATGATCTATGTTATCCTAGGGCATTGTATTTTGGATGCATCTGCTGTTTCCAGGGGAGGCATCAGTGTGTTTGTTGTGTGTGCTTACTTAAAATAAGTGAGTGATATGTTTTCTGAAAACTCTGATAGGGAGATTATAAGAGCTGCTTCTGGTAACTCCAAGGACCATGCAGGTGTCACCACATTGTGGCATTAATCTGCATTCATTGTATGAATACCTGGGACTAGGCTTTAGAGCAGAAAGGGCCTGGGAGGCTATTCGTATACACGAGATTGTGAGCTCCATGAGGGCAGGGACCATGTCTTTCCAGTTCACCATTACACCTCAGTGCCAGGCACACAGTGAGTGCCCATCTCATTGTGTCATTGTTTCATTCATACTTGCAGAATAAAGAAAAAGATGGCTGAATTGGTCCAGCGGTTTCACTTAACAGATGAGAAAGCTGAGACCCAGAGGACAAGACAGAAGAGGACAAGAAAAGCTCACACAGCAACTGATGCTTGCTTGCCTCAGGGCATGGAGGTATCTGTTCTTGGACCACAAAATGAGAGAGGCCAATCAGAGAGGGTGAGGTGGGAAGAGTTCATAAGAGGCTACATTATCCTAAGTCTGGAGGTCATGCTGAGGTTTAGGGTTAGAGTTAGTGGGCTGGGGGTGCATGTTCCAAGATGCAGAAGTATAGGAGAGGGTTTGGAAGTGACGCCATGCATGAAGTAATAGGAGCAGTTAATGCATAAGGAAGGGTCTTGAAAGATAATAGATAATATTTAGAGGGTGGGTCCTCTATGTCAGGCAGTGTCCTCAGCCACTTATATATGTCATCTCATTGAGCCCTCGTAACTCAAGAGGGGATACTATTATCCTCATTTTACAGGAGAATGAAACTCAGAGACCTGAGACCCCTTGTCCAAGGTCACACAGTTAGTAAACGGCAGAGGCAGAATCTGAACCCAAGCAGTCTGACTTTCAAACCCGGGCTCTTACCACTAAGCTCAACTGCCTGCAATGCAACAGTGCCAGTGGAATGGCTACCTCTGGGGAGGAAGTGGGAAGCAGGGGTAAAGGTGTATCTAACTTTTCCCCAATAGTAGTCATCCATTACCTAGTTGTTTTAAAAAATAGTTTAAGAAGATGTAAAAATAATGATTGGAGGTGACTAGAATATAGGCCAGGAAATAGGAAGAGCAATTCAGCATCCCTGGCAGGTGATGAAGAAGCAGTGATTGCTGCTCCAGGGCCAGGGATGTCAGCTTTGGGCAGCATCCCTGGCATGGGCAGGTAAAGCCTGACAGGTGTGTGTGCTGGGTCCCAGAGAGATGCAAGTGCTGCAGGTGTTGGCAGCTGCAGCAGGGTGGAAGTACGAGTCCTCTGGGAACCCCTGGGTCCTTTCACAGATGGCCCGGGCCTGGCTGCAGTTTCCCATGTCAGCAGGTCAGTAACACAGCCTGTCTTCCCAGGAGGATGTTGTAAAACCTTTGCTGCAACAGAAACTCCTCCGCAGCTTCTCTCTGCCAGGCTCATCAGCATGTTCCATGGTCATGGCGTGTTGCTGGCAACACGGCTCGTGCTGCCTTCTTCAGAAACGTGTTGTCAGGACATGTGTCAGAACGGCATGCTCTTGGCCAGCCAGACTGCTCTTGTCTGACAGCCAGCTGCCACATGGCAGCTACAGCATAAAGGGTTTGGGTTAGATAGACCTAAAGGGGTCTTCACTGCAGTGAGCTTCACAAGCAAGGAGGACTAAATGGCAGCCCATAACATCGCAGAGTTCTTTATTTCTTATATTTCAACTGGTTTCTATTCCAAGATAAGAGAAAATGAAGTTTCAGCTGCCGGATTGCCCGCCCCTCCTTCCTCTCTTCTTTCCTCCTCTGCTGTTGACTGTGCCTGTGTCCGTGGGCTCAGCACAGGGCCTCTTTCAAAGTAGTCAAGTAGATCTGTGTTCTCACTTCTTTCCCCAAGATTCTCCTCCCTACCCATGTGCCAGGGAACCATTCTTATTAGCTGGGCATAAAGAAGCCCTTTCTGCCCTCCCTAACTTATGCTTTCTCTAGAATATTTAGCTTTGTGATAAATCCTTCTGTTCTTCTAAAGGGACAGGATTTTAAAATTCAAAAGCTAGGAAGCCACCCATTTTGTCCCTGTTTTCTGCCCATCCCAGTCTGAGGCCTTGCTCACTGAATAGAGGGAAAGGCACAAGAGTGGTGGGTAAAGGAAATCCCAGTTAATATTTCAAAAATACCATCCGGCTACACTTGGTCATGGGTTTTAATGCACGGTGGTATAAAAAGTATCTGAGGAATAAAGAAGATTTGATAGAGAAGGGGAAACATCCCTAGGGTGTCTACCAGTCTGGGCATTTTTTCCACTTTGGAATGGGCTTCTGCCAATCACCACATACTCTCTTGTCACTGCTGAGTCAGTTCCTTGTGATCTTTACAAAGCCCCCAGTCAGTAACACAGAGGAGCCTGTAAAAATAGCTAAAACAACTAACATTAATGGAGCAATCACTATGTGCCAGGCATTGTGCTATGCGCTTCCTAAGCATCCTCTCATTTAATGCTCATGACTTCATGAGACAGATACTGTATGATCTCCATTTTATATGTGAGAATTTGAAGCACAGAGAGGATAATTAATTAGCCTGAAGTTACACCACATGTAAGTTTTAGAGTTAGGGTTCAGACAGGCATCAGTAGGTCTAGAAGGGGCTCAATTTCTTCTCATCTCCTCTCTTTCCAGAGGGTGTTCCATCAAGGCCTCCTTCTGCCCAGTGTATCCTGAAGGAAAGAGGAGGGACTGCCTCGACCCCAGCAGGGAGAATGGGGTTGCCTTGCACTGGAGGCCTGCGGTGCCCTTTCCAGCATCTCTCCAGCTTATCTGAAAAATACTATTTGGGTTTCGTTTGGGGACCTGGAAACTATGTTGGAAATAGAGGAACTTTAGAAAGCCAGCAATTGTCTTTGTGCTATGAGTGACTCAGTCCCCTGGTCTTTGAGCCAGAGGTTTTAATATGTACACAACATTTGCTTCCTGAGATGCTGGCAGGCCATCATGCACTGATGTATTGCGGGGAAATCCAAGGAATCTTAACTGTGAACCCGGCTTTCCTCAACATGGCAGGGAAGTATCAGAGTGGAGGGAATATAGAAAATACCTAGTCTAGAGGTTTCCAAACTTTTTTTTTTTTTTAAAGCTATGAAGACTTTCTTGAAATGAAATGATGAAATGGCCTTTAGGTTATACTGTTTCTGTTGCAAACCACGCATGGAATGCAAACCTATGACACCCTGGTCATCGTTCAGGGAAATTCCCTAGACCAGGGGTTGCTTGCATTGGATGTGGCTCCCAGACACACTTTATTTGGATGGCCCGGTGTTTGTTTTTACATCCTTGCAGATCACCATGGTTCCTACTTCTTTTTTTTTTTTTTTTTTTTTTTTGAGACGGAGTCTCGCTCTGTTGCCCAGGCTGGAGTGCAGTGGCGCGATCTCGGCTCACTGCAAGCTCCGCCTCCCGGGTTCACGCCATTCTCCTGCCTCAGCCTCCCGAGTAGCTGGGACTACAGGCACCCGCCACGACGTCCGGCTAATTTTTTTGTATTTTTATTAGAGACGGGGTTTCACCGTGTTAGCCATGATGGTCTCGATCTCCTGACCTCGTGATCCACCCGCCTCGGCCTCCCAAAGTGCTGGGATTACAGGCGTGAGCCACCGCGCCCGGCGGTTCCTACTTCTTGTTTTTGCCTTACCCCTGGCCAGCTTCTCTCCTGTACTGCCAGGCACTTTAAGGCCTTGGAGCTATGAGCCCCACCTGGAAGCCAGGCAGATGAATGCAGAGCCGCAGCGACTAAAGTGGGGTAGGGCCTGGAGTGCCACCCCTTGTGACCCCATCCCACCTCAGGGAAGCTTCCAGGTCCCCTTCTGCCCCATCTCATCCACTTTCCCATCTTGACAGATGCAGCCCTGTGGCTCAGGGTCTCTATGATGCTGGCCACACCAGGACAAGCAGGAAACATTGGGGAAGTTCCAGTTTCAGATCAGGGACACTTGCCTGAGGTCAGGCCAAAATGAAGGCTAGACAATGCAAGTCAGGAAATTCCTGAAGCCGTTGCAAGCACCCTCCATTCTTATGGGGCAGAGGTCTACTGGAGGCCCCTTTTTGTGTCCAAAGTGCTCCTCCCATTGCTCAAAGTCCTACGGGACTACCCACTGATGGCCTCCGCAGTCATCTGCTCACTAGAAGCTCATTGGAAGTGATCACGCCATGTGACAGAACCCTTCCCACAGAAATCTGAACTGCTGGCCAGGGCCCCATTCCCCAGGGCTGTGAGGACAGCCTGACCACCACTCCAACTCCGTCCCTTCCTCTTGCTCCTCTCTCTCCCTGTTCATTCACTCTCCTCCCCTCTTTCCCTTTCTGCCTTCCTTTCTTCTTTCTTCTCTGTCATACTGCAATTCTTGCTAACATCTGGTTCTTCCTTGGGAGAGAGAATCACTTCCTTGTCTGTCATTCAGTTTTTGTGAGGCCTCAGGGAGGACACTCCCCTTCTCCAGGCTCTTGTTTTCCCATTTACAAAGTACAAGAGTTGCATTCTGTCATCTCTGTTTCCTTTCGGTTATAATTTTCTATGCATGTTAAACACAGGTCACAACATGACATGTTTTTAGAGGCCAGGCAGGTAATGTAAATGGAAAAATTGACCCAAAGGGACCAATCTGGAGAATCTGGGCCACCTAAAGGGGAAAAAATTACTGGGCCTCAGGGGATTATGGCCATGCACAAATAGGTCAAAGTTCCAAGGAGGCCTATCTGTGGGGGCTGGATCCTGCCTGTGGGCCACCAATTTGGGGTCTCTGCATCCAGACAGATAGATGACCACAAAGTCACTTTTAATCACCATCTGAGGGAAGTCACATGCTCACCACATGCGTGTAGGATCTGGAAGAACAGAATATTCTGAAATGAGGTCTTGCAGAGCCCCTGGGTGGATTGGGGTGCACCACAGAAGCATGACACACTCAAGGTCTTGGTGACATTACTCAGGGGCAGGCGGTGGTTTTCAAACGTTTTTTGACCATGACCCACTGGAGGAAATTAATTTTGCATAATGACTCAGTACACGAATATGTGAAACAAAAGTTTCATAGTCAAAACTTAGTACAATCAGAATTTTGTAGTGCATATGATATGTACTGATATTTTATTTTCTTTTTTTATTCCATTCTGTTTCATTATTTTATGCCATTTCATTAAAAAATGTTATTTGCACCCCAATACATTGATTTCAGGATCTGGCAATGGGTTGCACACATAATTTAAAACTAGGGTATGTAAAAGATCACAAGTCAAAGAATGATAAAAATTCTTCTAACTTTGTGCTGTCCAAAATGGTAGCCATTAGTCATTTGTGATTATTTAAATAAAAATTAATTAAACTTAAAAATTCAGTCCCCCAGTCTAACTAGCCAATTTCAAGTACTCAGTATCCGCATGTGTCTAGTGGCTGCTCTAGTGGACAATGCAGAAATAGAATAGAATAGTGGACAATAGAAACTCATGGAGTGTTCTATTGGACATCTGGTCTATGCCAAATTTCACTGTTTGCTAATGAAGAAATTGAGGCACAAGGCCCTTCAAAGAGATATGTTTGAGATTGGGAAGGCATGGATTGGGGCCAAACTGATGAAGCCTCAAGGATGTCTGTCAGTGGTCACTAAAGCAGTCAGGATAAGATGTGGGCTTTGCAGATTTATCCTCACTACAGGACTCTCAACCCGAAGTCCACATCCTATGTTCCATACACAAGCTGTCAGATCCTAACCTTAACCTTCACAGAAAGCAGAAGCCAATTTCCATGTTTTACCAGGCATTTATGGGAAAGCTTATGTCACCTGGAGAGCAGATAGGGTATGGAACCTGTCAGATCTGGATTCAAATGCAGGCTCTGCCTCTCACAGACCTCTCAGTCTGTGTAAGTGTGAGCAAAGTGCTTTGTATCACTGATCCTTAGTTTCTCCATCTATAAAATGGGGATAGTAGTATTTTACCTTCCTTTCAAGATTTTTGAAAGAATAAGATGCAATATACATAAAGCACTTATCACATTTTCTGGCATATGGTAAGTAATAAGAAAAGGCTTACTATAATAATAATGATAATGATAGTAATACTACTAATAAAATGAGACTAAACAGTGTGGAGATGTAAAGATAAAGAAAAAACACTTTCTACCCTAAAGGAAGTTCCAGGCTAGGGTAGGGGAGATTGCTTTTTATTGCATCTCTAATGCTAAGTCCAGTACTATAGGCACTCAATTTATATGTTTCAAATAAATGACTGACTAAATGACTAAATTATACCCACAAATAGCTACAATCTAAGGTAGAACTTGGTAAAAGAATCAGAGAGGACAATACATGAAGTGAGATGATTTTTATGAATTATTCCTGATTAGGAAGGGGAGGAGAGAGAAAGAAAAATTAGGGAAAGTACCATGGAGAGATGGCATTTTAATTTTTTATGAAGTTGTTGGTACATGACACATGGGACTAAGAAGTCAAGACATAATAAGTAACCAAGAAAAATACAGAAGAAAAAGACCAAAAGACAGTAGGAGGAAAGATAAGGAATATTTTGAGACATCTTTGAGATAAGAGAATTTAAAGATCCTCCCCCCAAATCAACGGACGAACATTCCATTTTATCTTTAGGAAACAAAGCATCATTCAAAGTTTCAAACTGAATTTGTGTAGTCTGGGGGAAATATTTAATCTCTGTGAGTATCAGCAAGGAGTTCTCAATTATGGTTTGGCCCATGTATAATGCCCTGCAAACAGCGTTTTTCACCCACAAATGTAGTGGACATCTGTTGTTTTGCCTGCTCAGCATCTGCTCTCTGCTTCATCTGGCAATAGAACCTCTTTCCTGTAGGGAAACCACTCCATGGGGTTTGGGTGGGGCCTGTCCCAGTATGAGGTGGGCGAGTAGTGGTTAGGCCAATTAGAACAGCCCAATCCCCTTTCCGTATGATTGGCAGGCATATGACCTAATTCTCTCTGAGGCTTTTCTGCAAGAGCTCTTAGAAAAGCCACCTGGTTGCTAAGCCAAGAGGAGGTAGTCTGGGGCTCCTTTGCCATCTTGCTCCACATGTTGAGAGAACCTATTAGAGACGGAGAGAGAGAGAGAGAGAGGGAGAAGGAGAGAGAGAGAGAGAGAGAGAGAGAGAGAGAGAGAAACAGAACCCTGAATGAATGCATCATTTAAGTCTGTGGATCTTCCTGGATCTGAAGCCACTGTGCTTCCCAATATACAAACCAATATAGTACACTGGAGGGTGGGAGGAAGGATCAGGAAAAATAACTAGTGGGTAGTAGGCTTAATACTTGGGTGAGGAAATAATCTGTACAACGAACCCCCATGACGCAAATTTACATATATAACAAACCTGCACAAGTACCCCTGAACTTAATATAAAAGTTAAAAAAAGAGATAGGAGCTAGTTTGAGTTAGGATTTTTTCACTTGGAATAAACTAATTTATGTCCTAATTACTCACAGTTCTCCATCAAAATCACAATCTTCCATTAATTTAAATTAAACAAACATTTCAGGACCACTTCATGCTGATACACCTCCTGTATCTAACATGAGCCATAGCATCTTGTGGAAGATAGAATGGTGAACCAGGTGAACATGGCCCCTGCTCTCATGTGACTCACCCTCCAGTGGGGGAATGGTGGGAGAGGAAGAGGAGTATTGTGGCAGACACAGTTGCTTCTCAGCAGCCACTCCTTCTTCTGTGAACAGACTCTCTCTTTACTGGAGGAACCAATTTTTGTTTACTCTCCCCTGAGCAGCCATGTCTTTTGAGAAAGGTTGTGACCTTTCCTGACTTGGGGAGGGAATCTTGTTTGGCGAAAATTGATCCCAGTAATCTCGTTCCTTTGCTAATGATTTAATTTAAGCAAAGACATGTGAAATACTCCTGACTAATGAGACACCAGGGAGGTCCCCTGGTGTGGGAGAGGGTCCTGGGAAGGTTTTCTTGGATGGAGGTTGTTATCCACATGTGATGCTGGAACTGCAGCCCTGGAGTCCATGATAGATTCTGAGGGGAGATCCCCTTAAGATGGAAGGAATCTGGGTCTTGATGGTGTTGCTGAGTCTCTGAATTAGCCTACCTTGGAACTGGCCCTCTCTGGGTTTCCTGTTACGTCAAATAAATGTGTTTAGATTGTTCAAGCCAGTTTTAGCTGGGGGCTGTCGCTTGTCGCTGCAAACATTCTAGCGTCTACGCAGTTAGGAAAGCTTTCTGGACCAGCTCTGGATATGAACAAATTAGCCAAGGAGAGTTAGGGTGAGACGGGGGGTGGGGGGGTCCTACAGCAAAGTCAGTGGTGGGAAGGAACTGGAACAGATTCCTTCAAGGTGCTTTTACTGTATGAGTGTTTCTCAAAGTGGTATCACCTGCTTCAGAATCACCGGGGTGGGGAGCGGGATTGTTAAAATACAGATTCCTGGGCCCCACCCCAGACTTACTGAATTGGGCTTTACATTTTAAACAAGCTCCTCTGGAGATTCTTTTTCTCACTAAAGGTCAAGAAATCCTGGGCTAGACTAGAAAGAAGATCTTCACACAGTCTTCAGCACTGACAGAATTTTAGAAATCTTGATATCTGATACTAATGTGTATCAAAAGCGCTGTCACCATATCATGTGCCAATATCCTTCAAATATTACAAAGTATATTTTCTCTGATGTGTTTGCCAACTTTCACAAATGTTTAAAAAAGTCAACTGGCATTGAAAAAATGTCCCAATACAGCTAGATTAAACACATACTTTATGCACTCAGCCCTGGCAGATGGTTTTTCTTTTCTAAAGTTGTTGTTCCTTTTAGGAAGAGCTGTTTTTGGTCTGTTATTAAAGCCATCTCCCATCAGGCAGAGATGAACAACACAGGTGGCTATGCTGGCAGAGAGATGGGCAGATGGGCAAAGGTGTTTTTCCTCACTCCGTCGTGTCTTCCGAGCCCTGTCCCTTCAGATTTCAGAGCCAGCATGTGATGGTGTCACTTGTGCAAACCAAAGTCAGTCCTTCAACATGACAAATTAAGATTCATCATTGGCCCCTCATATTCCCCTTCCTGGCCTACTCATTACCAAGCCATATAGACCAGTCCCTTACAGAGCGCTTGAGCTCAGCCTACTGTCTTCATCTCTTCCAGCCATAGCCCAGCAACAGGCATCTTTCACCTGGGCTACCACAGTAGCCTTCTACCGCATCTCTTCTCTAGTTCACCAGTTCTCTATTGGGGACAATTCCCTGACCCCTATCTCTTGCCCAGCAGTCATTTGACAATGCCTGAAGACATTTTTGGTTGTCACAAATGGTGTGTGTGTATGTGTGCGTGTGCTATAGGCATCTAGTGGGTAGAGGCTGGGGAGGCTGCTAAACATTCTACAATGCACAAGACAGTTCTTCCTTCTCCCCTTAATGCAGAATTATCTAGTCTAAAATTCACAGTGCTAAGCTGAGAAATCCTACTTTCCATGGATCCCCTCCATCCCACAGATCTCAGGTCAAAGGCCCTTCTCTGACTTCCCTCAGGAGTATAAACCCTACTTTCATTGGTTCCCATAGTCCTGGGTACTCTCTGTTGATTGCACTGCAATCAAGGATGTGTTTGTATCATTAGTTGTGCTTATTTGCTTAATGTTTATTTCCTCCATTGGGCTCTAAGCTTGATGAGGGCAGGGACGGTATCTCTTGAGCTTATCTCTCTAGTCCTAATTCTGAGCATAATACCTAGCACACTGTGGTTTACAAGAAACATTTAAAAAATAATTTACTTTGTACAATTCATGTGCAATTAAAAAACACAATGATTAGTATAGCTCTTGTCTGTAAGAAAATGACATCCTTGTTGAGACCATCTGAAAAATCTATACCACAAGATGAGAAGTGTCTTGTAGGGTAAGAAAAGCATAGTCAGGATACTGCAATGTTAGCAGTTCTGAAACTTTTTGGTGTCAGCACTCCTCTGTACTCTTAAGTTTTATTGCAAACTCTAAAGAGCTTCTGTTTAGATGGGTTACATCTATAAATATTTATCATATTAGAAATCATATCAGATATTTTTTAAAAACAAAAATACACAAGCACAGATTCCAACAGCCATCAGGGTGATGGCTGCATCACACATCACCTCTAAAAAACTCCACTGTAGTAAAACAATGAGAATGACAGAGGCAAATAACTTCTTAGAATTATTATGCAAATAGTATTATCTTGTGGACTCCTCAAGGGGTCTCAGGGACTTTCAGGGATTCCTGGAACATCTTCAAAAGCTGTTGTACTCTAGAAATCCTGATGCTACAGACATAACACCTTGAAGAGGAATCAGAGCAAGTTGCTTGTAAATGCTCCATCTCAGCTGGCTCTTGAAAGATGGGTGGCATCAGGACACCCCACATAGACAAACACCTCTTCTGCTGGCCCACTGAATGGCTCCACAGCAAGAATAAGCAAACTATGGCTCAGGGACAATTCTGTCCCACTAACTGTCTTTGTAAATAAAGTTTTATTGGAACACAGTCTTGCTTACTCATTTACATATTATCTATGATTGCTTTCAGGCTACAATAGTGGAGTTGAGTAGTTGCAACAGAGACCACATGACTGCAAAGTCTAAGATACTCACCATGTGGTCCTTTACAGAGAAAGTTTGCCAACTTTTATTCTTTAGAATGTTTGCAAAGGCAAAGAGTTCAGTAAAAACTAAACCTGATGTCAAATGACTTCTTAAATGTACTCTTTGTCTCTAAATTAGACTGGGGGTTAAAGAGTGAGGAAGAAAGGTGGGAAAGAACATACTTCCATCAGGTGGGGTAAAAAGACCACTAGCTTGGTGAGCCATACTGAGACTTCTAATTCTCTAACATACTGGGAGACTTGGGGCAAGTCACTTACCCATTTTGGAATGCTGAAGAGGATGGAACATACAGGAGAAAATTTCCCAATGGCCAGAGCTGCCCAGGGATGAAATAACTGCTTCTCTAGGTAGTGAGCTTTCTCCATGTGGGAAGCTGGCAGAGGCTGCATGATCACTATGCCAAGACAGATGGGAATCAGACCTTTGAGAGTCAGATGCATGACTGTATTAAGTCAGGGAGCACTGACTAAGTGCTCAAGGGTAGGTCATGCAAGTAAGTGACATCAGTTGGGATAAGACAAAGGGAGTGGGAGATTGTGACTAAACAGGCACAGCCCCTACTCAGTTCCAACTGATTCCTACCAGGTGGGGACATGGGCTCAGTGAAACCAGAAATATGGATTTTAAAGTAAAACTCCCAGTTTTTATATCTTGGCTCAAATATTTAAAAAATAAACGAAAAGAATACTATGTGAGCCAACTAAAACACATTTATGGATCATTTTCTCACCCAGGCCATGAGGACAAAATAAACTTTGGTGCCATTGCCAGGTTAAATATGCTTAGATTCTAAGCAAATAAAAGCAACCCTTTGAGGGGTTTTTGATTTTCAAAGTATCTTAACATCATATCTCATATTTTTGTTATTCAATAGCATAGTCAGGACTAGCACCCGGTACTTGTGACTCTCAGCCTAGTGTTCACAGGACAGCTGCTGATGCCACCACAGCAGAAGAAAGATCTGCACTTAGAGGAGTGGATGGAATGGAATGAAATAAACATGAGTAGTGAAGGGAGGAGAAGTAATCAGAATGAGTGAGCAGGGAGAAAGGTCTTTCCAGGAGGTGCAGTAGACATGACTAGGGCAGCGTACATACAAAAGACAATCCATTTGGAACCACATGCATGATATCAAGTGAACAGCTACTTCAGGGAGATCTTCTTTTGACTTCAAAGGCTTAGGAGCCAATAGATTCCTGTTTCACTTGAGCTAGTTGGAACTGGGTTTTGGTTACTTGTACTCTAAGAGTTCTTACTAATACAAAGTCTTAAAGAGGAGATTAAAGGTTTGCACTATTATAGTGCAAGAACAACCAAAAACAATACATAAATGTATTCCAATAAAATGTATACATAAATGTATTCAATTCAATGCATAAATGTATTCCCAAAAATGTGTTCCAATAAAAATTTATATACAAAGACAGGTAGTGTGTCAGAATTGACCCTTGAGCCATAGTTTATCCACTCTTGCTACAGAATCATTCAATGGGCTAGAGAAGTATACAGAATCATTCAGTGGGCTAGAGAAGAACTGATTATACCTATTTTACAAAGCCTGCTCAGAGGTTATTTGCCTGGGTTATTAGACTAGATGACCTTGAAGGCCCCTTCCCACTGTGAGATTCAAGGATGCTTTGAATTGATTTTGTCTTAAGTATATAGAGGTAGAATCTCTACTTTCAATTCAAGCTATGTTCAGAAACTATGTTTGGAATGAAATGTGTCCTCCAACAAAAAGCCTCCAACCATAATTACCAGTTCTACAACTGAGCATATGTTGATGGAAGCCTCGATTCACAGTGAGCCAGTTAAAATGCAAGAAAGGGACAGCTAGCAGATCTTTCAAGTTAGAGTCCAGGCTGTTAATTACTTTTGTAAAAGAAATACATAAACATACAGATGGCAATTACAGTAAATATGATCATCTACATATAAATATAAAAATCCTACCCACTCCTCAAGGCCTATCTCATATGCAACATACTTCTAGAAATACTTCCTGCTTCTCCCCTCCTCCCTCTCCAAATATGAGCTTTCTTTAAAAATCTCATGTCATGCGCTTCTTATGGGTAAGCAGTGGTTCTCAAACGGATGCATTCTCAATCCTGATGCATTCTCAAACGAGTATGCATCAGAATCCTTGGATGTCTTGTTATAACACATGACCCAGGGTTTTTGACTCAGGGGGTCCAGGGTAAGGACTGAAACTGTGCATTTCCAGCAAGTTCCTAGATGATGTTCATCCTGTGGGTCTGGAGACTATATTTTGAGAACCACTGACCTACAGCATAGTTTACCTATAATGTACCTACTTTTTCATTTGTTTTATATCTTTATCAGACTTCAAATTACTTGAGGAGGGATGCTACTCAGTTCTCTGTACCCTGGAGTATTCTTGTGGGCACTCAACAAACATTTGGACACACCTATGGGGTGAGCTGAGGAGTTAAGTTTTTGGTCAGCATAAATGTGACAGCTGTTTCTCACAACAGGTATTCTTGAGCCCGCAAGGAAGGCAAATGCAACACACTCGTTCCCACGAAACAACCAGCACAGGAGATTTCTGTGGCTAAACAACGCTGTAATGGAAATCACAACACAGTCAGGCCCACCATTCTGGTGGAAGAACAAAACCCAAATGAAACCCGTCAAATGGTTATGCAACTTTTACTACATATAACATGGTTACCATGCTTTAGGGGGGTGGGCAATAAAAAATAATAGAAATATTAAAGACTATCTAAATACCCTTTATAGGAAATCCAATAAAAAAGTATGTTGGAAATACAAAATGTTGACTTGTTGTGTGACCAACAAGAAGGGCTCACCTGGGGAAAAACCATCTTCCCTAAAAGCAGCAACAAAGGAAGCAGAGACACCTCCAGACAGTGATGGATAAGCACAGACTTGAAATTAGGGGAAGAGAAAATGTGAGGAGGGACTCCATGTTGGCTGAATTGGGTCCTCCTGTCCCTGTCTCTCTCACCCCCCAAATTCACATGATGAAGTCCCTACCCTCAGTACCTCAGAATATGACTTTATTTGGCAATAGGGTTTTTAAAGAGAAAATTAAGTCAAACTGAGGTCATTAGGATAGGCTCTAATCCAATATGACTGGTGTCCTTATAAGAGGGGATGGGACACAGGCAAGCACAGAGGGACAGCCACGGGAACTCACAGGGGGAAGATGCCCACCTATGTGCCAAGGAGAGAGGACTCAGAAGAAACCAACCTTGCCCATACCTTGATCTTGGACTTCTAGAACCCAGAACTGTGAGAAAATAAATTCCTATTGTTTAAGCCACCCCGTGTGTGGTATTTTGTTATGCAGCTCTAGCTAACTAAGATAGACTGTAAATAATTATTTTAAATAGCATAAAGGATATAAAAGCTGTCAGGGAATCAGGACCATGCAATGGCCCTGGAGTAGAAGGTGCCCTGCCCTATCTTCCCAAGTCCCAGCCCCATCATCTGCTGCTTAGAGGATCCCAACATGTTGTAAGGAGTGGTCTCCTTTCCTCACTCATTCTACACACAGTAGCCAGGGGGATACATTCAAAATGCAATCTGATGATGCTTAACCCGGACTCCCACCACCTCCAGTGGCAACTTAAAACCATTCAATGACTTCACTCCACCCTTGGGATAAAGCCAGACTCCTGGCCATGGTCCACAAGGCCCTGTGTGTTCTGGCCCCTGTTGGCCTGCCCAGCCTGTCGCAGACCCTGCTCCCCTCCGGCAGGAGAAAGCAGCCTCACTGGCCTCCTTTCTTTTCCAATGCATCCTGCTCCCTCTCCACACTGGGAGATTCCCACTCCAAAACAGACACGCCAGAGATGCTTCCTGTTCAGCTGGGTTACGCGTCCTAGAAAACACATTTTGAGGCAGGTGGCTTTCAGCAGGGAGAAGTCCTGCCTGCTCATGCCCCACTGCCCTGGTCAGGTTAGCCATCAGGAGAAACTGTCTAAGCAGCAGCTGAAAAGTGTCAAAAGCATTGAGTGAGGGGACTGGCAAAAAAATGAGGCCTACGGAGGGGCACACAGGATGTTCTTCCCAATCTAGATACTGATGAATCCTGGTGACAGCACCATTCATCTGGGAGTTGTAAAAGGAACTGAAAGGTGAAATTGTGGGTCTGTCGGCCAAAATGAGTCACCTGCTCTGACGGGCATGATGAAAGGTTTCTTTCTTTCTGGTCTGGATTGCTCACGCCCTTCCAGACACAAAGAGAAGAAGCAAAGCCTCTATCCTATGGTCACTATTCTGTGTCTCTTTTGATCATCATTTAGTTGTAGAGACTATGCTTTTGGAATGAGATACTGAAACACATGAAGGGATGCATGGCCTAACAGTGGGATGAAATATTTTGAAATTAAGACAATTGTATATGAGGACACTAGACCCACAATGAACTGAGTCTTTTTACCTTGCCCCATTTACCTATAACCCCAATAAAGCTGTGTTTGTCTTGTGCTCAATTTCTGTGTCGAGTTGTATTAAATTTTAATGATTGAAAGAAACACAGCCAGCAACCAAAAGTAATAAAAAAAGCAATTCAAATCTTTTCTGGCTTTATTCTCAAAGAACAGTCAAGGGAGGAAGGCATCTGTTTAATAACCAGCAAAACAGAGGCTAACGCAAAGGCTTTCTCATTCATTGCCTCATTTGATCATCACCAACCACGAATCAGGTGAGGCAAGGATCACTCCGGCTATTTTATAGATGAGCAAACTGAGGCTTGGGGAATTGGGGAATGTGCCCAAACTTCAACACAGGTGTTCTGACTCCTAGTTCAGTAAGCTTTCTTTTCTCTATAGGCGCACACACACACACATACACATACACACACACACACAGCCCACGCATACACACACACACACAAAGTAGACCCCTTTCTACCATTCTGTGCCCTAAAATATTGGCTTTTTTCCTTGGTACTAATGGCAGAAAAAATGACTATTACAATTAAATTCAAGAAACCCCAAGAGATTCATTAACATTTGATTCCCAAACCCCAGCTAAGTGTGGCATTCAAACAGGAAAGGAAAAAATATCAAAGGAACACACAACGATTTTCACTTGCTCAGCCTCTCTAAGCTAGATTAATGCCTCAAAAAAGAAATACTGCCAGAATACCCCTCTTCTAACCAAAGAGGCACTCTGTCCCCAGTCGACTCCAGGAATCCTGGTACAATAATTAACGTGTGGGCCAGAGGCCCAAACTCACTGGCACAGGGCAGATTTTCAGATGAGAAACAGAGAAGCTCCAAATCCTACTCACATAAAGGGCTTATTGACATTATCTGCTGAAAAGAATACAGATTTCAAGAGAGACAGCCAGGCAGAGAGGGAAGGCAGAATTTTGGCCATGGAGGAAGTAGGTGGAGGGAAGGGTGGACTTCTCACCTAGCTCGGAGTCCCTAAGTCTTTCCCGGATCATTCTCTAAGTGTGTACCCTCAAGTGGACTTTGCTACTGGCTAAGGAGCATTTCCCATAGCACTGATGTCACAGACCCAAAACAATCCAGGTCAGCAAACACTTTCCACTGTAAACAGAAGGTTTCAGAGAGCTCCCGCGGGCAGATGAGCTGTGGGTGATGCCCAGGTGCCCTGGGCTAGAGGACAGGCTCCGGACCTGGGACTAACTCAAAGGACAGAAATGGCCTGGGTGAGGGCAGCCACATCCACACCCGGAAAACCCAAGAAAGAAGGTGGTCTGATTATTGGGAAGAGATAGAGGGAGGGGATTAGGGCTAAGAAGCCCCATGGCTGGCCGAGAGATGGGAAAGGAGCTGAATAAGATGATATGAACACGGGCATTCATTCTACTCGCTCTTGGGCCCACTGCTGGGCCTGGGATGAGGAGGGCCCTGGAGATGGAGGACAATTCCCCCATGTTAGACAGTTAGCCTGTGTGTACTTCAGATTCTTCCCAGCCTGGAGGTGCACACAGAACCCCCAGCTTACAGCCCAACAGATGGGCCATCAAGTATAGCCATAACTAGAAAGTGTCTCTGTCTTCCAAAGCACAGGATGTCCTAAGCCTTTCCTGAGTCCCTTGACACAAAAAGCTTTTCCTGAGTGAGCACACTACAGTGACACCAACTTTAACCTGGGGTCATTTTTTGGCACCCACCATGCCCTAGGGAAGACCTGGCTCCAAGCAGAAAGTCCCAAATCAGCACAAGTAGGTTACAAAGTTTATAAACCAAAGTTCATGTTTGTTGGCACAATTATTTATTCATCAATATTTACTGAGTAATTTCCTTCTTTTTTTTTTTTTTTGAGACGGAGTCTCACTCACTCTGTCGCCCAGACTAGAGTGCAGATGTGCAATCTTGGCTCAGTGCAACCTCCACCTCCCCAGTTTAAGTGATTCCCTGTGTCAGCCTCTTGAGTAGCTGTGATTACAGGCGTGCACCAACATGCCTGGCTAATTTTTGTAATTTTTTTTAGTAGAGACGGGGTTTTACCATGTTGGCCAGGCTGGTCTCGAACTCCTGACCTCAAGCGATCCACCCACGTTGGCCTTCCAAAGTGCTGAGATTACAAGTGTGAGCCACTGTTCCTAGCCTTACTGGGTAATTTCTATGTGCTAAGAACTGGGGATACTCCAGTGAATAAAACAGTCTTGTTTGCTAATGTTTGCTATGCTTTGGGAGTTTATCATTCTGTGGGAAGGGTCTGTGACAAGTAAACAGATATTTACAAAGTGTGACAAGTAGAATGAAGGAAATAAATAAGGGGTGGGGACAGGTAATCTAAAGGTAAAACATTTCAGCTGAGACTACAAGGATGGGAGAGGGCTGTTTGTGGAAAACCAGGGATAAGTACAAATGAGATGGAGAAACAGCATTTGCAAGGAAGGGTCCAGAGGCTAGAAAGCACATGGTGAGTTTAGGGAGGCCAGTGCAGCTAGAACATCAGGGCCAGGGAGATGCTTGCACAAAATAAGTTGGAGAGGAGGTTCTTGAGCTGTACGACGCTTAAAGGTTTACCAAAAATTTTTACAGGTGTTACATAGTTGAAACAGCTCTTTGAGGTAAGCAAGGCTGATAGGATGGAGCCATAGAACTGATAAGGATACTGGCCTCAGAGGTCACAGAGTTAGCAGGAGAGCTGAGATCTCAAGTTAGTTCTTCTGTTTGCAAGCCTATTCTATCTAAGGGAATAGGTATATACACACATACTCTGTTTAAGGGGATACACGCATATATGTTTAAATTGGGCATGATTTGCAATTAATGAAACATATAGATTTTAAATACAATAAGTTTTGACAAATGTATAGCCCACAACAGTTTAATCAAGATAAGGTATATTTCTATCACTCTAGATAATTTGCTGCAACCTTTTGCAATCAATCACCCCTCCCCCAGTCAAAGGCAAACTCTGTTATAATTTCTGTCCACATAGATTAGTTTTGCCTTCTTGAATTCCATATAAATGGAATCATACAGTATGCCCTCATTTATGTGTGATTTCTTTTACTCAGCATGTTTCTGAGATTCATTCATGTTTTGGCATGTGTCAATAGTTTGTTCCTTTTTATTGCTGAATAGTATGCCATTGTGTAAATATAATCACAGATTGTTTATCCATTTGTCTATATATAAACATTTGGGTTGTTTCCAGCTTTGGATTATTTTGAATCAAGCTGACAGCAACATTCTTGCATAAATCTTTTTGCAGATATATGTTTTTATCGTTCACAGGGAAATATCTAGGAGAGGCATTGCTGGATCATAGGTAGGTGTATGTTGAATTTTTATAAAACTGTATCAGTTTTCCATAGTTGTTGTGCCATTTTACATTTTCACCAGAATTTTAGCCATTTGGGAGGCTGTAAAAAGGTGGTTTTAATTTGCATTTAACATGACTAATGATGTTAAGCTCCTTTTTATGTGCTTATTAACCATTTGTACATGTGATGTGTCTGTTAGAATTCTTGCCCATTTTTACAAATTTTAGTGTTCTGGGAAGTCATTGCCTCCCTTGAGGTTGTAAGATATTCTCCTACATTTTCTTGCAGAAGCTGTGTAATTTTAGCTTTTGGTTTATTTAGGTCAGTGATCTATCCTGGATTAATTTTAGTGTATTGGTATTGATCTTGTAACAGTACTAGTGATGGTTGACTAGACTTGTCAAGTATAAGGACTTCTTATTTTTATTTTATTTTTTACTTTTTATTGTGGCATAACTTGCATAGAGTCAAGTATATAAATCTTAAATATACAGCTCAAAGTGTTTTACATATATATACAACCATGCAACCACATTTAGATCATTTGAGGATTCCTTTTTTAACATAAAAAATATTTGTTATCCTCTGTATATTAGTATTACATTTAAGTAATACTTACATGTTAGCTTTCTGCCATATTAACTTTTTTCAAACACATTCATTTGACAGGCATTATGCATTTGAATTAGGAGCACACATGGATTTGTAAGCTCCAGCAATAATTCCATGGCTCCACAGTGATCTTTGGCTTGCAGTTGGGGAACAAATACATTATACCCCATAGACACGTGATTTCTATCTTCAAGGAGTTTATAATCTGAAAGAGGGCACTAAGAAATGCACATGAATAAATTATGTTGACTCACAGCAAATGACCTGTAATTATAAGAATGTTTTAAACTAAGGGCCAAGGACTTCAGAGGAGGGAATAAAATCACTTCAGGAGTGAATGAGAGGTAGCAGGGTGGAAGAATATTTAAGCCTAAAGATGGCTGGGCTGTTGATAAATAAGAGGTCATTATAAGGGCAACTGCCAACTGGAAATAATGCTTTTTAAAAAGTGCCTTTGTTGGTACCCTTTCAGTTGTACTTTACAGAAACCTAGTGGAAACCAGTTTAAGCAAAAAGAGAGTTTGTTGGTTCTTGCAACTGGGAAGTCTGGGGTCTGAGGTGGCTCTGCCTTCAGGTATGGCTGGATTAGGGGCTTTCCTATACGGTCAGAGCTAAGACTTTATTTTGCAGATGGCTTCTTCATGTTTGACAATCATGGCCACTGGTATTCCCACACTCTTTTCTCCTTAGCTCAGCAATCTCAATGGAATAAACACTTCTTCTTCTGAATATCTCCCTATCCAATTCCAGGGAATACTCTGATTGGCCTGTCTTGGGTTTAATTTCCACTGATGAGCAAATCCTTGTGGCCAAGGTGGATGGGAAACTCTGATTGGCTAGCATAAGTCATATGTCATTCTCAGGGGCGGGGGGTGGGGGACAGAACACCATGGTGACAGTCCATTAGTATGACAAGGAGATGGAGAGAAATTCTTATAAAGAATCAGAAGGAGGAAGGATAAAACATGCTGAGCAGACACCCTGGCTATCATATTAGGCTACAAGGCATGTGGGCTGTGAGTAGGAAATGTGAATCGGGAGCAAAGGGGGAGGATTTGCTCCGCATACTGAAGTGTTGGCATGGAATATTGTCCTGTATGTTCCTTCCCAAATGTGAAAGTCTCTGGTCTGAGTATCATTCTCTGCCTCTGAAGAACTGTGTACTCTGCAGATCCCAGGGCAGCCTGTGCAGCTTGTCATTTAATGGCCACTTGAGAAGACTCATATAATATCAGAGTGTGAGTTAATGAGGTGTGCTGACTATGAAGGCAACACAAAGAATGGAACGCTTTCTGGTCCTCTCTGTGTCTATTCCCAATGACCTTCTCTATCTTATTTGAAGTAACACCCCTTGTGATTACAGAGATAAACTAAATTAGAAGGATTGAACATTTCTTTGTCATCATTTTGGACTAGAATCTCAGACTAGAATCTCAAAGTTGCAAAAGACCTTCGAGGTCATTTAGTATAGGGGTCAGCAAACCGGCTCACGGGCCAAATCACCCTTCACCTTTATTCTTCTAAATACATTTCGATTGGTACACAGCTCTACCCATTTCTTTACACATTGTCTATGGCTGCTTTCATGCCACAGAGACTGTGTGGCTTGCAAATCCCTTTACAGGAAAGGTTTGCCAGTCCCTGGACTAATGTGACATGTTCCCTGCTTAATCAGAATTGCCCTCTCCAACATTCATTTCACACCTGACTCATGCCAAGAACTGAAAGAGATAATACAGGCAAAATGTTTGCATAGGGTCTTACATGTAATAAGTGCTCCTTAAATGTTAGCTTAAAAAGTCCTGTGTTACCAATATATATACCACTCTTCTTTCCTAGTGGAATGACCAAGTGGTGACTACATCATAACAATAGCATGTGTTGGTTATTTTGTATCTTTAAAAGGGGTTTTCCCAAAATAGTACATTCAAATGTGTTCCATTACTTATCACTATTAATCATTACTGAGTATTTTCCATGTGCCAGGCACTGTGCTAAGCATCTCACATATATTCACTCACTTAAAGTTCACCTATCATCCCCATCTTAAGAGGAACCTGACGTTTGGGGGTCTGGTAAAAAGCAACTCTCTGAAGGCGGCACAGCTAATAAGGGTCAAGCTGGAATTTGGACCCAGGCAGTCTGATTCTATAGCTCAACTTCTTATCAAATATACGATCTAGCCTTCTCAGTTTGGTCAATAACCTAGTTTTCAAAGTACCAGTTTTCACAGTCCCAGGTATTAGAATATACAGCAAGCCCACCCATGGGCATAGTTGCAGAAATGCACAGCTTGGCTGCAGAACAACTGGGAGCTCATTCTCCCTGCATCCCCACACTCTCCCTCGCATCCACTCACAACTGCATTGCTGCACTAGGTCTGCCTCTCACTGCCTCCAGGCCCTCTGATGCATGAGGTATGTGTTGCTGGGGAGATCTTCCTAAATAATGCACAGCTCTGGGCAGGTCACTACTGGGCTCCAAACCTCTCCTGACTCCTCATTGGCTGTAGATTGTAACAAATACTGTTTAGCGTGGCATCTGACCCTCTCAAAGAGCTGATCCTCACCAACTCCCAGCGTTTTCTCAGTGTCCACATACTCATATTCTCTAGCGTATACAAACTGGACTTCCTAACAGTTCCCGATGAGGGCTTTCTGTCTTTTTATTTCGGTCTCCATCCCAGTACCCAGACAAAGGCCCAGGACTCAGGAATTGTGCATTAGGGTGTGTGGAATGCCTGCCTAGGAATGAGTAAGCCCATCTAGACTGCTCTTTCTTTTCCTTCAACCCTACACAACATAAGTTTGTTCCCTGCCCCAAGGACCAGATTGAATGGAACCTTCTCCAACAAGCATTCCCAGGCCTTCCAGAGGAATTTGGCCTGTCTTCCTCTGTACTCTTTCCTTCCCTCTCAGCACCCGCCATGGTTTATCTCACATCACAGTCATGCATGCTTCTGTCTGCCCCTCCAAGATGCTGGATGGAAGCAGTCTGAGGTCCAGTTCTCTGTCCTGTGCATCATTGATTTCATGGTGCCTAGAATATGGAATGTCACTGTCTCACAGCGTGAAGATTTGTTTCACTGCCCGAGTGAATGAGTGAATAGTGCTGGGGCATCCAACGGGAAGATCAGCCATCCCAATCCATGTTTCCCCTGGAGATCTCCATCACAGTAAAAATACAAAAAGATGGTAAAAAGGAGGAGCAGGGAGGAGGGAAAGGAGGCCTCAGGGTCAGACCAACACAGTTTAAACATCTGCTCCTCTGCTTCCTAGCTCATGTGACTTTATCCAGGCAATTTACCTTTGAATCTCATTTTCCTTTTATGTAAAATGAGGATATTGAAGTATTCCTCATTAAATGAATCCATCCACATATTCACTCAAGGCTCCATCACTTTTCTTAACTTTGTGATTTGGAGCCAAATATCTCTTCTCTGGGCTTCAATTTCCTTCTTTGTAAAATGAGAACAATGTCAGTGTCCTCTTTCTAGGACTCTTGTGAAGCGTAAGTGGGCTCATTCATGTGTCCAAGAAATGCTTTTATAAGTGATCATCACTCTGCATCAAACACCATGTTGAGTGTGCAGGACTCAGCAGTGAACAAAACAGACAGGGTTTGTCACACAATCATCATGTGGCTTATAGTCAAAGGAGGATGAGAGAAAGAAACAAAGAAAATGAGCTAATGAACAAAATAATCACTGACTATGGTAAGCTCTGTGAAGAATAGTGAGAGCAAATATAACATGGGGATATTCCCTAGACACAGAATTCAAGGAAGGCCCATGTAAGATTGTTGTAAGGATTAAATAAAATAATAGATGTAAAACATTTGCACTCAGGCTGCAGTTGGAAAAGAGTCTCTGGATTAGGAGGAGGAGGAGAAAACATTAGTCTGAGTCTAAGGAATTTCTGATGGGGATTGAGCTTCAGTTCCTGAAATGCTGCCTCTCAAGTTCCTTCTCCCTACATGTAACAGGCCCAGGCTCTGTCTCTGCCAGTTGAAAGGGGGATTTATAATCACCTGAGGTTCCTGCACCATATAATGCTAACATCACAGGCAACTCTCTTTCGAGAACAACTCATGCTGACTGTGAAAAATATCTAATTTTATGGTTGCTTTAGACTATCACCAGACGGGCAGGGCTGGGATCCCTGGGCTGTTTCCCCATATCTCAAAACATAGGAATAGACCTTGGGCTGCCCCTGCTGCTGCAAGCTGAGCGTGACTTGCAGCGGGAAGATTGGCACTTGATAGAGTGTGCTTCAGGTGCTTAAAATAGATCAGCTGTGTCATTAGACTATTGCAAAGCAGTTGCTTCATCGGCCCTGCTGGCCTGGTGAGGGCAAGAGTAACAGCCCATGGAGAAAGATCTGTGCTTTGCACAAAATTAAGCAGATGTGAGGACGAAGCTTTGGAAATGATAGAGGCACTAGAGAGTAGCATTCTGCTGCGAGAGAAGGTGGGGCTGTAGCACAGGCACACAAACAGCCACCACAGCCCCTGGGAACAGCAGGGCGGCATGTGGAGCCTGTATGTTCTCCTTGTCTGTCTGGTGACACCCTTAGAAAAAAGGCCTAAGAGATGTTTAGGGAGCCAGGTGAAACCTAATCTGAAATCACTGAGGGACCATCCATACTCTCAGGCAGACACAAAACCAACATGTGGAGCTGCCTGGCGTCTTCCTACTGTTCCTTCAACATCCTCTCCCCAGCATGTTTCAAGTCCTTCCACTGTTCCGGTCACTCATTTCTGGGAATATACGGGCTGATCACTGTCTTCCCTGAATATAATGTTTCAAACAGAGCCTGATCAGGGTCTGCAGAGTGGGACTCTCACCTCCTGTCCATATGGCCTGAAATCACATTTTTTCCTGTAGGCCGTACTGCTCAGTTGCCTCTTTCTGAACTTGAGACCAACTCCTGCTCCCCTAACCTCTTCCTCCAATGGCTGCCATGCCTGGTGTAGGAGACATTAGGGAGTGATGGTCATTGAGGAGGGGAAGAGTTCAAGTCATGTTTGGGAGGTAGAAATGACCAGATGTGGTGACAGATGGAACACAGGAGAGTGGAGGAAAGGGAAGTGTCTCAGAAGACTGCTTTCTAATCACTGACTTATGACTGGGTAGATAGAGGTTCTATAGATCAACCAGGACTGTAAGAGCTAAGGTAGGCTTTTTGCTTTTGTTTTCTTAAGAGAGTAAATTTATTAAATTTTGAAGTGCCTTGGGAATATTCTAGTAGCCATCTTAGCAGATGATCAGAAAGATGACCCTAGAGCTTAGGAAAGAGATCTTTATCTATCTTTATCCTGGGGCTTATTAGAGAGAGTGGGCTTTTCATGAATGCGTTAACTCATCAATTATCTTTTGAGTACCTACTATGTGCCAGACACTGTGCTTTGCTTTCTGTGAATTATTTGCTACCTTGATTTCTTCCTGAGGAATAAGGAAGAATCTGCCCTAAACAGAAGAAATTATGTTGGCATGATCTACTTTCTCAAGCAGGAGGACTCTATAATGACAGAGGAAAGGTTGTGAGTAGCCACATGCAATCATTGTTGTGGCCTTTCAGCAGTCATCCCTTAGCTGGGTGGGTAATCAAACTCACCCAACCCATACAGAGCTCATGCTGTTGACTAGATGTTCTCAACTGGACCAGGCATGTCCCGTATGTCAGAACATTCTCTGGAACAGTTCAGCCTCCTCAGACGCCCTCTTTTGGGCTAGAAAAGGTACCCAGATCTGGGATCAGTTATCCAGAATTGCCCTCCTTTGTTCTGTGTCCTACTCTCTTTTACTAGGTTCTCTGAAAACAAAACTGACCTCCAGGAGGTCAGGGCAGGATATTGTTTGCCCTGTTATTTGCCTAACTGTATCCAACAGGATATGACATCACCCTTCTGGGAATGGGTCAGTTGGGGGAATAAGGACATGTGGCAGGGTTTTGCTCACTTCATGAGGACATTAATATCATGGCAATGTTAATCAATTGCTAACTTCAGACAGGATTTTCTCCCATAATCATTAACAGATGTGCTGCAGCTTCCACATCTCTGTGTGAAGAATCACTTCTACATATTTGATGTTTTATGGATCATCTACTGGACTGCAGTGGCAAGGTGACATAAAAATATTAAGCTGTCACTGTGTAATTTAATAGGAAGTGATAATTGTGGCAAGCCAGAAACTAAGTATATACCCCATCCAAAGCAGGCAATCCTATTGATTGCTGTTAGGAAGAAAAATTGGGTCAGGGCTGCAAAATCCTCCGACTTCATTTTGTTTTTAAGAGAGCCAGAAATCCCACTTCTGATTTCCCAATTTCCCATTGTTGGCAAATAATTCAAATTCACTAAAAACCTGGTGTAGGGCAAATAAGACGTGTCCCTTTACATTGGCCACCAGGAGGCACATTTTGCCCAGCTGTGTGACCCATGATTTTAAAGGCCACATTGGTTCTATTTACTGTTGTATCTCCAGCATTATGCTTAGTGCAGAGCTGGTGTCCAGTAAATACCTGATGAATAAACAAATGAACAATCCAATTCTTATTCCCTGTGTTGGACAGGCCCAGGAACTAGGAAGATTGGAAACGAATGTCATGACTAACTTCCCTTACACTATTGAAACACCACAGTTGTAAGAAATGACCAGGTGGGGTGGAAAGTGTGGCAAACAGACTGGCTGTGGACATACTAAATTACTGGGGTCTTCCCATGTGGGGACCTCCTATGTAAGAGCACTTCCCTTCAGATTCTTAGGAAGAGAGGGTCTACCTCCATGGGTCAGGGATAGCAAAATGAGGGTTTAAACATCAAGACTAGATAGATAAACTTAGTGACTTGCATTTAGTAACCAACTGTTAGCATCTCACGCTAGTGTGGACAGTGGCTGACATTCAGGGGAAACCAAAACACAAGAAAATCTCCTTGAGGAGTCATTTCCTTAACAAACACTCTATTATGGATTGAATTGTGTCCCCACAAACTCATATTTGAGGCCCTACCCCTCAGTACCTCAGAATATAACCGTATTTGGCAATAGAGTCTTTACAGGGATAAACAAGTTAAAATGAAATCATTAGATGGGTCCTAATCCAATGTGACGGGTGTCCCTGTGGAAGGGGGAATCTGGACACAGAGAAACACATGGATAAAGGTGATGTGAAAAGACTCAGGGAGAAAGGCAGCCATCTCCAAGCAAAGGAGAGGCCTCGAGTAGACATTTGTCTCGCAGCTTTCAGAAGGAACCCTGCTAACACCTTCGTTTTGGACTTTTAGCCACCAGAGCTATAAAACAATACATTTCTGTTGTTTAAACCACCCGGTTTGTAGCACTTTGGTGCAGTAGCCCTAGCAAACTAATATATACTATTTATTTCAGAAACCTTTGTTATGTGCCATGCACTGTTTTAAGGAATTCACAACTAACTTATTTATTCTTTATATCTCTTCTCTGACAGAGGCACTATTATTTGCCTCCTTGTAATTATCATTAGAGATGAGGAAGTGAGGCACAGAGAAGGTAAGTGACTTGCCTAAGGATACACAGAAAGTACAAGCAGGGCTAGAATTTGAGTCCAGCAACCTAACTTCAGTCTGTGCCCTTAAGAACTGCAAAGGAAGAATTTATCTGGCAAAATACCCAGAAAGTCGAAGGTGTTCAGATACTTCTGGTTGTTTTCTGTACTTTTACAATGGTTTCTGCCTAAAGTTGGGTAATAGCCAGTTGTTGACCGTTCACCACAGCAGATGCTATCTCAGCAAGATAAAGCTTTTGCCAGATAGGAAAGCTGGAGTTCAGAATTGATATCACTTCCTTTACGCAATCCAAGTGCTCTTGAAATCACGTTGTGATTTTTCTGAGATGTGTTATAGTCATTTTGGGTGATTTTAAAATTGTTCCTTACGTTATTCCTCTAACCCCTTCTTAGCCTCAGGTAATCATCTGTCAACAACTGCTTCATTCATTTGGGAAGTACTGTTTTAAAACAATCTCTATCCTTGTGGAGTAAATAATCACTTCTACTTTATCTGTTTTGCAGATGTAGAATTTCTAGAGAGGGCATCCTACTGCGTTCTTGTGTGTCAGGATCCTGTCTTCAGGGATCCTTAGATTTCTTGATCTGGGCAATGGCATTAGCAGAGGAAGGTCATCATGCCCCGTGTGCTGGGTGTCTTCTATTCTGAACTCCCTCACCTCTCCAGATCCGTTCTGCCTGCTTCCCTACTCTGGACTGTGCCCTGGGAAGCTGCTGACCATTATGAACCTATCAAATGCCTTCCTTGCCCTCTGGCTCCTGATTGGATTTGACCAATGGGAGGTACCCATAGGAGATCTGAGGGAGAGAGAAGAGGAGGATCAGGATATTTATCCTCCTAGTTCTTTCCTTGGAACTAGGCTGGCTGCCTTCCTGGGGCCACAGCCACAGTTCCTGTCAGGCAGCCTTCACCCCATAGCCAGCTGGGTCTCTGGGTCCAGCTAGGGGCAGTTGTGGTAGCAGTGGGTCATGAGCCACAGTTACTAGGCTCCTGGTACTGGGTCATGCTTGCTTCTCTTTGTTTGTTTCTTAATGTCCTTCTCACACACTTGTGAAGAGTCCTTCCATTTAACTCCTCTCAAACTGCCAATCTGTTCTCTGCCAAGACCCTACCTAATAGAATCCTCCTTTTCCTCTTTGCCTTATAAAACAATCAGTGGCTAGGCCATGCAGTCTTTATTTTCTAAAAGATTTTTCCCCTTATTTCTAGTTTTATAACCATCCAAATTTTGGCCCGAGACGTTTTCTGAACTAGGACAATTGGGATCCTAACTTCCTGTCTTCCCTTTTTCAACCCATGCCATATACAATGCCAGGTTAATAAGCTTCCTGTAGGCTTCCCGGGAGCTATGAGTTTCCTATGTAGAAAATCCATCACCTACTGTAATACCAGAAGAACAGACTAATTTTTAATCAGAGGATTTAGTTTTAATGACACCATCTTTCCAGAACTTTGCTTTACTCAACAGTCAACTCAACTTCAGACTCAACTCCATTCACTGAGACCCAATGCCTGTGAGTTTCTAATGTTATTTCGCTGAATCCTTAGAAGAACCCTGCACCTTGGCATTTATTGCTCATATTTTATACATGGTAAAATTTAGCTCAGAGACATGATCTATTCTGTCCAAGACCACAGAGAGAGTACATGATAGATCTTGAGTTTGAACTCGAGAATCCATACCCCAAAGCTCAGGTTCTTGCTGTCCCAGCATGGTCTCTACTTATCCCATGACATCTTTGTGGGAGTTATTTGACCCTTCAATACTCTCTTCAACAGAACAAAGTCTACTCTAAAAAAGTAATTTGTTAGCATACAAATCCATGGTAAAGACCAACAAAGGGGCTAGAGGCAGGAGGAAGCCTATAAAATGAGTAGGAGCAGTATGTGGTACCATTGATCTTGGTGCACTTGATGCTCTGGAGGGTGAGGAGGCCAGCCTTGGTGAAGTGTGAAGTGTGGGGCTGGGCAGAGGGGCTGGTGCTAGTGGGGAAAGGGCTTTCTCGGCAGAAGGAACCATGCATGTAAAGTCAGCAGGAGCAAACCCTTAGAGGGAATGGGAGAAGGCACATGTGACAAGGACACTGAGAACTGTGCACTGTAGACAAGATGGGGCTGGTCAGCAAGGCCAGGAGCAGGCCACATCGGGCCTTACAGGCTTGCTGAGGAGTTTCCTTTCTCACCCTGGGAGCATGGGAGCCTCACTTTAAGCAGAGTGTGATACAGAGTAGGGATGCGGCCGATCGCTGAAGGGGGCTGGCATGGATGAAAGGAGGCCAGTTAGAGGCTGCCTCAGTAGGTCAGGAGACAAATGAGAGATCCTTGGAATAGGTTGAGAGTTCATGAGAGAAAGAAAGGCTGGATGTTGGATCTACCCTACAGAAGACAAAGTGGCAATGATTGGCCAGTTTCCCTCCTTTCCTCTGAAGTCCTTCAGCGAAGCGAGTGTACTGACTCAGTATGAGCCCAGGCCTTTCCAAGCCTGGGGTGTCCTGCTCACATGTTTGGTGTCTATTTTCTCCTGAATAAGGACCAGACCCCACCTGCTGTGCTCTACCTAGGTCTGCCCACCACCTCACTCCAGCATCTCCAAAATTACCCCTTTCTTAATATTCAGCTAGATTTCAGAAGAAAGGATTCTAATGAAACTAAAATTCACTCTGAAGAGCCACTGACTAAGCATGCTCTTGTTTTTGTAATCTAAGCATTTTTTTATTAGTAAAAACAATTTACAAATGTTTATAAAACATCTCCTCATAATCCCATTTAATCCTTAAAAAATCACACTTCAGGTGTGCTTCTCAATTCATGAGAAGGATGTGACTGAAGTCTGAGAGGTTGCGTGACCTGCTTGCTAGTGTCATAAAATCCACAATGACAGCCACAATGATGCCCACAGTGATCATGACAGTGTGACCACCCATCACTGACATGATGCCAGCTGTGCCCACAGCCAAGGTACCACACTCTGCATACTACACTAAACATTAACATTTGGTTTCCATTCCCAGCTGAGGTATGCCTCATCATTTTCATTTTTTGCTCATGAGACAACCATACTGAAGACCACACATCTAACACATAAAAAAATGAGAACTGGAACCTGGAACAGTCTGATTCCAGGGCCTGCACTCTATCAACTCTTATCACTGCTCAAAGACCACAGCCCTGTGCTCCTCTTCTCCAGATAAAGTGATTAGGAATTTCTTATACAGATGACCCTTGAACAACATAGGTTTGAATAGTGTAGGTCCACTTACACAGATCTTTTTCAACTAAAGGCAGATTGAAAATACAGTATTTACACAAAATGAAAAAAGAAAATGACAGGCTAATATTCCTGATGAACATAGATGCAAAAATCCTCAACAGAATACTACCAAATCAAATCCAGCAGAACACCAAGAAGTTAATTCACCATATCAAGTAGGGTTTATTCTCAGGATGCAAGGTTGGTTCAATATACACAAATCAATAAATTGATTCGCCACATAAACGGAATGAAAAACAAAAAAATATGATTATCTCAAAAGATATGGAAAAAGCTTTTGCTAAAATCCAACACCCCTTCATGATAAAAACTATGACTTCAGTGAAGTCTCAGGATACAAAATTAATGTACAAAAATTAGTAGCATTTCTATACACCTATAACACTGAAGCTGAGAGCCAAATCAAGAACATAATCCCATTTACAAGAGACATGCACACACACACACACACACACACATACACAGAGAGCGAGCAAGCGAGCGAGAGAGAGAGAGAGAGAGAAAGAGAGAGAGAAACCCTAGGAATATATGTAACCAAGGAGGTGAAAGATCTCTTCGAGGAGAACTACAAAACACCACTGAAATAAATCAGAGATGACACAAACAAATGAAAAAACATTCCATGCTCATGGATTGGAAGAATCAATATCATTAAAACAGCCATACTGCCCAAAGCAATTTATAGATTCAATGCTATTCCTATCAAACTAGCAACATCATTTTTTACAGAATTAGAAAAACAATTCTAAAATTCATGTGAACTCATAAAAGCGCCCAAATTATCAAAACAATCCTAAGCAAAAAGAACAAAGCTGGAGGCATCACATTACCTGACTTCAAACTATATTATAAGGCTACAGTAACCAAAACAGCATGGTACTGCTACAAAAACAGACATATAGACCAATGGAACAGAATAGAGAACCCAGAAATAAAGCCACATACCTACAGCCATCTGATCTTTGACAAAGCTGACAAAATTAAGCAATGGAGTAAAGACTCCCTATTCAATAAATGGTGCTGGGACAGTTGGCTAACCACATGCAGAAAAATGAAACTGGACCCTTACCTTTCACCATATACAAAAATTAACTCAAGATGGATGAAAGATTTAACTGTAAGACCTCAAACTATAAGAATTCTAGAAGAAAACCTAGGAAACACCATTCTGGATATTGGCTTTGGGGAAGAACTTATGACTAAGTCCTTGCAAGCAATTGTAACAAAAACAAAAATCGACAACTGGGACCTAATTAAACTAAAGAGTTTCTGCACTGCAAAAGATACTATCAACAGAGTAAACAGACAACTTACAGAATGAGAGAAAATATTTGAAAGCTATGCATCTGACAAAGGACCAATATCCAGAATCTATAAGGAACTTAAACAATTCAACAAGCAAAACAAAAACAAACCCCACGCCCCCAAAAACCATTAAAAAGTGGGCAAAAGACATGAACAGACACTTTTCAAAAGAAGACATAGAAGTGGGCTGGGCACAGTGGCTCATGCCTATAATCCCAGAACTTTAGGAGGCTGAAGCATTTGAGACCAGAAGTTTGAGATCAGCCTGGGCAACATGGCAAAACCCCATATCTACCAAAATAAACATACAAAACTTAACTGGGCCTGGTGGCACCCACCTGCGGTCCTAGCTACTCAGGAGGCTGAGGTGGGAGGATCGCTTGAGCTTGGGAGGCTGAGCCTACAGTGTTCCATGTTTGTTACACTGAACATCAGCCTGGACAACAGAGCCAGACCTTATCTCAAAAAAAAAAAGACATACACGTGGCGAATAAATATGAAAAAATAAAAATGCTCAACATCACTAATAATCAGAGAAATGCAAATCCAAACCACAATGAGATACCATCTCACACCAGTCAGAATGGCAATTATTAAAAAGTCAAAAAACAACAGATGCTGGCAAGGCTGCAAAGAAAAAGGGATGCTTTTACATTGTTGATGGGAATGTAAATTAGTTCAGCCACTGTGGAAAGCAATTTGGAGAATTCTCAAAGAACTTAAAACAGAAATACCATTTGACCTAGCAATCCCATTACTGGATATATATCCAAAAGAAAATAAGTCATCCTGCCAAAAGGATACACACACTGATATGTTCATTGCAGCACTATTCACAATAATAAAGATACGGAATCAACCTAGGTGTTTATCAACAGTGTACTGGGTAAAGAAAATGTAGTACATTTATACCATGGAATACTATGCATCCATAAAAAAGGACAAAATCATGTCCTTTGCAGCAACATAGATGCAACTGTAAGGCATTATCCTAAGCAAATTAATTCAGGAACATAAAACCAAATACTGCATATTCTCACTTATAAGTGGGAGCTAAACATTAAGTACTCATGGACATAAAGATGGCAAAAATAGACACTGGGCACTACTAGAGGGGGAAGGGAGGGAGGAGAGCAAGAGTTGAAAAACTAACTATTGGGTACTATGCTCAGTACCTGGGTCATGGAATCAAGTGTATCTCAAAGCTCAGCATCATGCAATATACCCATGTAACAAAACCTGCACATGTACCTTCTGAATCTAAAATAAAAGTTGAAATTTAAAAAAATACAGTATTTGCAGAATTTGAAACCTGCCTACACTGAGGGCTGACTCTTTGTATAAGCAGGTTCCACAGGGCTGACTGCAGGACTTAGTATGCACAGTTTTACCAATCCCCATGTGTACAAAGGGATGATTGTAATCTCATGCTTTGCCTCTATTTCAGTGTTGACATTTGAATCATTGATTAGGAGTTGTACTCAGTGTCAAATGTGTTACACATCCAAGTACCTTTCATAACCCAACAATTAACTGCATGACTTGAAGAAGCCACTGAGCATTAACTACAACGTTTCTGAACACAGCTTCAAATTTTCACCCATAAAATGAGTAAAAACACCCATCTCACAGGTTGGGTGGGACAGTCTGGTGAGCTCAATCAGGGGAGTGCTTAGCATGGTGGCTGGTGGAGAATAAGGACTAAATAAATAGAAGTGAAAGAAAAACTAAGCAAGAGTTTCTATTAGGGACAATATCAGGCATGAGGATCAAGTTAAGAATTTCACATCTCAAAGGGGAGCTTTTTTGCTTAGTCAGGTGACCCAAGGACCTCCTGCCAATGCCCTATCCATATCACCCTATGGCTCTGTTACTCCTTTTCTTGTGAGGTCTGATGTCTACTCTCTGCATTTGCAGACTCGTGGGTTTGGGAGGTACCTCCATGATGATGGAGTTAAGCCCTCAAAGCTCTGTGCTTGCTGTGTCCCCCAGGTGTCTGTTTAGAGAAGCACTTCCTCCTGGGGGGAACCCGGAGGGCTTCCAAGGCTGCTGAGCCATTCTCCTCTGTTCATTTTCCATTACTGCAAAATTCACACACTCTCCCTGCTTATAAAAAGTAGTGGCATTTTTGCCAGTCCTCATATTCTGCAGTATCCAACTCTATTGATTCTTTTTTCTTTTCTTTCTTTCTTTTTCTTAAAAGAAGGATAGTCTGTTTCCTTCTTTCAGGAATACTCAGTGTTACTAATAGGACAAGAGTTCCTTAGCATTCCAGAGAGAGAAAAGGGCAGAGTCAGTTGCCTGTTTCTTTTCTTAGTTCCTTGAAAAATAGATGAGCCATCTTTCTTTTCTGTCACTTAGTGGGAAAGGACTCTCATAAATACATTTTTTTTTCCTAGAGATAGTGAGAAGTGACAGGCAACTCACATCTTTATTTGCCTGAAAACATGCAAATGCAAACATGTGACCCACTAGCTGATAGAGGCTACAGGATTTTCCTCTTTTCCTGAGCCTGGTATGAAGCCAAAACACCATTCCAGCCTGTCAAAATCAAAAGGCAAAATTCTTTGGCTGTAAGAGGCAGAGGGAGTCCAGCCACACTCGCTAGCTTAGCATAGATATGCAATACACAAAGGAAGACAGCAGAGAGATGAATCATACAAATACGTAGTAAATAAATATATTTTATTTTCATCTCAGTAGCTTTTGCTTTTTTTTTTCTCTTCCATGCTAGGAGGTGGGGGTGGGGTGGGGTGTGTGAGGAAATAGTAGGTTTTGGCTGGATACAGCTTCAATAAGGTCTTGATAGTTCTGGCCTTGTTGCTCAGCTCTAGCTTTTTAAGAAAAAAAGTGTAGATTCTTAGATTAGAAGGCTTTCTTTTATTATTATTATTATTATTTTTTGAGACAGAGTCTCACTCTGTCGCCCAGGCTGGAGTGCAGTGGTGTGATCTCGGCTCACTGCAACCTCTGCCTCCCAGGTTCAAGCAATTCTCCTGCCTCAGCCTCTTGAGTAGCTGGGATTACAGGCCCACACCACCACACCTGGCTAATTTTTGTGTTTTTAGTAGAGACGGGGTTTCATCATGTTGGTCAGGCTGGTCTCGAACTCCTGACCTCGTGATCCACCTGCCTCTGCCTCCCAAAGTGCTGGGATTACAGGCATGGAACACGGTGCCTGGCCGATTAGAAGGCTTTCTAATTCAACCCCTCTCATCATACAGATGAGCAGTCTGAGATGCAGAGAGGGGACTGATAACAAAGTCATAGACCCAGGGAAGTGACTGTTCATAGGGGTTCTCTGGTTCAACAGCCCTATGCGATGCTGGAATAACCTAGACAGGCCAAGCTGACAAGAGGGCAGGAGAGTGAGTCTGGAACCAAGATATGCCCTCCCAGGTCACAGCGCTACATTGAAGAGAAACAGACTGTGCCTTCTTGAATTTCGGACTGCATTCTCAGTAGCTGAGGCCCTACCTGGCAGCAAAATATCTGGTCCTGGCTCTGCAAGCAGTTGTTGCCTCTGGCATGTTAGAGCCCTTGGCCAAAGGGCTGTTCCTGTCTTCTTGTTCTCAAGGATAGCTAACCAGCCTGCAGGTACATAGAGAAACCAGCCCTGGGCCCACCGGGCTGCAGGCACTCGGGAGCTGGATCTTTCACAATCTCCAGACCCAAAGGTGGCTTGGCGATTATTTGTTTATCAAACTGCGGCTTCCCAGCCCACTGCCTGCCCACACCCACCTACCCTCCCGCCTGCCCACAGGCCAGCCTCCCTGCTCTTCCCACCTCTGGGACAGGCAGGGCCCTCCATGGTTTTCCAGATGTGTGCAGGGAGTTCTCCTCAGAGCCCCCACAGTCAGACAATGGCCACACACTGCTTCCTAGGCCTTCCCAGGCAGTGCTAGAAGGAGACGAGCAGCCTTCCCAGGAGAGGCGGCCGGCGCCGCTGATAAAATATTGGCAAAATTATCACGAAAAGCCAGAGTCATGAAGCTATCCCTCTGCCAAGGAGCACGGAAAGCACCAAAAAAGAGCCTGGGGGTCATGTGTCCAGAGATGCCAGGCTTCCTTCCTCTTTCCAGGCAGCCCGAGCGCAGGCTCCCTCACCTCCCGCCCCCACCCCTGTTCCCATGGCAAAGGAGAGGAGGATCCACTTACTGCTAGTGTTCATGGTGATGTCTTTGCACTGGGTCTTTCATTCAATACGGAGGCCCCGGCTGCTTTTTAAATCTTCCGTTCTTCGAACCTCACTCATCACCTGGGGGGTGAAAAGGCAGTCCAGTGCCAGCTCTGTATCCTCAGGTGCTCTCTCTCCCTCTGCTGTCCCCTCTCTGTCTGGGCTGTAGCCCCTGGCCTTGAAGGCGCGTGGACTAATAGGCGCAGGTGAGAGCAAGGAGAAGGAGGCGGCAGGACACCGGCGCCCCGGTCCTCCTGCTCCTCAGATTGGAATCCCGGGCAGAAGTGGGGTTGGCAGCGCCTGCTCGCGCGCACCCCGGACTATTCCTGCCCAGCGGCTCCGGAGCCCAAAGGGGGTGTGGACCACAGGGAGGCAGGGCGGGGGCAGCGCGTCCCCGCCCGGCTTCAAGGAGCAGCGACCCGCCCCGGAACCCACCTCTCGGCCAGTGTCGGGAGCCAGAGGCCCCTGCCCCGGCCCCTGCGACTGATTTCATGAATCCTGGTCCTCGTCTGGGGTCTCGAATTCCAGGGCTAGCAATGCGAAATAGGGGAGCTCGACATCCATGATGCGGGCTCGCGGGTTGGCAGCGCAGGGGGCGCGGCCGCTCGCTGCTGCCACCTGCTGGACGCACCGGCGCGTGTCCGAGGCCCCGCCCCGCCGGGCTTCTGCCTGGGCCCTAGGGTGTGATGGGAGATGGACGAGGCCTTGTGAGATGGACGAGGCCTTGTGTCCTGGGACCAACGAGGGAGTGCTTGAGCGCTTGTTTTCCCTCCCTCGATCCTGGGGTTCTAAGGGCTCGACAATGATAGGAAAAGAAACATCATTAGGAGGGGCCGTGAAGGAAAACCTGGCTTTGCAGGAAGACAGTTTCCACCCGGCTCTGCTCTGGCAAGCTTGGCGCAGTCTAGGCTCAAGCCGGTCACTACCGTCTCTGCCTCATCTTTCTCAACTATGAATATGGCGTCTGGACAAGTGGATAACACGTAAGGGGCTCTTCCAGCCTCCCAGCGTTTATGTCCCCTCTTCCCTCACAGATTCCCTTTATCCTCTATCGCTGATTCATCATTAGAATTGTTTATTACCTCTTTTCCCCACGAGAATGTTAGCTCCGTGAAAGAATGGGTCTGTCCGTAGGGTTCACCTACAGGCCCCCAATACCTAGCACAGGGCCCGGCATATAGTGGCTACCAATAAATATTTGTTGACAGAGCAACCCAGACATTTTCTGGGTTTAATATTACACAGCCCTAAGAGTAGACTGCCTAGGCGCCCCACCCTGAAACACTTCCCCGTCTGAGGAGAACAGCAGGTATGTGGCCTCACAGGTCCACCCTAGTTTTCATATGGTCAACTAACTCTTCCCCCAAGTTGTTGTTGTTTTTTTTTTTTTTTTTGTAATTATGTCTTATACGTGTGTATTGTAGAAGTTTATATTCCAAAGTGTTTTAGTCACAATTGATTCAGTGGGGTAGGGCTCTTTACATTCCTGTGACTACTTACTCTGTCACTTTCTGAACCTAATTCATGATCATAGAAGCATGACTTTTGAGTGCTGAAAAACAAGACTGTGAGGGCACATGATCCTTGTCTATAGCATGACTTCAATTAGAGCATGTGCAGACTCAAAAGGCTGTGAACACTCACAGCCCCAGCTTAGACAAGGAAACAGGGTGTCAGAGAGGCTGGGCAACGTGCCCTAAGACACACAGCATCTTGTGGCAGAATCGGACCAGATCTTCTCACTTCTAGCTTGATCCTGTGTGAGAGTGGCTCAGTGCACTAAAGTCTGGGATATCAGTGTGAGATTAGATAGCTGCCCTATTAAAATTGGGGAAAGACAAATACGATGTTTTTATACAATGCTTTTAGATAAATACAACGTTTCTACCTTACACAGGGAGGAAAAAAAGGATATGGCTCATGACCCCGAGAGGTGATCAGGATTAAAGAATCTTTGGATAAACCTAAGGATCAATAGATTTGAAACACATTTGATAGATTGTTAAGAATTTTGTCCACATGTTCTCACTCATAAGTGGGAGTTGAACAATAAGAGCACATGGACACAGGGAGGGGAACATCACACACTGGGGCTTGTTGTGGGATAGGGGACTGGGGGAGGGATAGCATTAGGAGAAATACCTAATGTAAATGATGAGTTGATGGGTGCAGCAAACCAACATGGCACATGTATACCTAGGTAACAAACCTGCACGTTGTGCACATGTACCCTAGAACTTAAAGTATAATAATAATTTTTTAAAAAAGAATTTTGTCCAATGGGGTGGAGGTAAAAATAGCCCTAATGTCCTCACGGTCGTTCTTAAAATTTTGTGTCGATAACAAACGCCTGAGATACCTCCAAAAATGCAGATTCCCAGGCCCTGGACTCCCTTGCTCAGCATTTGAAACAAGCATCCCAGGTGATTCATAGACAGCTCTTTGAAAAGGGTAGAGGCCTAAAATAGCTTTGAAAACGTAAGTGATTAGTAAATATTTAAATTATTCCACTTTATGTGTCCTCTACATTTTCAGATGGGATTCCTTGTTCAGTTTCCAAGTTGCAGGTAACTTGCTAGATTCTAATGCTTGGAAAAACATTTTTCTGGGAGAAAGTTCAGATAAATTAGACATGTAAAATTAACTGTTCTATTCCATGAGCATATTTAGTTATCACCCAAGGCCTCAATGTTCAGAAAATTTCAAATTATAAGAAATAGTCAAATGAAAGCATGATATTCATTCATTAGTTCATTCACTCAGCAATTATTTATCGAGGGTATGCTTTGTGGTAGCCCCAGTGCTGGCTTCTGGGGATACCGTGGAGAACAGGACAGACAAGAGCTCTACCCAATAATGGATGATTGCAGAAAAAATAAAAAATAAAGAAATAAAAAGAACTCCAACCTCATAAGCATAAATCCAATCCTGGGACAGCGGGGAGACAATTAACTAAGCAAAATATAAATTAGCTAAACCCGATGGTGGCCTGGGGAAGAGCCCAGGTGCCGTTTCCAGCCTTCCTGACTTTTAATCTCAGCTTCATCACTTTCTAGCTGTCTCACTTTGGGGAAGATACTTAGCCTCTATAAGCCTCAAAGTTTTCATCTGTACAAGGGTACAACCACAGTGCCTACCTTTTGGATTGTCGTATATATTAAAGGACTTAGTGTAATGCATGACAAATAAAGGCTGGTTGCATACTAATTATTAATATCACCCCTCACTTATACCTGCCCTCAGTGACAATGCTGTCATTTTCTACTTATGGAAATCTGTTGGGCTTTTCCACAGAGTGGTGGCCACGAAAATATGCCTGAAAATTTTCAGGTGATTAATTAATTGATAAATTAATTGATGAATTAATGAATTAATTATTCATCAATTAATGAGATTAATTGATGAATTCTTCTTGTCTGGGGTTCTTTTCGATAATGTATCCAGCTAGATGCTGATGACTTCACCTCTTAGAAGAGATCACTGGGTCTTGGGCCACTTTTTAAGGCCCAAATAACATCTGCCGGGGGAACAATCTTATTTTCTCTGCATAGTTTATAAGGATAGGAAAAAAGGGGCTAAAATAAGCTATACAAGCTATGCCCTTGAGGATGTCCACAACAATCAGAGGCAGCGGGAAAGACGCAGGAGGAAGCTGGGGGTGGGATTCTCTGTGGACATGGCTGTGAAAGTCATCAGGGGATCGGTGTTGTTGACTCTGTCCTTGCAGGAGAATGGAGCTGAGAACCACAGAGCAGAGGATCCCTTTGTCTGGAAGTTTGTTTTGAACATTAAGACTCCAGAATGGAGATAAACAAATCTCACCGGGAAACTGGCAAAGGCTCTGGGTGTTGAAAAACCATGTGGCAAAATCATTGGGAGACAAACCTTCCAACTTCTCTGAGGGGAAAAAGGAAAGGTTTTGGGGCCAGCTTCACCCATGGCCATGGCCTTGCACCTCAGGGGCTGTTGCTGGGCTGCCGTTACTGGGCTCTTCTTCACCACAAAGAGCTCCCATCTTTCCTGACTCCCTGTCCCTAACTGGGGTCATCTCAAGCTCTCCTCCTCACTTTCTGCTCCCTGCCTCCCATTGCTGTTATTGACCAAGGCAACTCTTGGCCCCTGACTTTTCTCTCTGGTTGCCTTTCTCTCATTCCCGTCCCATTGCATCTCTGCCTCCTCCTCATCCTGCTCCTGTTCATTTACAAATAAATGCTCACTCACCCTCATCTTGAATACAAAGTCCTTTTAGTCTATAAGGTGTGGGAATGGTGGGGAGGGTGCTTGTAGTCTCATAGTTTCTACTTGCCATCCCTAGACTATCTGAATATCTTACCAAAGGTGACTATTTCTTTTCTTAGTTTTGAAAAATAATATGTTATGGTTAACAACATGAGAAAGATCTATGTATAATTGTGGGGGAGGGTTTTCATAGTATGTGATTAAATAAAAAGAAAATTACAGAAAATAGATACAGTATGTTCTTTAGGGTATTGTATATGTGATGGCAAATGCTGTTGAAGGATTAGACTGGATAATTTCTTCAGTTCCTTTCGCTCTAGTGTTCTTGGTTCTAAGCATAGAGCGGTTGAACCAAGTTTGAAGTTTGGCAGATCTGACCACATTCTCGGTTGGGGTAGGGACTTTTGTTCCCCAAGGGACACCACTGGTTTGTGCTGAGCCCCAGGCCCTGAACACAGAACAGACTTCCCACAGGGAGTGGTGCTTTGTATGAAGCTCTCTGAGCTTCTGTCCCCCTTTCCTCTCTTGGGGATCTCTGAAACCTAGGTAGAATTGATAGGATTTAGACCTGTTTTTCTGGTTGAAATAGCTTTGTGACTGGGCCATGCTTTTCCTCTTGTTCCTCACATTGTTTTGTGGGGAAATGTTAAGGAAAACAAAACCAAAATCAAAGTGGCTCCCAACATCTTTGGGAAGTTTCTTGGGGAAACAAAGGAACTGGCTTTGAGATCAGAGTGCCGGAGGCTACAGCATGGGCTCCAGGGGGGCTCCATGCAGATGGCCCCACCATAGGATTCTTCTGAGGCCTCACACTCACATGTGGCCACAGCCCAAACCTCCTTCCTGATGGTCATTCTTCCAGCAGAAGGAAGGAGCTGAGGTGGAGGCAGCTCTGGATAGGAATTTGGGAGATCTGAAAACTGGACTCAGTGCTGCCATTCCCTTGGCTAACCTTCTCTGGGCTGTTTTTTATTTTATTGGTAGAACCATCTAAAAAAGATGTCAGGGAACATTCTATCCTACGTTCCATTTTACAGATTAGGCATAGAGGGGCTTCACTCTGCTCCTGGGAGCTCCCTTGACCATTGAAAGCTTGTCCATTGCCAGGTTTTGTGGGTTACTCATTATCGACCCACATTTTCTCTTCAGCTTCAGTTCTCCTGCTTGTAGTGCCCACCTCCTCTGTTTCCCTTGAATAAAGCTGGTTATTTCCTCAAGATTCCTTTAAGTTCCATCTTCTTGACTCTGTCCTCAGAGCTCCTCTAGCACTGACTACCCAGGTCAAGCATTGAGAAGGCTCACTCTATCCCATGCCCCTACCCTATCCCCCTTTGGTTTCCTGAGCAGAGGAAATTCGCTGACCTTCCCGTGAATTTGTTCATCTTGGGAACCTTGTACTCACTGCTTCCTATACCTGGTTTGCTCTTTTGATTCTTTACACAGCTGGAACCTTGTTATGCTCTAGATATTACCTTAGTTGCCTCTGCTCTAGGAAAACCTTCCCTTCCATGACCAGTCTAGCTAAATCATCCCTAACAGCATCTTTCATTAATCCATGGAGTAAAAGCCTTTCAGACAACATGGACTTATTTATTTCAGTTTGGAGTTCAGCTAATTAACTCCCATGCCCCCTTCCCCAATGTTTGGTCCTCTTCCCTCTTTATTTCCTTGGCTCTTTGAGACCTAAATTCTGTCTCTGAATATGGTCTTCCAGTAAATGCTTTAGAATCTGCTGAGGATGCATGTCTCTTCTAGTTATTAATAATTACAAATGGGTTCACAGCCACACAACAGTGAAGTCCATTGTTGCCCTGTGCAAGAGAAAAGAACTGGGAATCAGAACATCTGGGCTCTAGTTTGCCCTCACTTCCTAGCTAGGTGACCTTGGGCAATCAATTCATTCTTTGTTTCAATCTACTAAGCTGTAATGAATAATAATATTCACTGCACATTGTTATATGTTATAATTATCCCTTCATGGAATATATCTCAGGATTGTTCAAGGAATGTCATGAGAAACTGTGTGCTTTGTAAACTAAAGTCTGTGCAGAGTAGGTTGTGGTTACATCTCATTATAAATTATGGGTTCAGGTTCAGGCATTTATACAGCATTTATACAAGGTGACATCATATCCCCTAATATCCAGAAAGGGCATGGAAAAGGAAAGGCAGAAGTCAGTGGCTATGTGTGTGCTAGTCATTTCCCCATTGACCTCTGTACAGTACGTTCTACTGCCTGGAGTGGAACACTGTGATCTTGATGTGTTGCAACCCACAGCAATGCCCTCCTGCAAGTGCCCTATAACCTTGGAATGGGAATCAAACCTCGACTTGGGAGAGAACCCCACAGGTTTGATACCCCAAATCATAGAGTTGTAGGAGGCAAGAACTGTAAGAGTTCTTAGCGTTCATCAAAACTAAGTTTCTCCTTGTACAGAGTCCCAAAGAAGTTAGGAATTGGGTAAAATCATGCAGTGAGTCCACAATGGCAGTAATAATAAAGACAAGTCTCCCGGCTCTCGACAGCCACTCAGTGTTTAGAAATTCCCATGACCAATTCAGTTTCCATTTGTGAATTACGTCTAAGAGGAAACCCTTTCATCTACTGTAGAGACATACTCACAAAAATATACCAAAAGGAAATTTTATTTCAACTTTTTTTTGTAATACAAAAAGATTGGGAACAGTCTAAACTACAGTTCACAGGGAGATAAGCTGTGGCATATCATACTGAGGAATATTACACAGCAATTTGAAAAATGGGGTGCATATTTATGTAGTAACCTGGACTATTCAAGACTTGTTGTCTGGTGAGGGATGCCTTTTATGGAATAAGAAATGGTCGGCGACAGAGTGAGTCTCTGTCTCACAAAAAAAAAAATTGTCTGGAAGGCTATTCACTGAACTACTAGTAATAGTGGGATAGAAGTTGGGGGGTGATGACAAGATGACAGGATTAGAGAGGAGTCTATGGGGACATTAGCTATAGGGACCATGTTTTAGTTTATGTATTTATTTTTTAACCAGGAAAATGTATTCATGAGTTCTTGTATAATTAAAAATTAATAATAATGATTTTAAAATTAGCCTTAGGCCTTACTGAGCCCTTCTTCTGGGCTTGTAGGGCTGATTCATGACTGACTAAGCTTGTATGAGTCATGGTGGCTAAAGGGAAGGGAGAGGGCCACTCTCCATCTCAATACTGTCTGGTCTCTCTGCTCCTGGGGACTCCTTTGGCCTTCGAGAGCTTGTCCCTTGCCAGGTTTTGAGTGTGAGGACAACGTGTCCAGGGGCCAGTGTGGCACCTCCCATAACTGACCTGGTGACTCAGCATAAGGTCTCCAGGACGGAAGAGCCTGCACACCATGGCTGGCACAGAACCATAAAACTTGTGAGCCTGGAGCCTCCAGTTCTTATCTCAGTCCTGTTTCTACCTTCCAGGGGCTCCAGGGCAAGTGCCTGCCACCTCAGCGTCCTGCCTCTGCCCACTGATCTGACCTCCCCTTCTAGCATCAACCCCTCGCCCACTCTGTTCCAGACACGGGCTTCTTTTCTGTACACACCACATCCCACGCTTGCCTAGGGTGTTCACGGGTGCTGTTCCTTCTGACCTGAAACCCCTTCCTTCTGAATTCCATGTGACTGGCTCCTTCTCATCATTCAGGTCTCAGCTCTAGTGAATGTTGCCTCTTGGAGAGGCTTTCCCAGTTGTCCTTTCTCCCTCGGTACCTCTCTGTCACAATGCTCTATTTTATTTCCCTCAGAGCACAGAACGCTATCTGAAGTTGTGCTGTACACTTTATTTGTGCACTTGTTAATTGACATCGCCTACTGGAATGAAAATGAAAAAGGAGCAGGCACCTGTTCTGTTCTCTGTCCAGAGCTTGTTGTGTGCTCAAGTACCAAGAATGGCATCTGGCACATAATAAGTGCTCAGTAACTATTACTTGAGTAAATGAATGAATTTCACAAGCCCAGAGAGAAGTGTGCCCCTGGAGAAGAACAACTCCAAGTTTCCTTCTAGCCTTACAGTCCAAGAGTCAGGAGGGATTAGACAAAAAGACAAGCCCCATGGCTCTTCTTCCTAAGTCAGCCACTACAAGGCTGACGGTGCGCAACTTGTTACTTAATCCCCAGGTGTTTCAATTTGCTTATCTGGAAGATGAAGGGATTGGACTAGATGCTTCTTTTCCACTCTAAGCTTTTACTATGCTGTAAAATATAAATGGCTTGGGTCCACCTGCTTAAATCAAGATATATGTGTGAACTTACTTTCTTGAATACTCTCCTAATATCTGTTTGAAAATTTCCCCTCATTTTCCTCTTTCTCATAAAAAATAGAACGTGAAGTGTGTGGCAGGATGGTCTCTGGTGCACTGTAATATGGAGCCCTTTATGCAAAATTCATTATTGAATCAAAGGCTGCAGTTTCCTTTCCTCACTTCTTTCTTTGCTTTCCAAACAATTGTCAGCTTTGACACCTTTATTAGTGTCCTTTGGTCTTGTAGCAGAATGAACATGCTAGGCATCTCATCATTGGGGCTGTATTCCAAATATGACAAAGCAGGCATGCAGAAGAGCATGGAATATTTATTCCCAAGCCCCTGGTGAGGAGGGTGAGCTCCTGACTTTCCATCCAGCAGAAAGGAGTTGGATCAGCTTGGTCTCTGGGGTGAGGTTCTGGTTTCAGCACTGTGTCTCTACCTCTCTTTTGAGAGGTAACTAATCAGGTGCCCTTGATTTGGAGGCTGGAGGCCAAAAGCATAATAAAGACTTCTTTTACTGAGCGTGTGCTGTGTGCCAGGCACTGTGCAAAGGGCTTTGCATACATTATCTTATTTAATTTTAATTTCTTCCAAGAGCCCCATGAGATAAGAATTGTTATAACCCCCATTTTTCAAATGAAGAAACTGAGGTGTAGAGAGGGTAAGTCAAATGTCTCAGCTCATGTAGTAGTGGGGCTAAGATTTGAAACCAGATTATACTAGAGCTTGCAATCTTTCCCACTGCTATATACTGCTGTGTGTATAGTATAAGATCCTATATATATCCTGGAGCACAAGTCCTGCTCTGCCAGGATAAGGCACAGCTAGTAACAGTAATCCCTAAAATTCAAGTCTCTAATCAAGATTTAAAAAGTAGTACTCACCATCAGATTGCAAAACTTATGTTGTAAGTCAGGCACCATTTGTTTCATTGATATATACACAAGTGCTTATTAGGTGCCAGGAGAATGTATATACTTTGCTGCCCCAGAGATGGTCCCTGCTCTTGTTGGGCTTGTAGTCATTTGATGCTTGAGGAAATAAAATCTGAGAGACCTAGAGAAACATGTCCAATTCCATCCAGCTTGTCAGTCGGAGAACTGGCACTCAAACCCAGTCACTGGGCCCCTTGACCACTAAACTTTCCTGCCCAATGGAAAGCAAGACCTCAGTGGCTTCTGTTTTGAATGGCTGTCTATAATATTTTTCTTACCTAGATTTGTTGAAGTATCTTTAAAAAGCATTCAGTAAGTTGCCAAAGATATTGATGATTATGGGTGACTACAAGACAGTAGGATTGCTCAGCAATGGCATCATTGACCTTGTGAGCAGGATACATCATTGTTATGGGTTTTGTCCTGTGCATTGCGGGATGTTTAGCAGCATCTCTGGCCTCTACCCACTAGAAGCTAGTAGTCAGTTGTGACAACCAGAATGTCTCCAGATATTGCCAAATGTCCCCAGGCAGGCAAAAATCTTTCCTGGTTGAAAACTGCTGGAAGACAGTGAAGAAAATTAAAACAAAACAAAACACAAAATCCCCTCCTCGGCTGGGTGCAGTGGCTCACGCCTGTAATCCCAGCACTTTGGGAGGCCGAGGCGGGCAGATCACGAGGTCAGGAGATTGAGACCATCCTAGCTAACACGGTGAAACCCTGTCTCTACTAAGTAAAGTACAAAAAGTTAGCCGGGCGTGGTGGCGGGCGCTTGTAGTCCCAGCTACTCAGGAGGCTGAGGCAGGAGAATGGCGTGAGGCAGGAGAATGGCGTGAACCCAGGAGGCGGAGCTTGCAGTGAGCCGAGATCATTCCACTGCACTCCAGCCTGGGCAACAGTGCAAGATTCTGTCTCAAACAAACAAACAAACAAAAAAAATACCCTCTTCATGCTCTAAGGCAATGATAGTGTTGCATATGTGAGACACACATCATATGTGATGTGTGATATATGATGAGTGGGAACTCAAAATCTCATTTAATTAAGACAATTCTTGGAATGACTTAGAAATCTGGAGCTATGGAGCGATCACTCTTCAGGTATGAGATTAAACAACAGGTATGGTTTAGGGGCCATAGATGAACAATATGTGTCTTTAAACTCTAGAATTACCCCCCATGGGGAGAGATACTCACTTAATAAAAGGCAAGAAATGGAAAGGTCAGTATTCCACTGTTCTCATCTCATGCCTGCATCCAGGGAGAGAAATAGCAGAGGCTAGATGGTGACATAGGCTCTGGACTTAGAACTCAAAGTATGGCCCATGGACCAGCTGCCATTATGTCACATGGGAGCTCGCTAAAAAATGCAGAAACTCAGGCCCTGCCCCAGTCCTGCAGAATCAGAATCTGCATTTTAATAAGATTCTCAGGCAGCTTGTTTGTACTTTGAGGTTTGAAATGTAGTAGCCTACGGTGTTAACATGCACTTCAAGAATTGAGAACTAGCCTGTGGTATTTAAACGGTTCCCTCACTTTTGCTGACTGTGCATGTAAGTGTGTGGATGACAAGTTTGCTTCACTTGTTTGCATAACCTCTATAAGAATGTGGTTCTGTGTAGGTTGGAAGCATCCTGGACTTTCTTATTAGGCAGGGTTGCCGAAGGTGGAAGTGAGGTATGGGAGTAAAGGTTGTGCTGTGGTGTGTGTGTGTGTGTGTGTGTGTGTGTGTGTGTGTGTGTTATCTCGTAAGTTTTAAAATATGAAGCTACTATGTGTAATTCTTCCTCTGTTCATTCCCCTCCTGGAATGTGTGAGAAACCCTATCACTGCCAATTATTATAAATAAGGCTTTAGAGATGTCACTTGACTGCTCTCAGACAACACATTCCTCCCGTACACGAAGGTGGACCAACACCTACTTTGCAGACATGGTGTAAGGATGCAATGAATCCATGACTTCGGACAGGGACTTTCTGTACGATTACAGGTTATTTGTTATCATCATAGACGTGAGGAATCAAAAAGGTTACTGCAGATTATGTTCTCTGTAGTCCAAATGCCCTGCAGATGCTACCCTCTGCTGGCTTGGCAGTGAAAGTTTAAAGAAGCTTCAGAGGATTAAGAAAGGAAACTCCGGCATTGAGGACCCCTAAATTCTATGCCTTATCCCTCATCCTTGTGAAAGGGAGCTTTGAGGTAGTGTTTGCCAATATTTCAGCTAATCAGAATCACCTAGGACATATGAATAAAATTTCCAGTGATCCTACCTTCAGGGATTCTGATTCACTGGTTGAGCAAGGTCTGAGAATCTGTGTTGTGTTAATGTGTCCCAGTGATTTGCAAATGCACTCGGTTTCACTGGCCCATGTGTGTTTTCAAAGTGTGGTCCTATGATCATTTCCTGACTTGCTGGCTGATGTGGATGTGGCCTAAAATAGGATAGGGAGTGAAACAAGTAAGGGACCAGTACCTTCCAGTTGTGTATTAAACACCACATACCTGGACTTCTGGATGCAGATCTGGGGATACCACTTGGCTAAGTGGGACTTAGCCAAGGTCTTCAGAGGAGCAAGACCAAAATAGTACAGGGACTCAAAGCTACATCATATAAGAAATCGGGAAGCAATCGAATGGGGAAATGTTTTATTTGCTCAAAGCATTGAAATTTATCAATAAAAACACACAGGAAAAAGAACGAGAGAGACACTATTTTTTAATTATTAAAATAGATTATTAGGCTGGGCGTGGTGGCTCATGCCTGTAATCCCAGCACTTTGGGAGGTTGAGGCTGGTGGATCACCTGAGGTCAGGAATTCTAGACCAGCCTGACTAATATGATGAAACCCCCTCTCTACTAAAAATACAAAAATTAGCCGGGTGTGGTGGCGTGCACCGGTAGTCCCAGCTACTTGGGAGGCTGAGACAGGAGAGTTGCTTCCTTGAACCTGGTAGGTGGAGGTTGGAGTGAGCCGAGATCACGTCACTGCGCGCCAGCCTGGGTGACAGAATGAGACTCCATCTCAAAAAAAAAAAAAGAAAAAAAAGAAAAAATAGATTATTAGACAATGAAGCCAAATATCATAAAGTTAAAATTAATTGAGTATGTAACTTCATTTTTTGTTCCTAAGTAAACAGCCTTTTAAAATGTAAGTCTATGAAAATGCCAGCCAGTTGAGAAGCAAGAGGCAAAAAATGTAGCCAGGCTGCTCTTGGTCTGAGGCAACTGAAAGGAATCCTTCTGATTATCTCTGAGGACAGGCAGATCTGGTTTTGCTTGGAGGTATTTCTGTGTACACTTCTTGGCTGGAACTGAGATTTTATCTCTGTTGTGGGTGGTAGGCACATTCTGCTTTCCTGGGCACCTTTTTCTATTCCTCACCTTGCAATGTCCAGATGCACGGATGGCACCTGAAACCAGCAGAATGGGATACAGTCATGCTCACACACCAATATTAATAACAAAACCCAAACACTTGTAAATGCCTCTTTTAATCCTCACAGCTATTCTGTGAGGTAGGCCTTTTAATTCCACATTTAATAGTGATATTTTTCTACATAGGAGTAAATATGCCTAAGGTAATATATCTTGAAACTTACAGAACCAGAATTTGAATGGAGAGCTCTGACTCCAAATCTAATAATCTAGTTTATTATTAAGAGGAAAGAGCACACTGAATTAAGGGCAATATTTTTGCTATCCTATCGGCCAATAGTTTATTTTATCAATTTTCCTGTGCAAACCAGAAGACAAGTCCAAGGACAGGGTGGGGGTCAGGTTGGAAGGTATGTGCCTCTGTCTGTGATCTGCCCTTGGGTAGTCTGTGTGGGCAGCAGAGTGCACCTTCAAGAAGTAAGAATCAGGAGGGGGCTCTGTAAACGGTTGACTCTCTACAGAGAACATGGGTTGGGAAGAGACGTGTGATCAGGGAGAAGATAGTGCAGAGACCATTTCTGCAGGTAATGACATTCATGGAGGATGATTCAGATAGCACCCTGTAGGGGCTGTAACCTGCCGGCAGCGCTCTATGGGGGTCACTAGGAGGCAATGGGAGATGTGGAATCTTCAGTTATTGGAATATACTTGTTGCAGAAGATATAATATCACTTGATTTCCTTCCTCTACTTTCCAAGACACTGTGGACATTTTACTTGGGGTGGGGAACTGGTGATACAGCAGCCTAGAATGAGAGGCCCCAGCCTCCCTTCCATGAGCACCTCCGATACTTTGCACTTAGCCATGCATTTCTCCTTCCCCTTCTCTGCTTCCACCTTATTCTTTTGTTTATTCACATATTTACACGTTTGTAACGACACATTCAGGAATAAATTATTGTTGTGAAAACTTTGGATAACACAGGGTACTTTAAAAAAAAGAACGTCTCTTTTCCCCTTACCGCATCTCATCGTCCTCCCTCATCCAGCCAGTAGAGGGCAGGGATGTTGCTTGCTCTGCGCCCTGCTGGGTTCCCCTCAGGCTTCCATGGAGAGGCACTCAGCGCACATTTGCTGGGGGAATAAATGCATTGAAATCACCAGGCTGAGGTGATTCCTTTTCTATACACACACAGACACATACATGTAACTGGGATGTTTTATTTTCATAAAAAGCGTCATAATGTATGCATTGCATTGCCAGTTTCTTTTGCTTCTCTGTCTTCTCCTTCCCCTTTTTCTTCTTTGTGTAATATGTCTTCAGGCTGTTTCTTTGACTCTATGAATACCTACTTCATAGAGGTAGGTCTTTTTAACTGCTGGATAATCACTCCTGTGTTGATGAGCATTTGCGTTCCTTCCACTCCTCACTATTTCTTGTGATGCTGCTGTTGGCTTCCTTGCACAGGCCTCTTGCTACACAGGTGTGAATATTTCTCCAGGAAAGACACCTGAGCAGGACTCACTGGATGGCAGGGCTCCTCTTTCCTATCTCATTTACTGGGTCAGATGCCTAAAATCTAAATTTTCCTGAAAGATAAGCTGAACTGAGGAGAAATTCCTTTCCCTGGGAGTGGTAGGGAGTGTCAGTCCTGGGCTTGTATCATGAACTTGGCACACATAGAGACACACGCACACACATACACACACACATACATACACACACACCCCCACGATCCTATCCCAGCCTGCTTGCTAGGAAACCTAGTTTTCAAACATTAACCTGTTTTGTGGAAGCACACTGATCATGAAAGTCCTGAGATTTGGGGAGTTCTATTGTAGAATTTGTCACAGACATTCCAAGAAAATGTAAAACAAGTAACAAAGCCTCCATGGTCTTTAGTTTCCTCATCTCTAAAATGGGTTTGGAGCAGACGAGGAGTAGAAGAGTAGACACATTACTGTTCAAGGACACTTTCAATGCTACCCTTCCAGGGTAAGGCTTCGGTTGCCTGCCCTTGACCTTAGGTTTGCTGTGGAAGCCAAGAAAAGGGGAGCTGGTGCTTTGGAAAGAGCAGTTGGCTTTTCCGGGTGAGTCAGACCCAGCAGCTTGGTGACCTCTGCCCGGGTCAGCAGTCCCACCTCCTCTTCTGGAGCTGCTGCTGCTGGTTCCTTGGCTGACTCTTGGAGAGAGCACGTTTCACATCCTACACAGAAGAAAGTCTGGAGAACATCTCCCCCATGGCTTACTAATCTGCATTTCTGACGGCCGCCAGGCTACTCTCCCACAGATGCCTGGTTTGGTGTTTCTGACAAAGCAGCAGAGCAGAGTGATGAGGACAAAGGCCCTGGGGTCACACTGCCTGGGTTCCAATCCTGCCACTGACAGAGCCAGAGCAAACCACTCAGACTCTTAGTTTCCTTATCTTTAAACTGGGGATCATGTTAGTATAGCTCTTATGGGGCATTGTAAGGATTAAATAAGTTTTTACTCATGGAGTGCATAATTTGTGTCCAATAAATGCTTTTATTATTAATGTTCAGAAAGGGGCATAGCCCCTAGACCAAGTAAGTGGTCAGTAAATGCATGCGGAATAAATGACAAATGCTTGAATGAACTGGAAGACAGGCCCATGTTCTGGTTCTATTTCCATGTCTGACTTCTGACACCAAGCTTACAGCTCCTCCCAACTCTACTGACCTCCCTGAAACATTCCTCCAATTTCCTATTCTAGCACTTTTACTAGTGGTTTCTCTTCCATTTGGAATATTCTCCTCAGTTGTTTCTGCTGTCAAAAACTCCACCCTTTAAAATGCAAATTACATGTCACCTCCTCCATGAAGCTTTCTTTGTTTTTCCCATTTGGAAGTGACATATTCCTTCTCATATTTCCAATATATTTCTCTGTTAATGATACCCACATTTATATTTTAAATCCCTATCATTCTTATGAATTCCAAGTTAGTGCATCTAACTGTCTATTTGGTATCTTCAGTATCAAGTACTGAATAGACCCAAACTTAATATGTCCACACCCCACCAACCCACTGCACTAAGTCATCTCCATCTGCAGGCTTTCCCATCTCAGTTAAAGACAACTCCATCTTTCCAGGTATTCAGGCCAAAACATTTGGAATTTGCCTTGATGTTTCTGTATCTCTCACAACCTTCTATCTAATCCATCCAGAAATCCTGCTGATCTACCTGGATGTAGCCAGAATCAGAATACTTCTCATGACCACTGCTACCATTGTGGGCCAAGTCAGGGCCAATAGACTCCACTCCTGCTCTTCCCTCACCCACAGTCGCTTTCCCTGGAGTGGCCAGAGTGTTCTTTGTAAAATATAAGTCGAGTCCTATCAATCTCTGCTCAAGATCCTGCTGTGGAGCACATTTCACTTAGAGTAAAAGCTGGGCTCTGAACGCAGCCAAACAGGTTTTACAAACCACATACCTCTCTCTCTGACTCGTTTCCCACTACTCTTCCTGTCCCGGACGTTCTCCGTTTGTCCCTCCAGATCCATGTTCCAGCTTTCCTCACAGTGCTCACATTCCTAGGAGACTGGCCACAGAAATCTTCAAACATTCCCTGCTGCCTTTTGCTTGCAGTTAGATCACCCGACGGCAGGCACTGGTATGGGATGGGGAGATGGTTGCTGAGAAAGGTCGGGATATTTGCTTCTCTAGTCCCTTCCCTGGCAAGCCGTGGCTGTGTTCCTTTACCGGTAGAGATGCATCCCTGTCCGCAGCCCTCTCTGTCAGCCAGCTCTCTCCAGGTTCCAGTAATCTTGCTCTCTCCTGGCCCCTTCTGGCCTACTTGTGCTGAAGGCATTTAGCTATTGCCAACTCGCAGGTGCCTGACCTTGCTGATTTACCTTAACTTTGCCCAGAGCTTTGCAAATAGTCTCTCTCTCTCTTGCTCTTTGATTACTCCTTTTTTTTTTTTTTTTGAGATGGAGTCTCACTCTCTTGCCCAGGTTCGAGTGCAGTGGCACGATCTCCGGTCACTGCAACCTCTGCCCCCTAGGTTCAAGTGATTCTCCTGCCTCAGCCTCCCAAGTAGCTGGTATTACAGGTGTGCACCATCCTGCCCGGCTAATTTTTGTATTTGTAGTAGAGACGGGGTTTCACCATGTTGGCCAGGCTGGTCTTGAACTCCTGACCTTAAGTGATCCGCCCGCCTCGGCCTTCCAAAGTGCTGGGATTACAGGCATGATGATTACTCTTTTTTAAAAGGTACCCTCTGTTTCCTGTATAACTTGGATCAATCCACTCACCCCAGCTCACTCTGTTCAATCAGCACTCTCTACCCTGGCCTTCCTCCAACATGCTGGGCATACTCCCGCCTCTGTGTCTTTGCACTGCTCTCCTATTTCCCTAGCATGCTTTTCTCCTGAGGTCCGTGGTGGTCTTTTTCTCTCATGTTCTTAAGCCTTTGCCCAGTTGTCCCTTCTCAGTGATCACATATCTCTTTGAACTAATAAAAATGTAGCTCTTTAAGGAATCTCCAGTCTGTTATCCATAGTGGTTTTACTAGCTTACATTCCCACCAGCAGTGTAGAAGTGTTCCCTTTTCATCGCATCCATGCCAACATGTATTATTTTTTGATTTTTTGATTATGGTCATTCTTGCAGAGTAAGGTGGTATCACATTATGGTTTTGATTTGCATTTCCCTGATCATTTGTGATGTTGAGCATTTTTTCATATGTTTGTTGGCCATTTGTGTATCTTCTTTTGAGAATTGTCTATTCATATTCTTAACCCACTTTTTGTTGGGATTGTTTGTTTTTCTTGCTAATTTGTTTGAGTTCTTTATAGATCCTAGATATCAGTCTTTTGTCGGATATATAGACTGTAAGGACGTAGATTTGGTCTTTTAACATAGTCCCATATTTTTTGGAGGCTTTGTTTGTTTCTTTTTACTCTCTTTCCTGTAAACTTCTCTTCTCACTTTATTTCATTAATTTGATCTTCAATCACTGATACCTTTTCTTTCACTTGATCGAATCAGCTACTGAAGCTTGTGCATGCATCACGTAGTTCTCGTGCCATGGTTTTTGGCTCCATCAGGTCATTTAAGGTCTATTCTACACTGTTTATTCTAGTTAGCCATTCATCTAATCTTTTTTCAAGGTTTTTAGCTTCCTTGCGATGGGTTCAAACATCCTCCTTTAGATCAGAAAAGTTTGCTATTACCGGCCTTCTGAAGCCTACTTCTGTCAATTTGTCAAAGTCATTCTCCGTCCAGCTTTGTTCCATTGCTGGTGAGGAGCTGTGATCCTTTGGAGAAGAAGAGGCGCTCTGGTTTTTAGAATTTTCAGCTTTTCTGCTCTGGTTTCTCCCCATCTTTATGGTTTTATCTGCCTTTGGTCTTTGATGTTGGTGACTTACAGATGGGGTTTTGGTGTGGATGTCCTTTTTGTTGATGTTGATGCTATTCCCTTCTGTTTGGTAGTTTTCCTTCTAACAGTCAGGTCCCTCAGCTACAGGTCTGTTGGAGTTTGCCAGACTTCCACTTCAGACCCTGTTTTCCTGGGTATCACCAGTGGAGGCTGCAGAAAAGCAAATATTGCAGAACAGAAAATATTGCCTGATCCTTCCTCTGGAAGCTTTGTTCCAGAGGGGCACTTGCCTGTACGAGGTATCAGTCGGCCCCTACTGGGAGGTATCTCCCATTTAGACTACACGGGGGTCAGGGACCCACTTGAGGAGGCAGCCTGTCCGTTCTCAGAGCTCAAACGCCATGCTGGGAGAAGTTTCTGCTGCCTTTTGTTCAGCTGTGCCCTGCCCTCAGAGGTGGAGTCAACAGAGGCAGCAGGCCTTGCTGAGCTGCGGCGGGCTCTGCCCAGTTCGAGCTTCCCAGGTTGCCTTGTTTACCTACTCAAGCCTCAGCAATGGCAGACACCCATCCCCCTGCCAGGCTGCTGCCTTTCAGGTCATCTCAGACTGCTGTGCTAGCAGTGAGCAAGGCTCTGTGGGCGTGGGATCCACCGAGTCAGGTGCAGGATATAATCTCCTGCTGTGCCATTTGGTGAGACCATTGGAAAAGCGCACTATTTAGGTGGGAATGTCCTGTTTTTCCAGGTACAGTCTGTCATGGCTTCCCTTGGCTAGGAAAGGGAAATCCCCTGACCCCTTGCACTTCCTGGGTGAGGCGATGCCCTGCCCGGCTTCGGCTGCACCCACTATCCAACCAGTCTCAGTGAGATGAACCAGGTACCTCAGCTGAACATGCAGAAATCACCTGTCTTCTGCATCGATCATGCTAGGAGCTGCAGACCGGAGCTGTTCCTATTCGGCCATCTTGGAATGGACCCCTGTTATTTTTGTTTTTTTTTTTTAATCTATCTCTTTAGTAAAATTTTCCTTCACATCCTGTATTGCTTTCTGATTTCTTTGTGTTGGTTTTCAACTTTTTCTTGGATCTCACTGAGCTGCTTTAAAATAAATATTTTTGAATTCCTTATCTGGTATTTCAGAGACTTTTTTGTTGTTGTTAGGATCCATTGTGGGATGGTTAGTGTGACCCTTTGCGGGTATTGTAGCACTGTACAATTTCATATATCCAGAATTGTTTCTCTGGTTCCTTCTCATCTGGGTAAATGATCTCTTCTTATTTTTGAACTTACTTTTGTTTAGAGGAGATTGTTTTCCTCTTGAGGATGTGACTATAATATGTGTTGTGTATGATCATTTGGCTTTGGTTCTCGGTACTTTCAGTGTCAAAGCCTCTGTAACAGCTCCTTGGCTTTAGATAGTATTTGTATGGTGGCTTTCTCAAATTCTGGTTGTAGCAGTGATGTACCGAGTCTGTGAGAAGGCTTGCCGTCTCCTGCATGGCTGGGATAGTGAAGGTCTCAGGAAGCTTATCTCATTCTTCGGCACCATGCACTTCTGTTAGCAGATCTTTCTTTAAAAAATTACATTGTGTATTTCAACCTGTAGATCAGTAGATGACACTTATAGGTAAGAGCTGGCTGCAGCAGCAGAAGATGGCGTATGTGTCACCTTTCTTTACCAGGAGAAGATTTCTCTGGTACCTCAGATGATGGGCTGGTCTGTGGAATGCATGGTGGCCTTAGCTTCCTGCTTAGTCACTAATGGGGGGACGGAGCTGGGCAAAGCTGAACTTCCAGTCCTGCTCTCAGATACCCCAATGGCAGGCACAAGCACCAGTCCTGACAGAGGTGGTGAGGGGAGCTCCCAATGAAATGCGCTGAAGGCTCCGTAGTGAGGTAGGTGGCTGCCGCAGCTCCTGCCTCCCTGTCATGCCCCCTCCTGGCACTCAGGACACTCAGATCAGACAGACACTGCTGTCTATCTCCAAGCTGCAATGTAGTCGAGCACCATGAAAGACATTTGTCCCATGGCTCACCTCAGATGTCTTCTGTGTGGAGCCTCCTCCCTCAGCCTCAAACGTGCAGCTTTGTGGCTCTCTTGCTGTCTGCTGCAGGAATGCTGCCACTTCATGTAGAGAGAAGGAGGGGCCCCATCTTTTGTGCAAACCTAGGCCAGGTATGTACACCACCAGTGGGGGTGCAGCCACCCCTATAACCCTAGAATGTTCATTCTCCACACATCTGCACCAACTTCCCAAGACAGCAGCCATCGCTGTTCCCACAGCAGTGGGAGTTAGGGGGAGGAGAAGTCCTCCTCTTCACATCCATGCCAGAGGACCGCAACCACCTATCTGCTGGAACAAAACCATACTCCTCCCTTGCAGAATTTCTTTCTGTGGAGAACTGGTATCTGATATCTCTAGTGAGCCCAGTGCCTGCCTCTCCACTGGAGGTAGTGCAGTTGCTCTCAGCCCAAGGGAGCTCTTGGGCACAGGAAAGTGCATGCTCTGGTCTCCTGGTCCCCAGGGGTTCCCCCTTGGTGTGCTGCACTCCCTTCTCTTAGGAGCAGCATTTCTCAAGGGCTAGACCACTGGGGACCCTGAAGCTCCCCTGGCCCAGGCAGCCCTGTGTGGCTGCCACAATCTAAGTAGGTGCCAAGGAATGTCTGCAGGGGCTCCAGTGATGTGGAAACACAGGGACTGATGTTCCCTTGGAAGGACACAGTCGTCCAATGGGTGTGCCCCAAGTATGGCACCTGCTGTTGCTGCTCAGGTCACGGGGAGGGCAGGCAACTCAGGGTGAGCTGGTGGTCTAGTGTGATGCCCTTAAGAAGTCCCCAGATCACTGTCAACACCAGTGTTTGGGTTCATGCGGGTGGAAGAGCTCTCCAACAGTTCAGATACCAGAGGTCTCCTGCAGGGATAAGGGGAGCCAAAACCACTTCCACCTATCCTTTTTGTATGTAATACCAAATCCCTTGGGGTTCCTAGCTGATCTCTGCCAGCCTCTTGCTTTCTTCTTTTTCTGTGCCCTAGCTTCTTCCCATGAGTTCTCTGCTAGGCTCCAGAACTTTCTACTTGATACTTCATTCAAGTTATGATTATTCACCTGTAACTTTGGTTCTTCTTTCTGCAGAGAACTGGTGTCTAAGATCTCTAGTAATCTATCTTGGAAAAAAAAAAAGAAAATAAGAACCCCCAACCCCCCTGAAGTTTACTTTAACTGTTAGTAATATAGTCTTGCCAGCTTTCCTTTTACTGGCATTTGAATGGCATTCCTTATTTCATTCTTTTAATTTTAACCTAGTTATATGTATCTTTATATCTATGTATTTGAATTTTCTTATTCAATCTGGAAATCCCTGAATTTTAAATGGAGAGTTTAGGCCCATATTTATTTATTTAAACTTTTATTTTAAGTTCACAGTACAAATGCAGGTTTGCTACATAGGAAAATACGTGTCATGGGGGTTTGTTGTTCAGATTATTTCATCACCCAGGTATTAAACCTAGTACCCATTAGTTATTTTTCCGATCCTCTCCCACCTCCCACCTTCCACCCTCCAATATGACCCAGTGTGTGTTGTTCCCCTCTATGTGTCCATGTGTTCTCATTATTTAGCTCTCACTTACAAGAGAGAATGTGTGATATTTGGTTTTCTGTTCCTGCATTAGTTTGCTAAGGATAATGCAGGACATTTTTATTTAATGTAATTTATCATTTGGTTGCGTTTAAATCTACCATCTTGTCATTATTTCTTTGTTCTATTTGCTCTTTGTTTTTTCCCTGTTTTCCTGTCTTCTTTTGCTTTGAGCATTTTTTAATGATTACATTTAATTTTAGAAGTACTTTTTGGTTTATGGTATTTTCAGTTGGTTGCCATATAATTTAACATCTAACTTATCAGAGGCTGCCTTTACATATAATACAGGCACCTTATAAGAGTATTTCCTTTTTGTTTCTCCTGTCTTTTGTGTTATTGTTATAATACATTTTACTGCTAAGTCTGTTTTAAACCCACATTTTTTGGCCTTAGAAAGACAATTTGAAAAGTAGCTTTATTGCATTATAATTATTATACCATACAATTTACCCTTTTAAAGCATAAAATTGAATGAATTTTAGTATATTCACAGAGTTGGGCATCCATCACCACAATTAATTTTAGAGTATTTTCATTACTGCAGAAGGAAACCTTTCACCTACTAGCTGTCACTCCCCAAATCCCCCATCCTCTCCAGCCCTAGGCAGCACTAATCTACTTTCTGTCTCTATGGATTTGACTATGTTGGATGTTTCATATAAGTGGAATTACACAATATGTGTTATTTATGTCTGGCTTCTCTTATTTTGCATAATGTTTTCCAGGTTCATCCATATTGCAGCATGTATCAGTACTTTATTTATTTTTATTGGTGAATAATATTCCATTCCCATGCTGTGTCACATTTTGTTTATCCATTTGTTGATTGATGAACATTTGGGCTTATCAGTTTTGGGCTATTATGAATAATGCTGCTATGAACATTTATGTACAGGTTTTTATGTGGACAGAATGCTTTTATTTCTCTTGAATACACATACCTAGGTTTATATACATACCTAGGTCAATGCCTACTTTTGGAGCTAGAGATGGTGTTAGCCCCACATGAACCACATATACTGAGAATGGTTAAGGATTGGCTTCTATAGGGAAATCGGGGTATTGTTTTTATAAGAAAAGGAATACTGAAAAAGGGAAAAAAATCCAATAGATGTTGACTACAAATAACTAATATTTATTCAACATTTTATATGGGCTGCAAACAGTGCTGCCTTACCTATAATATCTCACTTCATTCTCAGAACAACCCTGTAGTATATGTTCTCTCATGATGTTTACCTTCTCTGCTCACGGAATCCTATGCTAGAATCCTAAACTCAAAGCCTGCAGGGGGCATATGCAAATAAGTGCTATAAACAGGGTGGGGACTTGGAAACATAGAGAGTATCATCCTGTGTGAAGTGTAGCAAACACTTGGTGTCATCTGCTATTTTCACATGGGAATGAAGGTTCAGGGCTACAGATATTCAGAAAATCACTGTGTGGGAAAAAAGTCATGGTTTTGGAAAGGTATGGTTTACTGTTTACCTATTTTCAACCATTGTTCTAGGATATAAGAGTTCAGTAGCATCTTGCCACTCAGAATGTGTCCTCAGGCAAGTGACATTATTATTGCCTGGGACCTAGTTAGAAATGGACAGCTTGAGGCCTCCCTCAGGGCTATGAGTCAGAATCAGTGTGTAACAAGATCCCCAGGTGATTTGTGTGCCCAATAAAGTTTAAAAAGTGCCTATCTTCAAGAGTGGGGATGAACTCAGATAGCATATTAGAATCATAAGAAAAAAACAAAAACAAACAAGCAAAAAACTCAAACTCTTGCCCAAACCCCATTCTGGAAACTTAAATCAGAATTTTAGGGATGGGGTATAGGCAGCATTCCTAAAAGGTTAGTACCTTCATTTAACTATAAAGCCAGGGTTGAGAATTGCTCTTTTAGAGCAATCCTTCATTTTAGGGAGAAAAAATAAAAATCTCAAGAGGTGACAAGGTGAGGATTTCTGGTTTTGTTAATGCCCAAGTAAGTTCATATTGGTTAAACCAAAACCAAACTAAAACAAAACTATGATCTGTAGGCATTAGAGCAATAACAAAAGCAGACAGATTGCAGAGGGGAGTTGAAACTTGAAAGAAGGGCAAGTGAGAGGTGTGTTTCATTTTCTTTTTGAATTTTGATGGACAGCCGGCTATCAAACTCATTGCCTCACACAGGGTGACTAAAATTCTGACAGAACAGCTGCAGTGATTATGATCTAAAATATCAGAGGAGAGAGTTTGGAGCAATCAGTCATTAGAAAGTGAGGAGTAAACTATAGAAAGCAGAGAACCAGAGAAGGACAGCTCTAAATTCTGTGTATAAACTCTTCCTGTCTCTGGTTGACCCCTCTCCCCCAAATTCATATGGAGGGATGCTCCTAGTGCCTTACCCATGGGGAAAAACCCTGAGCTTAAATTTGAATTAATACTCCTGAGGCAGAGCTTACAGTGTGAGTCTAAACAAACTGTAATATTATAGCAAAAGAAAAACACAAACACCTTTTCAGATGAATATAACAGAATCATCAGTCTTTACAACATAATATCCATAATATCCAGAAAACAATCCAAAATTATTTGACATATGAAGGTCAGGAAAATCTTAAGAGAAGAGGAAATCAACTGAGACCAATCCTGATATAATCCATAAGCTACAACTAACAGATAGGAATTTGAAAAACAGCTATTGTAATTATTCTGGTTGAAGTGAAGAAAAATATACTTTCAACAAATAAAAATATATTCAAAATAATAGTAGACAAACATAAACCAAAAAACTATAAAAATAAACGAAGTGGAGGCTTTAGAATGTAAAATACAATCTCTAAAATCAAAATTTGCCAGGTCATTTATGAGCAGAATAGAAATAATAGAAGAAAGATTCAGTGAACTTGAAGATGGATCAATAGAAATTATCCAATCTGAAGAGGAAAAGAAAAATTTTTAAACAATGAATACAGCCTCAGGGATATGTGAGAAAATAATGAAAGATCTAACATTGTGTAACTGGAACCCCAAGGTAAGAGGAGAGATAGAATTGAGTAGTTTTTTTTTTTTTTTTTTTTGAGACGGAGTTTCACTCTTGTTTCCCAGGCTGGAGTACAATGGCATGATTTCGGCTCACTGCAACCTGTGACTCCCGGGTTCAAGCGATTCTCTAGCCTCAGCCTCCCAAAGTAGCTGGGATTACAGGTGCCTGCCTCTACACCCAGCGAATTTTTGTATTTTTAGTAGAGATGGAGTTTCACCATGTTGGCCAGGCCGGTCTTGAACTCCTGACCTCAGGTGATCCGCCCGCCTCAGTCTCTCAAAATGCTGGGATTACAGGCGTGAGCCACCGTGCCCAGGAGATATTTTTTTGAAAGGTACAAATTCTTAAGAATCTCAATAAACCATAACTTAGGATAAATGAGAAGAAGAGTGCACCTTGTCACATCATAGTCAAAGTGTTGAAATCTAAAGGTAAAGAGAAAATATTGAAAAAGCCAGAGAAAAAGACACATTACATTAAATAGAATATCAATTCCAAAGATCTCTGACTTCTCATCAGAAATCATGGAGGCCAGAAGAGTGTGAAACAGCACTCTAATTAAAATGGACAGTCTATCAGAATTTATTTTTAAAAAGTAAGATTCAATTATATACTATTCAGAAGTTATAATTTAAGTATAAAGAGAGGTTAAAAGCAAATGGATTGAAAAAGATATATCATGTAAACTGCAGAGCACAAGAAGTTTAAAGTGGCTATATTAATACCCCAAAAGACATATAATCATGAAGGCGTGTGCTGAATAATAGACGTTCAAAATATACAAGAAGATGTGAGGGCAAGCTGGCTGCAACATCCGTCACCCCATTGATCTTCAGGGTTGATTTGGCTGATCTGGCTGGCTAGGTGGGTGTCCTCTTCCTCCCTCACCACTCCACATGCATCCCTCCCGGAGCTGTGTGCTTGGTAGTAGAGGATGACCATCCCCAATAGAGAAGGACCAGTCTTGGGTCAAGGGTATACCAGTAGCTGTGCTGATAGGACCTCCAAACAAGCTCTCAAAATATACAAAGAAGCAATTGAGAAAATTAAAGGAAGAAATAGAAATTCCACAATCAGAGGCTGTCATCTAAATGGCCTGTGAGGCCAGGACAGCAATAATGATAAAAGCTCCCGAGGTGGGGCTGGTGGGCAGCCAAGGTGAGAACATTGCTCTGAACCACCCCATCATGTTACCGCAGGGGGAAATGAGGACCCCAGGGGTGAAGAGGCTGAACCCAAGGCCTTCCCTCTGGAACCTCAGAATCCTGACATCAAATCCAGTGAGCTTTGGTTAAATGCCCTGGTGATTTTAAATCCTGACATTAAATCCGATGAGTTCTGGTGAGAGGTTCCAGTGCAAGAGAGAGAGAACAAAGATAATGGAAAACAGGAAGGAGGAAGAACCATGGAGGATGCCTCCATTTACAGAGTGAAGGAAGAGAGAATGCAGAGAGGAGACAGAGGAGCCACAGAGAGGAAGAAATAAGCCACGGGGGAGATGGGGGCTGACACTGCTGCTGTCCTCAGAGAGGCACAGCAGGGCCAACTGAGGAAAGACCTTCAGGGCCAGCCATTAGGAGGTCATCCAGAAGCACAGTAGCTAAATGGCTTACAGAGTTCTGGAGTAAGGCTGCCCAAAAAGCATTCGTGACCATGTGAGTGCAGCTGGTGCTTCCACTGGCTTACCAGCTCTGTGACTTTGGACACATACATTTATCTCTCCATGCCTCAGTTTTCTCATCTGTAAAATGCGTAGAATGTTAGCACTTGTCATGAGTTTAAATGAGTTAATAATACACACAAAGCCCTCAGAATGGTGCCTGGCACAGTGTGTGTGTGTATGATTCACAGGCACTTGTTCTTATTGTTGTTTGTGCCATTGCATTGTTGTGGGTGGTGATCTTGAGAGGCAGTTTTAACAGGATATTGGAGACAGCTGTCATTTTCATAACTTATATTTGGACTTCTGGACCTCACGCTAATTTACCTCAAATGACAGTAAGTCAGCACTACTGAATTAATTCATTCATCACATTTCACTTGCTTAGTTTTAAGGGGTCCTCTCACACTGAAGAACAGCGTCCTCTGTGCTGTGTGAGGTGGACTACAACATTCTCCTGTGCCTGGTCAGCTGTGGGACCCAATGCACCAGAGATTGCACAATTGGTACAGAAGGGGGAAATGAGCCAGAAAACAGGGACGGGTGGCACAAGGAGAAGAGGGGAACTGGCTCCTTGCATATCCCCCAAAGCACTATCCAGATATCGGAGCTCCTTGAATCACAGCAACCGAAGGCTGGATTTTGAGCTCAGAGGAATGACCCAGCTCCACACAAGCAAGCAGCCAAGGAGCTGAAGTCTCTGCACTCTGCCTTCTGTCTGGCCACTGGGTGTCACTCTTCATCTATGTTCCTTTGGTGTCAGGGTTCTGAGAAGAAATTCAGCCTTTGCTGTTCTCTCCCTGTGCTGATATTTACCCCTAGAAGCTTCTACTGGCCAGACAGGCAGTATATTGAGAGTGAAATCGCATCAGGAAGCTGACTTCTGATCCACACATGGGAAACCAGCCTGCTTGTCATGAAAGTAAGGAGATTCCAGCCTCAGTAACTAATTCTACAGCAATAGCAGTTGAAAACAAGTCTTAGAAGCATTGAGCAGACATTCTAATGAAGTAGATATGTTACTGAGCTTGGCCAAGGTGGCTATGGGAATCTTACATCTGTGAAGGTGACAGGACTTGCTTTTTCATATTGACATTTAAGAATATTTTGTATCCAAATGTGTTTGTGTGTCTCTGTGTATGTGCGTGTGAGTGTGTGTACTTATTTAAAGGAAATAGCAGGTTTCAGATACAGTTGAGGTCTCCTTTATAGCCCTCCTTAATCACATTCCCCTTCCTTCCACCCTAGAGGCATTCTCTCTTCTGATGTAAGTGGTCTTTCTCCTGTCCATATTCTGATGCTCTTATTAAATCTGTACATGTTCATAAATATTTAACAGTATGGCTTTGTACATTTAAAAGTTTATACAAATTGTTGCCCAATACCATTTACTTGTGCTGTCTGTATAATTCCATTTTCTTTTTGTTTCTAATTTTATTAGAATTTTGCTGTCAGTTTAATAGTCATTTCTTTGCAGTTTAGTCTGTGTTTTTTCTCCCTTTTTAAAAAAAGTTGTGATAAGAACACTTACTATGAAGTCTACCTTTTAACATGCTTATTCTATCTCTTTCATTCATAGTTTTTTAATTTCTCATTCTTGCAGTGCTGGTTCACTGATCAGTTGCATCTGTTGTTTTTTTTCTCTTGGTGTTCAATTTCCTTATTTGATTTGTATCTGTTTTAACTATGAACTACTTTGAACTATAGTCATGCATTGCTTAACTCTGGATTCATTCTTGAGAAACGAGTCATTAGATGATTTTCTTGTTGTGTGAACATCATAGAGTGTACTTTCGCAAACCTAGGTGGTATAGCCTACTGCATACCTAGAGTATAATATTGCCTAATGCTCCTAAGCTACAATCCTATACAACATGTTACTTTCCTGAATACTGTAGGCAATTGTAACACAATGGTATTTATTTGTCTAAACATAGAAAAGGTACAGCAAAAATACAGTATAAAAGATAAAAAATGGTACATTTGTATAGAGCATTTACCATGAATAGATATTGCAGGAATGGAAGTTGCTCTGGGTGAGTTAGTGAATATGAAGGCTTAGAACATTACTGTATACTACTGCAGAAAAAATTAGCCGGGCATGGTGGTGGACGCCTGCAATTTCAGCTACTCGGGAGGCTGAGGCAGGAGAATTGCTTGAACCCAGAAGGCGGAGGTTGCAGTGAGCTGAGATCAACACTGTACAGTTAGGCTACACTAAATTTATATAAAAAAAATTCTTCCTTCAATAATTAATTAACTTTAGCTTACTATAGCTTCTTAACTTTATAATCTTTAATTTTTTAAAACTTCTTGATTCTTTTGTAATAACACCTAGCTGAATGCACAAACACATTGTAAGCAGTACAAAACTTTTTTTTTATTTATATCCTTATGGATATGGTTTGGCTCCGTGTCCCCTCCCAAATCTTGTGTTCAATTGTAATCCTCAGTGTTGGGGGAGGCATCTGCTGGGAGGTGATTAGATCATGGGGGTGGATTTCCTCTTACTGTTCTCATGATAGTGAGTGAGTTCTCACAAGATCTGATGGTTTAAAAGTCTGTGGCACTTCTCCCTGTTGCTCTTTCTCTCTCCTGTCACCTTGTGAAGAAGGTGCTTTCTTACACTTTGCCTTCTGCCATGATTGTAAGTTTCCTGAGGACTCCCAGTCATGCTTCGTGTTAAGCGTGTGGAACTGTGAGTCAATTAAACTTCTTTTCTTCATAAATCATCCAGTCTCAGGTAGTTCTTTATAGCAGTGTGGAAATGGACTAATACACTTATTCTGTAAGACTTTTTTTCTATTTTTAAAATTATTTACTTTTTTTTAACTTTTGAAACTTTTTTGTTAAAAAATGAAGATACAAACACACACATTAGCCTAGGCCTACACAGGGTCAGGATCATCAAGATGTCACTAGGTGATAGGAATTTTTCAGCTCCATTTGTAATCTTATGGGATCACTGTCATATATGTGGCCTGTCATTGACCAAAATGTCATTATGCAGTGCATGACTGTATTCTTCAGCGTTTTAAGAAAATGGGCTTCATGTGAACCCCGCACTATGAAAATATCCTTAAGGAGTTGTTTTTGCCATTGTTTCTGTTGTATTCTTAGAGAATCAACATCCAGAAACCAGTTTTTGTCACTAACTCCTCTGAATGGGGTTCCTGCACAATGCATGGTACTTTCTCAAGGTGCAGGCCTGGGTGTTTGACTTTTCCTTGTAAGGCCTCTAACAGATGCAAAGCTTCTTCAGGGTCTTCTCCTGTCAAAGGAAGTTTTCCAATTCCTTTTTGATGGAACATCAACCCTTCCAGCCTGCAGGCTTTCTGTAGGGAGCAAATTTCCCACTCCCTGGCTTCACATGGGCTCAAGGTCATTGTTAACAGGTGGGGGCAACAGAAGGCTAGCCCCCAGCTCTGTGGACCAGTGTAGGCTGAGAAACTCCAGGATCTCCATGGCATCTATTTTCACCTCCTGATCGGGCTCTGATCACCGATTTCTGCTTTTGTTTCTGGCTCCCGGGTCTGTCTGTTCTGTTTCTTTCTTTCTTTCTTTCTTTCTTTCTTTCTTTCTTTCTTTCTTTCTTTCTTTCTTTCTTTCTTTCTTTCTTTCTTTCTTTCTTTCTCTTTCTTTCTCTTTCTCTCTCTCTCTTTTTCTCTTTCTTTCTGTCTCTCTCTCTTTCCTTCCTTCCTTTCTTTTTCTCTCTCTTTCTCTCTCTCTCTTTCTTTCTCTTTTCTCTCTCCTTTCTGTCTCTCCTTTCTTTCTCTCTTTTCTTTCTTTCTCTTTCTTCTGTCTTTCTCTCTCTCCTCTTCTCTCCTCTTCTCTTCTCTTCTCTTCTCTTCTCTTCTCTTCTCTTCTCTTCTCTTCTCTTCTCTTCCTCCTCCTCCTCCTCCTCTCTCTCTCTCTCTTGTTCTTTCTCTCTTTTTTATTCTCAGAATCTTGCAGTGGCATGATCATGGCTCACTGCAGCCTTCACTTCCTGGCTCAAGTGATTCTCCCGCCTCAGCCTCCCAAGCACCTGGGGCTACAGGTGAACATTATCATGCCCAGCTAAGTTTTTGATTTTTTGTAGAAATGGGGTCTCCCTATGTTGCCTAGGCTAATCTCAAACTTCTGGGGTCAAGCAACCCTCCCTGCCTCAGCCTCCCAAAGTGCTGGGATTACAAGCATGAGCCACTGTCCCTGCCAACCCTTTTTTTTCTTAAAGCTAAATATGCATTAAAATATTTATGTTTGTCACACTTTATCCTGGCTTGACCTTAAGCAATTCTATTTCTTTTCTGTTTTTCTTATCAGTGGTTTTCAAGCAGGGTCACCTGTGCTGTGGGAAGGATCAGTGGCAGGACTGCAGACCCCTGCCCTCTCCTCTGCTTTAAACAGGGCAGTTCTTCCTGTGTCCTGCTCCATGACAGACCAGCTGTGTGACCCTGGCAAGTACTTCATCTCTTTATGCCTGTTTCTACACCTGTAAAAAGGGGACAGTGGTAATGCCTGCCTCACAGGAATGTTATGAGGATTAAGTGAGATAATACATAGAAAGCACTCAGATTAGTGCCTGGTTCGAAGTAATCACTCAGTAGGTGATCCTTATGGTTATTGAGCTCCAAGTTTTATTATTTTTAAATAATTATTCTGAATGAAAAAACAATGTGTTTTTAGATCTAGAAATGGCTTTAAAAGCACTGCACTTTCTAGACTGGCTATTGTACTTTTTAAGGACATTCTGGTTTGAAAATTCTTTACTTCTATGTCAACTCTATAGTAGGAAAGTTAGTTTTAGCCAAGTTTGAAGCCTACCAGAGTGGGTATAAAGATCTCTATTGTTTATAATTATTTTTTTTTCCAGCCCCCTGACATCTTTCAACCCCACTTTCCATCCTTTAGCAATTATACTTTTTCTTAGTGATTCACAGTGAATTTGTCCTAAGTCATGGAATCAAGTTTTAATGGTTATGCAAGCTTCTATCTGACCGAAGCCAGCCTTGCTTCCTGGTTCTTCAACTTTGTGTCACCTCTGTTTAGATTTTATGCTGAAATCACCTAACCACAAAGGAATCTTATTTAATGGTCCCTCTCTAACCCTTACGTTTATGGCAACTTCTTCTACATTTCCCATGCAAGCAGGGTCTATGTCGTCTCACCGAAAGGATAGGAGTTAAGGAAAGGGCTTTGCTTTGTTTCATGAGAGAAGGTGCTATTGGGAGAGGCATTTTTATTCCCACACAGCAATTATTCAGCACAATTTTCCATTGATGAGCTGGTGGTAGCTCTTCTTATTTGGCAGTGTGACTGCATTATGGGCTAGTGAGAGCATGAGTTGGGGTTTGGCGGTGAGCAATGAAGGTTGAGGATCTCCCCAGGATTTTCACCACATCACAGTGTGATGCGCAGATGGTGGAAGGTCTCAGACCTTGCACCTTTATTTTTCCCCTTGGCCTTAATTCAGGTGCAGAAACTCTACATTTTCAGTGACAAGTGAGATGCTCTCTTTGGATCATGGAAGTGACAAGAAGTCAGAGTGTGCCGCCTACCTAGCATGATGCTCATGGACTGATATAACATCTGCCTACCAGCTGACTCTATATTCCTAATATCTTCTGGAGATCCAGGCTCATCAGGATTAATTGAGTTTTTCTAACTGGGAATAGGGTGGTTCAGTCTGGATTAGAGTTCAGGGCATCCATGAATTTGGGGTTATAGTCACTATTCAGCTTGATGACTTTCATAGTATTTGATTGGTGTAAAAATTCCAGGATTACATAAAACATGTCTTATGTCCAGTGGAAGTAGGTAGAATAATAGGCCAGGCCTGCCCAATCTCTTAACTCTATTTAAGATTTGAGGATATAAGGTGCCTGAGAGTAGGACAGGGGTCACTAAGAAAAAAAGTCTGTGATTATTTTAGCTCAGGGAGGCTGGTGATCACCTCGGCTTACTATAAAGCTTTTCTACTCACAGCATAATCTCTGCAGTCATCTTGACATTCCGTTACTTGGGAGAGGATGGTCAGTGCCAGTCCTGGGATGTTATAAATATGTCAAGGGCAGGCAACGGGGAAAATGTATGCTCTTTCTTCCCAGTCCTTGTAAGGGACAAATGCTTGACACTTTCTTCAGAAAGCTGACATCTGTCTTCCTGTCAAAATGAATCAGGGTCTCATTAGTCAAAGACAATGCTATGCTTCCATCACTGTGCACAAGGTGGCATGGGCACTGGGTTGTCCATGATGAGATGATAACCACATTAGATAAGGTCCTTCTGTTGGTTCATAGCATCAACTCATGACTATCCAGGGTACCTATGAGACTGCTGCATTATTCCATGCAGCATGGTGCTCCAACTTTGGCTTGTATGAGTTTTATCAAGGTTGTTTCTTAGAAAGTCAGACTTCTGGGTTGCAACTATAATAATTTGGATTGAGTCAGTCTCAGATAGAGCTAGGGTTTCTGATGTAATACTGATGCAGATGGGTGATGGTCACAGTAGTGTTCTGGAGCCAGCATGTACCAGCCCTTGAGACCTGATTATTAAATACACAGGAATTTTGTGAGCTGGTTATTTAACATTGGTAGCATGAAATTAACCATGCTGGTAGTATTTATACCATGGAAACTGGCAAATAATACAAATCAGAGCCTTTTTTTTTCTGGATTGCTGGTTTACCAGCACACCATTAATCATGACAACTGTTTCAGTGTTGTGAGACCAGAGCTGGACTGTGACTTGGGAGAAGAAAATGTTTGCTTTGGAAAGTCCTCTAATGTGCTTCACCATCTTATGCAAGTCCATTTTCATCTCTGGGCCCAAGGTTTCCTTTATAAAATAAGAGCATTAGACTAGATCAATTTTCAACCCGGGTTGTACAATAGTCATTTGGAGCTGTCTGATCAAGACTGAAATCTGGGCCTCGCTCCCAGAAGTCTGGAGCCTCAGACTAGCATGGGATTTCAGCACACTGCACGTGTATGTATAAAATATTTTTGGGAGAGTGTACTTGCCACCACGGTTGAGAACTATTAATCTAGATGATGTCCACTGTTCCTTGAAGTTCTAGATTCTCAGCCTGTGCAATACTATGTTGCCTTATATTTCATTTTTGCCTTAATCCCTATCATGAAAGAAGAGTTCTTCTGCATAAGAGCATTTTACAGACAATTAAAGAATACACTAATAAATATCAGTCTTTTTTTTTTTTTGTGATGGAGTTTTACTCTTATTGCCCAGGCTGGAGTGTAGCGGCGTGATCTCACCTCACAGTAACCTCTGCCTCCCGGATTGAAGCGATTCTCCTGCCTCAGCCTCCCGAGTAGCTGAGATTACAGGTGTCCACCACCATGCCCGGCTGACTTTTTGTATTTTTAATAGAGATGGGTTTTTAAAAACTTTTTTTTATTATACTTTAAGTTCTAGGGTACATGTGCACAATGTGCAGGTTTGTTACATATGTATACATGTGCCATGTTGGTGTGCTGCACCCATTAACTCGTCATTTACGTTAGGTATATCTCCAAATGCTATCCCTCCCACCTCCCCTGATCCCATGGCAGGCCCTGGTGTGTGGTGTTCCCCACCCTGTGTCCAAGTGTTCTCATTGTTCATTTCCCACCTGCGAGTGAGAACATGCGGTGTTTGGTTTTCTGTCCTTGTGATAGTTTGCTGAGAATGATGGTTTCCAGCTTCATCCATGTCCCTACAAAGGACAGGAACTCATCCTTTTTTATGGCTGCATAGTATTCCATGGTGTATATGTGCCACATTTTCTTAATCCAGTCTATCATTGTTGGACATTTGGGTTGGTTCCAAGTCTTTGCTATTGTGAATAGTGCCACAATAAACATATGTGTGCATGTGTCTTTATAGCAGCATGATTTATAATCCTTTGGGTATATACCCAGTAATGGGATGGCTGGGTCAAATGGTATTTCTAGTTCTAGATCCTTGAGGAATTGCCACACTGTCTTCCACAATGGTTGAACTAGTTTACAGTCCCACCAACAGTGTAAAAGTGTTCCTATTTCTCCACATCCTCTCCAGCACCTGTTGTTTCCTGACTTTTTAATGATCGCCATTCTAACTGGTGTGAGATGGTATCTCATTGTGGTTTTGATTTGCATTTAGAGACGGGGTTTTACCATGTTGGCCAGGCTGGTCTTGAATTCCTGACCTCAGGTGATCCACCTGCCTCGGCTTCCCAAAGTGCTGGGATTACAGGTATGAGCCACCATGCCCAATCTAAATGCCATTCTTTTAAAACATTTGCTCTATTTATTTATTTTTCTTAAGCAGAAGAATCAGAAGAAAATTTTTTTTTTATATTTTAGAGTCACCATTATGGATGAGCATTGTTCATTTATATAACAAATATTTATTTGGCATCTATTGTGTGTTAGGCGTCTATTATAGAAGTGACATAGAGAAGTAGAAAGATTGCTGGACTAGAGTTCAGGGCAAAATAATATTAATAATGGCTAATATTTATTAATATTATATTACATACAATTTACTGTCCTAAACATTATAGTTTTATCACCTCATTTAATCCTCACTACAATCTTCTGAGGCAGGTAAAATTAAATCCCTATTTTACAGATGAGGAAACCAATGAACAAAAAAGATCTTCACTTTCTCAAGGTCACACAACTGGTTGGGGCAGAGGTAAGATTCAAACCAGGCCCTGATATTTCTGTGTGATCTGCGACAAGATTTTTCCCTCCAAATCCTTGGTTTCCTGTTATGCTAGGTGATCTCTGAGGATTCTTCAAGCCTCACAATTCTCAAGTCCATGTCCTCCCTCATGTGCGCCATGGAAAGCCTGTGTATCTTCATTGGCCTGGGGGAGAAAAACAAGGCTGCTGATGCCTGGCTCAGGGATGAATTATGCAATTTACAGTCACCAACACTAGATTACAAAATATATGCCCTGAAGTCCATGTTCACTAACATATTTCTTTTTTCAGTAAATATTGTAGATATGTAGTATGTTTAAGCACTAAAGATTCACTGTTATAAAGAGACCAGCTTACCATTCATTAAGTAAATGAATAAATAGATAATTGCAAAGTAAGACAGTAGAATGAAGGAAATGTACAAGGGGGTAGGGACAAGTAATCTGAAGATAAAATATTTCAGTTATAAGACTGGAAGGATGAGTGAGACCCAGCCATGGAAAACCAGAGGCAAGAACCAATCCAGATGTAGCAATAGCACATTCAAGGGTCCTGAGGCTGGAAAGCACATGGTGAGTTCAGGGAGGCCAGTGCAGCTGGAACATCAGGGCCAGGGAAAGGCTTGCACAAAATAAGTTGGAGAGGAGGCTCCTGAACTGTAAAGCATTTAATCATAAAATAACAGGTGCTGTTTTATTTGATACCAATCTGTTGACATAAGTGAGATAGATTGGATGGAGCCATTGAACAGCGGAAAGGGTTCTCATACATAGAGTACACAGATCTCAAGTGTATATCTCCATATTTCAACAGCACAGTCAAGATAGAGGACAGCTTTTATCACTGGAGAGTCCCCTTATGTCCTTTCCCAATGAATATCATCCCCAGTGTACATCCCCACTCCAGAGACAACCAAGCATTCGTTCAGTCTGTTGGACTTCATACAAATGGATTCATGTAGTATGTATTCTTTTGTGGTTGGCTACGTCCCCTTTGCATAATAGTTTTGAGATTTATCCATGTTGTTGGTTGTATTAGTAATTGATTCCTTTTTATCCATAGGCTACATGACGTGAGATATCACAAATATTTGATTTTTACTCTTAACAGTTTTGGAAGGAACTTCAATGATCCAGCCACAGAGCCCTGTGATTAACCCCCCTGCAGTATTCCACCAAGTATTCATGAATGGAAACACTTCCCTTGATGGAGGGGTTAGGGTCTCCCAAGGCCATTCATCCTGCTCTCTTTGCTTAACTCTTAAAATGAGGTCAATGCATATTCCAGTGCCTCTAGGACACAAAATAATTGGCCCTGCATATCTGTGGGTTCTGCATCCATAGATTCAACCAACAGCAGATTGAGAATATTCAGGAAAAAAAGGGTGGTCATGTTTATGCTGAATACGTATATAGACTTTTTTCTTGTTATTATTCCCTAAAGAATACAGTGTAACAACTATTTGCATGGCATTTATATTTATTAGGTATTATAAGTAACCTAGAGATGATTTAAAGCATACAGAAAGATGTGCATAGGTTATATGTAAACACTACACCATTTTATATCAGGGACTTGAGCATCTGTGGATTTTGGTATCTGTAGGGGTCCTGGAACCAACCCTCTACAGATACTGAAGGACAACTGTACTCACACCCTCTGATTATTTGAAAAAAAGATGTGAGCCTAGAGTGGCATTTTTCTTACTATTTGTGTTTTTAGTATTCAATATTATAGGCCATATTTTCTTAAAAAAAATTAAAAGTATTTTTCCTTTGTTTCAGGAATACTCAGTGTTATGGTATTAACAAGCCTAGAGTTCCTGAGGATTCCAGAGAGATGAAGCCCAGAGCTGGTCACCTGTCCTCTTATTTCTTACTAACTGGGAAAATAGTTGACCACTGCTCATTTCTGTCCTCTTTGAGAGAGACAGGGGCTCCCAAGGTAGTATTTTTCTGGCAAAATTGAGAAGCAACAGGCAAAGTACAGCCTACATGTATCTGAATGTATGCAGATGAAAAGATGTGACATGACCATTGACTAAAGAAAAACACAAGCAAGCTTTTAAAGAATTAAAGTTAGTTTTATTTAGAAGTCTTACTGAGGCCTATGGAGGCCTATGGACTGAGGCATATATGCTGGGAGGAGACTTTTAGAGAGGTTCTGTTAGACACCTCCAAAGCAGTGTTTAGTCCATTGCTTATACAGGTGTTGGGGATTCGGCACATGCAAAATCACATCAAATGAGTACAAGAGCACATCTGATTACGGTTTGCAGGGGCATAATGCCTAATCTTGGCAGGTGTTATCTTATGTGTAAGTAAAGACAGGGGCCAGAGTCATTTCTTTTTTAAGAAATATAGTGACTCAAGCAAGAGTTATGGAGGCTGTGTGTGTTCTATCCCGTTTTGTCTTCAAAGCATCTTCCGGAGAGCTGCATTTCATCACAGATAGGGGTTTAAGCAAAAATGAGCAAATATTACTTCTTATGTTTGCTACTTTGCCTCAACACAGCATGATAGAGTCTGAAGAATTTTGCTCTTTTCAAAGTTCTTTGGCTGTATGAGGCTGTCGTGTTATGAAATACATATTTGGTGTTGGTCCCCAAGTCCAGACATACTATTCCTAAACCCCTTGGAATCTCCAGAGTGATAAAAGTGTCTTAAATCCCTAGATAGTTTCAGGGTGGGGGCTGGTTGGCAAAAGGACATGAAGGCATGACTAGAGGGTTGGGACTTTCAGCTCCAGCTCCCCACTTTTAGGGAGAAGCGAGGGGCAAAGGGCTGAGAGTTGAGTTGATCACCAATGGTGATTTAATCAATTATGCCTATAGAATGAAGCTTTCATAAAAACCTTAAAGGATTAGGCTCAGGAGCTTCTGGATAGCTGAGCATGAGGAGGTTCCTAGAGGGTGGTATGCCTAGAAAGGACATGAAGGCTTCATGCCCCTTCAACATGCCTTGCCCTATCCATCTCTTCATCTGTCCATTTATGTGTATCATTTATTATATGTTTTATTAATAAACTAGTAGACATAAGCAAAGTGTTTCCCTGAATGCTGTGAGCCACTATAGAAAATTAATGAAATCCAAGCAGGAGGTCCTAGGAACTGTGACTTGTGTCTGAAGTGGACACAGTCTTGTAAAACTGAGCCCTTACCCTATGGGAGCTGGTGCAATCTATGAGTAGATAGTGTCAGAATTGAATTGAATAAGAGGACACCTAACTGAATAATCTGCTGGAAAATTGACTGACTGCTGGTGGGAAGAAATCCCCACACATGTGCCTGTTGGCCCTTTGTATGTCTTCTTTTGAGAAATGTCTATTCATGCCTTTTACCCACTTTGTAATGGGATTATTGTTATTATTTTTTAACTATTGAGTTGTTTGAGTTCTTTGTATATGCTGGATGGTAGTCCCTAGTTAGATGAATAGTTTGCAGATATTTTCTCCCATTAGCAGGTTGTCTCTTCACTCTGTTGATTGTTTTCTTTGCTGTGCAGAAGCTTTTTAGTTTAGTATAGTCCCATTTGATGCATTTTGAGACAGTGTCTCAAATGTCTTGCTCTGTCACTCAGGCTGGAGTTCCACGGTGCTGTCATAGCACACTGCAGCCTTGACCTCCTAGGCTCAAGCGATACTCCCACCTCAGTCTTCTGAGTAGCTAGAACTGCAAGTTCATGACACCAGCTTGCCTGGCTAATTAAATTTTATTTTTATTTTTTTTGTAGAGATGGCACCTCTGTATGTTGGCCAGGTTGGTCTTGAATTTCTGCCCACAAGCAATCCTTTTTGGCTTCTCAAAGTGCTGGAATTACAAGTGTGAACCACCATGACTGGCCTTTATTTTATTTTTTGTGTAGCCATTGTAAGTGGAATTGCCTTCTTTATTTTATTCTCAAGTATTTCGTTATTGGTGTGTAGAATTGCTACTGATTTTTGTATGCTAATTTTGTATTCTGTAACTTTATCAAATTTATTTATATCTAAGAGTTTTTTGGTGGAGTCTTCAGGATTTTCTAGACATAAGATTGTATTATCTGCAAAGAGAAACAATTTGATTTCCTCTTTTGCAATTTGGATGCTTTTTCTTTCCCTTGTCTGATTGTTCTGAGCAGGACTTGCAGTACTATGTTGAATAGGAGTGGTAAAAGTGGACATTCTTGTCTTGTTCCAGTTCTTAGAAGAAAGGCTTTCAGCTTTTTCCCACTTAGTATAATGTTAGCTGTGGGTTTGTTATATGTGGCCTTTATTATGTTGGGGAATGTTCTTTTAATGCCTGGTTTACTGAGAGTTTTTATAAGAAAGTCATGTTGAATTTTGTCAAATGCTTTTTCTGCATCCATTAAGATGATCATATGAGTTTTGTTCTTCATTCTGTTGATGTGATAGATCATGTTTATTGATTTATATATATTGATCCATCCTTGCATCCTTGGGACAAATCCCACTTGATCGTGGTGTTTATCTTTTTGTTGTGTTGTTGGATTCAATTTGCTAGTATTTTGCTGAGGATTTTGCATCTATGTTCCTCAAGGGTATTGGCCTGTAGTTTTTGTTGTTGTTGCATCCTTATCTGTTTTTGATATCAGGTTAATGCTGATCTCGTAGAATGAGTTAGAAAGAGTTCCGTCCTCTTCAAGTTTTTGGAATAGTTTGAGGAGAATGGTGTGAGTTCTCCTTTGAAAGTTTGGTAGTATTCAGCAGTGAAGCCATCATTCCTGAACTTTTCTTTGTTGGAAGGTTTTTATCACTGATTCAATCTCATTACTTGTTATTGGTCTGTTCAAGTTTTTAATTTCTTTCTAATTTAATATTGGTAGGTTTTATGTGTCCAGAATTTATCCATTTCTTGTAGGTTTTCCAGTTTGTCAGCATATAGTTGTTCATAACAGTCTTTGATGATTTTTTGTATCTCTTTGGTATCAGTTGTAATGTTTCCTTTCCATTTCTGATTTTGTTTATTTGGGACTTTTGCCTTTTTTTCTTGGTTGGTCTAGCTAGCGGTTTATTGATTTTGTTTATCTTTCCAAAAAATAACTTTTGATATCATTGACTCTTTGTAGCTTTTTCGCCTCTATTTCATTTAGTTCTGTTCTGATTTTTTTTTTTTTTACTTCTACTAATTTTTGGTTGGTTTATTCTTGCTTTTCTAATTCCTTGAGTGCATCCTTTAGATTGTTTGTTTGGAATCTTTCTATTTTTTTGATGTAGGTATTTAGTGCTAGAAGCTTCCCTCTTAGCACTACTTTTGCTGTGTTTCATAGGTTTTGGTATGACAATTTTTGCTTTTCATTTGTTTCAAGGAATCTTCTTACTTCCTCATTAACTTCTTCCTTGACCCAGTGGTAGTTCAGGAGCATATTGTTTAATTCTTATGTATTTGTAGTTTTCCAAGTTCCCTTTATTATTGATTTCTAGTTTTATTCCACTGTGATCTTAGCAGATAGTTGATATAATTTTAATTTTAAAAAATTTGTTGAGACTTGTTTTGTGTCCTAATATATGGTCTGTCCTAGAGGATGTTCTGTGTGCTAATGAGAAGAATGTGTATTTTGTAGCTGCAGTTGAAACGTTCTGTAAATGTCTGTTAGGAAAATTTGGTCTAATGTGCAGTTTAAATCCATTTTTTTTGTTAATTTTCTATCTAGATGATCTGTCTACTGATGAGAGTGGGGTGTGTTGAAGTCCTCAACTATTGTTGCATTGAAGCCTATCTCTCCCTTTAGATCTAATAGTATTTACCTTATATATCTTGGTGCTCTGGTGTTGGGTGAATGTATGTTTACAATTGTCATATTCTCTTGCTGGATTGATTCCTTTATCATTACATAATGATCTTCTTTGTCTCTTTCTACTGTTTTTGATTTAAACTCTGTTTTATCTAAGTATAGCTATTCCTGCTCACTTTTGGTTTCCATTTGCATGGAATATCATTTTCTGTCCCTTCACTTTCAGTCTACATGTCTTTACAGGTGAGATGATTTTCTTGTAGGCAGCCAATAGTTGGGTCATGTTTTTTAAAATCCATTCAGCCAGGCTATCTAGTTTAAGTGGAAAGTTCAATTTGTTTACATTCAAGGTTATTATTGATATGTGAGGGCTTATTTCTGTCATTTTATTAATTGATTTCTGATTATTTTGTGTATCCTTTGTTCGTTTCTTTCACTCTTATTATCATTGTGTTTTTGTGGTTTTCTATAGTGGTAACATTTGAGTCCTTTCTTTTTCTTATTTGTGTTTTCATTCTACCAGTGGGTTTCATACTTTTGTACATTTTTTTGAAGGCAGATATCATCCCTTTGCTTCCAGGTGCAGGATTCCCTAAAACATTTTTTTTTAGGGATGGTCTAGTGGTGATGAATTCCTTCATTCTTTGCTTGTCTGGGAAAGACTATTCCTCCTTCATGTATAAAGTATAACTTTGCTGGGAATAGTATCCTTGACTGACAGTTTTTTTTTTCTTTCAGCACTTTGAATATATTATCTCAAATATATTACCTCATTCTCTTCTGGCCTGTAAGGTTTCTTCTGAAAAGTCCATTGTTAGTCTGATGGGGGTTCCCTTATAAGTGACTAAACATTTTTCTCTCTCTTTAGAATTCTTTCTGTCTTTGACTTTTGACAATTAGATTATAATATGCTGTGGAAAGATCTTTCTGCATTGTATCTGTCTGGGGATTTCTGACCTTTCTGTGTCTGGATGTCTAAATCTCTTGCTAGACTTGGGCTGTTTTCAGCTACTGGTTTGTTAAATAGGGTTTCTAACCCTTTCACTTTCTCTTTCCTCCAGAATACTGAAAATTTGAGTATTTAGTCATGTGACAGTGTTCCATATGTCACATAAGCTTTGTTCACTCTTTTTAATTCTTTTTTCTGTATTTTTGTCTGCCTGGTTTATTTCAAATGACTTATCTTCAAGTTCTGAAATTTTTTCTTCTGCTTGGTTAAGTCTAATATTGAAGCTTTCAAATGTGTTTCATGTTGCATTTAATGAATTCTTCAGTTCCAGAATTTACACTTGACTCTTTTGTATGCTATCTATTTGGAAAATTTCTCATTCATATCCTGAATTTATTTTGATTTTTTATATTATTGTTCTGTATTCTCTTGTATCTCAATGAGCTTTCTTAATATCATTATTTTGTTTTTTAAATTAAAAAAATAATTTGTTATTATTTCAATAGTTTTTTTGGGAACAGGTGATTTTTGGTTACATGCATAAGCTCTTTAGTGGTGATTTCTGTGATTTTGGTGCACCCATCACCCAAGCAGTATACACTGTACCTGATGTGCCGTCTCTTATCCTTCAACCACCCCCGCTCTTCCCACTGTGTCCCCAAAGTCCATTGTATCATTGTTATGCCTTTGCATCCTCATAGCTTAGCTCCCACTTGTAAGTGAGAACATACAATGTTTGGTTTTCCATTCATGAGTTACTTCACTTAGAATAATGGTCTCTAATTCCATCCAGGTTGTGACAAATGCCATTATTTTATTCCTTTTTATGACTGAGTAGTATTTCATGGTCTATTTATCTATCTATCTATCTATCACATTTTCTTTATCCATTCATTGAGTGATGGGCATTCGCTTTTTTGTTTTGTGATTGCAAATTGTGCTGCTATAAACATGCATGTACAAGTATCATTTACATATAATGACTTCTATCCCTCTGGGTAGATACCCAGTAGTGGGATTGCTAGATCAAATGGCAGATCTACTTTTAGTTCTTTAAGGAATCTCCACATTGTTTTCCATAGTGGTTGTACTAGTTTACATTCCCACCAGCAGTACAAAAGTGTTCCCTTTTCATTACATCCATGGCAACATCTATTATTTTTTGATTTTTTAATTATGGCCATTCTTGCACGAGTAAGGTGGTATCACACTGTGGTTTTGATTTGCATTTCCTTGATCATTAGAGATGTTGAGCATTTTTTCCTATGTTTGTTGGCCATTTGTATATCTTCTTTTGAGAATTGTCTATTCATGTCCTTAGCTTACTTTTTGATTGGATTGTGGTTTTTTTGCTGATTTGTTTAAGTTCCTTATAGATTCTAGGTAATAGTCCTTTGTCAGATGCAGTTTGTGAAGATTTTCTCCCACTCTGTGGGTTGTCTGTTTACTCTGCTAATTATGTCTTTTGCTGCGCAGATGCTTTTTAGTTTAATTAGGTCTCATCTATTTATCTTTGTTTTTGTTGCATTTGCTTTTGGATTCTTGGTGATGAAGTCTTTGCTTAAGCCAATGTCTAGAAGGGTTATATTATAGAATTTTTATGGCTTCAGATCTTAGATTTAAGTCTTTGATCCATCTTGAGTTGATTTTTATATAAGTTGACAGATGAGGATCCGGTTTTATTCTTCTACATGTGGCTTGCCAATTATCCCAGCAGCATTTGTTGAATAGGGTGTCGTTTCCCCACTTTATGTTTTTTTTTGCTTTGTCGAAGATCAGTTGACTGTAGGTATTTGGTTTTATTTCTGGGTTCTCTATTCTCTTTTATTGCTCTATATGCCTATTTTAATACCACTACCATGCTGTTTTGGTGACTATAGCCTTATAGTATAGTTTGAAGTCAGATAATGTGGTGCCTCCAGATTTGTTCTTTTTGCTTAGTCTTGCTTTGGCTACATGGGATCTTTTTTAGTTTCATATGAATTTTAGGATTGTTTTTTCTAGTTTTTTGAAGAATGATGATAGTATTTTGATGAATATTCAACAACAAATTTTGTTGAATTTGTCAGCTGCTTTTGGCAGTGTGTTCATTTTCACAATATTGGTTATATGATATTGATTATACCCATTCATGAGCATGGGTGTGTTTTTATTTGCGTGTGTCATCTATGATTTCTTTCAGTAGTGTTTTGTAGTTTTCCTTGTAGAAGTCTTTCACCTCCTTGGTTAGGCATATTCTGAAGTATTTCATTTATTTTTTGCAGCTTTTGTATAAGGGGTTGAGTTATTTATTTGATTCTCATCTTGGTTGCTGTTGGTGTATAGCAGTGCTACTGGTTTATGTACATTGATTTTGTATCCTGATACTTTACTGAATTCATCAGATCTAGGAGCTCTTTGGATGAGTACTTAGGGTTTTCTAGGTGTACAATCATATCATTGGTGAACAGCAACAGTTTTCCACCCCTTTACCTTAAGTTTATGTGAGTCCTTAATGTTGGATGAGTCTCTTGAAGACAGCAGATACGTGGTTGGTGAATTCTTATCCATTCCACTGTTTTGTATCTTTTAAGTGGAGCATTTAGGCCATTTATATTTAGTGTTAGTATTGAGATGTGAGGTACTATTCTATTCCTAGTGCTAGTTATTACCTGAATACATTTTCCCATTGTGTTATTGTTTTATAGGCCCTGCAATATTTATGCTTTCAGAAGGTTCTATTTTGGTGTGTTTTGAAGTTTTGTTTCACGATTTAGAACTCTTTTTAGCAGTTCTTGTCATGCTGGCTTGGTAGTGGTGAATTATCTCAGGATTTGTTTGTCTGAAAAAGACTTTATCTTTCCTTCATTTATAAAGCTTTCATTCATTTATAGATTAACTTGGCTGATAATTATTTTGTTTAAAAGGCTAAAGATAGGACCCCAATCGCTTCTAGCTTGTAGGGTTTTTGCTGATAAATCTGTTGTTTATCTGATAGATTTTCCTTAATAGGTTACCTAATGCTTTTGCCTTACAGCTCTTAAGATTTGTTTTTTTTGTCTTGACTTTAGATAACCTGATGACTATGTGTTTAGGTGATGACCTTTATTCTTATTATTACTATTATTATTATTATTTATTATTATTATTTTTGAAGACAGCGTCTTGCTCTGTCACCCAGGCTGGAGTGCAGTGGTGTGATCTTGGCTCACTGCAACTTCTGCCTCCCAGGTTCAAGCGATTCTTATGCCTCAGCCTCCCTAGTAGCTAGGATTACAGATGTGCACCACCATGCATGGCTGATTTTTGTATTTTTAATAGGGATGGGGTTTCACCATGTTAGCCAGGCTAGTCTTGAACTCCTGAGCTCAGGTGATACACCTGCCTGGGCCTCCCCAAATGCTGGGATTACAGGCATGAGCCACTGCCCCTGGCCTAGGTGATAATCTTTTTGTGATGAATTTTTTGAGTGTTCTTTGAGCTTCTTTTATTTAAATGTCTAGGTCTCTAGCAAGGCCAGGGAAGTTTTCTTCAATTATTCCCTCAAATAAGTTTTCCAAACTTTTAGATTTCTCTTCTTACTCAGGGAAACCAATTATTCTTAAGTTTGGTCATTTCACATAATCCCCAACTTCTTGGAGGCTTTGTTCATTTTTACTTATTCTTTTTTCTTTGTCTTTGTTGGATTGGGTTAATTTGAAAGCCTTGTCTTTGAGCTCTGAAGTTTTTTCTCCTACTTTTTCTAGTCTATTGTTGAAACTTTCCAATGTATTTTGTATTTCTCTAAGTGTGTCTTTCATTTCCAGAAGTTGTAATTGCTTTTTGTTTATGATGTCTATTTCTCTGAAAGCATTGTGGTTCATATCCTGTATTATTTTTAAAATTTATTTAAGTTGGTTTTCACTTTTCTCTGGTGCCTACTTGTGTAACTTAATAATCAACTTTCTGAATTCTTTTTCTAGCAATTCAAAGATTTCTTCTTTGTTTGGATTCATTGCTGTTGAGCTAGTGTGATCTTTTGGGGGTGTTAAACTTGTTTTGTCATATTACCAGAATTGTTTTTCTGGTTCCTTCTCATTTGGGTGGACCATGTCAGAGGAAAGATCTGGGGCTCAAGGTCTGCTGTTCAGATTCTTTTGTCCTAGGGGGTGATGCCTTGATGTGGTGCTTTCCCCCTTCCCTTAGGGATGGGGCTTCTTGAGAGCTGGACTGCAGTGACTACTATTGCTTTTCTGGGTCTAGCCACCCAGTGGAGCTACCAGGCTCTGGGCAGGTGCTAGGGTGTGTCTGCAAAGAGTCCTGTGATGTGATCTATCTTCAGATCTCCCAGCCATGGAGACCAGCACCTGCTCTGGTGGAAGTAGTAGGGGAGTAAGTGGATTCTGTGATGGTCCTTGGTTGTAGTTTTGTTTAGTGCACTTTTTTTTTTTTTTTTTGTATGCTGGTTATGCTAGCAGTAAAGTTGTAATGTGGACAGACTCAAGACCTCTGGGTAGCCAGGATGTTTTAGGTGGTGGAATTGGCTGTTGTCTTCTCCTTCCTTGGAGTAGGGTTGTTCTGTTATGGGTTGCTGTAATGGCTTGAGTTGATTGGTTTCCAGCCAGGAGGTGGCACTTTCAAGAGAGCACCAGCTGTGCTAGTAGAAGGAGGATACGAACTTGTCCTAAGGTCACCTGGATAAGTATTGGGTTTCTCTGGTGATGGTTGGGGCCATGGAGCTCCCATAAGCTTATGTCTTTTGTCTTTGACTACCAGGGTGGGTAGAGAAAGACCATAAGGTTGGGGCAGGGTTAGGTGTGTCTGAGTGCAGACTCTTTTTGGGCAGGGCTTGCCATGGCCACTGTGGGGGATGGGAGTGTATTTTTCAGGCCAATGGAGTTATGTTCCAAGGGGGATTATGGCTGCCTCTGTTGCTTTGTACAGTTGGCCAAGAAAGTGGGGGAAAGCTGGCAGTGACAGGCCTCACCCAGCTCCTGTGCAGACAGCAAGGCCAGTCTCACTCCCGCCATGCTCTCCATAGAGCTAAATTTATATCCAGGCCTCTGGTGTGCAGGGCTGAGATCTTGCCTCAGGCTACAAGCCTCCTTGCTGAGAAAGCAAGCAGGTCTTTCAGGTCTTGACTCTCCCTGCCTGCCATGGCTTCTGTGCTCCTCTCTACACTTTCTGTTCACCCTGCTAGCCCACAGATGCTGCCCAAGAAAATTCGCACTTTGTTGAAATTATTACATAGTTCAGCTGGAAGCCTCCTTTACCCTGTGGCCCTTCCCTAATTCCACTGTCTGCCTTCCCCCAAGGACCCCTGTGAGATAAATTCAGAAATGGCTTCCTTGGGGACTGGGAGTGCCTACAGGCTCTTCCTGCTGCTTCTTCTACTTTTTTATTTCACTTGGCTCTCTAAATTTGCTTCAGCTCTAGGTAAGGTTAAATCCTTCTTCAATGATCTGTGTTTTCAGGTTCCCCAGTAAGGATGTGTGTTTGGAGGCAGACTTTCTCCTCTCACAGTTTGCAGCAGCAAGCTGCTTCCTTCAAAGGGTCTGTGAATTATTTTGGTTTTCCTGGTTGTTCTTTTGGTGGTTCTTGGAGCAAACATTCACTGTGTAAGTCTCCACATGCTGCTCTGCCAATCCAAGTAGGAACTGCAAGTTAGTCCTTCCTCCTAGCTGCCATTTTCCCTCCTACTCTAACATCATTATTTTGAGTATTTTATCTGGGATTTCATAGATTTCCTTTTGACTGAACTCTATTGCTGGAGAATTACTGTGTTCTCTTGGAGGTGTCATATTCTCTTGCTTTTTCATGTTTCATATGTTTTTACATTGATGTCTATGCATCTGGTGTAACAGTTGTTTCTTTCAATTTTTGAAATTTGCTTTCATAGGGGAGGGTACTTTTTTGAAGATGTATCTATGGTGTTGGTTGGGTCGGGCACTTTGCCATTGATTTTGGATGTGTGCAGCAGTGTGGTCTCCATATGATTTCTTCAGCTGTAAACATCGTCAGTGGTGTCTGTGATTTCCTGAGTGGCTTAGGGTGCAATTGTTAGTGGAGTGGAGACTGTGGCAAAGTTTTGCTGGATACAGCAATGCCAGGTGGTCCTATCTTCAGACCTCTGTGGTGGCAGCAGTGGGCTGAGCATGCCTGCCCTTGGGCTCCAGGGTGGCATATATTGGCACTGGTTTCAGTGGTTCCAGGCAGTCCAATTCTTGGATCCCCAGGTGGCTTTCTCAGGTGCTGGTAGTAGCAGAGTTGGGCTAGGCAAGCGGGTGGGTTTTCAGGCCCCTGGGCAATGGTCATGGCATGGATGATTGTAGTAGCAGTAGATGGACTAATCTCTGGGTCCTACATGGTCTGTACTTGTGTTGACAGTGGCTGTGATGTGCTGGGTGGGCCAGTCCGTAGGCCTATAGGTGTGTGCCCACTGTGGTGGTAATGGCAGGTTGGGTGGGCTTGAACTCAAGCTTCCAGGAGGAGTGCTCAGGTGCCAACAATGGTGGACTGGGCTGGGTGGTCCCCAGGTCTCTGGACCACATGCTCTGGTACTGGTGGTGGGGGAGCAGAGCAAGGCTGGGCAAACTGGTCCTTAGTCCTCCCAGGGGTACTTGCAGGTACTAGCTGTGGTAGGCAGAGGCAGGGTGAGCCTTAGGCCCACTGGTAGCATGTGTGGGTGAGTATCAACTGCAGTGGCAGTGGCAGGCCGAATGAGCCTCACCTCAGGCCCCTGGGAGAAGGGCTCAAGTGCCAATGGTGATGGACTGGACTAAGCAGTCTCCAGGTCCCTGCACTGTGTGCTCTGGCACTAGGAGGTTTGGGTGGTGGAGTGAGCCACGCAATTGTGTCCTTTAGGTCTGCTAGTGGGGCTTGCAGGTGCTGGCTATGGTTGGCAGGGGTGGGGTGATCTCCAGGCCCAAGGCAGAATGTTCAGGTGGGGACTGCAGTGGCTGCACTCCAGGCCTGCTCAGGGCTTGTGGGAAGGGCAGGGTTGCTTTTAGTGGCAGGAGCCATATGCAGGTGGCTGGGGAGTATGCATTTTGCTCATGCTTGAATCCTGGCAGTGGCAGCCATAAGCAGCTGTTGAGGGTAGGGGGGTTTGTCATTGCGATGCATGAAAATATGCAGTGGCTTCATTGTGGGGGGCAGTGGGGTTTTGCTAATGGCTTACTCTTCTGCCTTGGAGTCTGTGGTCTCTTGGAAGCTGGGCTCTCAATATGGCATTTTGCTGTAGCTGCTTAGGGCTTGGGGTGTGTGGGGCCCAGCATGAGCTCTCTTTCTGGAACAATGCCTTTGATCTTCAGGCAGCTTTTGATATTAGTCTTGAAGACTGCAAGGGTCTAGGGCTTTCCCATGCAGAGGATGCAGGAGTCTATAGTGGAAATGTTAATCTCTGGGAATCACTCACTCATTCTTTCGCTGCATTGTGGAGCCTCTCCAGGCTCCCAGCCAATCCTGGCCAAGCAGACTGCCTGACTTCCCTCTGCTTCCTTGCTTTGGATTTTCCTGTCATTTCTCAGTTGAATTCCAGTGTAGTTTCTTAGATGATATATTCAAAGTGTTCTACTCTATTTAGATTCTTCTTTGTGGAGGAGGCAAGCACCAGATGCCTTTAGTCAGCCATCTTGAAGCCTCGCAATTCACCTATTTAAATTGTACAGTTCAGTGATTTTTAGTATAATCACATAGTTGTGCAACCATCATCACAATCAATTTTAGAACATTTGTGACATGTCATAAAGAAAGCTTGTGCCCTTTAGCTATTACTCTTCAATTCCCCCATACCTCCCAGCCCCAAGCAACTACTTACTGTGTGTATAGATCTGCCTATTCTGGACATTTCAAAGAAGTAGAATCATACATGCAGCATGTGGTCTTTTGTAATTGGCTTCTTTCATTTAGCATAATGTTTTTAAGGTTTATCTATGTTGTACCATGTATTGGTATTTCATTTATTTTTATTGGGGAATAATATTCTATTGTATGCATATACCACATTTGTATTCATTCATTAATTACCAGGCATTTGGATTGTTTCTACCTTTTGGCTATTATGAATAATGTAACCATAAACATTCATGTGCAAGTTTCTGTGTGAACATAACTTTTCATTTTTCTTGGGGATACAAAACTAGCAGTAGAGTTGCTGGATCAAATAATAACTCTTATGTTTAACATGACTGTATTAGTCCATTTTCATGCTGTTGACTGATAAAGGCATACTCGAGACTGGAAAGAAATAGATACTTAATTGGACTTACAGTTCCATATGGCTAGAAGGCCTCAGAATCATGGCAGGAAGCGAAAGGCACTTTTTACATGGTGGTGGCAAGAGAAAATGAGGAAGATGCAAAAGTAGAAATCCCTGATAAAACCATCAGATCTTGTGAGACTGATTCACTACCACGAGAACAGTATGGGGGACTCCACCACTCTGATTCAAATTATCTCCCACTGGGTCCCTCCCACAACATATGGGAATTGTGGGAGTACAACTCGAGATGAGATTTGGGTGGGGACACAGAGCCAAGCCATATCATTCCACCCCTGGCCCCTCCAAATCTCATGTCTTCACATTTCAAAACTAATCATGCCTTCCCAACAGTCCCCCAAAGTCTTAACTCATTTCAACATTAACTCAAAAGTCCACAGTTCAAAGTCTCATCTGAGACAAGGCAAGTCCCTTCTCTCAATGAGCCTGTAAAATCAAAAGCAAGCTAGTTACTTCCTAGATACAACGCGGGTACAGGTATTGGGTAAATACAGCCATTCCAAATGAGATAAATGGGCCAAAACAAAGGAGTTACAGGGCCCATGGAAGTCTGAAATCCAGTGGGGCAGTCAAATTTTAAAGCTCCAAAATGATCTCCTTTGAATTCAGGTCTCACATCCAGGTCATGCTGATGCAAGAGGTGGGTTCCCATGGTCTTGGGCAGCTCCACCCTTGTGATTTTGCAGGGTACAGCCTCCCTCCCAGCTGCTTTCACAGGCTGGTGTTGAGTGTCTGTGTCTTTTCCAGGCACATGGTGCAAGCTGTAGGTTGATCTACTATTCTAGGATCTGGAGGATGGGGGCCCTCTTCTCACAGCTCCACTAGGCAGTGCCCCAGTAGAGACTCTTTGTGGGAGCTCTAACCCCACATTTCCCTTCTGCACTGCCCTAGCAAAAGTTCCTCATGAGAGCCCTATTTCTGCAGCAAACTTCTGCCTAGGCATCCAGGCATTTCCATACATCTTCTGAAATCCAGGCCAAACCATAATTCTTGACTTCCATGCACTCGTAGCCTCAACACCACGTGGCAGCTGCCAAGGCTTGGGGCTTGCACCCTCTGAAACCATGGCCTGAGCTCTGTGTTGGCCCCTTTCAGTGGCTGGAACACAGAGCCCAAGTCCCTAGGCTGCACACAGCATGGGGACCCTGGCCCTGTCCCACAAAACCATTTTTTCTTCCTAGACCTGCAGGTCTGTGATGGGAGAGGCTGTCATAAAGATCTCTGATATACCCTGGAGACATTTTCCCCATTATCTTGAGGATTAACATTCAGCTCCCTGTTACTTATGCAAATATCTGCAGCCAGCTTGAATTTCTCCTCAGAAAATGGGATTTTCTTTTCTACCACATTGCCAGGCTGCAAATTTTCCAAATTTTTATGCTCTGCTTCCCTTTTAAAATGGAATGCTTTTAGCAGCACCCAAGTCACCTCTTGAATGCTTTGTTGCTCAGAAATTTCTTCCACGAGATACCCTAAATCATCTCTCTGAAGTTCAAAGTTCCACAAATCTCTAGAGCAGGGACAGAATGCTGCCAGTCTCTTTGCTAAAACATAACAAGAGTCACCTTTGCTCCAGCTCCCAACAAGTTCCTCATCTCCATCTGAGACCACCTCAGCCTGGATTTCATTGTCCATATCATTATCAGTATTTTTGTCAAAGCTATTCGACAAGTCTCTAGAAAGTTCCAAACTGTCCCACATTTTCCTGTTTTCTTCTGAGCCCTCCAAACTGTTCCAACCTCTGCCTGTTACCCAGTTCCAAAGTTGCTTCCACATTTTTGGGTATTTTTTCAGCAATGCCTCACTCTACTGGTACCAATTTACTGTATTACTCTGTTTCATGCTGCTGATAAAGACATACCAGAGACTGGGAAGATAAAGAGGTTTAATTGGACTTACACCTCCACATGGTTGGGGAGGCCTCAGAATTATGGCAGGAGGGGAAAGACATTTTTTATGTGGTGGCAGCAAGAGAAAATGAGGAAGATGAAAAAGCAGAAACCCCTGATAAAATTATCAGATCTTGTGAGACTTATTCACTACCACAAGAACAGTATGGGAGAATCCACCACGATGATTCAAATTATCTCCCAGTGGGTCCCTCCTACAACACGTGGGAATTATGGGAGTACAATTCAAGATGAGTTTTGGGTGGGGACACAGAGTCAAACCATATCAATGATGAAGAACTAACAGACTGGATTTTAAAAGTGGCTGCACCATTATACATCCCCACCACCATTGTATTAAGGTTCTGATTGCTCCACATCCTTGCCAATACTTGTTATTTTCTGGCCTTTTGATTGTAGCCATCTTAGTGGGTATAAAGTGGTATCTCATTGTGGTTTGGATTTGGCTTTCCCTGAGGACTAATGATGTCAATCATCTTTCCATGAGCTTATTGGCCATTTATATATCTTCTTTGGAGAAACATTTGTTCAGTTCTTTTGTTTATTTTTAAATTGGTTTATTTTACTTTGATTTTTAAATTGTAAGAATTCTTTATATGTTATAGATATGTGTATATATATATTTATTTATATATTCTATATTATATCAGATATAAGATTTGCAAATTTTGTCTTCTTGGGTTGTCTTTTCAGTTTCTTGATGGTGTTCTTTGAGGCACAAAAGTTTTTCATTTTGATGATGTCCCCAGCATCTCAAAATTAACAAAATGCTTCCAAAGATACTTCTGAATTTCCTCTCACAGCCACTCTGTAAAGCACATAGGGCAGAGATTATGTTTCAATTTCATAATTGATGAATGCACCCTTGGACAAGCTGCTCAGCCTCTCAGCCTCGTGATGAGGCAGAGGGGCAGAATCAGGACTTAAATGGGGGCCTCTCACCATCCTTTGTCTAGGATTCATTTTATCTCATCCAGCTTAATGGTGATCAATTTGTCTTAGGCAAGACCATTCATTGAACCTCGGGTCATCGAAAGTCCCCAAATAGCTTCTATCAGGAAAACAATCTTCTTTTCCCTGCATAATTATGACAGCATAAATAAAGGGTGTAAAATGCTACACCCATAAGGATGTTCATAACAATTGGTGGCCACTGGCAAGGTGCAAGAGGAAGGCCTGGTGTGGGATTCTCTGTGGGGCTTGCCTGGGAAAGTAATCAGAAGAGTAGAATCTCAGCTTGTGCCTCTCAAGGGAATGGAGTTGAGAACCATGGAGCAGAGAGTCCCTTTGTTTAGGAGTTTGTTTTGAACTTGTTTAGATTCCAGGAAGGGAGATACAACTCCCACCGGAAAGAGGAAAATATTCCTAGATGTTGGAAAACCATGTGCCAAAAACACTGAGACACAACTTTACTGCCTCTAGCAGGAGGAAAGAGAAAACCTTTCTGGGCCAGCTTTACCCATGGACCTCACCCTTCACAGGCTGCCATCTGGGCTGCCCTCAGTAAAATTCTTTTTTCCACGAAGAGCACCCATCTTTCTTACTTGAAAGACCCAGTGACAAGTCAAGTTAAAGAGGCAAAGTCAGAGTTGCCATTTTCACAATGTGGGGCAATTCCAGTGAAATCAAGCATGAAGCGGTGTGCAAATTAATATACATTATATAATAATATAATATACTATCTTGTAATTATATAATAGATTTTCAATTATATAATACTATATATGGTATGAATATATATGGATATGTTTATTATGTGATTAATATTATCTTAAGGGTGTGTGTGTATATATTTTTTTATGTATATATATAATATATATATATAATCTTCCTTCCAGAAATGGGAGCACATATGCCTGTGTCTAGAATACAGAGCCAAAGATCTGGAAAGTCACTCCAAAATACCAGTGGTTGCCTTTGGAGAAGGGGCTAAGCTTGGGTTAGGGCTGAAGTTGTTTGAAAGGGGACTAGCTTTTTTGTTCACTATATAGTTTGAACTTTTTAATGCACATGAACCTACTGTAATAACATCATTTTAAGCAGAATACATTGGGTGGTTTTGGGACCTGACTTATCTGCAGGATGGCACTTCCATCATCACCCTCAGCAGGGACTAGGACTCCTTCTTACTCTCCAGCATTACAAACATGATCTCTGACGTGCCCCTCTTCACCATCCACTTTGTCTGCTGTCCTACTCTGTGTTAGGCTGTTCTTGAATTGCTGTAAAAATAATACCTGAGACTGGGTACTTTATAAAGAAAAGAAGTTTAATTGGCTCACAGTTCTGCAGGCTGTACAAGCATGGTGCTGGCATCTGCTCAGGTTCTGGGAGGGCCTCAGGAAGCTTTTACTTGTAGAAGAAGGTGAAGCACAAGCAGGCACATCACATGGTGAAAGCAGGAGCAAAAGAGAGAGAAAGGGGAGGCGCTACACCTTTTTTTTTTTTTAAATAGAGACAGAGTCTCGCTCTGTTGCCCAGGCTGGAGTGCAGTAGTGCAGTCTCAGCTCATTGCCAACCTCCGCTGCCCAGGTTCAAGCGATTCTCGTGCCTCAGCCTCTAGAGTAGCTAGGACTACAGTCATGTACCACAATGTCTGGCTAATTTTTTTTGTATTTTTATTTAGTAGAGATGGGGTTTCTCCATGTTGGCCAGGCTAGTCTCAAACTCCTGACCTCAGGTGATCTGCCCGCCTTGGCCTCCCAAAGTGCTGGGATTACAGGCATGAGCCACTGTGCCCGGCCCACCACACACTTTTAAATGACCAGATCTCATGGGAATTACTTACTATAACAAGGACAGCACCAAGGGGGTGACACTAAATAACTCATGAGAAATCTGCCCCCACAATCCAATCACTTCCCACTAGGCTCCACCTCCAACATTGGGGATTAAATTTCAACATGAGATTTGGATAGGGAAAATATACAAACTGACTCCTGAACCAGCTGGACAGTCTTCTCATGACCTTATGTCATGGACCATTCTTGCTCTCATTTCCCTTGCCACCCACCTTGGCCTCCCCATCCAGCCTGACTCCAAGGTCATCTATTTCAGTGACTCTCTCACCAGTTCCCGGGATTCTGTCACCCCATTTCCCCCTGGCCACCCCTACATTGCCAGCTCAGAACCATCTGCTGTCCCTGCTGTGTTTCAAGACGGCTGGAGGGGTGCCATAAATTCCCATGACTGGGTCCCCTGAAAACTCCTAACAGCCAGCCTGGCTTGCCCCTCACTGCCCCAAGCAATCATCTTATTCCTTTCTGTTGACTTCTTATTACACTGCCCTCCCATGTAGACCTTTCCTCTTCTCCTGGTTTATATTGAGAACACTGAGACCTCCACCCATGAACTGCCCCAAATGCTCCCCTCCTTCCCTCAAACTCTTAACATTTTTGTGTATCACATTTTCCTTGTGGCCCATCTCAGAAGAACTCTGTCTCCGAGACAGGCTGTTTGTATATAACCTCAAGTCCATCCTAGTTTCTTTTGGTGCTGTCCTTGTTATAGTGAGTGAATTCTTATGAGAGCTAGTCATTTAAAAGTGTGTGTACAAGAACCTCCCTCCAGAAAAAAAAAACGGTGTTTTTCTTCTCCTTTGCATCATTAGTCTGTTTCTCTTTTGTTCGTATCAGTGTGCCACACATCTCTATTCTGGACTTATTTAATAGTTTCCCCCCACAAAATGGCTGAAAAAACAGGCATGCATACAGAATGTTGTGGAGGCTGCCTACATTCCCACCACATCAGGATGGACCCACTTATCCCCTAGTTGCTGGAAGCTTTCAAGGTTGACGGCTCTCAGCCGAGTCCCTCTCTAGGGCTTGCTTAGAATTGAAGAGAACAATCTCATGGGCGTGGTCCCTTCTGAAGCAGCCTGACTCCAATGATAGGCTGTTATAGGTGTGAAAAGGTCGGGCCCCCTGACCTCAATTCAGGAACTCTGAAGGACCCACCCACTCTAGAGCACTCTGTAGGAACCAGTCCAGGCCTCTGTTGGATCTGTATTGCTGCCCAGCAACTCCTCCTGCCCGATCTTGTTTCTCTCGCTCTACCCACTGGTGTGGATCCCAAGAGCACATCCCCATAAATTTCCTGCCTGCCATTCTTCTTCTCAGAGTCTGCTTCTAGGAAACTAACCTACTACAGCAGGCTTTTTAAATCTGGGAAGAAATCTTGAACATGGATGGGAAGAATCAATACTCAAATACTCAGAGCCCAGTCTGAGCAGATAAAGCTCCTTGGATCAATGTAAACTTTTGAATTATGTAGCTTAAAGAAAAATCCAGTTGTACAAATATAAGATGTAGGCTGGGAGTGGTGGCTCATGCCTGTAATCCCAGCACTTTGGGAGGCTGATGTAGGAGGATCACTTGAGTTCAGGAGTTTGAGACCAGACTGGGAAACATAGAGAGACCCCATCTCTACAAAGAATGTAAAAAGTGTGGTGGTGTGCACCTGTGATTCTAGCTACTCTGGAGACTGAGGCAGGAGGATTGCTTGAGCCTGGGAGGCCGAGGCTGCAATGAACTGTGATCATGCCACTGTACTCCAACCTGGGCAACAGAGCAAGACCTTTTCTCAAAATAAAAACAAAACCAAAAACCAAATATAAGTTGTGAGGGATTTTGGCACACATTTATTTGAAAAAAACCTAAGGGACCCCTTCAGTCTTTCATCCACGTATTTATTTATTTATTTACGTAGAAGTACGTATTCTGTGCTAGGCTCTTGCTGCACAGAGTGGGTGGGGGCAGAAATATGAGGAGGGGGAAAATAAACAAAAACTCAGATTTATGATTATCGTCCATGAAGTAAATAAACAGAGGGCAACAAAAGGGAATAAAAGGAGTATCTCTTAGGCGAGGTGACATTAAAAGCCTGGTGAGAGATCCATGCCAGTTTCAATGGGACAGATGCTCAGGGCTCAGGCAGTCAAAGGTAAGGAACTATGGACTCTGCAGGGTCCCTGCTCCCATGCCATGCTAACTGGAGGCTCCAGTCACTGAAGGAAGGGCTGCAGGTGGAGTTGTCTGTGGTCTTGCTGCTCAAAGTATGGTCTGCAGACCAGTGGAACAGGTACCACAGGCAAGCTCCCATTAGAAATGTAGATCTTCCGGCCCCTTCCCACCTATTAGGATCAGAATCTGCATCTTACTGGTTCCCAGGTATATTAATTTCCCATGGCTGCTGTAATGAATTACCACAAACTTAATGCTTAAAACAACACAAATTTTATTTTCTTACAGTTACAGATGTTAGGAATCTGAAAAGAATCTTTCTGATTATCTTTGAGGACAGGTGGATGCGGTTTTGCTTAGTAGTGTTTCTGGATATGCCTTCTGATTGAAACTGAGATTTTGTTTCTATCGTGACTGCTTGGCATATTCTGCTCACCTGGATCCCCTTCCTCCCCATAGACCTATATGTTCCAGATACTTGAAGAACACACCTAAGACAAGTACAACAGTGTTTGCACGTGTACACCTATGCACACGAGCTTTGCACAAGTAAAAAAAATCTTTTCAATTTCTCACCGTTATTTAGTGAGGTATAACCTTTTTTGTTATCTTTCTTTAATTATTATTATTATTGTTATTTACAAAGGGGGATATATGCCAAAGAGCATACAACTCAAACCGGTAGAGTCAGGATATAATTCAAGTCTTCTGACCACAAATCTAATGCCCAGATTGACCGCTGAGAGGTACAAACACATCCAAGTACTGGTAAGATTTCTGTTACCCTCTTGGATAGTAGCTTGTCTGGCTGATTTCTCCACCCAGGGAAGACAAGCCCAAGGACCGGGAAGTGCTGTGGTAGAAGGGTATGTTATTCCGTGTAATCCATGTAACTCTTCAGCCTGCTCTCAGTTAGACTGGATGAAAAGAGGTGTGTCATCTTCAAGAAGAGAAGAGGCTTCCTCTGCTATTACCCAAGGCTCCCAGCAAGAGTGGGGGCCCTCTGAGCAGATTGCGGGTCGAATGGAGGCACTTCATCAGGTAGGGGAGAGTGTAGAGGTCATACTTGGAGGGTGGCTACATTCATGCAGATGGTGTAACTCCTGCATGACGTCTGTCCCAGAAGAAGATACTGGTAGTATAAAGTTGCTTTCCCCAGGGCGCTGTAATCAGCTACAGGCAGCGCTCTATGAAGGCCATCAAAAAACTGGGGAGTTGAGGGACCTTCAGTTACTGGAATATGCCTGTTACAGAAAATGCTTCTTGATTTTGCTTCTTCTTCCTTCTGAGTTGCTGTGGAGATTGTGTTTGGCATGGAGATCTGGTATCTTCTGTGATGCTCAGTATGAGGGACCATCTTTCAAGTCAGGTCAAGAGTATAACAGCCTAGGAGACACCTTGGACCTTTCTTCTAAGAGCACCCCTTATACACCATGCTTACATTAGAATTTCTCCTCCTCTTTTTCTTTTGCCTTCTTCATCTCTTTTTTTCATATTTTTTTAAAAAATACATTTTATTGCATATATTTGAGGTTTACAGCATGATGTTATGGGATATATACAGATAGTAAAATGGTTACTATAGTGAGGCAGCTTAACATATCTATCATTTCATATAGTTATTTTTTGTGTATGTGTGACAAGAGCAGCTAAAATCTATTTAACAAAAAATCCTAATACAGTATTACTTTTATTTTATTACTACAGTCATGTTGTACATGAGATCTCTAGACTTGTTCATTCTACATATCTGCTACTTTGTATCCTTTGACATCTCCCCATACTTCTCACCATGGTAACCACTGAGACAAATGACAATGTTGATTCTGTAGCTCTGCATATTTGGCCTTTTTTTTTTTTTTTTCAGTTTCCACATATAAGTAAGATCATACAATTTTTTTCTTTGTGTGTCTGGTTTATTTCACTTATCAAAATGTCCTCCTGATCCATCTATGTTGTGGCAAATAGCAGAATAATCTCTTCTTTCCTCAGACTGAATAATATTAATATACATATATATTTACATTTTCTATATCCATTCGTCCATTGATGGACATTTAGGTTGTTTATCTTAGCTGCTGTGAATAAGGCTGCAATGAACATGTGGGTGCAAATATTTTTATGAGGTGGCTATTTCTTTTTTGTTCTTTTTTTTTTCAGACAGCATCTTGCTCTGTTGCCCAGGCTGGAGAGCAGTGGTGTTATCATAGCTCACTGCAGACTCACTCCTGGATTCAAGTTGATCCTTCTGTCTCAGCCTCCAGAGTACTTGGGACTACAAGCAGGCACTACCACACCTGGCTAATTTTTTATTTTTTGTAGAGAAAGGGTCTTGTTATGTTTCCCAGGCTGGTTTTGAACTTCTGGGCTCAAGTGATCCTTCTGCCTCAGCCTCCCAAAGTGCTAGGATTACAGGCATGAGCTAACACACTCAGCAGCGGAAGTGGTAATTTCATTTTCTTTGGATATATACCCAGAAGAAGGGTTGCTGAGTTATATGGAAGTTTTATTTTTAATTTCTTTAGAAACCTCCATACTGTGTTCCATAATGGCTCTACCAATCTACATTCCCAACAGTAGTATACTAGGCTTCCCTTTTCTTGACACTCTTACCAACATTTGTTATCTCTTATCTTTTTGGTAATAGCCTTTCTAACAGGTGTGAGGTGATATCTCATAGTGGTTTTAATTTGCATTTCCCTTGTGATTAGTGATGTTGAGTGTCTCTTAATATACATTTTGGCCATTTTTATGTCTTCTTTAGAGAAATGTCTGTTCATATCCTTTGCCTGTTTTTAAATCAAGTTATTTGTTTTTTGCTGTTTAGTTATAAGAGTTCTTTATAAATTTTGGATATTAACCCCTTATCAGGCACACAGTTTGCAAATATCTTTTCCCAGTCTATAGCTTGCCTTTTCATTTTGTTGATTGTTTCCTTCACTATAATGAAGCTTTTCAGTTTGATGTAATACCATTCATTTAGTTTTGCTTTTGTAGCCTGAGCTTTTGGTGCGATATCCAAAAATTCATTGCCAAGACCAATGTCAAGGGGCTTTTTCCCTGTGTTCTCTTCTAAAATTTTATGGTATCAGATCTTACATTTTGGTCTTTTATTCATTGTGAGTTGATTTTTATGTATGGTGTAAGATAAGGGTCCAATTCCATTTTTTTTGCATGTTAAAATTTGTTTTCCCAGCACCCTTGTTGAAGAGACCATCCTTCCCTCCTTGTGTCCTCTTGGTGCCCTTGTTAAAAATTAGTTGAAAGAATTTAAGAGGTATTGACATTAATTCTTCTCTGACTGTTTGGTATAATTCAGCTGTGAAGCTCTTTTGGTCCTAGGCTTTTCTTTGTTGGAAGGCTTTTAATTGCTTCTTCAATCAATTTATTTGTTATTGGTATGTTCAATCTCTCTATTTCTTCCAATTCAATCTTGGTAGTTTATTTATTTCTAAGAATTTATTGATTTCTTTAAAGTTAACCAATTTGTTGGCATATAACTGTTCATAATAGTCTCTACGATCCTTTGAATTTCGGAAGCTTTTGTTGTAATGTCTTCACTTTTCTTTTTCTTTAAGTCTTTTTTTTCTTAGTCTACCTAAGGGTTTGTCAATTTTATCTATTTTTTTAAAGAACCAACTCTTAGTTTTATGGATTATTTTCCTATAGTTTTTCTGTTCTTTCTTTGACTTATTTCTATTCTGAACTTTATTATTATTTTTCCTTCTACTAACTTTGAATTTGGTTTGTTTTTCTTTTTCTGGATAATTGAGGTATAATGTTAGGCTATTTATTTGGAATCTTTCTTCTTTTTTAATACAAGCATTTATTGCTAAACTTTCCTCTTAGAACTTCATTTGCTGCATTCCATAAGTTTTGATATGTTGTGTTTCCATTGTCATTTGTCTCAAGACATTTTTGAATTTCCCTTTTGATTTTTTTCTTTGAACCAATGGTTGTTCAGGAGCATGTTGTTTAGTTTCCACATATTTGTGAATTGTCAAGATCCTTCCTGTTACTGATTTCTAGTTTCATACAATTTTGATCAGAAGCAGTACTAGATATAATTTTAATCATCCTTAATTTGTTAAGACTTATTCTGTGGCCTAGCATATGGTCTATCCTGGAGAATGTTCCATGTGCACTAGAGAAGAATGTATATTCTCCCGCTGTTAGGATGGAAAGTTTTATATATGTCTATTAGATCCATTTTGGTCTCGTGTGCAGTTCAAGTCCAGTATTTTCTGGTTAATTTTCTGTCTGGTTGATTATCCATTATTGAAAATGAGGTATTAAAGTTCCCTAATTTTTTTGTATTGCTATCTATTTCTTCCTTCATGTCCATTAATTTTTGCTTTATATATTTATGTGCACCAATGGTAGATGCGTATATATTTATAATTGTTATGACCTCTTGATGAATTGACTCCTTTCTCATTTAATAATGATCTTTGTTTTTTGCAACAGTTTTTGACTTACAGTCTACTTTATCTGATATAAACATAGCAAGCTGTCTCTCTTTTGGTTGCTATCTGCATGGAATATCTTCTGTCATTCCTTTACTTTCAGCCTATGTATGTCTCTACAGCTAGAATAGGTCTCTTGCAGACAGCATATAGTTGGAATTTTATTTATTTATTTATTTATTTATTTATTTATTTATTTATTTTTTTACCCGCTCTATGTCAGCCACTTAATGTCTTATTTTTTCTTGAGATGGGGGTCTTACTGTGTTGTCCAGGCTGGTCTCAAACTTCTGTGCTCAAGGAATCTTCTCGCATCAGTCTCCTGAGTAGTTGGAATTATGGGTTTGCGCCGCCACATCCAGCTTAATGTTTAATCTATTTACATTCAAAGTTATTACTGATAAATAAGGACTTACTCCTGCCATTTTTTAAATTGTTTTCTGGTTGTTTTGTAGATCCTTTGTTTCTTTCTTCCTCTCTTACTGTCTTAGTGATTTGGTGATTTTCTGTAGTGTTAAGTTTTTATTTCTTTCTCTTTCTCATTTGTGTATCTGCTGTGGCTTTTTGTTTTGTGGTTACCATGGAGCTTATCTAAAACATCTTGTAGTTGTAATAGACTGTGTTAAACAGATAACAACTTAACTTTAGTTGCATGTGAATACTCTAGACTTTTATATTCCCCCCATTTATATTTTTGCTGTCACAATTTACATCATTTTATATTGTATCTTCCTTTGTACTTTATTGTAGCTATAGTTATTTTGACCATTTTAAGTTTGAATCTTCATACTAGCAATTTGAAAGATTTACATACTACCATTATAGTAATGAAGTGGGGAATACTTTATTTCTTTTTTATTTCTGAGGGATAACTTTGTGGTTATAGTATTCCAGGCTGGCATTTTTTTCTTTCAGTACTTTGAATATATTATCCCACTTTTCTCCTGACTTTCAAGGTTTCTGCTAAGGTATTCACTGATAGTCTAATGGGGATTCCCTTTACGGCACTTGCTGCTTTTAAGATTCTGCCTTTGTATTTTGACATTTTGATAAAAATGTGCCTTTGGAATAAATTTGGTAACTTTTGAGCTTCATGGATCTGAATGTCCATATCTCTCCCAAGACTTAAGAAGCTTTCAGCAGTTATTTCATTAAATAAACTTTGCGTGTCTTTTTCTCTTTTCTTCCTTTGAAGTTCATAATGTGAGCATTTGCTCATTTAATGGTGTTCCATAAATCCTGTAGGCTTTCTTCACTCTTTAAAATTTTTCCCCTTTTTCTTCTAACTAGGTTTTTTCAAGAGACTTATCTTCTTTTTTTTTTTTTTTGTCTTGTAGGCCCTTTTCTTTTTTTTATTATTATTATACTTTAAGTTTTAGGGTACATGTGCACAACGTGCAGGTTTGTTACATATGTATACATGTGCCATGTTGGTGTGCTGCACCCATTAACTTGTCATTCAATATTAGGTATATCTCCTAATGCTATCCCTCCCCTCTCCCCCCACCCCACAACAGGCCCCGGTGTGTGATGTTCCCCTTCCTGTGTCCATGTGTTCTCATTGTTCAATTCCCATCTATGAGTGAGAACATGTAGTGTTTGGTTTTTTGTCCTTGCGATAGTTTGCTGAGAATGACGGTTTCCAGCTTCATCCATGTCCCTACAAAGGACATGAACTCATCCTTTTTTATGGCTGCATAGTATTCCATGGTGTATATGTGCCACATTTTCTTAATCCAGTCTATCATTGTTGGACATTTGGGTTGGTTCCAAGTCTTTGCTATTGTGAATAGTACTGCAATAAACATATGTGTGCATGTGTCTTTATAGCAGCATGATTTATAATCCTTTGGATATATACCCAGTAATGGGATGGCTGGGTCAAATGGTATTTCTAGTTCTAGATCCCTGAGGAATCACCACACTGACTTCCACAATGGTTGAACTAGTTTACAGTCCCACCAACAGTGTAAAAGTGTTCCTATTTCTCCACATCCTCTCCAGCACCTGTTGTTTCCTGACTTTTTAATGATCGCCATTCTAACTGGTGTGAGATGGTATCTCATTGTGGTTTTGACTTGCATTTCTCTGATGGCCAGTGATGATGAGCATTTTTTCATGTGTCTTTTGGCTGCATAAATGTCTTCTTTTGAGAAATGTCTGTTCATATCCTTCGCCCACTTGTTGATGGGGTTGTTTTTTTCTTGTAAATTTGTTTGAGTTCATTGTAGATTCTGGATATTAGCCCTTTGTCAGATGAGTAGATTGCAAAAATTTTCTCCCATTCTGTAGGTTGCCTGTTCACTCTGATGGTAGTTTCTTTTGCTGTGCAGAAGCTCTTTAATTTAATTAGATCCCATTTGTCAATTTTGGCTTTCGTTGCCATTGCTTTTGGTGTTTTAGACAAGAAGTCCTTGCCTATGCCTATGTCCTGAATGGTATTGCCTAGGTTTTTTTCTAGGGTTTTTATGGTTTTAGGTCTAACATTTAAGTCTTTAATCCATCTTGAATTAATTTTTGTATAAGGTGTAAGGAAGGGATCCAGTTTCAGCTTTCTACATATGGCTAGCCAGTTTTCTCAGCACCGTTTATTAAATAGGGAATCCTTTCCCCATTTCTGCTTTTTGTCAGGTTTGTCAAAGATCAGATAGTTGTAGATATGCAGCATTATTTCTGAGGGCTCTGTTCTGTTCCATTGGTCTTTTTCTCTGTTTTGGTACCAGTACCATCCTGTTTTGGTTACTGTAGCCTGGTAGTATAGTTTGAAGTCAGGTAGTGTGATGCCTGCAGCTTTGTACTTTTGGCTTAGGAATGACTTGGCAATGCGGGCTCTTTTATGGATCCATATGAACTTTAAAGTAGTTTTTTCCAATTCTGTAAAGAAAGTCATTGGTAGCTTGATGAGGATGGCATTGAATCTATAAATTACCTTGGGCAGTATGGCTATTTTCACGATACTGATTCTTCCTACCCCTGAGCATGGAATGTTCTTCCATTTCTTTGTATCCTCTTTTATTTCATTGAGCAGTGCTTTGTAGTTCTCCTTGAAGAGGTCCTTCACATCCCTTGTGAGTTGGATTCCTAGGTATTTTATTCTCTTTGAAGCAATTGTGAATGGGAGTTCACTCATGATTTGGCTCTCTGTTTGTCTGTTATTGGTGTATAAGAATGCTTGTGATTTTTGCACATTGATTTTTTATCCTGAGACTTTACTGAAGTTGCTTATCAGCTTAAGGAGATTTTGGGCTGAGACGATGGGGTTTGCTAGATATACAGTCATGTCATCTGCAAACAGGGACAATTTGACTTCCTCTTTTTCTAATTGAATACCCTTTATTTCCTTCTCCTGCCTGATTTTCCTGGCCAGAACTTCCAACATTATGTTGAATAGGAGTGGTGAGAGAGCGCATCCCTGTCTTGTGCCAGTTTTCAAAGGGAATGCTTCCAGTTTGTGCCCATTCAGTATGATATTGGCTGCTGGTTTGTCATAGATAGCTCTTATTATTTTGAGATACGTCCCATCAATACCTAATTTATTGAGAGTTTTTAGCATGAAGTGTTGTTGAATTTTGTCAAAGGCCTTTTCTGCATCTATTGAGATAATCATGTGGTTTTTGTCGTTGGTTCTGTTTATATGCTGGATTATGTTTATTGATTTGCATATGTTGAACCAGCCTTGCATCCCAGGGATGAAGCCCACTTGATCATGGTGGATAAGCTTTTTGATGTGCTGCTGGATTCGTTTTGCCAGTATTTTATTGAGGATTTTTTCATCGATGCTCATCGGGGATATTGGTCTAAAATTCTCTTTTTTTGTTGTGTCTCTGCCAGGCTTTGGTATCAGTATGATGCTGGCCTCATAAAATGAGTTAGGGAGGATTCTCTCTTTTTTTATTGATTGGAATAGTTTCAGAAGGAATGGTACCAGCTCCCCTTTGTACCTCTGGTAGAATTTGGCTGTGAATCCGTCTGGTCCTGGACTTTTTTTGGTTGGTAAGCTATTAATTATTGCCTCAATTTCAGAGCCTGTTATTGGTCTATTCAGAGATTCGACTTCTTCCTGGTTTAGTCTTGGGAGGGTGTATGTGTCGAGGAATGTATCCATTTCTTCTAGATTTTCTAGTTTATTTGCGTAGAGGTGTTTATAGCATTCTCTGATGGTAGTTTGTATTTCTGTGGGATCGGTGGTGATATCCCATTTATTATTTTTTATTGCGTCTATTTGATTCTTCTCTCAAGAGGCTTATCTTTAAGTTCAGAGACGTTTTCTTCTGCTTGATCTATTCTGTTGAAGTTCTCAACTGTATTTTTTTTTTTATTTCATACATTGAATTCTTCAGCTCCAAGATTTCTGTTTGGTTCTTTTTAAATTATATCTATCTTTTTGTTGAATTTGTCAGTCAGATCATGAGTTGTTCTCCTGATTTCATTGAATTTTCTATCTGTATTCTATTGTATCTCACTGAGTTTCCTTAAGATCATTGTTTTGATTACTTTTTGGGAAATTTGTGAAGTTTAATTTCTTTAGGGTCAGTTAATGGAGAATTATGTTCCTTTGATCATGTCATATTTTCTTACTTTTCCATGCTTCTTGTGTCCCTGTGTTGATGTCTGTGCCTCTGATGAAATAGTCATCTCCAATTTTAGAGTAGCTTTCATAGGGAAAGATTTTTACTGGCATATGAGTCCTAGGTTGGTTGTGTGTTGGCTCTGGTTCCAGGTGGGTGCAGTAGAGCAGTCTCCATGAGGTTTTTTTCAGTTGTGATTGACATCATTGATAACTGCAGCTGAATCAGTGGCTGAGGCTCCAAGAGTTTGTAGCAGCAGTGGTGGCAGGGTCGGTTGTTAGAGCTCTCAGTGGAAAAGTCTTTGCGGGGGGGGTCCTCTTGTTTTTTTTTTTCCCACAGTGGGAAGAAGTAGCTGAGGGGATCCCTCTTGGTGTTGGGTCTGACACAGGCCACAGGCAGCCACAGTGGTTCTGTGTTCCAGACTACAGCTGCTTGGAGTAGCTGTGGAGTTTGGGTCCTGGCTTCAATGTCTTGTTGTACTGTTGTAGAACCTGTAAGGTGGGTGTTCACTCTCTGTGACAAGTGGATGAAGCTCCTGCACTAAACAGAGGACTGTTACTCTGAGCCACTCCCCAGTAGCTTGGGCCCAGGGGTCAGGTGTGTAGCTGTGACTCTGATGCTGGGGGTCAGGGCACAGCACTGGTATGGCTCTGGGGAGGAAGGAGTGTTCCAGAAACTTGGGCCTAGAGCCGATAGGGTACAGTGGCAACTCAGGCATCAGGAGAGGAAGTAGCACATCATGGTGACTCTGGACTCTGCAGAGGTGGAACACGACAGTGGCCCAGGGTGTGTAAGTCCAGGTGCAGTGGCAGAGAATTCCTAGAATGGAGGTGCACAGCTGTGGCTTGGGCTCTAGGAGGTGGGGAGCAGGGCAATGATAGCTCAATACCTTGGGGAGGTGCAACACCTCAGCAGCTCAGACTCCAGAGGGCTGGTTCAGATCCGAGAAGATGGAGCTCTGCAGTTGCACAGCCCAAAGGGTAGGGTGAAATAGAACAGCCAAGACTCTGTTTCCCTAGGGGGTAGGGCACCACATCTGCTCAGGCATCAGAGGTGCAGCTGCTCTGGTGAGACCATCTCTGGATCCCCAAGGGGCTTGGTGACACATGGGCTTGAATGCTGGGGTTGTGGCTACTCTCCTGGGCTGACACTGATTCTGAGGGGTGAGGTATGGGGTTGGTTATGGCTCTGGGGGCTCAGGTATGCTCTGCTGGCTCAGGCATGATTTACCCCTCCCTTATCCAGCTACTAGAGGGCAGGGATGTTGCCTACACTTCTCCCTGCTAGATGATTTCCTTATGGATTACAAGGCCTGCACAAAGAGGGCACTCGGTGCACAATTGTGGAATTAAATCCATTGAAATTATCAGGCAAGAGGATCTACTTTCTACATACACACATATGGTTGGGATGTTCTTTCTTTTTCACAAATGGGATCATATTGTATGCATTGTATTGCCAACTTTCTTTTCTTCTCCTTCTTCCTTGTGTAATAATGTCTTAGGGATCTTTCCTTGACTCTGTGAAGACCCACTTCATTCATTTTAACTGCTGGATAATCACTCCTGTATTGATGGGCATTTGAGTTCCTTCCACTCCTCACTATTTCTTGTGATGCTGCTGTTGGCTTTCTTGCACAGGCCTCTTGCTACACAGGTGTGAGTGTTTCTCCAGGAAAGACACCTGAGCAGGACTCACTGGATGGCAGGGCTCCTCTTTCCTGTCCCATTTACTGGGTCAGATGCTTAAAATCTAAATTTTCCTGAAAGACAAGTTGAACTTAGGAGAAATTCCTTTCCCTGGGAGTGGTAGGGAGTGTCAGTCCTGGGCTTGTATCATGAACTTGGCACACACACAGATACACACACACACACATGCATGCACACACACACACTTGATTCTATTCCAGCCTGCTCACCAGGAAACCTAATTTTAAAACAGGAACTAATTCATGTGTTTTTCAGCTGCATCAGGTCATTTATATTCTTCTCTAAACTGGTTATTCTAGTTAGCATTTTGTCTAACCTTTTTTCAAGGTTCCTAGCTTCCCTGCATTGGGTTAGAGCATGCTCCTTTAGCTCGGAGGAGTTTGTTATTACCCACCTTCTGAAGCCTACTTCTGTCAATTCGTCAAACTCATTCTCTGTCCAGTTTTGTTCCCTTGCTGGTGAGGAGTTGTGAACCTTTGGAGTAGAAGAGGCATTCTGGTTTTTGGAATTTTCAGGCTTTTTGAGCTGGTTTCTCCCCATCTTCGTGAATTTATCTACCTTTGGTCTTTGATGTTGGTGACCTTCAGATGGGGTCTCTGAGTGGACGCCCTTTTTGTTGTTGATACTATTCCTTTCAAACCAGGAACTAATTCATGTTAGCATCTTTTGTGGAAGCACACTGAACATGAAAGTCCTCATATTTGAGCTCTAGTATAGGATTTGTCACAAACCTTCCAAGACAATGTAGGACAAGGAACATAGCCTCTATGGTCTTAAATGGGTTTGGAGGAGATAAGGAGTAGAGGAATAGACACATTACTGTTCAAGGGCACTTTCGGTGCTAACCTTCCAGGGTGATGCTTTGGTTTTCTGCCCTTGACCTCAGGTTTGCCCATAGGAGACACAAAATGGGGAGTGGATGCTTTAAAAGCCAGTCAGCTTTCCCAGGTGAGTCAGAGTCAGCAGCTTGGTGACCTAAGCCCTGGTCAGCAGCCCTACCTTCTTTCCTGGAGCTACCACTGCTGGTTCCTCAGCTGACCCCTGGAGAGGGCAGGTTTCACATCTCATACAGAAGAAAGTCAGGAGGAAGCCTTGCCCAAGACTTAGTAGTCTATATTTCTGGTGGCTGCCAGGCCCCACCACCACAGATGCCTGGTTTGGTGTTTCTGACAAAGAAGTAGAGCTGAGTGGTAAGGCAAAGGCTCTGGGGTCACACTGCCTTTGTTCCAATCTGACCGGCAGACAGAACTGGAGAAAATCACTCAGACTCTTACTTTCCTTATTTTTAGTTGGGGGTGAATATTAAGTGAGGAATTTTCACATGAGCACATGATAAGGGCTCAATATGCATTTATGATTGTTGTTGTTAATGTCCACAACAAACACAGCTTTTAAGGTAACCAGTGGTGTCTGATGAATTCGTAGATAGATGCATGAGTGTACAGCAAGTCACAAGGCTAATATTCTGCTCATATTTCTGCCACTGGCTCCCTCCAAAATCAGTCCTCTGCTCATTCAAACTGAAAAAATGTTCCCTAAACTAGCCTCAATGTGAATCCTAGCATTGATAATGGCTCTTTCTTAATCTGGGATTGTCTTCCCACCTATTTCTGACTATGAAAATCCCATCTTTCAAGGTCCCCAATCACATGCCACCTCCTCCAAAAAACTTTGTTTTTCCTGTTGAGAAGTGTTAACTTCATTTTCATATCGAATATATATCTATATACTGATGGTTCCCAAGTTTGTATTTTCCATAGAGACCTTTCCCCTAAATACCAGACTTGTGAACAGTTCCACCTCACCTACCCACTCAGCCAAGCCTGCTCTCCTGGCAGGCCTCCTCCTGTCCCCTATATGAGATAGATCCAGTGCCAATTGTAACAATAGGAAAAACAAGCTGTTATTCCTACTGGGGCACATGATACAACACTCAACACAGCATGTAGAGTATTTTATTGCTTCTCACCAAAATGTGTCTGTTTTTTTCCTCACATACCAAGCAATTCTCCAGCAGACACCAACTGGGTGTCCTATAATTCAGTTCAGTTATGACACCATCTACCTGAAGATAGTGTCAGATCCCACGGTTTAAGAGCCCAGTCCCACAAAATTGCCCTCCACTTCAGGTGTCAGTCACAAGCCCCTGGTTGTGATCTGTATTTCTGACCAGCTAGCTATAAATCAAGGGTTCCCATGATCCTTTCTTTGTGTTTGATTAATTTGTTAGAGCATCTCACAGAACTCAGACTAACACTTGACTTACATTTACCCATTTATTATAAAGGATATTACAAAAGGATGTGGATGAACGCCAGATGGAAGAGAGGCATAATGTAAGGTATGTGGGAAGGGGCACAGAGTGCCATGCCCTCTCCAGGTGTGCCATCCTCCCAGCACCTCTACTGATTCATCAACCAGGAAGCTCTCTGAACCCTGTCCTTTTGGGGTTTTATAGAGGCTTCATTGTGTAGCATGACTGATTAAATCATTGACCATTGGTGATTAGCTCATCTTTAGCACCCCCTCTCTTCCCCAGAGGTCAGGTCAGTGGGGTTTGAAAGTTCTACTGTAATCACACGGTTGATTCCCCTGGCTACCAGCCCCCATCATGAGGCTATTGAGGAGTCCACCAAGAGTGACCTTTAGAACAAAAGATGCTCCTGTCCTCCAGGAAATTCCAAGGGATTTAGGAGCTCTGCATCAGGTGATCTTGTCACTTAGGGAATCATAAAAGTTTTAGGAGCTCTGTCTCAAGAACCAGGGGCAGAGATCAAATATGTATTTCCTCTTCTTCTTCTTTTTTTTTTTTTGAGGTGAGGTCTCACTATATTGTCCAGGTTGGTCTCAAACTCCTGAACTCAAGCAATGGTCCTGCAGTGGTGGCCAAGGTGCTGGGATTACAGGCTTGAGCCACCATGCCCACCATGTATTTCTTATTATATCACACTATTACACAACCTCTGTCAGTTCATGGCATCCCAATCCTTCTAGGTACTCAGGCCTTCTCTCATACCCCACATCTCATGCAACAGTTAATTCTGCGTCAACCTGCAAAATAAACCAGAATCTCACCACTTCTCATCACCTCCACTGCTTCTACTGTTAAAAGAAAAAACTTTAGAAAAATTAAACTTAAGAGCATTTAATTGAGCAAAGAATGATTCACAAATTGGGCACCCCCACCCTTGCCCCACCCCCACCAGAACAAGAACAGTTTCAGAGAGCTCCAGGCTGCAACTTGAGCAGGCAGCATTTACAGACAGAAAACAGAAGTGAGGTACAGAGGCTGCTTGATTGGTTACAGCTCAGTATTTGCCTTATTTGATCATAGTTTGATCAGTTGGCCACCTTTAATTGACTGAAGCTCTGCTGCTGTGATGGGCTGAGACTCAGCTTTTGTTACAAAAGTATACACCCAAGTTAGTTTCAGTTAGTTTATGTACTAAATTAGGTTATAGTTTGTAACATAAGAAATCAAATATGGAGGCGTCCTTAGGCCAAATTTAGTTTAACATTATTTTTAAGAAAAGAAAAATAGCTCAGAACAATCTGAGCTGTGCGAGGTATGCAAAATTTATCAGGCTCAGAGTCATGAATATGGGACTTCAGTAATGTCTCCTGCACCCATACCATGGGTCCGTTATTAAAGGCATTTTTTTCCTGACTAGCTGCCTCACTCATAATCTTCATTTTCCTGGAATTTAATAACAATGTATAGCCAATCAATAGCTTATGTTATTTTAATGTAAATTATTGGTAAATAACTTAGGAACTGCTTCTTCTTTTCCTTTAAAAACCCACCTGTAATTGTGGCTAATCCAAGCTCATATTCAGGGCAACTTGAATCTATAATTCTGGGTTGCAGTCCTCAAACTTGGCTCAAATAAACTCTACTTATATTAAGTTTGCCTCAGTTTTGTTTTCCTTTAGGCCAACCCCCTGGTCCAGCCACACTTTTGCTTGCATTACTGCAATAGCCTCTTGCCAGTCTTCTTGCTTCACTCTTGTCCTTTTCCACCCTGTCTATTCTCAACACAGCAGCTGGAGTGATTCTTTCAAATCATAAGTCATATCACTCTTCCACCGAAAATTCTCCAATGGTTGCCATTTCACTCAGATGAAAGCCACCATCCTTAAAATGATCTAGCAAGCTCTACATACCCAGGCCCCTGTTACCTCTCTGACTTCATCTCCTGCTAATCTCCCTATGCTGCCGAATCTTCAGTCATCCTTTGGAACCCACTCTGCACTCTTCTCTACCCTGTGCTGTGCCCCCAGGAGGCTGGCCTCTATGGGCTTCCTCCACAAAGCTCTCTCAATCTTTGGCTTCCAATTATATTCAGTCATGGGAAGATGGAAGGTGAGAAGATGGAGTATTTATTCTGCTGGCCCCTTTCCATTCATGACCTTGGCTAGGCCATAACTATGTTTCTCTATCAAAGACACAGCCCCTGGCACTGGGCCCTGGCTGCAGCCAGCTCTTGCTAGATTCCACTAGCTACCTCTCCTTTTGTGCCTTCAGGCCTAAGGATGTTATCGTTTCTTTTTATTTCTAGCCCTGGAGTGCGTCATCATACTTGCTGGTTTGCCTTAAGCCTGCCTACACTTTTGTAATGAAGATCTTTCTTCATTCTTTCTTTAATTATGACCTTGAAGGTGTCTGCTTCCTACCTCTTTCTCACCATGTTCAAGTCACACTCTCTTCTGCCCTTCCTCTATCATGATGGGCACGCTTCTGCCCCAGGGCCTTTGCACTGGCTCTTCCCTTTTCCTGGCATGCTTTTCCCCTGGCTGCCCCTGGATCCTTCCCTCATGTCCTTTCGGTCTTTGCTCAGTTGTCGTTTTCTCAGTGATGACTTCTGTCTCTCTGCCCTTCTGAAAACTGCAGCCCCTCTACTGTGGCAGACCCTTTTTTTTTCCATAACACTTTCCGCCATCTAACACACTGTATAATTTACTTATTTATTATGTTTCTTGCCTTTCTCCTTTCACTAGAATGTGAAAGCTACATGAGGGCGATATGTTGTCTTTTTTCCTTGCTGATTATCCTCTAGACTTAGATAAATGCCTAGGTGTAGAAGGTGCTCAATAAATATTTGTTCACTGAACAATTTGTTGAGAAATGACATATTCTTGTCTCTTATGGGATCTGTATTAGTTTCCTAGGACTACTCTAACAAAGTACCACAAACTGGGTTGAAACAATAGAAATGGATTGTCTTACAGTTCTGGAAACTAGAAGTCCAAAATCAAGGCATCAGCATGGCTGTACTCCCCCTGAAACCTGTAGGGGGAATCTTTCCTTGTCTTTTTCTAGTTTCTGGTGGTTTGCAGGCAATGCTTGGTATTCTTTGGTTTGTGGCTACGTAACTCCAATCTCTGCCTTCATTGTCACATGGAGCGCTCCTTGTGTGTCCTTGTCTATTCACAGGTTTTTTTTTTTTTTTGAGATGGAGTCTTGCGCTGTCACGGAGGCTGGATTGCCGTGGCGCGATCTTGGCTCACTGCAAGCTCTGCCTCCCGGGTTCACGCCATTCTCCTGCCTCAGCCTCCCGCGTAGCTGGGACTACAGGCCACCACGCCCGGCTAATTTTTTTTGTATTTTTAGTAGAGGCAGAGTTTCGCCATGTTAGCCAGGATGGTCTCGATCCCCTGATCTTGTGATCCACCTGCCTTGGCCTCCCAAAGTGCTGGGATTACAGGCGTGAGCTACCACGCCTGGCCCACAGGTTGTTTTTTTATAAGGACATTTTTATAAGATCATATTGGATTAGGGACCTACCCTCCTCTAGTATAACCTTGTCTTAAATAATTATATCTACAACAAGCCTATTTCTGAATAAAGTCAGATTCAGAGGGTGAGGACTTCAACCTATCTTTTTCAGGGGGACACAATTCAACTGATAATGGGATCTTTTCAGTTTTTCCCTGGAATTATAGTACCTAAGTTATGATTGCTCCAACTAGATTACAATTTTTCTAAGAAAAAGGTTCAATTTTATGTCTGAAATGGCATACTGGTGGGTGGCTCTTGGGTTGGATTTGGTCTGCAGGCAAGTTTGTCTGTCCTGAGGTATTGGACCACATAGTGCTCTGAAAGATTTTTTGAAATAATTTATAAATATTTATTTATTTATTTTTAGCATTTTCTTAGAGATAGGGTATTTATATGTTGCCCAGGCTGGTCTTGGACTCCTAGCCTCAAGTAATTCTCCTGCCTTAGCCTCCTATAGCTTATAAACATTTAAACGTTAGGAAGCTTCACTTACAAATCTGGATTTTTGGTTTCCATGACAAAAGAGAATGTGTGGTTGCACAGGCCTGTCTTGCACCATGTTCCTCAATGCCCAAAGCCTAGCAGGGGCTTCTTCTTAGACAGAGCAGTGCCCTCCATGCCCCACAGGTACACCTCTCCCTGTTGTTGCCCCAACCTTGACACCAGTGAAACTTCTTTTGCAAAGATTATGACAGTGAGAGGAGTTTAATGTGACTGATTTCATCTTGCTTCTAGCCTCACAGGCTGGCTGTCTTTGCTCATCCCTAGGTGTAGGCCAAGCTAACCATGGGAGGAACTTAGTTTGTAGTCTAACTTTGAAGCAAGGATGATAACAGTCCCTCTCTAAAACGAATTCCCTTGTTGTTTGGGGGCTGAAACTGCCTTTGTAAGGCTAATGAAAAGCCATAAGATTAAGATTATGGGAGGGACCTGAATTCTGCTAAAATGTAGATATAGTTTCTATAATCCCTTATTGTTCAGGAGTCATGTGGTCAGAGGTCACAAGATTTGTGACTTCCCCAATTGCTTCTGTAGGTAACACCACTATTGTAGAACCTAAAATTGGTCTTTTGAGATGTCTTTCAGACTTTTACATTCTGGCAACTGACTGAGCCCACCCAGACTCATTACTCATGACTTCACCTGTCCTGTGTTTCCCATCTAGAAACAAACTCAGTGCATGAGGACTATTTTCCACATTCCTATGATTGCACCCCCAACCAATCAGCAGCACCCAACCCCTCCCTGCCTGCCCACCAAACTATCCTTGAAAAACCCTAAACTCTGAGTCTTCAGGGAGATTGACTGGAGTGATAACCCTGGTTGTTCTGCATGGCTGGCCTCACATTAATGAAAGGTTTTCTCTGCTGCAATACCAGTCTCAGTGAACTGGTTTTGTCTGTGCAGCAGGCAGAAAGAATCCATTAGGCAATTACAGTGGGATCAGCTGCCACTTATCTCCTGGCCAGTTCACTCATTTCTATCAGCTGCGTGGCTCTTGTAGCCATATGAGCTTGTAACCCCTGAACACCAAACAAATATTAAGGGAATAACAGGTATTCCATAATGATGGCAATGATGGTGATGGTGGTGAGTTGAAGGTGGGTTGGAGCTCCACTTTTTTTTTTTTTTTACCGTATACTCTTGAAGCTTTCTCAATCTAGCTTTTATCTCCACTGCTCCACCAAGATGTCCAGTGGTAAATTCTCTGTGCACATCTTACTTATTAGCAGCATTTGACATAGTTAATCACCTTCTGCTCTTGAAACACTTTCTTCACTTGAATTCTGTACCATCTTATGCTCTTGGTGCATATCGTCTCACTGGCCACTATTTCTCTATCGCTTTTGCTGGTTTCTACTCCTTTCTTATTCATATAAAAATTAATGTGCTTGTAGGGCTCATTCTTGATATATCCTCTGTATTCTATCCTCCACTTTCTGCCTTAAGAGATCTTGCTTGGTCTTCTAACTTTACATACCCTCTACACAGTGACAACTCCCAAATACTTACCTTCAGCTTTTAACTTCTCCATGAACTCCAGATTGCTTTGTCTACATTTGCTTGGATATACTAAAGGACTATTAAATATTACATATACAAAACCAAACTCCTGGTTTCAATTCACAAAGCTTCTTTTCTCCTAGCATTTAACATTTCAATAATTATTAAATTATTTCAGTTGTTCAGATAAAAAAAATCAGAACTACTCTAAAGTAGATTTTTTTTTTTCCTCTCATACATTCAATGTATCAACACATCCTCATGGGTCTCTGTGATGGTTAATTTCATGTGTTCTCTTGGCTAGGTTATGGTGGCCAGTTGTTTGACCAAAGAACAAAATAGATGTTGAAGGTATTTTTTTTTAAAGATAATTAACATTGACATCAGTAGACAGTGAACAAAGCAGATTACCCTCTCTAATGTGCATGGGTCTTCCCACTAGCTGACTGGGGGCCTTCCAATCAGTTGAAGGCCTTAAGACTGAAGACTGAAGTTTCCTGAAAAAGAAGAAATTCTTCTCAAGAATTCTTGACTGCAACATGGGAAACTTATATGAGTCTCTAGTCTGCTGCTCTGTGGAATTTTGACTAAAGACTGCAATAGCAACTCTTACTTGAGTCTCCAGACTGCTGGCCTGCCCTATGGATTTCAGATTTGCCAACCCTCACAGGAGCCAATTTGTTAATTTTTTTTTTTCTCAACTTTTATTGGTCCTGTTTCTCTGGAGTACCTTGACTAATACACCCTTATTTCAAAATGTGTCTAATACCTAAACCCTTTTCATCACCTCTACCAATAGCACTTTGGTTCAAGACATTATCATCTCTCTGCTGGATGTTACAATTGCTGCATATCTGGAGTTCCATCTATAGCCCATGAGCCAGGCTGACCCTTTAAAACCGTAAGTCATGCATGTTACTCTTCTCTTTAGTGTCCTCCATTGGCTCTTACCTCATTCAGAGTAAAAACTGGAGTCCTTAGATGACCTCTAAGGCCCTACACTGTTTGGTCTCCTGCTGCTTTCTCTGACTTCATCTCTGTGCCCTCACCTACCTCACTAGCCTTCAGCCACACTTCCTTTAACATGCTAAGCAAGTTCCTACTTCAGGGCCTTTGCTCCTGCTGGAAGTCTCTTTGCTCTAGTCAATTCATCAGGCTACCCAGGAGCAGAACAGCACAGTTTCTTGCATCTCAAGGGAAGCAATGACTTTATCCAGAATGGACTATTCATTTAAGACCTGCTGCAATGTGTGTGTTAGCCAACTGCCTAGGGTGTCATCTCTGACACATGGCCTGGGATCCTTTCAATAGTTGATTTTGATCATTTATAGTCTGATTGTTGTTGTACCTGTGTAAGAGTGGTTGGTGTGCAGACCAGCCAAGGAGCAATGATAAGTCTGCGCATCTGTCAGCGTGTGTAAGTTAGAGCATGGGGCTTCTTGTCACTGCCTGACTTTCAAGTACATCCCAGTTTTAAGTGGCTGTTTTCTAAAGAAACTCTTGTCCTTTCATTGTGGGCCCAAGAAAACATTTGAATTCATATTCAAAAACACTGTACTTCAGTAAGGGAAACACATGAGAAACGTATGGGAAGTAGATACTTTAAATAGACCTGCACAGAGAAAACATCCTCCCCGGTGGCAATGTGATCAGAGAGACCCCATCCCTCCTGCGCTCTACTCCCTGCCCCAGCTCTCATCTCCTGGGCTTTGTGTAAATGGTTAGCTGGCTCCAGAGGTTTCAGTCCTTCCTAGGCCTTTCTCATTGTGTGTCCTAGTAGTCATGGGAGAACCCACAATGTATCCCATGTATCAGAAACGTGATTCTTCTGGGCTGTGGAATCAACTAGACCTTGCTCAGTCTTGACTCTGACATTCATAAATGGTGGGAGAAGGGAGGGAGTTGGACAAGTTATACACTCCTCTTTATCCGTTTCCTCACTTACAAAGTAGAAATGATGCCTACATTATGGGGCTGTTATGGGATTTGAATAGAATAATGTACAGTGAGAGCCTGGCCCACAGTAAACATTCAGTAACTGTGTCTCAGGATGAGTCAGGATGGAGACGGGAGCAGTGCTTCAGAGACAGGCTCAAGACCCTGTCCTCTGGGGCTAGGCTGGTGTGTGAGGTGGATACTCCTGATCTCTGGTGGGACTGACCCCTAGGCCATTCTTCACCTGGTCACCCAAGTGCTCCTCTCAGAATATAAACTTGATCAGGCCACTGCCGTCCTAAAAATGCTGGTGATACTGACCTCAAGTTCAGCCTCCAAATAGCCTGCAACATAGGCCTGGCAGGACCTTCTCTTGGCTCACACCTCCTGTTCTTTGGGCCTCTCACCAGGGTCCTTTCACCACTTTGCTCTAGTCATGAAGGAAACATTGGGTGAGCAGTGCTCTTTGAGCTTGGTTGTTAGAGCAGTCATGCTTCCGTCCTACCTTGCTGGCATTCAGCCATATTTTCTCCATCTCCTTTGCAAGATCTCATGGGAGGTTTTCTGAAATTTAGCCACAGTGTCAACTGGATTCCCCTGCTCCACTGCCTATCTGAAACAGGAAAGAGGTTAGTCTTGTGGGACCAGTTTTGCTTGCATACCTGTAGACTTGCTGTATTTTTTCTTTTAGTTTTATTTTTAATTGACACATAATAATTCTACACATTTATGGGCTAGAATGTGATGTTTCAATATATCTATGTATTGTGTAATGAACAAATCAAGGTAATTATCATATCCATCATCTCAAACATCATTGTTTTTTTGTGGTGAGAACATTCAAAATCCTCTCTTCTATGTTGAAATATACAATACGTTATTAACTGTAGTCCCCCTACTGTGCAATAGAACACTAGAACTTACTCCTCCTATGTAACTCTAACCTTTTACCTATTGACCAACCTCTCCCCATCCTTTGATGTATTTGGTTCTCCATCCCCTCACCTGTAAAATGCTGGGCTTCATCAGGTGATCTCCTGGATTCTTTTCCTGCACACCAGCAGCTGGGGGTTTGCATGTTCCCCAGTGAGGAGCTGGCTCATTGATGCTGCTAGGTCCAAGTGAAATGCTGCACCCACAGCTCCAACTTTATCAGAGAGCCAAGGGAGGCCTTTGCAGAGAGAGACTGGGTGGAGATCACTGTAAAGGGGTGGCAGGCCAGTCAGTGTGGGCCAAGTCAGTCGGGGAGGGAGCAAGAAGAGCAGTCTTGATCTCTGGGATGTTCTCTGCCCTCCTCCCCAGCCCTGGCTGCCCTCACAAGAACCAAACTGTGTATCTCAATCCTAGAATGCGAGGAATGTGCTGCAGGCTGATAGGCATGAAGCGATCTGCTGAGAGGCAGGGAGGAGCCCTGTTCCCCAGGCCTGACAGTGCAGGAGCTGTGGGCCTGCAGGCTGGGCTGGGCTGCCCCTCCCACCCTCCCTGGGCCTCCTGCTGTAGCCGGGATATCAAAGGCTGCATTGTGCATTGAGCAGGCCTCGGTCCCTCGTGTGCCAGGGAGGAGGCGGGAGGAGGGACACCGTTGGGAGGCTGTCCCTTGCAGCACTCTTCTGGCCTGTGTTCCCAAGGGCCTCGGCCAGGGTAGGATGGTACACACATGGGTGGCTGCTTCTGCATCCCCAGGGAGCGGAGTCTGACCCGGGGCCCAGGTGAGTTTCCCAGGGGGCCCTTGGCCTGTGGCTTGGCCAAAGTGGATGGTCCAGTAGAGGCTCAGGGACCTGCTGGGTTGGAGAAACTTTTCTCCCAAAGATGGGGAGATGATTGTGCTTTCTGGCTGCCTCTCCTTCCTCCCTGGGTAAGTGTTTGTCATGCTGGCTCTGTAAAAAGGGAGCAAAGCCTGGAAGCATCTATTTTTTCCTGAAGAAAGAGCCTTTGAGTTTACTCTGTCAGGAGCTGAGCAGCACTGCTCCTGGCTGCCACTCCCAGGGTGTGACTAAGCCCTTCCTTCCTTTCTTCCCGAGATCCCCCCAGGACAGGAAGAAAGTTCAGGCAGTGAGTTCCTCTGTGGCCTATGGGTGGCCATAAACTTGGCCTTAGTCATTCAAGCCTATTTTTGTCAGGGTTGCTGTTACTGGAGAAAAACAGGCAGTTTCCTGCCTCCACCTATTACAGAGTGATTTGTGTGTGAGTGCATGTGTGAGTGTGTGCATCAAGTTGAGGCAATGGAGAGTTGTTGCTCTAAGAAATTGTCAACTCATGGGAGAGTGACTTAGGGTGACCAGCCATTATGGTTTGCCTGGGACTGAGGAATTTGCTGGGATATGTCAGTTCCAGGCCAACCAGGCTGGTTGGTCTCCCTGAAGCAACCTTCTTGCTTTTTTTCAGAGGAGAATCAAGGTAGGGCCCTGTGTTCTCTTGTGTGGTGTTTATCAGGATGAGTGGTGGCTTTGGGGAAATGTGGGGTTAGATTGGTGGGGGGAGGCTTGCTTGGGAGATAGGGGAACATTGCTCCAAGGAATCATTCCTAACCCTTGTTAGAACTCTGTGTCTTCCTGGAGCTCCACCATGGTTCCTGAGAGAAGGAGCTAAGGAGCATCCCCTAGCTGAGGGCTTTCTACTCTCTGACAGACAACTTTCTTCTTTAGTCTTATGACTTGGGCTTGTAGAAGGCACTTGAGGTCATTAAAGTGAACCCAAAACAACCATATTCTGCTTCCTCTGCTTGAAGTCTTGATCTAGGCACCTTGGCACCTACAGCAGGGAGTGTCCCCCCAAATGATGCCCTTGGCACAAAAGGCACGACTTTAGCTATGAACAATTTCGCTTCTCCAGATTTCTCAGATGTAAACACTTTTCAGTCCCTCCCCCTAAGTCCTATTGTCATTGTGCCCCATGAGAGTAGAAACAGCATGGAGGGAGACGTGCAGGACCACTGGTCGGAGATCGGGGTTCTAGATCTGACTTCCTCTAGCTCTAGTTATGCAGTTGTCATCTTGGCTACTCACTTGGTCTTTGAGGCCAAAGTGTCTGGATTTTATCTTGGTTCTTTTACTTGCCTCGACAACTTATTTAACTTCTCTGTGTTTCAGTTTCCTTATCTGTAGCTTTTATGACATGATTATGTCTTCTTCATAGAGCTGTGGTGGAGATTAAGTCTACATGTGAAATGGTGAAACAGTCTGGTGCACAGTTAGTTGAGCACAATAAAATTCACCATTGTTAATTCCATTTTGATGACCCCAGTATAACTCGCGCTCTCCCTGGGCCTCCATTTAATCATATATACAATTTTAGGGTTGTAAACTGCTGTGTAGAGGTGCCTCAGAGAGCTCTGCTCATGTTCCCTCATTCCTACCTAGAGCGGCTCTGCTTCTAGTTGACATCGTCCTTCAGCCAAAGATTTCCTGTAGAACAGAGTTACGCAGCTGAAAACAAACAAACAAACAAACAAAATATTGAAAAAGGTCAAAATCATAATAACACTATCATTCAATTACTTTATTCTTTCACCTTCTTTTTGCCATTGATTACTGGCTGGCACCCCGCATTCACCTTTTCACCAAGAGTTAGCCTGCTATGTATCTCCCTCGAGACTTTTCATGCCATTCCCCCATATTATTCCCTGTATGTGTCAGGGCCTTTCCCTAGCGAGGTTGATATTGGTGTTGTAGGTCCAAGTCCAGTCGATCTGGATATTCCCATTCCAGATTCCCCTATTTATCCTAGAGAAAAGGAACAAAGTATGAGACCCATCCTGGAGCAACTTAATAGTTGTGTGACCTTGGGCAAGTCCCTCATGTTTTTTGAACCTCAGTTTTCCTGGCTGTAAACTGTATCTAATGGTGGTACTTATCCCATGGAACTTTTGTGAGGATTAAATTTAATAATTCCTCTCATGGACTTAGCACAAGGTCTGGCTTTTGATAACCCTTCAGTAACTACAGGCTGTTTTATCGTTAGTTAATATGGGCCACTCCTACATCACTTCCTCCTAATTCCTTACTGGTCTGGAGAAGTCTGTACTTATGTTTCCTGGGGTGCTTCTGCCTTGTGTCTGTTTAAGTGAGAGTTAACAGCAGACACCAAAACAGTGAGTCCTCAGGGCTAATGGACACAGGAAAGGAGAAGGCTCTTGATAGCACTGAGCACTGGACAGCTGCCAGACTAGTTTGTGTGGAGTGACACAATAATGAACGTTGACTCTGACTACTCCAGGCACCTGCATTCTTACATGTGGACTCTGCCTGCAGCATCTGTTCCCTGGGATGGCTCTCAACTGCTCACAGAACTCCCCTAATCAGGGGGGACTGCACATGGTGAGAGGATAGGTTCTGATCAGTTGCTATCATCTCTGACTTCCCCACCCTATCTATGAGTTGTTTCTTGCCATTGCTTAATAAGCTACAGTTGCTCACTTTGGATCACAGAGAAAGCCATGTCAAAGTTTGTTGATCAAAAAACTTCTAGCACTTCACCCTTATTTTCAATGCCTGTTTGAAGAAATTTGGCAGATTTATGCCCTTAAATAGAAGATGTGGAAGAGATACATTCGCCTCTGTTGATCACTGGTGCTTGTAACTTTCCTTTCAACCTTTTTGATAAATGTGAATCATCAGTATAATAACAGGAGATCAAGGGTGAATGCTGATAATAGTAAATGATGCTTCACTTTTGAATTTTAAATGACTTGTAAAGCATTTAAAACTACTGATAATAGAGGATATTAGAATAGTTAGCCCACCATCTAGCTGTAACAAATTTTTGCATTATGCCATGTTATCTTCAGAACTTTACCTTTTTCTTTCTCTTACTTTTTGAAGAAATAAAACATCATAAACATACTTAGGGGCCCCTGGATATCTCTTTCCAATCTCATTCTCCTTCTCTCTCCATGTAGTTAATAACTTTCATGAATTCAATGGTTATGTGCTTTCACTACATATTCATGAACTCACAATCATTCCAAAGAATTGTTTTGCAGACTTTAAAACTTAAACAAAATGATATCATGATGCAACTTTTTTTTTTTTTTTGCTAAACATTATCATCTAAGATATATTCATGTGGGTAGATGTAGCTGTACTTCTAACATGCTATTCGTCCCAACAAGGAGAAAGTGGGTTTACATCATAAAAACTGCTGATGGTAGGTCTGTTAGGTCAAAAAAGAAAAGAAAATGTGGGTACAGGAAAAAAAAAACATGCAGATAAATGTTTACTGTTTAGTCTTCTTTTTAAAGTTGAGCATGGTGGTGGGTGGGTAGGAGCAAAGAGAGGCTGAGAGAGGAGAAATGAAGGTGAATTCTCATTTTCGGCAAGTTGTTGTGAGATGTTTCCCTGATCAGAGGCCCGAGACTTTAGAGTTCTGAGGTCAGGTTAATGTAGAGAAAATGGCAAGGTCCCTACCCATTCCTACCCATTGATTTGGATGGCCTCTGGCGCTTTTGTTAATTTGCTGTGTGATCTCAGTAAAATCATGACTCCTCTCTGGGCCTTTAGTTTCTCAACAGTAAAATTGGGAGTGGAGCTAGGTGATCTTTTAAATCCCTTCCTTCATTCATTTTCTGCAATTCTTGCCTCTTCCCCATGTTTATCCCTCATATTCAATATGTCAAGATGCCTTCTCTTTTCTTGTTTAAAAATATAGCCTCATTCACTCTATGCCCTCACTTCTCATTGCCAGGGCCACAGCCCACATTCTTACACTCACCTCCCTGGATTTTCACAGCACCTCTTCAGCTGGTCTCTCTGCCTATTGTGCTTTTCTCTCCTTATCCTTCCCAGGTTACCCAAGTAGAATTTTCACTTTTGTTATGCCATTGCCATGCTCAAGAATATTTCACACCTCACCATCGCTTACTGTATCCATTCTAAACACCCCTGCCTGCCTTAAAGTGCTCTGCCATCTTGAACCTACCATACTTATCCATTTTAGTCCCACAACTACCCACCTCCCCAGCATGCGCAGGCTGGCTTCTAGCATCCCATGTATGTACAAAGCTCATTCCCACCCCATCCTGCTTTCCTCCCACTTACATACATCTGCTAAGAACACAAAAAGCAAGCCATCAACTGGGGAGTAATATCCAGAACAAGTATATTAAAAAAAAAAAAGCTCTTTCAACTCAATAATGATAAGATAAATAACCCAATAACAATTGCAAAATGTTGGAATGGACACTTCCATATAAAAAGTATGTAGATGACTAATAAGCATGTGAAAAAGTGATTAACATCGTAAGTCATTAGGGAAATGCACATTGAAACAATCAGATAAAATGGCCTACCTACTTAGAATGGCCCAAATTAAAAAGACTGATAACATCAAGTGTTAGTGAGGATGTGGAGCAACTAGAACTCTCACACATTGCTGGTGGGAATACAAAATGTTACAGCCTCTTTGGAAAACAGTTTGGCAGTTTACAAATAAATCTCAGTGTTTTTCTGAATTGAGGGTTAGTAACTTTTTCTGATCAATAATAATAAAAATAAAACTAGCTTATATCAAAAGCAATTTATTGATTAATAACTGAAAATCTAGGTTTTTTTCTTCAGATATTGCTAAATCAAGGTGTTCAGATGATGTTATCAGAAAGCTATCTTTCCTAAGCTCTGTTTTTATGGGTTGGACTCAATGTCAGGTGGGCTTTCTCCTTGTGGTGGGTGCCACAGCTCCAGGCTGTCATATTCATAGCTTCTAGTCCAGTGAAAAGAAATCACTAAGTGTGCTGATGAGGGTCCTAGAACTAATTCTCATTGGCTTAACTTTGATCATGTGGCCATGGCACTGCATAACCCAGTTGGATTATGCCTGAATTATGTGCTCACTTTTGGAGCTAGGGAGAGAGTCAGCTCCATATAGACTACATAGACTGGGTTCACATGGGTCACATGGCTAATGAAGAAGCCAGGGTTTGAGTCCAGGACTGTCTGATTGCCACTTGTTCTTAGCCACTTCTCTACCTGCCTTCAGTGTTAGAAAACAAATGCATACCGATCACAGAATATTTGAAAAATAGAGAGCTTGCTTTGGCAGCATGTATGCTAAAATCGGAAGGATACAGAGAAGATTAGCATGGCCCCTGTGCAAGGATGACATGCAAATTTGTGAAGTGTTCCATATTTTTGAATAGATAATGAATGGATGCTGGGCTAAATACCTAGGTGATGGGATGATCTGTGCAGCAAATCACCAGGGCACACGTTTACCTATATAATAAACCTGCATATCCTGCACAGGTACCCCTGAACTTAAAATAAAAGTTGAAGAAAAACTAAAAGAAGGATGGAGGAGGGACTTTATCATTCAAAAATATCAATGTCATCAGAGAAAAAAAAAGTCATAAAAAAAGCGTATGGAAATGTTCCCAATGAAAGCAGGCTAAAGACATTTGACAACTAAATGTAGTACTGACCCTAGACTGCATTCTATACTGAAGAAGAAAAGAAGATAAAAAGGATATTACTGATATTACTGGGGCAATTGACAAAGCTGGAATTTAAATAGTAGATTAAAGTATTAATATTAAAACAATTGTTAATCAGCAGCCTGTATTATTAGCAGATTGTGTTGTCTTTAACATACAAAACTTTTATTTTTCAAAAAATTAATATTTCAGTTAAATAATATTTAAATGTGCCTATAAAAAAAGAAAAATTAGAATTTTGGAAAGTAGATGAAAGTATCAAAAAGATTGTTAAAATGACTCAGCAATAACTACCATAGACCTTTTGGTTTATTTTCTTTCAGTTATAAAAATCATACATTTTTTTCGAAGGTAATTTATTCTATATGACAGTTTTTTGTTGCCTTGAATCATCTCTGGTTCTTTTCCAAGGCCCAGCTCAAGTTTTCAAACTTCTTCATGTTGAAATATAACACCATGTGTAAAAGAATGCTGTAAACGGTCAATCCATGTGTAACTATTAGCTGTTTTTCCTATTATAGAATGCATTCTAATTTTCCAGCTTCCTTATTGTTTCTCAGAGAGGTGCCCTTCTGGCTCATGGGATCCGAGGCCTCTGGTGAATTGGCTTGAGCATTCTCACACTCTAGAAGACATCAGAAATACCCAAAGTGCTAATTAAAAACACACACCTCAGAACTCTACTCCTAGATATTTCAAGGTAGAGTAAGTAGAGAGGGGCTCCAGGAATATTATAAAATTCAGCTTTTCATAAAAATGTACCATTAACACATATACACCATAGAATACTATACAGCCATAAAAAAGAATGAGAGCATGTCTTTCATGAGACATGGATGGAGCTGGAGGCCATTATTCTTAGCAAACTAATGCAGGAACAGAAAACAAAATGCCACATGTTCTCACTTATAAGTGGGAGCTAAATGATAAGAACTTATAAACACAAAGAGGAAAACAACAGACACTGGGATCTACTTGAGGGTGGAGGTTGGGAGGAGGGAGAGAAGCAGAAAAGATCACTATTGGGTACTGAGCTTCATACCTGGCTGATGAAATAATCTGTATAACAAACCTCCATGATATAAGTTTACCTAAGAACCAAACCTTCACATGTACCCCGAAACCTAAAATAAAAGTTAAAAAAAAAAGAATGTTGAGGTCAGTAAAGGCTTTAAGAGGATTAAAAAAAATTTACCATTTATATAGAATTGTGCATGAAATCATGTGTACAGTGTGGTGACTTTTCACAAGTGAATATACTCATCGATATTGTTTTATACAGTGGCAATTCATTCATTCTCATTGTTGTATTGGATTTATTTATTTATTTAATTTTTGGGGGATGGGTCTTGCTATGTTGTCCAGGCTGGGCTTGAACTCCTGGGCTGAAACGATCCTCTAGACTCGGCCTCCCAAATAGCTGAGATTGCAGGCATGTGCCACCATGCCCGGTTTGCTGTGTTAAGATTTAATTATATATTATATATACATCATTTACTTGTCCATTCTAGTGTAAATTGACATTTGAATTGTAGCCAAGTTTGGGTTCTTATAAATAGTGCTGTTCTGAATATTTTAGTGGATGTCTTTTGGTCTTAGTGCATGCATATTTTCAGCTTGAATTGACACTGTCAGCTTTCCAAGGATAGAACTTCAGTTTATCTTCACACTTGCAGTATATTCTAGTTGCAGTATATTCTAGGTATTCTACTTGCTCTATATCCTCACAAACACTTGGCTTTATCTGTCTTTTTTTTTTCATTTTAGCCAGTCTGTGTAGTTGTGTTCCATTGTGGTTTTAATTTTCATTTCCCTGATGAGGTGAAACAATTTTCATATATTTATTAGCTGTTTGAATATTGTCATTGGTGAAAAGTTTATTCAAGCCTTTTGCCCATTTTTCTGGTGGGCTGGCTACCTATTTCTCAAAGATTTTTGGCATTCCTTATATATTCTATGTTTGAATTATTTGATAACTATACATACGTATGATCAATATTTTCTTGTACTCTGTCACTTGCTTTTCAGTCTCTTAATTGCATCTTTTGATTAATAGAAGTTTCTAATTTTAATGTATTACTATTTATCCATTATTCCTTTTGAGGGTAGCACTTTTTCCATCCTGTTTAGGAAATCACTGTCAACATCAAGTCATGCAGATATTCTTCTATATTTTCTATAAGTTTTTTTTTGCATAGATATCTTTTTAAAAACAATTATCTAAAAAATTCTGATACAGACAGTTCACATATCACATTTTGCAAAACCTTGCAATTTTCTGCCCTAAGCCTCACAAATCCTTAAAAAGCTGTGCACCCTTTCCCCAAGCCAGGGTCCCCATCCTTGACTTCCCTTCTTCAAGGTGGGCTCACCTCACAAGCCCTCATTGTCAGGCTATTGTATTTTCTTGGAGAATTCTACAGCAGGGATACACTCACAAACTTGCCAGGGTCAGGTGTAAATGAGTGATGGAATAGGGTGGGCACCATGGTGGCTGGAGAACAAATGCCCTGCAGAGCGACAGCAACCACTTGGCCCCAGCTGACTGTTGCCATATGACAATGAGGCTCCTGGGCTACAGATCTTCCATGTTTCAAAACAAACTCAAGCATCTGGGTTATGTGAAACATTTCAATTTCTAAATGATGTCAAGCAGTTCAAACTAAAAATTCACTGTGTGGGCCAGAAAAAAATAAAGAAGATGTTTGTGGGTTTGCTGTAGTCTACGGTCAAACTTTGTCCCAGGGAAGCAGGCTGCTACTCCAAGTGTGGTCCTGGGAGCAGCAGGAGGAGCATCACCTGTGAAAACATCAGAAATGCAGAACCTCAGCTTTCAAATACTGAAGCAGAATCAGCATTTTATCAATATCCATAGGTGATTCATAGGTAAAATAAAGTTTCAAAAGCACCAATCTAGACATATGGTTCTCAACACTGGCTCAAATTAGAATCATTTGAAGAACTTATTATTAAAAAAAATCTATGGCTGTACTATGGACCACAAAAATCTGAATCTCTAAGGATGAAGCAATATTTTTTCTTTTTATTCCTTTATTATTTTTAATTTTTGTGGGTACATATTAGGTGTATATATTTATGGAATACATGAGATATTTTGATATAGGTGTATACAATGGGTAATAATCACATCAGGGTAAATCACATCGCCTCAAACATTTATCTTTTCTTTTTGTTGCAAGCAATCCAATTATACTCTTTTAGTTATTTTTAAATGTACAATAAATTATTGTTGACTACAGTCACCCCATTGTATTATCAAACATTAGATCTTATTTATTCTATCTAGCTGCATTTTTGTACCCATTAACATCCCTACTTCTCCCTAGCGCACACACCCTTCTCTGCCTCTAGTAACCATCATTCTACTCTTTATCTTCATGAGTCCAATTGTTTTAATTTTTTTTTTAGCTGGGATGAAGCAATATTTTTAAAAGGCAACCTAGATGATTCAAATAGGCAGCTGGGGTTCAAAGGCACTAATTTAGATCAGTCCTTCATTTATAAGTGGGGAAAGTGAAAACTCACAAAGTGGACAGGTGAAGTGTCTTGCCCAAGGTCATTGAACTCATGTATGGGAAGATTTGATTTGTGCTCATTCTCATTTCTCATTATTCCCAAGCCAGTGCCTTTTTGCTGCAGTTGCTTTTGGTTCCTCGGGGCAGAACTGAAAAATGATCCTGTTCAACTATATAGCTCATTGCTGCCAGGTTTCCAGCTAAGCTGCTTAGCTTTCAGCACTGAACAGCTAACAAGATTTACTGGATGAAGAGCTGACAGGCCCCTGCTTCTGCCTATTCCAGCTGAAATCCACTTCATTCTTCATGTACATCACCCAAAACAGTGCTAACTGCTCCCACTGCGAATAAATGGAAGGTCCTCAACTTGGGTGTCAAAATCCCCCTCCATAGGCACAGAGTGGAGACACAGGCTATTAGCAGCAATATGAGAATTTAGGTTCAACATTAACCAGAAGTGAGTGTGACTGCTCCACCCCTGTTGCATTCTTGAGCTGTATCATTAGAGGCACAGATCCAGTATGCAAAACTTGGTAGGCCTCTTTGGCTCTGATGCACAATTTTATAAGCACATTAAAGGAGTGACTCACAAATAGTGGTTGAGCCAAGGTTCCCTAACTCTGCTTTTCAGGACCAGGTAATACTTATCACATTCTGACTCCATGGTACAGTTCTTGAACAGTTTTATGGAAAAAAGGACAGAATCCATCAACTAAAATTAATGTGTGAAGGACTTGAGTTTCCTTGTTGTGTTTTGGGGATGCCATAAAGGAGACCCATGTTCTACAGCAATGTTTTTGACATTTCCTTCTGTAACTACTTCATTATGCTTTATAGGTGCACCATCTTCTTTCTTTTCAACTTTCTGCTATCAAAGTTTCCTCCTCCCCAGCCCTAGCCTGTGTCTTGATCTTCTTTCTTCTTCTTTTTACTCCACTTCTACCGTTGTGAAGACAGTAACTTTTCAGAGTTGGGAAGAAAGACAGGCCTGACAGGACCCTATTTAAGGGGCAGACAGGACAGCTGGGGACAATTATACATTTCAGGGCCATTATAACCACACCCCAATTGTCTCCCTAATGATGCCAATGTCTGTCTCCACTCCAGCCCTTCCATTATCTGCCCCTATTGAACCTTAAGCCTTGCTGTAGTCAGATCTGTGATGACCTGTGTAGGCTCAATGTATATTGAGCACCTTCAGTGTTCTAAGCCATGAGACGTAGTTCGATATGTGAATGGGGATCTGCTTTTTAATAAGATGGGCATACCCAGGCTGCTGCTGGATTGAGATGGCATGTATGACAGTTCTTTGATAACAGCTTAGATAATTACAAGGCAATGGTGATAACAATTAGAATTCTTCCATGCCACTAATCCTGGAAAAAATTTGTCACTTGACCAAAACTACAGCCTTGCTTATAACTTGCTTTCAACTTCCTTACACTCTTAAGATGACCTTTTATTTCATCTTCTCCAGGTAAAGAAACTCCTTCCAAGGATCCAACTGTATCGAGTGAGTGTATAGCCTCATCTGAATACAAGGAAAAATGTTTTCTGCCACAGAACATTAATCCAGGTATCCAAATGCCAAAGACAAGCCCTATTCTTCCATGTTGAGTATTGCGATAACCTCTTTATCTTTCCCATCTAAAGAGCCCCTCCCTCTTTCCCTCTTGATGAAAAGATTTTGACTATGCTATTTGCTTGCTCACAAATCTTCTGTTGCACTCCACTGCCTACAAAATTAATTTTAACTTTCTCAAGCTGTCACTCAAAGCTCTTCACAATCTGGCACTTATTAGGAGCTCCATACTTATTTGCTTTGTTGAAGAAAGTATATCATAAATTAGATTTGAAGGTGTTGAGAGATGGGGTAATTAAAAATATTTATATTCAACATGGTACCTCAAAGAGTTGTTCATACGTTGTTGCTGCTCAGAAAATCTTTGATGAATAAATACATGGGCTGCACGTGATGGCTCTCACCTGTAATCCCAGCACTTTGGGAAGCTGAGATGGGAGGATCACTTGAGCCCAGGAGTTGGGGCCCAGCCTGGGCAACAGAGTGAGACCTGATCCCTAAACAAAAAATCAAAAAATTAGTCAGACACAGTGGCATATGCTTGCAGTCCCAGCTACTTGAGAGGTTGAGATGGGAGGACTGCCTGAGCCTGGGACGTCGAGGCTGCAGTAAGCTGTAATTGCACCATTGCACTCCAGCCTGGGTAACAGAGTGAGACCCTGCCTCAAAATAAATAAATAAATGAATACATGAATGGTTGAATGAATATGTGGAGGTCACTTTTACATACTATATGATACCCAACATAGTACTTTATATGTAGTAGGTTCTGCGTAAATATTTGTTAAATAAGTGAATAACTAAATGAATATGTGAAGTGAGATTGGCTTGAGCAGAAGGGCATCTGTACGAATCTTTCAGAAGCAGAAAAAGTTTTGAAATTAATGTGAAACAAATCTTATTCTTAATACACATCTCTCACAAAATCCTTTTTAAAAGACATCGATGAAGCCCGCAAAGAGAAAATTGTTATCAGAGGAAAGGTGCACCTGGGCAGAACTCTGTAACAGAAACTCTGAGGACAAACCTGTAGAAGACTTGATTTCTGTTGTACGGTAGATGGGACCATTTTAGAGGGCAATTTGTGTGCCAAATGATCCTCACATGTTTTTCTCATTTTTGCTTGCCCATCGCTAGGTGGAAGCACCCAAATCTCCATTTAGCTGATGAGAAACAGAATGTCAGCGAGGGAAACGACTTCACCACGACACAGTTAACACGTGATGAGGAAGGGCCTTGTTCAAAACTACAATGCTCCTTCACCCTCCAAAAATATAGCTCTCCCTGTAATACAAAATATAGACTTGTGAAAAAGATTATAAATATTTAAAGGATCTAGACTACGTAAATAGATATTGTATACATGTCATACCAGGTTCTTTCTTTTCCCAATTTCAGATGAGATCGGGCATGTTCAGGGTGGTATAGCCATAAGCCCAATTTCAAATTCTGTCAAACTTCTTGGTTGACAATGAGAAAAACTTTGCCCTTTGTTTCTTGATATTGTGTCAATCTGCTTATCTGTCTGTCAGCTTGGACCACCCCTGAAAAAACCTGAATTACCATCTGTTGTTTCATGAATGCAGTAGAGTCAGCATTTTGCCTTATCAATGCATGAAGGCCAGTGAACAAAGGGTATCTGTAGGTGAAACTGAACTGACCTCGGGCTGAACTTGTCCATCTTTCAGCATTTTCCACCCTGATGCTGTTTCCAGGAAGGTCATGGAGTGAGAAGGGGAGATGGCTGTAGCTGCCAACCTCTCCTTAATGAGTACAGTTGCAGACAGAATCAGTCAGACATATTATCACAATTACAGAACTGACTTTGAGAAGGATTAATCTGTGACACAATACACTTCATGAAAATGATATTGAGCTTGACTTCTTCCCTGCTCTAGTGATGCAGAGGGTACTGTAGGATCCCACTGTGGGCACAGGGGTTCTGCTCTAAGTATCAGTTCTCACGGTTGAGATCTCAAGAGCAGTCTGCTTATTTAAGTCCAGGTCTTTTGAGTTCCATATACATAGATTCATGTGCATGGTAAGGAGATTCACACCAAATGCCCTGTTTGTCAGTCAGCAGGGGCTACGAATGGGGGATTTTGGATCAGATGTTGGAAGGATGGATGAGATGGGTTTGGTAGAAAGGAATCATAGAATCAGTTATTGCCAAGGTTAATAGTCATGATCACCTGAGGGCAGCCAGCCATGAGCAGTACTTGCTGGTAGTGGGGAGGTGAGGAGGGGAACAGCTAATGCTTAATGTGTTTACTGAATCTTTGATACATACCAGGCACTGAGTAAAAAGTTTTATATCCACGATGTTATTTAGGAAGCTTTTTTTTTTTTCCTTGAGACAGGGTCTTGCTCCGTTGCCCAGGCTGGAGTGCAGTGGTGTGATGTTGACTCACTGTGACCTCAGCCTCCTGTGCTCAAGCCATCCTCCTATCTCAGCCTCTGAGTAACTGGGCTACAGGCATGCACCACCATGCCCAGGCCACCATGTCTGGCTAATTTTTTTTTCTTTTTTGTCAGAAGACAGGGTTTTGGCATGTTGCCCAGGCTGGTCTTGAACTCCTGAGCTTAAGTGCTCCTCCTCCCTTGACCTCCCAAACCGCTAGGATTACAGGCATGAGCCACTGCGCCCAGTCTAGTAAACATCTTAAAACCCCTGTGGGATAGGTACTATAAAAGTCATTTTGCTAAAGGGAAAAGCCATGCATAGAGAGGTGATTAATTGTTTAGGGTGGCACATTTATTGAGGGGCAGAGCCAAGTCTTGAGCTGGAGACTGCGTGACCCCTCCCTGGGCTTCATCTTTGCACTGTGCCTCCTCCTAGAGCTCAGCATGCCATGAGGCTACCAGATGGAGGCCTGGATGGATGCGGGGTGCTGAAGTGAAAGGGGTTGCATGAGATTGGAGCATAAGCCTAGGAGGAACTGCATGGAACAAACACCCACGTGAAGTTTACATCAAAGTCAGGTTATATGGGAATGTCATAGAAGAGCTCATTTGCAGCCACAGCATTTTCAGGTTAAAGACAGGCCTTTTAAAGGTAGAAGTCCACAGCTGTCTTGTGGACTCAGGCCAGCATGATAGGGGTCATCTCTAATGTGCTGAGGAATTTGCAGAGGTCCTGGCAAGTTGAGGCTGCAAGTGAGACCTCTGTGATGATCCATTCCAACGCCTTCTCAGTTTATTGTGTTGAATAATTATTAACAGGATTGCTACTTACTGTCTAAAGAAGACACATTGCAAAGTGCAATTATACGATGAACCTCCTCAGTATGGCCTTTCTCGACAACACTATCCAAAGGTATCCCCTGCCTTCAAGCACTCCATCTCTCTGTCTCTTGACCCCATTAATTTTTTTTCATAGCGCTCTTCTCCATCTGAAACTATTATGTTTGTGGAATTTCTTGCCTAGTTACTCACTTACCAAGAAGAATACAAGCTCCATCAGAACAGGGACTGCCTGTTTTGTTCTTTGCTGAGGAGCCCATAAAACAGCTTCTGGCTTATAGAAAGCTCTTGATAAGTATCTGTTACATGAATGTACATTTTGGAGAAATTAAAGGTAGACTTTAATACATTAACTAATTACCCTGATAAACATTAATAATTGCAGTATCAGAAAAGACAGGTTAGAGAAAATGTGTTTATGTGTAATGTGTTCATGTTTATGTGTATGTGTTAATGTGTAATGCACAAAGTATATGTCTATTACATATGATAACTTTGACACATAAGTACATTTCCTTAAATATGGATAAAGTCCTATTGATTCTAAACTTTCACAAGTCATTCACAGGGAGTGATGTATGTCCTAGCTGGTCCTGTGTCAGCACCATTACATCAGTGCCAGGCAGTGTAGGAATAAACCCCGTACAAAGCAGAAATAAACAACGTGAGTGCATCAACTCCTGCGATTCCAGAGCCCTCCTGGGTTCAGTATGTGTTTTTCCTCAAGGGAGGACCATTTAAAGGAGTGCTCCGAGAAGTGTTAAGACCACTCTAATCTGTAACTAATGAGGACACCAGTTGAGGGTTCAGGTATACATGTAGGGGAAACTGTGGGCTAATCTAACTCTTTCTTCCTTTTTATTCTATTTTCAGCCTGATCCTTCTCTCTCTGTTCTCTTTAAGACCTGACACTCTCCTTCTGTGTAAAGAGCCGCTCCAGGAGGTGTGTAAATGGACCCCTACAGGAAGCTGCTCGGAGGCGGCTCTGGGCACTGGAGAATGAGGACCAGGAGGTGCGCATGCTGTTTAAGGTGAGCATGAAGGAAACAGGTGAATGCTGAGTACTGACTTGTGTCAGTCTGCTACAGGATCCCTAGCATCTAAGACAGCATCTGGAACAAAGTAGGTCCTCGGAAAAAACATCTAATAGGTAGACTGAATGAATGAAAGATTCCGTGCACATTCTCTGCACAGGAGTGGAGAGGAGTGGGCAGGAACTCTGAATGAGGCAACTTGGAGTTGCTGAGTCAGAGAAAATTTGGTTTCAAATATTCTATTAGTTGTGATCTTTGACAAGTTACTTAACCTATATAGAATGGGAGTTGTTATAATACCTACCTCATTAAGTATACTTTTTTTCTAATGCGGTAATTTCAAATTCTTTTTTTTTACTGTGATACAATATACATAACATAAAATTTTCCATTTTAATCATTTTTTAAGTGTATGATTCTCTATGACACTAAGTACATTCACAACCTATCCACCTCCAGAACTTTTTCATCATCTCAAACTGAAATTCCATATCTATTAAACAATAACTCCCATTATCCCCATGTCTCAGCTCCTGGTAACCGCTAAGTATATATTTTTAAAGTACCAAGATTGCCAATCAAAAAACAATACCTTATAAATACTTGGGTGAGAGGAGGAAAAAAACAATAAAGTAAATAAACCAATTTCTCATCTTTCATAGTAGGTAGATAATATCTTCATTTGTTAAAACCAAGGAAGAATGGTATGATCAAATTATTTACAGTTTAGGATGTATTAAGTAGGAGAACTAAAGTCAGAAATGGAAAAAAGTTGTTTCAACTAGAGGTAGGGAAAGGATAATATTACTTTACATAAACTAATATGTTCTAGTTACTTTTTACAGTTTCTGCATGAATCTGGTACAAACTGAAGGAGAAAAGTGTTCTAAATGTCATGCAGCAAAAAAAGATAATGTCTGGTTTTTCAGGGGGAAAACGAGATTGTATGAGTAGAGAGCTTGGCATTGTGTTTGGTGATATGTGTTCCATAAACAGTAGCTACATTTTTTTGAATTTTATTTTATTTTTTTTAATATCTGGAATTCAGGAACTGGGAGACACTGGCTGCTATTGGTACTGTAGATTTTCCTTTATTTTGAGTCTCATTTGGTATGGCAGGAGCAGGGTTGATTGAGAGAGCTGGTCTGCTGGGCTGAAGCTTGAGTCAGACATACTTGTGGGCTACAGTTGAGGCCTGGAGTCAGCTAGATCTGAAATCTAATCAAGGCTCCGCAGCTTACTCCCTGAAGGTGACCTTGGACAATTTACTTAACCTCTCTGTGCCTTGGCCCCCTTGAATATGCAACAGGGATAATGCCATTTTTCATTAGATCTAAGATGCCATTGATTATAAAATGCACTGTTATTTTATGTACTTCCAAGAAAGAAAACAAATGCTGCCAATTATGGTTGATGACATACTTCCTTATCTTTTAGTTCAGAAGTGGTTAAATGTGATAAAAGCACATTTTGGAATGGCCCAAATACTGTCATTGCATTCTCTTCATAGCGCTTTTGTGGGAGTTAAATGACATATTGCTCATAAAGCTCTGGGTGAAGTGCCAGGGATGTAGTAAATTCTCTGTAAGTTGATTTTTACCTAGCACCCCTTCCCTAATGATGGATCTGGGGCCTCCTGGGGTTTGGTATGGCAGAAGGAACCCCAGAGTTCTGATTTTACTGAACTGGGGCTTTTCTTCTGGATTCTTCTATCTTCTTCTTCCTCTAAGTTTCCCTCATGATAGAGCTCCTGGAGTTGGTACTGATGACAGGACCTGGCCTGGTGGAGGGATGTTCTGACCGTCACTTGTTACAGTCAACTCCGGAGGCTTGGACAAACAACAGATTTAAGGGAAAACTAAGTCTGGGCAGTGATTCAGACCTGCTTTTTTTTTAGGTATTATAAAAAAACCAGGCCGGGTGCGGTGGCTCACGCCTGTAATCCCAGCACTTTGGGAGGCCAAGGTGGGTGGATCATGAGGTCAAGAGATCGAGACCATCCTGGCCAACATGGTGAAACCCCATCTCTACTAAAATACAAAAAATTAGCCAAGCGTGGTGGCAGGTGCCTGTAGTCCCAGCTACTCGAGAGGCTGAGGCAGGGGAATCGCTTGAACCTGGGAGGCGGAGGTTGCAGTGAGCCGAGATTGCGCCACTGCACTGCACTCCAGCCTGGCGACAGAGCGAGACTCCGTCTAAAAAAACAAAACAAAAGAAAACAAAAAAACCCCCAAGAGGCTTATAGTCTTCCTGTCACTCTCCTTGTGAGCATGTAAATTGGAAAGCCTTCCTGGGGGACAGTTGGGTGACTGCATTTTAGGATTGAAAATGTGCATATCCTTGCATTTCCAATTGCACCTCTTAGAAATACATGTGTTAAAACAATTAAGAATGTGCACAAAGATTTAGCTATAAAGATGTTTATCACAGTACCATTTAGGATTTTAAAAAATGTAAAACAATCCAAACATGAAACCATAAGAAAATGATAATAATTCATTATGTTAATGCAACAATGGCACATGTAACCATTAAGAATGGTGTAAACTTTGTGATGACATAGAAGATGCTTTGCAAAATATTGCTTAGCAGCAAAAGAAGATTGCAAAATAATTTATGCAATGTGATTCTATATATGTGAAATAGTTATATGGAAACTTGTGTAGGAAAAAAGATGCAAATTTATTACATGAAGATGTTAACACTGATGATCTTTAGGAGTAGGGACTAGGGATGATTATTTTTGTGTGTTTTGGTTTTTCTGTTTTCAGCTTTGTATTAATAAAAATAATCATTAGACATAGACTCATAATCAAATTTGCTTTCAAGATGCCTTCTATGAATCAGCGTCCTTTATCCTCCCACATACACTTTTTTTTTTAAACACAAAAAGTAGCATTCTTTGCCCATAGTTCTATTCCCTGGCTTCTTTTGCTGCTGCCGCTGTATAGCAGTATTATATCTGGAGCCTATATCAGTACACAAAGAGCTTCTTTCTTCTTTTCTGTGGCTGCATAATACAATATTTCACTTTATGGATAAATTGTACTCCATTTTAACCAATCTCTTATTGATGAATATTTAAGTTGTTTCCATTTTTTGGTGACGTAAAAATCAATGCCATAATCAAGAAGTTCATACAGAGTATTTGGTCTATATAAGAGCTTGCTAATGGGACACTTCTGTCATCCCAGGCTGACTCATTGTTTCCTTTACGTAGGACCTCTCAGCAAGGTTGGTCAGTATCCAGTCTCAGAGGGCCCAGTTTCTCATCACCTTCAAGACCATGGAGGAAATCTGGAAGTTCTCCACCTACCTTAATTTAGGTATGGTACAAGGCAAGCAGGTGGAGGATGACCTCCTCCACAATTTAGCCAATTTGTAGGGCTTGACATGAAGGAATTGGCCTGGCTCTGGTAATTAAGAGAAATAGAGCCTTAAAAAAGATGGTTAACTTTTGAAATTTCACAAAGTGCCTCAAACTAAATCTAAGGCAAATATTAACTATTATTCTAAAATGCCGTATGAAGAAGTTTGCTTTTTTGTGTCCAGGGAGATCTTTTTTTATTAGATAACCAATCAATTGGAAAACAGTTATTGGTCATCTACTAAGTTCAAAGTACTGAAATAGATGTGAACTTGGTGCTAGTGTGTGTGTTTTAAACTATAGGGAACTAATCTTGAGTAAGATCGAAGTAGCTGCTCAACATAGTCAATAGCAAAGTTCCAGATGTTTTATTGCATGTATTTGGAAAAGAGTTAAAGAAAGAAATAGAGAAATTATCTGCTTATAGCAACCTAAGGCTGCAGCGTTTTCTAGAAGGTAAAGAAGGACATTGGGATGCAGCGTCAGTTCCACTGTGGTGGGAAATGGTTCACCTGCCTTCTCCAGACAGAACAACTTATAATGGGGAAGTTAAAGTGAAGCCAAACAAAACAACAGGCCACCTAATTTGATGGATGTTTTATATCTCCCAGAAAATGCTGGGCTCCATGCCGACATACACAAGGACAGATTTTGTGCAGGGGTGGAGGGTCAAGATGACTCATGACTGGAAAACATAAGGTGTATCTTCTCCTCTTATGGTCTGGAGATCTGATCTCCACACTACACATCTCCTTCCTGACCATCAGACATCCTCACTATTCAAACTGTGCTCCATAGACCGGCTCGTTGGCAGCACATAGAGTCTGTTAAAAAAAAAAAAAAAAAGGAGAAGCTCAACCCTATCTCAGACCTTTACTAAGCATTTGTAGTTTAATAAGATCCCCATGTGATTTGTGTGCACATTAAAATTCAAAAGTGCAATTATAGAAGATACATAAGGCCTAGATCAGCACAATGGACAGTCAGGATAGAAACAGACAGGCTTTTGCATCTTAGGAAACAGAAGAAGCCTCAAGAGAAGCAATACGAGTAGTTCATGTTTATAGCCATGTTTAAAATACTATATATAATTATTAGAGTTTTACAATTTACATAGTTTTTAGTCTGCTTTTACCAGAGAGATCTTCTGGGCATTGGAGGAGGGGCAGGGTCAGAGCTGGTGGGTGGAAGGAAATCCTGACTCCTGAAATTCACTGAGGGGGAGCCATGTAGAACCTCCTCAGCCACTGCATCATCAGGGACACAGTAGTTTGAACCTCAGGTCAGGAGAACTTTAAGGGGGCACTAGGAACCCCCATAGTCAACACTGTAAACTTGGAGACCTCCGTGGCTGTATTAGAAAAAGGCAGTTGGTTTTGGTCATCTCATTATGCATTTATGGAAACTCACAATATGTTGAAATGGTAAATAACATTTAGAAATGACTTGTATTTCCCAATAGATGTTGAGAAGACTCAACTCATTCTAGAAAATGTCTGGCTTTGCCTCTTATGTTGTTTTAATTCCAGTTAAATGGCAGGTTGGGGCTTGTGGTCTGGGAATCAAGCTCAGGAGGGAATTTTCTCACTCTCTTCTGTGCTCAGCTATGTCAGAAATCATTTTGTTCAGAAATCTTGTTGGCTTGACTTCTTAGGCTACGTATCCATGTGTCTAGAACATCTCCTCTTTGACCACAAGTACTGGCTCAACTGCATATTGGTGGAGGATACAGAGATCCAAGTGTCTGTAGATGATAAACACCTGGAAACAATATACCTGGGACTCCTGATACAGGAAGGTGAGTGTGGCATAGGGGTAGAGATGGGATCTTATTCAGATATTTGCTACCAGAGGCCATGAAATAAGCAGGATGCAAAGGGAGGGAAAAATCATTCAAACATGGAATATTCACAAATGAACCCACCTGTTATAATAGTACTTTGAACATTCCTCTGAGTTCAACACTGACATTACACGAACAGCTGTGCTGGTCAGTCTCACTGATTGATGTTAGAACTGCTTGGAGAGTTTTACTAAGATACCCAAGCCAGGGCTCCACTTAGGCCCATTAAATCTCTGAAGGTGAAGGCCCAAGTATTGGCATATTTTGGAAAGTTTTCCACATAAGTCTAATGTCTACCCAAAATCGAGAAACCCTTTTCCAAACGTGATAAAATTTGATTGTAAAATAAAGTTGCAAATGTTGCAAAACTTGAAGTTTTTTATGAAAGTGAGGAAAGTGATGTTGAGGAACCTCTTGGAGCACCTCTTGATCTGTTTATAGGTGAGAGTCCCATCAAGGTTATCATCTACCAATTAACAACTATGAGGTGGATAAGCCTGATGACATCACAGACACGTGGAAAGAGCCAGATTTGCATATGATATTTTTGCAAAAAGGACTCTTATGATTGCATTGCAGAAATATTGCATGAAGGAAAGAATTTAATATCATGCTATTATAAAACTTATTGGAGTAATTATATTCACCCAAACTAATTTAATCAATTCTTTTTTGGTTCTAATTTTAATCATGAGGTTGCAACAATAAATGAAATTCTATTAAATATAAATATATTTTCACAAGTTTTCATCTCTTTTTCAAGATAAAGTCCCAATTAAGCCTTTTTCTCATAGATTATTAGAAATGTTGGTGTCTGTTTTAACTGAATTCCCTCTCAATGGCTTTTTTCTTCCTGGTATCAGTGTTCCTGGGATCATAAGGCCTCTTTTAGTGTCTCCCCTGTGAAACGTCTACTTTACTTCCAGGAAGAAAAGTACTCCAGCTCTGAATAGAAGCATTACTTTGTGTGATAATCCGTTTTCACTTCCTGCTACTCCTTAGAAAGCCATTGCTTTTCTCATTATCCACAGGCCACTTCTTCTGCAGAGCCCTGTGCTCCGTGACTCCACCAGCCGAGAAGGAAGGGGAATGCTTGACACTTTGCAAGAATGAGTTAATCTCAGTGAAGATGGCAGAAGCTGGCTCCGAGTTGGAAGGCGTGTCTTTGGTGACAGGTCAGCGGGGCCTGGTACTGGTGTCAGCCTTGGAGCCTCTGCCTCTCCCTTTCCACCAGTGAGTAGCCATCTGCCTCCTGGGAGCAAGTCCCAGAGCAGACTGAGGTTTGCACAGAACAGAGTAGGCATGCTTTCAGATATGGGCATCCATAGTGTGGAGGAGAGAACAGATTCTGGGTGGGTCTTTATCTTTCTGTCTTTTTCTTTTCTTTTTTAACAACCAAGAATTTTAACAATCTGATGAAATTGGAGACAACTCTAAATTTCAGATGGGCATTGTACCTAGCAGCAAATATACCACACGACCGCCAATGTAGTGTTTCTCCATGTATGGACTGGGGACCACTTGTCTGGGCCTCCTTAGACTTTCTTGGGGTTGAGTCTAGGAATCTTCATTTTAAATAAACTTCCTAGGAGATGCTTTTCACACTAAAGTTTAAGAAATCCTGCTGGAAGATATGATTAAACTTAAATATACAGATTGACAGTAAACATTACCCCACACCATGGACCTGTGTGGCTCTGGCAGAGATCTGACAGTTCAAGTGTAAAGGGATTGTTTGTTAGTTATTTAACTGACAAACTACTTTCGGAGCCACAAAATATCCCAGGTCTACTAACTTCTCACCTTTTCACAGGTCCTGGTAGAAAGTAAGTTCTCAATAAACTTTTGCCATCATTTAAATAAGAGAAAAAACAATACTCATCATCATCATCATTATTCTGATAGACTGTTCTGTTCATTGTTGCAATTTTTTGAAATCTGTGTTTGCAAACCCCATGTTTTCATTGGCAGGTGGTTCCTAAAGAATTATCCAGGAAGCTGTGGCCTTTCCAGGAAGAGGGATTGGACAGGCTCCTATCAGATTGGTATGGCTGAGTCAAAAACATAGTATTGTTAGGGAGATAATGTTGTCCTGCCTCTCAATTTTATCTGCAGGTTTGGAGTCAGTTGATGTGAATTTTTGTCTCGTCTCTGCTAGGAACTGGATTTAGGGAAGCCAGTTTCTGTCTGTGCACATGGTTTTCCCTGCCTGTGAAATGAGAGGTCTCAATCCAGGGGGCAGCTACAAATGCCTGCAGGTGTGGGCAGGACACACAGATGCTAGGGGGCCTGGATGGAAGGTATTAGGGAATGGCAGGAATAATTAGGGATTTTAAGATATATGAGTGAAAAAACAGGGCCAAATTAAATGTTTCGTGAGCCAAATGCGGCCTGTGGGCTGCCTGTTTCAATCTCTGGTCAAAACATTTTCTAATTTCCCTTAGAGTTTTGTAAAATTAACTTTGAATTTAGGAAGAGTAGAAATGCCTGGCACATAAGGGTACTCAGTAAAAATTTGTTGAATAAATGAATTATATACACACACACACACAATTTAAGTAATCTGTATGTGTGTATACACACATATCTGTAAGTACTGTAGATCCATATCTACTGGATAATGAAGTCCAACACTTTTTAGACATCTAGAAATACCTTCTGTTCATCTTCATCTTTAGAACTCCCCTTCACCTCCCTCCCACACACTCCTACCACAAAGTACAATTTTATAAGTGCTGAGCCCAAATAACACAAAAAAAGAAATAGGATTATGGAACCCAGACATCAGATCTAATAAATTACTGATGACAAACAAGATTTTTAGCTTCCTAAAGCAGTACAGCCTTGTAGTTAGAACGCAAGGCTTTGAAGTCTATTCTGGTTCAAATTCTGGCTCCTTGACTTAAAACCAGTGTGATCTTGGCCAATCCACCTGCCCTATGTTGCAACTTCCTCATTAGTAAAATGATACAATAAAACCAACTTAAATGTTGTTATGAGAACCAAACAAAATGACATCCATAAATCACTTTGCACAGTTTCTCTTACAATGTAGATATTTAACACATGGTAGATCCCATCGACCCACAAAATAGTGAGAATTTCTGATCTTGAAAACACAATCTAGAAACTTGACCAAAAATGTCAGAAAAAATAGGCTAGTAGCTTTAGCAGAGAAGCTAAAGCAAATATGGAAACTGAGGCACATAAAAGCCTTTATCTCCACCAGGATTAATGGAGAGGCTAACCAGCAGCCTGAAGACTTAAGCTCTAGACTCAGTTTTGCCATGCATAAGATCCTTAGACAAATCTCATACCCTCTCTCTCCCTCCGTAACCTGGGAAAAGGGGATTCTGATAGTTTCCGTGCCCTTTGAAGCTCTTGAGAAGACCTGAGAAAGTGAGTGCAAATTGTACTTTGTAAACTGGACAGAAAAACATTCATCAAAAGGTCATTGCTAGATCCTAGGTAGGCAATTTATCAGATTGAGTACCATAGTCTGAAAGGGAGTCTTTTAGATCCTTCTAAGTCATTAGCAGCTTTCTATTCCACCAGTGGTAATAAGGCTAATGTTTATTGAGGGTTGACCAGGTACCAGGCATTGTGCACTGTATCTCTTTGATTCTCTTTAATATTTATAAGCAGCAGGTATTCCTATTATCCCCATTTTCCAGTTGGGGAGACTGAGGGTCATAGAGGCCAAAGGAGCTGGAAGGACATGGAGAGCTTCTCTGGTCGAGTGGTTCTCACACACTGGTCTGTGGATTTGTGCCAACCATGACAAAGCATTTACATTACAGTGGCAAAATCAGACAAACCAGGACAATACAGTGAGCTTTCCAGTTTCCCATAAGCTATGTTTATTCATTTTTAAGGCATATCCGCTATCTGAGAATCTTTTTTTGTGTTTGTTAAAACATTTTTTCTTTGGTGAAAGTGGATTGTAGTTCTTTTAAAAATATGTCCTAGTTTGGCAAAATGAAAAGCAAATTGTCCTGTGTCATTCCTGCCAATTTTTGGGTGGGGAGGGGAGTGAAATGTTACTGGTCCTTGACATTCTAAAGTCTGGGAACCCCTCATTTTCTATTGCATTGGAAGGTGATGGGAGGCTCAGCTGTTCATGTCTTCTGTAGCTGATCTGTGTGCTATTTTCCACAGGCAGAGGACGCTGTAAGGCCTTGACGGGTTATGAGCCAGGAGAAAAGGATGAACTGAATTTCTACCAGGGAGAAAGCATTGAGATCATCGGCTTTGTCATACCTGGGCTTCAGTGGTTCATTGGAAAGTCGACAAGTTCAGGACAAGTGGGCTTTGTCCCCACCAGGAACATAGATCCTGATTCTTATTCCCCAATGTGAGTATTGACAGTGAGCATGTCCTGGAGCTGGGCTCCCTTTCCCAGGGTTCCCTCCCCTCTTTGAGCAGATTTGCAGTTGAGCTTCGAGGGTGCCCTGGTGACATGGAGCCAGAAAAGCACATGCTGACACCAAGGTTGATACAGAGAGTGATAGAAAGGAGAGAATGCGTCAGTTCAGTTTATTTTAACAGGTGGTCACTGAGGACTTCCTCTGTGCAAGGAGGGAAGCAAAACTCCAAGACAAAGGGCATGCTGTTAGGCACTGAGGGTGTGGTTTTGGTACTTGGATCCTGCTACCCACACTGTCTAACCACAGGGCCCCTTCAGAGGAAGGGCACACACGGGGAGAAATAGATTAGCAGCATGCTGATCCCACATAGGGCTGGGAGGTGGGTCCCATGTAGATCTTCACTCATTCAGCTTTCAAGCTGAATGCCAATGTGTGACTTCAGCATTGGCTAGGAGGGCAGAGTGTTTCTCTTACTCTTTTCTGCCTTGAATCCAGAAAGGCTGGTTCTGAGGAGCAGACCCATCTGCCTGGCCAATCAGGAGAAGGTGATCAGCCTGCTCCACCCACCCTGTCATGGAAGGACAGAGATATCGGGTATTGCTCCATCTTTTTGGAGTGGGCTTCCTATGTGGGGATAGGAAACAGTAGAAAGCCTGGGCGCAGGAAGTACACGAGGAAAGGGAGAGTTGGCTCCTAACACTGACACAACATAGCGCCCTACACTGGGAAAATGTGGCCCCAGAAATGTCTAACGATCTGAACAGAGACTTAAATTCTTTCTCTTGTGGGAAATAGCCAATGAAGAGAGCAGACCAAGGGGCAGAAGCTCCCTGTAAGCCCTGCCCTTCGTGGGGAGAGGAGGAGACAGAAGGTTATTTTTTTTCTATGTAGAAATGTGGGAGTCCAAATAACTATAAACAAGGAAGACCACTCACTGAGCTCCTGGAGAGGTATGGAGAACTATCGGGACTTGTAAGGAAGAAAAGGATATCAAGAGAACTTCATGAAGAAGGGGACATGTGAATTAAGCTTTGCACAATGTAAAATATTTCAACAGATGTTGATGGGAAAAGAGGTCATAGGTAGGAAAGTGAGTCAGTGCTTGAAGAACGACTCATGTAGTTTGGAGGAAGTTACCAGAAGGTCACTGGTGCAGCAAAGGTGGGTCCATGCTCTGGAAACCTGGGAATGCCTGTGTGAGGGCCCTTTCCTTAACCTGGCAGAGAATGGGGAGCTACTGCATGTCTCTGAGCAAGGGTGACATATTATATGACTGGACCTTTTCTCTAGGAAATGAAACCTGGCTTTGGGGGAGGCATGCATCATCAGGGGGAATCTGGAGGCAGGAGACCAGCGAGAAGCCCACGGTGGCACTTAGAAAAGGGTGAGAATGGAGAGGAAGGCCACTGCTGAGGACCAATGGACAGGAAGTCAAAGATTCCAGGAGCTTTACAAATATGGACACCTGTGTTCTGCCTCCAGAGGCTGTTGTGTAACTGGTCTGGATGGAGGCTGGGCAATTATATTGATAAAAGCTCCCCAGGTGGGGCTGGTGGGCAACCAAGGTGAGAACATTGCTCTGAACCACCCCTTCATGTTACCACAGGGGGAACAGAGGACCCCAGGGATGAAGGAGCTGAACCCAAGGCCTTCCCTCTGGAACTTTAGAATCCTGACATTAAATCCAGTGAGCTCTCATTAAATGTCCTGGTGATTTTAAATCCTGACATGAAATCCAATACATTCTGGTGAGAAGTCCCAGTGAAAGGGAGAAAGAAAAAAGAGGATGGAAAATAGGAATGGGGGAAGAACCCTGGAGGATGCCTCCATTTACAGAGCAGAGGAAGAGAGAACGCAGAGAGGAAACAGAGGAGCCACAGAGAGGAAGAAACAAGCTGCGGGGGAGGCGGGGCTGACACCTGTGCTGTCATCAGAGAGGTACAGCAGGGCCAAGTGAGGAAAGAAAGGCCTTTGGGACTGGCCATTGGTAGGTCTTCTGGAAGCACAGTAGCTACATGGCTTACAGAGTTGTGGAGTCAGGGTCCCCAAAAGGCATTCATGACCATGTGAGTGCAGCTTGTGCCTCCACTGGCTTACCAGCTCCTTGTCTTTGGACATATTCATTTATCTCTCCATGCCTCAGTTTTCTCATCTGTAAAATGTGTAGAATGTTAGCACTTGCCTAATAGGATTGCCGTGACTTTAAATGAGCTAATAATACACACAAAGCCCTTAGAATGGTGCCTGGCACAGTGTGTGTGTGTGTATGATCCACAGGCACTTGTTCTTATTGTTGTTTGTGTCATTGCCGTTGTTGTGGGTGGTGATCTTGAGAGGCAGTTTTAATAGGATATTGGGGACAGATGTCATTTTCATAACTTATATTTGGACTTCTGCACCTCACGCTAATTTACCTCAAATGACAGTAAGTCAGCACTACTGAATTAATTCAGTCATCATATTTTCACTGGCTTAGTTGTAAGGGGTCCTCTCACACTGAAGAGCAGCGTCCTCTGTGCTGTGTGAGGTGGACTATGACATTCTCCTGTGCCTGGTCAGTTGTGGGACCCAATGCACCAGAGATTGCACAATTGGTACCGAAGGGGAAAATGAGTCAGAAAACAGGGAGGGGTGGCACAAGGAGAAGAGGGGAACTGGCTCCTTGCATATCCCCCAAAGCACTCTCCAGATATCAGAGCTCCTTGAATCACAGCAACAGAGGGATGGGTTTTGAGCTCAGAGGAATGACCCAACTCCACGCAAGCAAGCCGCTGAAGTCTCTGCACGCTGCCGTCCGACTGGCCACTGGGTGTCACTCTTGTCTATGTTTGCTGGGTGTCAGGGTCTGAGAAGAAATTCAGCCTTTGCTGAAGTCTCCATCTTCTCCGTGTAGGTTTTCTTTTTGTGCTTGTGTATTACTCCCTAAAGTATGTGTGTATACTTAAGTGCCTAAATTAAAAAAATAAGTCAGATTGATAAATTAATGTACTCAAAACCAGAAAAAAGAACATAGGAAAAAAGCTAGTATTTTATAGTATTACAGTTAGAAAACATTCTTTTGTTACATTCCTTCTTTTATTCTTCATATTGCCTGTGTCTTTATAATTCAATTTCTTGTGGAATCTATTTTTGACACTAATAATTTTGCCATTGGTCTCATAGCCATTTATTTGCATGATGTGTCTACGTGTAATATATTTTATTACATATTGACAGCAAGTTGTCCACTTCTTCTTCATAGAGTATCTATTTTAGTAGCTATTTTCAGTGAAGATCTGTGGGTTATAAATACTCTCAGTCCTGAGTCTTGGCCTGTCTTAAATATATATAACACTTAACATATACTCTTGAATTATAATTTAGCTAGGTATAGCATAACATCTTCAAAGTTTGCAGGAAAAAATAACTTTAACTATAAAATTGCAAATCCATGTTGCCAGGGCCTTGTCCATTTTGCTTGTCTTTTCAGAGAATCATTTTTTCTTTTGTTGACCATCTTTATTGATTTTTGTTTTTATAATGATACTTCATTAATGACAGCATTTGCTTTGATTATTTTTGTCTACTTTCTTTGTTTTTATTTCATTAATTTATGATCTTATCTTTCATATTCAATTCATTCATTCTATAAAGTTGAACTGTCAATAGTAATTAAACCAAGAAAGGAGGCGTAGGAGAAATAGAGAACTTAAAAAGACCTGTAAGCATAAAGAAATGGACATCATGTTAAAAATGATATTATATTTATTTATTTTGCTCAGGACTTGGTGTGTTTCTTCAATATGAAGATTCATGTCTTTCTTCAATTCTGGAAAATTTTCAGTCCTTCTTCCTTTGAATATTGCCTCTCTCTCGTTCTTTTTAGTCTCTCTTCTGGAATTCCTATTAGAGGTACGTTGGACTTACTCTATCCTCATTCTTGCTTAATCAGTTCTTTTATATTTTTTATCTTTTTGTCACACCAGGCTAAATTCTGATTGATTTTCTTGACATAATCTTCAGTTTCACTAATTCTCACCTCTGCTATGACTAAACTTGCTGTTTAACCCACCCATGTAGTTCTTAATTTCTGTGCCTTTATTTTCCATTTTCTACGATTTATATTTTGCTATTTTTCATATATGGCTGTTTCTTCTCACAGTGCTCCATCTTTTCATTGTAGCTTCTATTTTTTCTTATTATTTCACCTTTTTAATCATTCATATAAATTCTTCTTCAGATTATTGTCATTTCTAGTTTTTTGTAGTGTTAATATAGTTATTTGTGTATCTGCTGGCTCTCGTTGTGAATAGTTCATTTTATTGCATGGTTTGTATTTTTTGTTACATGAACTAATTTTCAACATTTTAAAAGATGGGTTTTATATGGATCCTGGACTGAAGAAAACCTTGCTGACTAGGTTTTGCATTTGCTTCTCCTGGAACCTTAGGGAGTAATGATCCAGGACTGATTTTTTACTATTAATTCTTGGATCGTGGTACCAACACCAGGTAGTGTAAATTCAGATCCCACACGTCCCAGTGGCATAAGCCTAGGTGTTTGATGTTTTCCAGGGACTCAAATAGATGAAAAGTGTGTTCTCGGCAGGTAGGAAGAAATTTTTCAATCTGCTCTTTGCTCTTTACAGAAGTTGAACTCTTTCAGACTCCAGGGAGTTTAATGGGCTCCCTGCTTCAGGCAGGTCTAAATCACATCTCCTGTCCTTGGGGTGGGCATTAGAAGGTCAACCCCAGTTCTGAAGGCCAGAGTCCCAGCTGAAACCACCAGGAGCTCTGGGCCATCTGCTTTCACCTGCCAATCTGGGTTTGGTTTTTGCTTTTGTTACTGGCTTCCAGTGATTTCCCTTTCTTTCTTTAAATAATGTACTAAAATATTCATCTTTGTTACAGATTTTTCTATAGATATGGGGGAGAGTGGCCCTTTTAGAGCCCTTTAACCTGCCATATTGCCAGAAGCTTTGCCATGTTCTTCTAACCCAGTTTTCATGTTTGGAAATATCTAATGCAATTTGTCAAGCTTCTTGGCCTTTCCCTAAATTCTAAATTCTCGTAAGTTGTCCTGGAACTCAGGACTTTAGCAGATGTTGTGAGGCAATGCACGCAGAGGTAGAAGACCTCAGTTTTAGTTTCAGCTTTACCACTTTCTAGCCATGCAATTCTTAGCATGTCACTGAACAGTTCTGAATCCTTTTCTTAATCTACAAACATGGATTAAAAAAACCTGCACCATAAAGTTGTTATAAACAGTAAATGAAATAGTAAATTTAGGAATACATTGTAAAATTTAAGAGATCTATAAAACTTTGGGATCAATTTATCCCAGTTGAATTTAGTTGTAGATTTCAATTACATGCTGTTTTGAGATTAGAAGCTTCCGTGGTGTTGGGGGGAATCTGGCGATCAGCCCAGGGAGATGGGGGCCCAGTCAGTGTGGTACTATTAATAGTGTTCTCATCATGGGCTTTCAAACTACATTTACCTGAGTTATGGGGACAAATGGTAATGGCTGATTACAGTACCCCCATCCCATCCCCTCCTTGAACACTGCTTTAATTAGAGAAGTTCTTATGTCCTGCTCTACCACTCCCTAACCACCAACTTCATTTTGCTGTGCCTCAGTTTATTCGTCTGTAAAAAGGATAAGAGTAGTACGTGCCTTGTATGGCAAATGTGTGGATTAAATAAAATAACAGTATCTGGTTCTTCATACCACTTCCTCCCAAAGTATTAGCTATTATTAACTCCTGGGCTTCCAAGTTAATTTTGTTTTCAAAATGGGTTCTGACATTAAAACATTCTCTATTTAGAACTAAAAGTGGCCTAAAAAATTGTTTAGATAGATGCAACCCAGTAGCTTCTAAGGCACTTCTAGTTTTTTATTATTTAATTCTATAACAAATCTCTAGTAAGCAAATTAGGCTTAACAGTTAGTTTACACAACAGCATGAGTATCAAGATCTTTATTGCTTATAATGATTTCTTTCAGCTCCCCTAATCTTCCTTTTACCCACTTCTTTCCCTTAGCGATTCCAATCCTCTTAATGTTGACTAAACTGTTGTTCTATGCCATGGAATCAGACCTTAACAATGGTGAAAGATTCCTCTGACCATGGTCAGATTTTCTTCATTGTTCTTCTAGATTGTGTCACTTGTCCCTTGCTTTTTCTTGAAGTAACCTAAGGACAAATAAAATTTTTAATGGTCCCTTTTCAACCCTTCCATTTAGGGCAATTGATTCCTCTTTCTTCCATTAAAAATGGGTACCATGGTGTCTCAAAGAATGGGTAGAGGTTGAGAGAAGGGGCTTTGTTTTTCTTGGGAGATGGGGTTTTAAGAGAAGGGGTGTTTTCATCCCCACTTTGACCTACTGGACAACCACACCCCTCAGTTCTCCCAGCATGATGTGCTAGTAGCTCTTCTTTTTTGGCAGTATAAATACAGTATGCAATGGTGAGATGAGGAATCTAATTTCATTTGCGGGAAGTTGGTTTGATGACTTTTCTGCATCCTCCACTACATCCTAGTGTGGAGAGAAGAGGAGATGGAGTCTGAAGCCTTGCAGTAATCTGTCTCTGTGTTTTTTGCCCCGATGCAGGAGCAGGAACTCTGCCTTTCTCAGTGATGAGGAGAGATGCTCCCTGTTGGCCCTGGGAAGTGATAAGCAGACTGAGTGTTCCAGCTTCCTCCACACTCTTGCTCGCACTGACATCACATCTGTCTACCGGCTCAGTGAGTGTTGGTCCTCAGACACCTTCAAAAGCCTGGGGTCCTCAAGAATAAGATAGTGTCCCTAACCAGGAATAGAATACCCCTAAATTCTAATCCTATTCATGAATTTGGGTGGCCATGACCACTATTCTGTTGACGACCTGAATCATATTTGATTAGCAGCATTTCACTTTAGATTTCAGGTAATTCTGGGGTTTCAGGGGAACTATGAGACATGATGAAACCAACTCACCTATACCGTGGGTGACTGGCTGTACTGGGTCTTCCCTCCTAATCTTGGGGGAGGAGAACTTCCTGAGTCCTGGCTGAGGTACCTTCTAGGACTGAAGTAAGCCCCCAGTGAGATGGGTGGGGCTGTAAATGTTACCGCTGTGAAAAGGCCTTAAGAGATGATTTCTTGTCTCACATTACAGATTGGGAAACAGGCCTAAACGAATTAGTGCCTGAGCTAGGATAAGAACTGCTAGTCAGAGCAATCCACTTTACCACACTGCCCCTGACACAAAATGACTTTGAGTTGTTGGGTGTGTTAGTCTTGGATGTTTTCTGTGTCATGGGATCAGATCTCAACAATTGTGAAAGATTCCTCTGACAAACTGACTGGTTTTGAGCAGTGTCTGAAGGACTGACTGACTGAATGAATGATACTCTTACTTTGAGAAAGGCCTACTGTTGTGTGTCAGGGAGTACATTTTCTCATTGATGGTGACTTGAGGAAGAATTTTTGTTTCTCCCATCTCTTCATTGATGGTGACATTGTGTCCGCTCTTGTGTAGCCAGATTAGATGATCCATATTTTATGGATACAGCTAGAGATTCTGCTGAAGGGGCCCTCAGGCCATCTCCCAGGAGTAGAGCAGGGAGTTGAGAGCTATGTCCGTGCATAAAGAGTGTTTGTGAAAGCACATGCCTCAGGCATAAGCACCCTGCCCTAGCAGAGCTTTCTTGCCACAAGCCACAAGCAGATCATATTGCCTTATGAGGTTGAGCAGGAAGCTAGAGTTGTAAACACTGCCCAGTAGGCGGGAGCCTGATGTCTGAAAATTGAGGTGTACTAGCAGTGTTCCTTGGGGAGAAGGCCTGGGCACAGACTTGGATCATGATTTCTGCCAGCTGTTGGTCCAGTGGTGGGGAGGATGTAAGAGGAGGCCCCAGACAGCACTTGACTCTCACTCAAAGATCAGGAGTGCAGCTCTGCGGCGTGCAGTCCGCACCTTATGGTTGTGCAGGCTGCCCCAGCACCAAGACAAGCAGCAGGAGAACATCTTGTTGGTAAATTGCAGCTTCCCCAAGGCGTATACCATAGGGAAGGATGGCCCTTTGTAATTCTTCCTCCTAGAGAGGGGACACCATTTTGTAACTTGCGCATCACTCATACTCTTGGCCAGAAGAGAAGAGGTGGCCCAAGAGGGGCGTGTACCCCTCCACATCAGAGAGGCCAGGGCATTTGAACAGCTCTCCTTAGCCAAGCTCTATAGCTCTTCATCTTTAGCTGCGGGGCTTTCTACCCTCTGGGGGTTACAGATCTGGAGGTTCTGCAATGACAATCTCTGGAGATGCCATCCTGGAGAACAGCAGGAAAAGGTTTGACTTGGTGAGGGGCTTGCTGGTCCTCAAAGTTCACTAGAGAACTCAGGGTGGTGGCACAGACAGTTGTTACTTCTCTGCTAAGAAGAGGTAGAATCTTCCCTCTAGCAGCTACCATCCTGTGGAGTGTGAAGCTAGCCTTCACCTCCACAGTTCCACTGTGGTTGCTTTAGCCAACAGTGGTCACTTCTTCACTGCCAAACCCAAGGTGTCTTCTTGGTTCTTACCTAGTCCGGTTGCACTTGGTGGCAATAGGTGGTTATGTTTTAAGTCACCTTGGCCTCTGTAACCCCCTTTTCTCTCTGACTGTGCCTTTTCAGTCTCCCTCACTGGCTACTGGCTGCCAGTGAGTTGCCCAGGCTTATTAACAAACTCCCCCTACTCCCTCACTCCCTCACTCCCCTGCTGCTTTTCTTTTCCCCCAGATGCCTCACCTGTGTGATTACATTTAGTCCTGGGACTCTGGCCAGCAATTTGTGACCTGCTTTGGGTCACAAACCTGTGTTTGCAAAGTCTCAGTTTTTCTCCTTGGCTCCAGACCTACATCATTATCTGCCTAGAGCTCCTGCAGCTACCTCAAACCCCAAAGGTCTAAAACTGCACTCCAGATTCTCCCATCCTCTACTTCAGTCTCAGATGCATCCTTGCTCCTTTTTATTCGCCCTTCACTTCTGGCCCCTCGCCCCTGCCACTTTTACAAACACAGTGTCCAGCCCAGTGGACACATGGAACCAATGTCTGCCAAGTGGATGAATCATGAATGAATGGAGGAGGCAAGAAGGAAGGATGTGATACATTTAGAAGTGGGAGGCAGCACCATGTGCTCCCACGTGTTCTGTGCTGGGAGTTGTGTCCTGGCTCCATCGTGAACTCGCTGAGAGATTTGGGAGCTGCATCTCTCTGATCTTCAGATTCTATCAGGACCCCCACTGTCCCCACCCCCCACCCCCCTACAGTACCCATACCTCTTGACATAGAGCCTGTGTTTCCAGGTTTTCTTCTCGGACTCTGAGTTTCACGTATACCTTGGTTCCCAACTGTAAAGTGCATGGGTTAAACAAGATGATTAGGCCCCTACAGCTCTTAAGATGATGGGTGAAAGGATAATTCTGCCCTGTTCCTTAATGATGACTGAAGGTCTTGAATGCCAAGGCTCCTAAGAGGCCACTGATCTGGGGTACACCTGGAGGCATGGGCATGGTGGCCCATCCTGACCTAACACCAGACCTGTTCTTCATCTCTACTTAGGTGGGTTTGAATCCATCCAGAATCCTCCAAATGATCTGAGTGGTGAGTAGCGATCATGCTGAACCTGACATTCATCCTTGAGGACAGCACTTCTGTCCTCTTGCCAAGAGCGGCCACCTTAGGTGCAGGTGCCCAAGGTTGCTCAACTTTGCCTGTCCTTACAGCATCCCAGCCTGAAGGTTTCAAGGAGGTCAGGCCTGGCAGAGCCTGGGAGGAGCATCAGGCCGTGGGGTCCAGACAGTCCAGCAGCTCTGAGGACTCCAGCCTGGAGGAGGAGCTCCTCTCGGCCACCTCAGACAGCTATCGCCTGCCGGAGCCTGATGACCTTGATGACCCGGAACTGCTCATGGACCTAAGCACTGGTCAGGAGGAGGAGGCTGAGAACTTCGCCCCCATATTGGCTTTTCTGGATCATGAGGGTTATGCTGACCACTTTAAGAGTCTCTATGACTTCTCCTTCTCTTTCCTCACTTCTTCCTTTTATAGCTTCTCTGAGGAGGATGAGTTTGTGGCCTACCTGGAGGCATCAAGAAAGTGGGCCAAGAAGAGCCACATGACCTGGGCCCATGCCCGTCTCTGCTTCCTCCTGGGCCGGCTGAGCATCAGGAAGGTCAAACTCTCTCAGGCCAGGGTGTACTTCGAGGAGGCCATCCACATTCTCAATGGAGCATTTGAGGACCTATCCTTGGTGGCCACTCTGTACATCAATTTGGCTGCCATCTACCTGAAACAGAGGCTGAGACATAAAGGCTCCGCCCTGTTGGAAAAGGCAGGTGCCCTGCTGGCCTGCCTGCCTGACCGTGAGTCTAGTGCCAAGCATGAACTCGACGTGGTGGCCTACGTGCTGCGCCAGGGGATTGTGGTGGGCAGCAGCCCGCTGGAGGCCAGGGCCTGCTTTCTGGCCATCCGCTTGCTCCTGAGCCTAGGCCGGCACGAGGAGGTCCTGCCCTTTGCCGAGCGCCTGCAGCTCCTCTCTGGACACCCTCCTGCCTCTGAGGCTGTGGCCAGTGTTTTGAGTTTTCTGTATGACAAGAAATATCTTCCACACCTTGCAGTGGCCTCTGTCCAGCAACATGGTATCCAGAGTGCCCAAGGGATGTCTCTTCCTATTTGGCAGGTCCACCTTGTCCTCCAGAACACAACCAAGCTCCTTGGCTTTCCTTCCCCAGGCTGGGGTGAAGTTTCTGCCTTGGCCTGCCCAATGCTCAGACAGGCCCTGGCTGCCTGTGAGGAACTAGCAGACCGGAGCACCCAGAGGGCCCTGTGTCTCATCCTTTCCAAAGTGTACCTCGAGCACAGGTCTCCTGACGGTGCCATCCACTACCTGAGCCAGGCCTTGGTGCTAGGGCAGCTGCTGGGTGAGCAGGAATCCTTTGAGTCTTCTCTCTGCCTGGCATGGGCCTATCTCTTAGCCAGCCAGGCCAAGAAGGCTTTGGATGTGCTTGAGCCACTGCTATGCTCCCTGAAGGAGACAGAGAGTCTCACTCAAAGGGGAGTCATCTATAACCTCCTGGGACTTGCACTCCAAGGTGAAGGCCGGGTGAACAGGGCAGCCAAGAGCTATCTTCGGGCCTTGAACAGAGCCCAGGAGGTGGGAGATGTGCATAACCAGGCAGTGGCTATGGCCAATCTTGGCCACCTGAGCCTTAAGTCCTGGGCTCAGCATCCAGCCAGAAACTATCTCCTGCAGGCTGTACGACTCTATTGTGAACTTCAGGCCAGTAAGGAGACAGACATGGAATTAGTACAGGTGTTTCTCTGGTTGGCCCAAGTTCTGGTGTCTGGACACCAGCTGACCCATGGCCTTCTTTGTTATGAAATGGCATTGCTGTTTGGCTTAAGGCATCGACATCTAAAGAGTAAGTATGTCCCATGCTGCTGGGAAGCTATAGAGAAAAGTGTTGGATCAAGTTTTATCCATTTCCTATCTCAAGTCATCTCATTCATGTCCCTGCTTTGTGTTCAGGTCAGCTTCAGGCCACCAAATCCCTCTGCCATTTCTACAGCTCTGTGTCCCCAAACCCTGAGGCATGCATCACCTACCATGAGCACTGGCTGGCCCTGGCTCAGCAACTCAGGGACCGGGAGATGGAAGGGAGGCTGCTGGAGTCCCTGGGGCAGCTTTATCGGAACCTAAATACCGCCAGGTGAGTCAGGGTCAGGAACTGTCCTAGAAGCAGCTTTCCTTCCTTAAGGAGAAACAGTGTTCTTTCCCACAGGAAGCAAGTCCAAATGTACATGGTATAGGCGGGGCTTTGTGCAAAAGAGCAAGGGCTCTGCAGCCACCACAATGCATCCATCACTTATTAGTGGTGTAGCCTTGGGCAAGCTATTTAATTTCTCCATGTCTCAGTTTCCTCATCAGCCAAAGGAAGATAATAATGGCATCTATCTTATAGTGTTATTGTGAAGGATAAATGAGTTAATGCTCATAAAACACTCATAACTGTGCCTGATACATAGATAGGTCTCAGTAATGCCACTGTTACTTGTGTGTTTCTATAACCACCTGTCACAGGATCATGACTGAGGCTGCATAATTCAGAGAAGTGGCAGTTATACCAAGGACAGAAGAACCTTCAGGAGGTCTTCATTGCCAAGGGCAACTGGTTTTAAAGAAAGGTCACCCCCACTGAAAGCAGGGGTGTAAAATGTCATGGTAAAAAAAAGTTTTATCGGGAACTTACCTTTAAAATGAAATTGTAGATTATGAAATGAAGTGTGTTTTCACCTTTTAGTTAAGAATATTTAGATTACAATTTCAACTTTGCATTAAGTCTTAGAATAAACATGGAATAAAAGGAGTGTTGACTTTTTGGCTTAATTGTGCTGACAAAATGATGTAACAGCACAATGGAGCATTCTTTGTTTTGTGATTGATTTTTTAGGACTACCTTAAAAATCCTCATTTTTGTAAAAATAAATCAAAACTTAACAGTTTAACCCAAATACCTCCTTTAACCCTTTGGTATTCACATTATTATCACTTGAAGATTTTGCCATCTTCTGTTGGTTTTCTCTTCATTGTTTCTTCACTGGTCTAATGCTGCTTCATCCTCATTTGCCAGAGGGCAGACTGAAGTTCTGTTCTGTAACAAGCCTTAAATTGATTCCATTAAATCCTGTGTGGTTTGCAAGATCTTCAAGTTCACTTTGCAACAGATTTGCTTTGCAGTATTGCATTCATAATTATAAATGACTTCTAAAATAGAGCATTCAGAATAGCTTCTAAAATCGCTACTGTTAAGCAGAGAGAGAGGTTGTTGAGGAGAGGGTAATTAAATGACTATATATATATTTTTTTGCATTTCTAAGCAACATGGTAACTGTGTGCACCTGGACAATCAGATAAGGAATAATCAGATAATGAATTCCACTCCCCCTTCTCTTTCTCTTCCAGTCTGTCTTCCTCTCACTCTCCCTCATTCTTTCCCTGTCTTGTAAGAATCAGGTGTCCTCCAAACCTCCTGCTGTCTTTGCCTTCAGTCCCAGGGAGGGAGCTTTGGATCCATGCAGCATGTGAGGAGTCAGGAGGCCCCAGCTCCACCCTGCTTTCATTCTAGGACACCCTAGGAGTCTGGATGCTTCTGGAGAAGATCCAGAAGGCAGGCTTGAATTAACTATTGAGATGACATAGTCATATGCTCATGGTGAGGTATTGTAGGACTGGGCTCTGGAAAAGTTGGATTCTAAGGAACAGGAGCAAGAGTGCCAAATATGTGTCAGGCTATTGGCACCTCTGGCTACTGGGCAAGCTCAGTCTTAAATATTCCCAGACATCACCTACTCCACTGCCATCCTTTACTCACCAGCTCCCCACTCCAGATGCCTAAACCCACTGAAATATTAAGGGGGAAGCCAGAGAGAAGGCCCTGGATGCTGTCAGCATGGACCACAGAGGCCTTAGTTAAGACAGGATGCAGAATCACTGACCTGATGTGATGGGGATGGTGGAGAGGAGGTCAGGGGTGGGTCTACAGATGGCCCAAGAAGTTACTGGAGGGAGTCAGAAGCCACAGAGCTGGGAGGAAAGCAATCAAAACTGGATTAGGGCCAGGAAACCTGATCCTGCCATGACCTAATAATGTGTCCTTAAATAAGTCACTTTTCCTCTTGGTCTCTTTCCATCTGTAAAGATAAGTTGAATCAGATACCTTCCAGTAAAACGTTGAGTCTGGGACCAGCTAGCTATGCTATTCTGACACTGAATATTCATACTAGAATTCCTGCTGCCTCCAAAGTGTATTGAATTTTTGGTGCAGATTCTTAAAGTTGTGGGCTTTCTAGGGTGCCTCTGAAATCAGAGACCTAAGCTTTTAGGGCTTGAAAGACTTTGTAGTATGTTCAGAAGGTCTTGTGGGCAGACATTATGTCTAGCACAGAGCTTGGCATGGAGGAGACATACGGTGCATGTGTGTTTGGGGTAGCCAAGTCATTAGAGAGTAACTTAGTTCACTAGCTCACAGCCCTTGAGCTGAAGCTATATGCTGACATGGCTACTGATGATTATGACAGAGAATGGTGGAGCTTTGTGTGGAGGAGTCCCTGGCTCCTTTGCTCAGGGCTCAGGTAAGGAAAGAAAGGTGTTTGCAGCTTGGAGGCAGGCTTTTTGGTCTTTAGTGACAAGCACAGTAGTCACAGTGCCGTGAGTGGAACCTCAGCTTCCCATTCCAACAGCCCTTTGAGAACACTGGCCTATATAGTATTAGCCACAGAACACAGTGCATCTTTTCTTAAGGATTCTCCTCTGATAAAGAACCAAATTACATATAGTGAAGTAGAATATCAGAGATTTGATGTTCTACTTCATGAGGAACATAGTTTTTTCTAAAATTATGTAGTTGCTTAAGATTAAAAAGCATTACACCTTTTTAACCAGGCTGAGGCAGGTGAATCACTTGAGATCAGGAGTTCAAAACCAGCCTGGCCAACATGGTGAAACCCCATCTCTACCAAAGATACAAAAAAGTTAGCCAGGCATGGTGGTGGGTGCCTGTAATCCCAGCTACTTGGGAAGCTGAGGCAGGAGAATCGCTTGAACCCAGGAGGTGAGGTTGCAGTGAGCCGAGGTCACACCACAGCACTCCAGCCTGGGTGACAGAGTGAGACTGTCTCTCAAAAAAAAAAAAAAAAAAGGATTACACTATTATTGAAGGTTATAGGTGAAAAATAAAGGTCCCCTTCCAACTTCCCTTTCCTTGATACTTTCCTGAAGTAACTACTTAAAGATTTTTAAATACCCATCAAGGAATATTTCATGCATTTTAAAGTTTATATATGATACATATTTTCTATCTTAAATAAATATTAGATATTAAATATAATATGCACGTTTTAGTTACATAAATGGAATCATGATAAAATGTCTATTACATAATATACTGTTCTGTTCTTTGCTTTTCTCGTTTAAAAATATCACTGTGAAATGTCAATCCAACATTTTATCACACTATGGGAGCCCTTCCATTGTGTCAGGCACTGTGGTAGTTATTGGGGAATTCAGTGGTTAGAAAAAACAATCCAAATACCCACAAACAGAACAGTCTGCCCTACATAAGAGTGAGCTTGTTGCCTTTACAAGTATTCAAACAGAGACCGACTATTCAAAAATTTTACAAAAGAGTTTCCTGAATTGAGCTGGATCTGGAACTACTTACTAACAGTTTTATTGAGGTTTAATTACACACCATAAAATTCAGCCTTTTGAAGTATGAAATTTAGTTTTCAGTATATTCACACAGTTGTGTAACCATCACTGCTATTTAATTTCAGAACATTTTCATGGCCCCTGAAAGAAAGCCTCCTCATTACCCACTCCTCATTACCCAACCTCACTCCAACCCTGGAAACCACTAATCTACTTTCTGTCACTATGGATTTGCCTATTCTGGACATTTGATATAAATGGTATCATACAGTATTTGTCCTTTTGTGTCTGGCTTCTTTCACTTAGCATAGTGTTTTCAAGGTTCATCCATGTTGTCACATGTATCAATACTACATTACTTTTTATGGCCGAATAATATTTTGTTGTACTGATATACTACATTTGTTTATTCATTCATCAGTTGATGGACATTTGAATTGTTTCCACTTTGTGGCTATTATGAATAATGCTGCTGTGAACATTCATGAACAAATTTTTGTGTGAAGAAGTGTTTTCAGTTCTCTTGCATAGACCTAGGAGCAAAATTACAGAGTCACACCATAATTCTATATTTAAACTTTTGGGGAACTGCTAGGTTGTTTTTAAAAGTGGCTGCACTATTTTTCTTTCCCATTAGCAAGGCATAAGGGTTCCAATGTCTCCCATCTTCACCACCACTTGTTAGTGTCTGTCTTTTTTTTATTTTAGCCATTCCTAGTGGGAGTGATATTGTATCTCATTGTGGTTTTGATTTACATTTTCTTAATGACTAAAGATATTGAGCATCATTTCATTTGCTTCTAGCCCTTTGTGTATCTTTGGAGAAATGTCTATTCACGTGTCCATTTTTTAAATTGGGTTGTTTGTCTTTTGATTTTTGAGTTGTAAACATTCTTTATATATTCTGGATACAAGTCCCTTATCAGATATATGATTTACAAATATTTCTTCCCAGCCCATGGGTTGTCATTTCACTTCTTGATCCCTCATAGAGTGAGTTGGGAAATATTCCTTCCTCTTCAATTTCTTGAAAGAGTTTGTGAGGCAGGAGAATGGCGTGAACCCGGGAGGCGGAGCTTGCAGTGAGCCGAGATCCCGCCACTGCACTCCAGCCTGGGCGACAGAGCGAGACTCCGTCTCAAAAAAAAAAAAAAAAAAAAAAAAAAAAAAAAAAAAAAAAAAAAAAAGAAAGAGTTTGTGAAGGATTGGTGTTAATTCTCCTTTAAACATTTGATGAAATTCACCAGTGAAGACTTCTAAATCTTGACTTACCTTTGTAAGGAGTTTTTTTGTTTTGTTTTTGAAAATTGCTAATTCAATATCATTAGTTGTTATAGGTTTATTTAGATTTTCTGTTTCTTCTTGAGCAGTTTTGGTAGTTTTTGTCTTTCTTGGAATTTGTCCATTTCATCTAAATTAACTAATTTGTTGGTATACAATTGTTCATATTATTCTTTTATAATCCTTTTTATAATTTCTATAAAGTTGATAGTAATGTCCACTTTAATTCCTGAGACTCTTCTCTCTTTTTATTCTTGATCAGACTAGCCAGAGATCTGTCATTAAAAAAACATTTTAAACAAATTAAATTTTGGCTTTATTGATTTTTTTCTATTCTCTATATCATTTATTTTTGCTCTCATCTTTATTAATTCCTTTCCTCTGTTTGCTTTGGGTTTACTTTGCTCTTTTTGTCTAGTGTCTTAAGGTGGAATATTAGGTATTGATTTGAGATTTTTTTCTCTTTTAATACAAGCATTTACAGCCATAAATGTTCCTCTGAGTATTGTGCCTACGCCATTTTATATATTTCAGTATGCTGTGTTTATTTTCATTCATCTCAAAGTAGTTTCTAATATCCTTTGTGATTCTTACTCAGTTCATTGGTTATTTAGGAGTATGTTGTTTAATTTCCACATATTTGTGAATTTTCCAAATTTCCTTCTGTTACTGATTTCTAATTTCATTTCTTTGTGGTGGGAAAACAAACTTTGCATGATTTTATTCTTTTTACATTTGCTGAGATTTGTTTGGTGGCCCAACATATGGTCTATTCTGAAGGATGTTCAATGTAAACTTGAGAAGAATGTGTATTCTGTTGTTGTTTGGTGTAGTCTATAAATATCTTTTAGGTCTAATTATAATTTTTTATTTCCTTGGTGTTCTTATGTCTAGTTCTTCTATCCATTATTGAAAGTGTGTTATTAAAACCTCTAGTTGTTGTTGAGTTGTCTATCTCTCCCTTCCATTCTGTCAGCTTTTTCTACATGTATTTTGGGGCATTGTTATTAGGTGCTGCATATATATTTATAATTATGCCTTTCTGATGGATTGAGTCTATTATCATTATAAAATGTCCTTCATTGTCTTTAATGACAATTTTGGTCTTTTTATCTGATATTAGCATAGCCACTCTAGCTCTCTTTGGTTACTGTTAATGTGGTCTATACTTTTAGTCTATTTGTGTCTTTGAATCTAAAGTATGTCTCTTGTAGGCAGCATGTAGTAGAAACATTTTCTTTCTTCTCCATTCTTCAATGTTTGTCTTTTAACTAGAGTGTTTAATACGTTTACATTTAATTACAGGTAAGGTAGGATTTTTGTCTGCAATTTTGCTATTTTTTCTCTGTATTAATAGCTTATATCTTTTTGTTTTTCTATTTCTCCATTACTGCATTCTTTTGTGTTAAATAGATTTTTTCTTGTATACTATTTTAATTTCCTTGTTATTTCTTGTCCTGTATTTCTTTCAGTTATTTTCTTAATGGTTACCCTGGGGTAATAATTAACATTTTTTAAAAATAAAAATCTTAGCAGTTTCCTGATCATGCTCACAGCCCTGTACATGCATGTGGTCTTCTAGATTCCCAGGAATATGTCAGAACTTTTAAAACTTTTTATGGACATCTCATTTCCCAACTTTTCCTAGTGTGTGTGTGTGTGTGTGTGTGTGTGTGTTTGACCTTTTCTTGTTTGCTCCACATGTTTTCACCACCTAAGGCAGTGATCATATTAAACAATTGCTACTAATTATTTTTGACATATGCCTCAGGGAAAAGGCTGTTCTGCGCTGAGTGAGCTCTGAGTGAGGTTAAAGGAAAACAAGCCCTGTGAGCAGAGGCTTCCAGGGAACTTCCAAACAGATCAAACAGTAACAGTTCTCTGGGGATGGAACTTTGGGGTATTTCAAGCTCATTGTCTCCTTCAGTGGTTGCTAGGTTGCTGGTTTTTCCAGCTACCATTATTGTGAGGCTGTTGGTTTTTAAGTGTACCACAGAGCTAGGGACAAGCAGGATGTCTCTAAGGCAAGTTGAAAAGCAATGAAGCTCACTTTCGTAACAAGATTCCGCCGTTTTCCTAAATAAACACTCCTTGCAAACCTTTGGTTAATATCCAGAGTTCTGAAACATTTTATTTGGATAATTTTTGCCTGTTTTCATTGCTTTTATGGAGGAGTAAACTTTTGGAAATTTTTATTCCATTGTTCTGTAAATTGATCTAGATTAGGATTTTTAATTTGAATAGTTTATAGTTTTAAACTCTGAGATTCCTATTTGTACAATTGGGAGGAAATAAATATCCACTTTTGCTTTACCACTAATATAAGTGATATTGAATGGAAGATTGGGAAATATTTTAGGTGTCAGAGGAAACCCCTGTACACATAAGGTCATTGTCCCTTTGCAGAATGACCAGTTCAACAAAGAGAACATGCTGTAATGCTATATTTATTTAGCATGTATAAATCACCTTCTCCTACAGAACATTAAAAAAAATACAAGAACAAAGACCAACTACAGACACAGATAAACGGGTGTTTCTATGCACCCGGGGGTGGTTACTGTAATTTAGTACTAAGCTTCCTGGTAGCTGAGTAAAAAGGGGAAAGCTGTATGAGGTTCTCACTGTCTGACAAAAGAACATAAACACATGTATCTGTTGGAGCAATTTTTTTCCTGGCACAGATTGCTTAGGAGGAATTTATTAAGTGGGTCTTGATGTAATGGACAGATTTCTTCAACTAAATTCCCCTCTAGGGATTTGCATTCTCACAAAGCTCAAAGCCACAGCAAGCAAAGGCAGGAAGTGTTCATGGAAGAAGTGGCAGGCTTCTGTAGGGGGAGGTTTGTAGGGAAAGGAGACAATGCTTTCAGCAAAGGATGGGGGTGATCTGTCAGGGAAGACTTTATCAAGGTGGTAGCATTTGAGGAGGCCCTTGAAGGATAAGTAATATCTTGAAAAGTGGAGAAGGGTAGGTTTTAGGTGGAGGGAATAGCAGTAGCCATGGAGAGGTCAGGACACATTTGAAAGACATTTTGTAGATTTAACAGACAGGTTTTGGTGATCAGCTGGCTATGAGTAGTGACATGGTTTGGCTGTATCCCCATCCAAATCTTACCTTGAATTATTGCTCCCATAATTCCCATGTGTTGTGGGAGGGACCTGGTGGGAGGTAATTGAATCATGGCACGGTTTCCCCCATACTCTTCTCATGGTAGTGAATAAGTCTCATGCGATCTGATGGTTTTATAACAGGAAACCCTTTTTGCTTGGCTCTCCTTCTCTCTCTTGCCTTCTGCCATGTAAGACGTGCTTTTCACCTTCTGCCATGATTGTGAGGCCTTCCCAGCCACATGGAACTGTGAGTCCATTAAACCTCTTTTTCTTTATAATTTACCCAATCTTGGGTATGTCTTTATCAGCAGTGGGAAAATGGACTAATATAGGTGCAAAGAAGACTCAACTTCTTCCCTAGAAGGAGATATGGAGGTTGGTGGGCATGGGGGCGGGGGGTTGCAATGGGTATCCAGACCTGTACAGTGAACATCCATAGTGAAAATTATGGCCATAATAGCCTTCAGTGAGCATGCATTGTTTACTAAGCCATATATAAATCTCAGGACCACCCTCTGACGTAGAAAGAATTGTGGAAATTGAGAACTAAAGAAGCCAAACAACTTGCATGAGCCTTCCCAGCAGGGATTGATATCCAAACAGTGTGTATCTAGAGCAGGGTTAGCAAGCTTTTCAAATAAAGAATCATATAGTAAGTGTTTTAGGCCTTGTGGGCCATATGATCTCTGCCACAAGTACTCCACTCTGCAGTTGTAGTATGAAAATAGATAATACATAAGTGAATAAATGTGGCTGTGTTGCAATAACACTTTATTTACAAAAGCAGATTGAAAGCTGTATTTGGCTCATGGGCCATAGTTTAACAACTCCTGATCTAAAATGCATAGTCTTAAGCACTCTATGTATTCTGTCCACCCAGCTATTAATTTTTGCCCTAGGCAAAAGAAATAGGTGTGGAAGGCTATAGAGTGAAACCTTGTAGAATTGTATGGAGGGGCCTCGTTTTTCATCAGTCTGTTCCCTGCCTGCCACAGAGAGTCCAGACAATTTCACCACTTGGTTTCACTGGTACTAGCTCAGATCCTTGACTTCTCAATTTATGATCTTATGCTGCCTTTTTACTGATTTTAATTTCTTTTATTTGAAAGATTTTCTCTAGGGTTTAGAAGTGGGTTATGGTGTGTGTGTGTGGGGCGGGGGGCACACAGGTAGATAGTGAAAACTTTGTCCCAGCCTTCAGGTTTTTACTCTGGGACACTTTTCTGTCCCTTTGTCTAATATCTGCAGGATCATGCCTTCTCTGCCTTCCAGGGGACAACTACAGAATTTAGTTTGATAAAGGTTTGCAGTCTCTCAATGGGAGGGATCTTAGGGAGTCTTGTCTTCTGTCTTGAGGTGACACAACACAGACTGGCCATAGAACTGAGCCGGATGGGGTCCATGAGAACTCTGTGGCTCTATTAAATCTATTAAATCAATTCAACAAATATTTACCGAGCATTTACTATGGCCCAGGCACTGTGCTAAAAACTGAACAAGGGTGATAATAGTCCATGAGCTCACAATGATAACAGAATAGTACAGAAAATAAACGTATAAATAGCCACTAAAGTTATCGTATAAATTGTGGTAAGTGCCACAAAGGATGTGCATATTATTATTTTTAGAAAGAAGGGATGCCTTGCATATAATAGGTCCTCTCAAAATAATGATTAATTCTTTGCATGTGAATACAACAGTAGCCTAGCAGTCATTGCTCCTGGCTTTTATTCTTTTTTTTTTTTTTTTTTTGAGACGGAGTCTCGCCCTGTTACCCAGGCTGGAGTGCAGTGGCGTGATCTCGGCTCACTGCAACCTCCGCCTCCTGGGTTCATGCCATTCTCCTGCCTCAGCCTCCCAAGTAGCTGGGACTACAGGCGCCCGCCACCACGCCCGGCTAATTTTTTGTATTTTTAGTAGAGACGGGGTTTCACCGTGTTAGCCAGGATGGTCTCGATCTCCTGACCTCGTGATCCGCCCGCCTCGGCCTTCCAAAGTGCTGGGATTACAGGCATGAGCCACCGCGCCAGCCGTCTGGCTTTTATTCTTACATTTATGCTTCTTATTTTTCTGGAACTGAAAAAAGTGCTACGTTTTAAAATATATAATTAATATGTTAATCCCTAACACAGAAGCAATTCTTTTCTCATTTTTGTTGTAAATAAGGAAAGAATTGCTTTTCCTGAAATGTCATCATCTGATCACAAGGCTATAATGCACACTACCACCCCAGTTTCACACATGAGAAAACTTTGTTCAAGGTTTAAAATAGCTTATGTCTTTTAAAACTTCAGGACTTTTAAAGTGGTAAATGAAACAAAAGTCTTCCCAAGTGCTAATATCTGAGCCAGAAATTCGGCACTGCTGGAGGGTGTAAATGTAAGGGTTCTGGGTCAGACTCTGAAAGTTAGATCCTGGTTTAAACAGGGCTTATTACTTGGTCCAAGATAGTTACCCTTACCAAGCCTTATTTTTTTTCTATTAGTAAAATGAATATGATAATAGTACTGATCTCTTGGGGCTGTTGTGATGATTACATGAGATTTTGCGTGTAAAGCACCTAGTACATACTAAGTGCTCAATAGATGTCAGGTAATAATACTACCATTGTTACTTTTATAAGACAAAGCAGCTGAGAGCTCAAAATAAGGCTTTAGAAATGTGCAGGAAAACTTAGATACGTTTCAAAAAACAAATCAAAACAACAACATCCTACTGGATTTCTTTATTTGCAAAATGGGCTAAGAATTCTAATGGCTTGGGATTTCTATGGGGATTAAATGAGAAAATGTATACTGAAAGTACACATCCAACACCTCACACAGAGTCAGCCCTCAGTTTTTGGCCATCTTTGTCATCAAAACAGGACATGACCAATTAGTGGAGGCTGGGCTTTGGCCAGAGGTTAGACAGACTCATCCAGGCAGGGCAGGGACCTGGGAAGCCCCAGCAGCGGGTGGTAAGAGGAAGTCTGGAAATGCAGGTGTATTGGGGTCACTTGGCCATGGGCTTATGGCTGATGTTCAGGCAGGGAAGAAGAAACAAAGACTTAACCCCAGAGACTGAACTTGAGGACAGGAAAAATGAGAGAAAGAGAAGAGTCAAGATTGGAAAGGACAGGAGATAACATGCCGGAACACAGGCACAGGAGAACCAGAAATACACAAGGCTGATGCAGTGCTGGCCCACCAGCAGTGCTCCATGCTTCTTTGGCTTTGGAAGCCAAACCAAACCTAGAGTCTGTGGGTGGCGGCTGGAGGAATTGGCATTCTGGGCCATCTGGTGCTCAACTGGTAGGTGACACTGCTTGGCCACTGGCAGATGTAAAGTAATGGGGGTGAGTGGTGATAGGAAGGAACCAAGGAAGCTGGACTACTGCCCAGTTTTAGACCACAGAAGCACTTGTTTTTTTACTGGAGATCATAGATCATGTGCAAGTCTTGGTGAGAGTCAGTTGTCTTTGGAAAATCTTCCATTTGCAAGGAGTCTCAATGGTGCTGTGTGAGCCACTAGGTCTCTGTAAGTCTTGTCTTCCCCTGATGGGGCATTTCTTGGAAAGAAATAGAGATCTCCTCTCTTCCACAGTCATAATGAACTCAGAGGGAGAAAGTGCCAGAAGCAAATGCTGGCTCTGTCAGTTGGCCTGTCTGTAATAACCTAAATCTTGTTCCCTGAAGGTCTGGAGAAAACAACTATAGTAGCCCAAGGGCATCCCAGGACAGTAAATGGGAACATAAAAAAACAGAGCAGGAAATAGGATGAGGATGAGATTTATGGGTCTTGTCTTCATCAACTGCTCTAGTGAGAGTGAGGAGAGTTGTGGAGGCCAGGCCTGCTGAATCTCAACCCGGCTTGAGTTTGCAGGGTACAGAGTGGGGAGAGAAAGGCAGGGCTTCCTATAGTGAAAGATGCCTGTGGTTACTGTAGCTGAGCTGAGGAGGTTGGTGATCACTGCAGCATGGTGTGGAGTTTTTCAGCTCATTGTATTCTCAGAGGAAGTTTCACATTTTAAAACTTGAGAAAGAGTGGCCAGCGCCCATTGGGATGTCAATAAATCTCATGTTAAGAGCAGGGAGGAAGAGAAAGCTTGGGTTTTTTCTTTCTTACAAGGGCCAAATGCCTGGCACTCTCTCCAGAAGGCCAACAGCTGCCTCATTGCCAATAAGGATCCGGGCCTTAGGAGTTGAGAGCAATGCTTGTTTCCCTCATGGTGCACAAAGGGGCCTGGTGGCTGAGAGGTCCATAATCAAGTGGTAACCACGTTTGTTGAGGACTTTCTACTTAAGTGTCCATAGATGTGATTGATGATGATCGGTATTTCTGGGAAGAGTTGCATGGTTTACTGCAGTGGTTCTCAAACTTTGGTGTGCAGGAGTGTAACCTGGATGTGTCTTAGGAATTCAGGTTCCTGGATTGCAACTGTAATGAATCTTTTTCAGTCAATTTGAGGTAGCTCTGGGGGATCTGTGCTTTGAATAAGCTCCCTATGAAATGCTGATGCAGGTGGGCCACAAATCATGTTTTGGGAAGTATGAGTGTTATGGGACAAGTCCTAGGTTGCTACTCAGAAGAAGGGAGTTCTGGCCTTGGATCTCCCCCTAATGTACTGTGCAAACATATGTAAGTTATTTCCAGTTTCTGGGCTTGTTTCCTCTATAAAATAAGAAGATTGGACTAGATCAGCAAGTCTCAAGCCAAGCTGCATGACAGAATTACATGGAGAGCTTAGACACAGTGCTTGTGCCTGAGCCATATTCCGAGACCCTGGTGCTCAGGCTATCATAAAGTTGCAACACACTGGGAAATAGTGTGGCAGTGTACACGTTTAAAATGCTTCCAGGTGACTCTAGTTGTTGCCAGGACTGAGAACTACTATCTAGATGATGCACAGTGTTCCTTCCTTGTTTTTGAATACTGAATCGTCTGTGAGAAAATATATTACCTATGTCTCATTTCTTCATTGGTCCCTCCATTGACATGGAGGGAGAGTTTTCTACAAAATACAATTTTCCAAATAATTAAAGGGCACCCCATTAAGCACCAACCTGTTAAAACTTTCACTCTACTTTGATTTTTCTTTATAAACAAAACATCAAAATCTTTTCGATGATTTAAAGTTACCACTGTTGTCACTCATTCATGCATTCACTCAATAGGTATGCATTTGGTGTCTATTTTGTATTAGTAACTGTAATAGTTCATTCTCATGCTGCTAATAAAGACATACCTGAGACTGGGTAATCTATAAAGGGAAGGATGTTTAATGGACTCACAGTTCCATATGGCTGGGGAGGCCTCACAATCATGGCTGAAGGCAAAGGAGGAGCAAAGGCACATCTTAAATGGCAGGGGAACTACCCTTGATACAACCATCAGATCTCATGAGACTCACTGTCATGAGAACAGCAGCATGGGGGTAACGGCCCCATGATTCAATTACCTCCCACTGAGTCCCTCCCACGACATATGGGGATTATGGGAGCTACAATTCAAGATGAGATTTAGGTGGGGACACAGCCAAACCATTTCAATAGCATAACACCAAAAAAGGTTATAGAGCAGTAAAAGGGTTGATGGACCATGCATCAGTAATAATAATAATAATTATAAGTGATCTTTAAACATTCATCAGGTGCCAAGGACGTAATAGGCACTGTTCTAAGCACTTAGTTGTATCTCAATTTCATCCTCACAACAATCCGCTCAGGTGGGCACAATTATAGGTCTGTTTTACAGATAAGGAAACCAAGGCACAGAAGGATCCTGTACGTTCTCAAAGTCACACAGCTGATTGGGGTAGAGCTGGCATTCAATCAGGCCCACCTCCCTGTGTGATGTGGGACATGGCTGTTCCTGCTCAGAGCTTCTGTTTCATCCTGTGCTGAGTGGACCCTAAGGCCCCTTTGAGCCTTCACACCTCACAAGTTCATGTCTGTCCCCAGGTCCCTCAGGAGGTCACTCACATGCATCAAGGAGAGCCTGCGTATCTTCATTGACCTGGGGGAGACAGACAAGGCTGCTGAGGCCTGGCTTGGGGCGGGGCGACTCCACTACCTCATGCAGGAAGACGAGCTGGTGGAGCTGTGCCTGCAGGTAGGCCTCCTGCAGAGCTCTCTGGGAGTTGTTGACTTGGATCATTTGGGGAGGCAGCTGTACCCTCCAAATCAACCAGGGGGAACCAGAGAGGGATGATGTTCACCCTAAGCCTGTGGAGAAAGGGTCAACACTGGGCTGCTCCCTGAACACATGGTGGAAACCAGGGTGGTCTGACAAGCTGAATACAGGGAGCAAAGGGCCAGTCGCTGAGACCCATACACATGTGTGCACCCTGGGAGGATGTGAGGGGAGTCTCACATACCATCTGTAACGTCACTTGTCCCGTTAACTATACCTGTCTTTCCAAAGCTCAACATACACCTTGACTTTAGGGTTTTGCTGCAGTTTGAGGCAAGGTTGGTGTGTATGTGGGGTATTAACAATATTATTCTCTTATTTTTTTGTTTGTTTGCATACTTTTAATATCAGAGATGTGGTACAGTGTAGTGGTTAAAAGCCTGGGCTTTGAAGAGAGAAAAGCCTAGAGTCAAATCCCAGGGCCATCACATATGGACTGACTGTGTGACTTTGGGCTTGCCATATGACATCTCTGGGATTCAGTTTCTTCATGGGGGAACTGAACTCTATCTTTTAGCATAAGGATTAGTAAAACAAAAATTATATATCTCACTTGCATAGTAGTAAATGCATAGTAAGCATTTATTAAGTGCTCAGAACTTAGTAAATGTTTAATACATTATATTTTAGTGTTTTATTACTATCTGTACAATATCGATGTTAAATACTGTGGTGATATGTAAGATGTTTAATTCTACAAAAATATACCGGTTTTTTTCTTTCCCATGTTTTATTTTCTCTCTTTTTACTTCTCCTTATACTAGCACATAAACTTGCACAAATTCACTTCTACTGAGACTTAATAGCTGCATAACCCTGATTGCATGCTTCCTATGTACAGGAGACTTTGCCAAACACTTCACTTGCATGACGTAGTTTAACCCTCATTATAAACGCAGTAGGATTTTCCATTATAATTTCCATTTTACAGAGGAAGCTCAGAGAGGCTGAGTAATTTGCCCAAGGTGATACAACTGGTAAGTGGTGGAGCTGAGAACTGCACACAGTGTGACTTAGAGCCTTCACTCTCAGCCTCTACGCCATCTGCCTTGCGATTTTTGGGCTGAAAGGGTTTCCAGAGAGCAGACAATTCAGTCTTCTCCTTTCATGTTGTGGGAGACTGAAGCCCAGAGGGCACTGTTCCGATTGTGCATTGTTTTGGTGGCAAAGCCTCCTGACTCCAGGATTCCATCTCACTGCCCCTCTCTCTCTCTGTAGCTGCCCATGCAATAACACAGCAACTGCAGCATCTTGCCCCAGTGATGAAATGTTCACTGGCCAGAACTGGTCCCAGGCCTCACCCAACCCCAGGCTGCCACCTAACTGATGTTGTGCAGGGTCAATTCCATGGAAGTGAATCATTCTGGACCTGAGGCTATTTGAGGTCCTGTAACTGTGCTGCAGGTGCAGTGGTATATTCTTTACTCTTCAACTTCCTTAGCACATTTTGTGTAGATGAAATCCAAAATAGCTTGCTAGAGATAAAGAAGCTGTGGAGGTTAGGGTACTGGGATGGAAGACACCAACATTTGTTTGCCACTGACTATTGGCATGAAGCTGGGGAGGTTCTGTTTTCTTTTGAGCCACACTATCTCCATCTGGAAAGTGTAAGATGTTGAAGTGGATCACTATTTTTCCATTTCAGTTATTTACATATTAAATTCATAGTTTTGCTATATACATGTACCTTCTATACCATTGTTTACTTCTTTTTCTTTGACTCAACATCAAATCAACGTAGCTTTTTCTACACTTAGCCTTATTCTACACAATACTATCTAAAGTTGCAGGTTGGATGCATTATTAGTTTTTTTTTTCTAAAACACATTAAAATAAATACTTAACTAGTAAAACAAAATGTTTTTCTATATACTGTTAAAAATAATCTAGCACCACCAAAAGCAATCTCTCATAACAGGATGGGGAAATGCCAGACTGGAGAATGTCTAAAGTCCTCTTACCAGCCCTAGGAGTGTGAAGACATTTAGGATTTGGGGGACTTTAGCAGAGGATTAGTTGATTTAGGTGGTCTGCGTCTTAGCTCTGCCAGTCCTGTGGAGGTCAGGAAGCCCTCCTCTCTGCCTTTAACAGCTGTCTCTGTCCCACCTAGGCAGCCATCCAGACAGCCCTGAAGTCAGAGGAGCCTTTGCTGGCTCTCAAACTTTATGAAGAAGCAGGTGATGTGTTCTTCAATGGGACCCGCCACAGGCATCATGCAGTGGAGTACTACCGAGTAAGTCCAAGCTGTGCAGTTTGCTGAGACAGGTCCTGGCACGGGCATGGGAAGGGTCAGGCTGGACTTCGGCCTGAGTCCCTCTTCTCCTCTCTTGCTTGTATTTCATTTTTCTCTCTTTCTTGTCCAGTGCCCACCTACTCACTCTCTCTTCAACCTAGTGGGAGCTCAGGGAAGGTTCTGATAAACTTAGTCATTCTCAGGCTTGATAAGTTATCCTTCTTCGGATAATACATCAAAATAATTGAGTCCAGGAGATCAAGACCATCTCAGACTCTTGGGTGCATGGTACTTTATGGTCTGCAGCACACTTTTGAGTTTACCAGTGTTTCCCATTTACTACTGGGGGTGTGGTGGGAGATTATTTAAAGGGTTATGTAGATGAATGCTTTTGTTTGATCATATTTTTAATAAGCATGTATTAAAATATATTTTTTAAAATTAAAAATATATAATACAAGCTCATCAAACCTATGACTTCACAGATATTATTGCGAAGGATGAGGCAAGAAAAAGAGTTGATGTTAAGAATAACACAAATTAAATGAATGTCCAGATATTAAGCAGATATGTCAAAAATTGTGATTGTTGTTCATCACCAACTGAAGTTTAGGAAGCCTCATTATCTAATTTGATCGTAAAATTTTATTCATTCAGATATTCATTTATTTATTTGTTCAGTTGTTTATTCAGTCATCAAATGCTAGCAAATACCCAGTCTGTGCCAGGCACTGAGCTAGGGGTGGGGAAGAACAGGGAACGCGTCTCTGACTGTTGAGGGGCTTATTTTCATATGCATTTTGTAGATGAGAAAACTAAGGTTCAGAAAGATGAAGTGATTTGCCTAAAATTCTATCATGATAAAAACATAGAAATGACCACTTTTTGAGATATTCCCACACTATGCGTGTACTCATGTGTGCTTCATAGATAGCACCATGGATGCTAGGGGAGCACACAGCTGAGAAGGGAACGACTTTCCACGTGACCTTGGGAAAAGCCGCTTCCCTTTCCTACTCCAGGTTTCCCCAATTATAGGAAGCCCAATGCCCTCTACTTCTTCTACTTTAAGATCTGGGCAAAACATCATGAGCAAGGATCAGGAGAGAGAGGGTTGAGTAAAGGCACACAGGGAAACATGGCTGACTCCCCTTTGTTTTAGTCCACTGCCGTTCCCCAACCCCTGCCTGTAGAAGATAAGTCTCCTAGCTATGGTATGCACTGAGGATTCCTAGCTAGACTAAGGTTCCTTGGGCTTCTGTTCCTAGGCTGGAGCTGTTCCTTTAGCAAGGAGGTTGAAGGCGGTGAGAACTGAGCTCCGGATTTTCAATAAGCTGACAGAGCTGCAGATTAGCCTCGAAGGCTATGAGAAGGCTTTGGAATTTGCCACCCTGGCCGCCAGGCTCAGCACAGTCACAGGTGGGTGGTCTTCACTATTGGGTGTGTTGAATGAGAGGGGTGATTAGTCAAGGATAGACAGCAAAGCAATAACACCGCAGGCCCTGGAGTCAGACTGTGTGGGTTCAAATCCCAGGTCCAACTGTCAGAGAGACCTTAGTTAAGCAAGTTGCTTAACTTCTATAAGCCTCAAGCTTGTCATCACCAAATCAGGATTAAAAATAGTGCCCACCTCATGGTAGTTGTTATGAAGACCAGTGATTATCCATGTAACAGCCATAGCACAATCCTGGGTACATGGTAAGTCCTTGGTAAGTGTTGCCTGTGCCACACTATTATTATATTACAGGTGCTGTTGTTCCCCAAGTGTAAAGTAAATGATATTTTATTCTCTTCATAAGCTATGTTCCCATTGCAAAAGGACTGTGCCCTGAATTTTAAATTAGTTAATTTTTAGTTAAAAGTGCATTTTCCCATGAAGCTAAAATGTAAATGAAGGTCAGGTTCCCATTACCCTAACTCAGAACATAGCTGAATATCTTGTGTTTATGTCAAAAGCTAGTGGGAAACAATAATAGTCATCAGAACAGATAAATGGCAGAATAAAAAAGATTTAAAAACCCCTCATCTTGAATGTTGGTGTTTGAAGAAAAGCAGGTTTGATAGAGAAGCCTTGATTAGATGTAAGGGTAAATGTAATATTCTGTGATGATTCCAGGAGGGTCTTCTGGGCATTTTCAAGGGCATCGGGTGTGGATGATACCGGACTTTATTTTGTCTAATTGCATTCTTGAGAGAGCCTTCCCTCTTTTCCCTACCTTTTTCCTTATTGCATAGGATCTCATCTGAGTGACTGTGTGCTAATCTCAGGAAAGGCCTTGGAGGCCCCAGGCAGTTCCTCTGAGCACTCTTTATCCCTCACTGGATGGGAGCTGAAGGGAGGTTGTATGCATCCTTTATATAAGTACTTCCCCTGTGGCTGATTTTTCCATATCAGAGAATTTTCTCTCTCTTAGATTTTCTTTTTTAATTTTGGCTTTTGGCTCTTTGAAGCTTAAAAGTGATGTTTTTAGATGGTATCCCACAGCCACCTTGCAAATATTCCAAAGACATGATTGTAAGCCTTTGTTCCCTGTAAAAGATTGCTCTGTATTAAAACAAATCCACCAAACAACAAGTCATAGACCCGTTAGAAACCAGCATTCTAAAGCATGGTTTAAGTGTGAACAGGTGTTTGTAGCTTATCTGAGACTGACAGTAGGTAAAGGGGCCAAGGAGAGACTGCTACATGGTGGTACCCAAGATAATTCTCTGAAGAGAGAGACTTTTGTGTGAGGAAGACATTTATTATACAGAGTGATTTATTGCAATTCTTAGCTACTCCATCAAGCTAGACTTGTCACCATGTCCCATTAAAAGGGTTTAAGAAGAATTCTTTCTCAGAATCCTGCATTACAGTAGCATCTGCAATAAGGAGAAAATTTTCTTCTGGGAATCACTCCAGGAAACCTTGACCCATCCTCTACTTAGTCACTCTTATAGAGCCCTGCATTTTCTTTTGTAGCATTTATGACATGTGTAATGTTACATTTGTTTGTGGGATTATTTAAGGAATGTCTGTCATGTGAGACAATAAGCTTTATGAGTACAGGCACCTCTTCTGTCTTATTTCCTATGCCCCAGCACAGTCCCTGACATCTAGTAGACCTTCAAAAAGTTTTATGGAATGAATGAGTGAACAAATGATGCAAAGTGTTGGTTGCAGGATATCTCTCTCAGTCTTCCAATTCTTAGGAGATCAGAGGCAAGAGCTGGTGGCCTTTCACCGCCTGGCTACAGTGTACTACTCCCTGCACATGTATGAGATGGCTGAGGACTGCTACCTGAAGACCCTGTCCCTCTGTCCACCATGGCTGCAGAGTCCCAAGGAGGCCCTGTACTATGCCAAGGTGTATTATCGCCTGGGCAGACTCACCTTCTGCCAGCTGAAGGTAAGAGCCAGACTTCCCAGATTTCCTGACAGCCACCACCCAACCATTCTCCTTCCTGACTCAAAGACAATGAGGAGCCTTTGTGGTGGAGCTGAGAAAACCAGAGTGCCAAGATGAGAAGTCTTGTCTCATAGGGTGAGGAGTGGCTTTACAGGGGACATGGAAGCTCTTTCCACTTAACCCTGCTGAAGATCTCAAAGGTGCTCCCATCTTCGCTGAGGAGTAGACCATGGTTCCTCTTTCTCCTTGCCTTGCCACCATGTCTGTGGCTTCTTTATCTGTCAGATACTACAGGCACATTGCCTGTAAGTCTCTCAAGGGCCTATGGAAATATACAAGACCCCAAAACAAAAGAACTATAAGGTCTAAAATGAAGATCAAAATGAATACTTAAGAGTTTGTCCATAAAATGTTACAGACCAACTAGTCAACTGCAACTCATTTCTTATAAAGTAATGTAAAGCTACATTTTATGAGAAATGTGGGTGCATATTAACATGTTTGAGATAACGAGGTATGGGGCCTTTAAACTAAGTATACTTAGATCTTAAGAAGGTTTTATCCCTGCTTCTCTTGCTTGCTGAATCTAGAACTTCTTTTTTTGCTTGCTTGCTTTTTTTTTGGGACAGGGTCTTGCTGTGTAGCCCAGGCTGGAGTAGCATGGCTCAATCTTGGCTCACTACAGCCTCTGCATCTGGGGCTCAAGCAATCCTTCTACTTCAGCCTCCTCAGAAGCTGGGACCACAGGTGCACACCACCACACCTGGCTAATTTTTGTATTTTTTGTAAAGATGGGGTTTCATCATGTTGCCTGTCTCGAACTGCTGGACTCAAGCAATCTGCCAATCTTGGCCTCCCAAAATGGTGGGATTACAGGTGTAGTAGGCCATTATGCCCACCCCAGAACTTCTTATTATTTTGGTGACTTCTAGAGTTGTGTTGGTTGCAAATCTCTGTTACAACCCTGACCCCCAAACTGTGTCCCTAGGATTGGCTTCCTTTTACTAGAGGTCCCTGTCCCCTGAAGCACAACCCTTAATCTCTTAATATAGTGGCTTCTGAGTCACTCCTGTGTTTGGCCCCCAGGGAACCCTCAGGGCAGCTCTGCTGTCCTTTTCTTATTTGCCAGGCTTTGCTTCTGGCCTGAATTAATTACTGACTTATGAGGGTTAATGGAAACCAGGCAGCCTTTTTGAGTCTCACCCAAAGAAGCATCTGTTTCTCATCTTTACCATGTAGGGAGGGCCGGGGGTAGTGAAGCACCCTCTAGCCATCTTGCCTCTGCCCCATAGCTCCCAGTAAGTGGTTCAGGGACAAAGTGTGTGATCTGATCATGTCAACCAAGAACTCCACGGATTGTAAAGGGAAAAACTCAGTTCAAACTTCCTTAAGCAAAAAAGGCAACTTACTGGCTCAAAGAATGTGAAGGCTGAGCTACAAATTTAACTGCAGATAGCTCTGGATCCTGTTTCTCAATCATCATCAGGGATTTCCCCACCTCTCATTGTATTCCTTGACTCTGTATGTTTCTACTTTGCTTTGTTTCTTGGCCTTTTCCCCTTCTAGCTACTGGCAGGTTCAAGTCCACCTCTGAACCTGCCACTTCAGAGGGACTATTTTCCTTATTGAGACACAGTGGAAAGTCCCAGGGAGTGGCAGATGTAGGCCAAGTTTGGGTCATGTACACATCCCTGAAGCACTGTGCCCAGGGCAATGATGTTTCATGATTGGCTGAGCCTCAGTAAGGGACCACCTCTGTGCCTGGAGTGCAGGGCACTGTGATTAGCAATGTCCCAAGGACCACAGTGGAGGGAGAGAGGGGCTCCCTAAGGACTCAGGAGATGGGGATTGGATGTTGGGCAAACAAACAAACAAACAAACAAACAAAAAAAACTAGAGTGGCCAGCACAGCCTCCTAGCCTGTCCTGGAAGTGTTTGCTAATGCTGTCTCTTCTTTGCCCCCATACCACGGGGTTAGGATGCCCATGATGCCACTGAGTACTTCCTTCTGGCCCTGGCAGCAGCGGTCCTGCTGGGTGATGAGGAGCTTCAGGACACCATTAGGAGCAGGCTGGACAACATCTGCCAGAGCCCCCTGTGGCACAGCAGGCCCTCCGGGTGCTCCTCAGAGAGGGCGCGGTGGCTGAGTGGTGGTGGCCTGGCCCTCTGAGGAAAGCTGTCCTGTCTCTGGACATTTGGCATGGCCAGACTCTGACCCCACTGCCCTAGGCTCTTAAATACTCATTGGGAGGGTCCGAGTCCTTACCTGGCCTAGCCCCCTCATTTCACAAGAAGAAGAATGAAGTCCAGGAGGAGAAGGGCTCATTGCAGGCCACAGAAAGATTTGATGGTGCAGCGATGAGAATTCCTGGTTCCAGGCTTTGCATCTGGAGCCTTTACCGGTTGACTGTTGCCTTCCACACAAACAGCCTCTGAAAAGCACTTTCTCCATACATAATTCTGGAGAAGATGAGGGATCTTGCCCTCCAGGAGCCTTCCTTCCTCCCCCAATGAGGAAATCAGTCACTGCACTGGTGCAAAGGCAAGCAGATTGGAATTTGTGCTCTTCACCGATTTTCTCAGGGAAAGACCCCTTCCCCTTGCCAGCAGAGGAACCTGTAGTTTTTTCCATTTCTTTCTTCAGAACCAAAGTATGTATCACTCCTCATGCTCACAGGGATTGACAGGAGAGAATTCACCAGGATCTTAGCTCAAAAGACACAGCCTCAGAATGGCCAGATGGATTGCACGAAACCTGACTTGGATTCACCATCTTCCTCCTGCCATAAGGCTGTGCTCCCACATAACCTCCCAGAAGCTCCAGGGAAGCTTTCCAAGAGCAAAGGCTTGGAAATTGAATGTTAAGAAAATTATGACATAAATTACATGTAAATAGTGTATATGATTAAATATTGTCCAGTTACATTTACACACACATTTTGTCTCATCCACAATGGGGGCAGATGAGATGGAGGACTTGATGGATGGGAGAGAATACCAATACATGTCTTTTTTTTTTTTTTTTTTTTTTGAGACAGTTTCTCCTCTGTTGCCCAGGCTGGAGTTCAGTGGTACAGTCAGGGCTTCCTGCGACCTCAGACTCCGGGGCTCAAGTGATCCTCCAGTGTCAACCTCCTGAGTAGCTGGAACTACAGGCATGTGCCATACCCAACTACAAGGCATCTTATTGATTTCAGGGCAGCTGCTTTACAAAGCATCTCTATTAATAACATCACTGCATAGCACACTGAGTGGCCTAAAACACTTATAATCTCATGGTTTCTGAAGGGCAGGAATCCAAGCATGACTTAGCTGAGCCCACCAGCTTAGGGTGGTTCACAGGCTGCAATCAGCTGGGGCTGCAGTTATCTCAACTTCAACTAGAGAAGGATGGGCTTCCAAGCTCACCCACACAGCTGTTGTTAGGAGTCAGTTTTTTGCTAGCTGTTGGCCAGAGGCTTCCTGCAGCCACTTGCCACGTGGGCCTCTCCACAGGGCAGTCACAACATGGCACCATGCTTCACTAGAGGGAGCAAACAAGAGGAGCAAGAACCAGAGTGAGCAGGAGAAAAGGGAGTGACTCTTTCTATAACCTGATCACAGAAGTGACATCTCCTTAGTCTTGCCTATTCAATTCATAATAAATGAGTCACTAGGTCTAGCTCCCACAAGAGGGGAGTGTTTACCAACAGCTTGAATACCAGATGGTGAGGAATCATTGGGGATCATTTCAGAAGTGACCTACCACAGTATCTGAGTTCTTTGATAATGAAATTGGGAATTCTCTAATTTCAGCAAACTGAAAATATGGTCCACTAACCAGCAGCATCAGCATCACCTGTGAGATTGTTTGAAATGAAAATCTGTGGCCCCACCTATGATCTCTGAATCAGAATCTCTGGATCCCAGAACGCTGACTCGTCCAAGCTTTCCTGGTGATTTTAATGCACCCTAAAGTATGGGAAGCACCACTGCAGGGCAAGAGCCCTCAGATAGTGTGCATAACTATTACCTGGTGAGGTTGTGGAACATGAACTTCTTGGTTTCTATCTCTAATAATTCTGATTCAGTAGATCTGGGATGTATCCCAGGAACATGCATTTTTAGAAAGCAACTCAAGCAAGCCTGATGCAGGTGGTTCACCCTTGCTCCTTTTCTGTGAACCACAAGGATACCAGCCATAATTCCCTGCATCTGATGCCCATCAGCTTAGCTTTTATTATCAGACCATCTGCCCTTAATTTCTAGCTTCTTGGGCTGACCAGATGATTGGTTGTATGAAAGGGTGAGATGGGAGTGGTGAGTTGAGCCGCCATTGCATCTTCTAGTCATCAAGGTTGTCTACTAATTGGCACACATTTTCTCTTAGAGATGTGGTTGGTTGTCAAAAGGCTGTCTACTCTAGAGAGTATTCTCCAGGAAGGAGAAGCTTCCAGTTGTCTAATTAGTAAAGTTATCTAATCTACTACCATGGAGAATAGATGTGGTTTTGCCCCCACCACAAGCTGTAAAAGCCCCAAGCTGGGAGGGACGTTGCGGTTGAGGCTATTCAGTCTAATCTCCCGTGCATAGTCCTTTCAACAACATTCCTGGGAGACAGTCAGGGGCACACACATTCCAGAACAGTTACATATCGTGTATTTGAAGAAGGCTCACACAGCCCTGGAAACCATGCCACTGGCCATTCCCCATCTGACTCAGGTTACAGATCCCCTCCCTTTTCCCACTGACCACTCACTCTCCTCTGGCCAGATTTGTTTCTGTTTCTCTGAAAGAGCAGTTCCCACAACTGCATGAGGCTTTTGATATTGGCCGGTGGGTGAAGAGTACAGAGGGATGTTACTATACTTAATTTGATTCTTCCTCTCCCCAGCAGCCACATCTGTCCTTGGCTTCCATTGAGCTTTATAATCAGTTGAAACTTCTGTGTCTTCTGACTTGAACTTCTGTTTGGACAGATCTTTCTCAATTGCTGCAAATATGCACATGCATTTGCATATGCATACACATACACACACATACGTGAAGAGCGTTGTTTCTATCCATGTTACATCTCCTTGGAAATTTTAGCTAAAATTTCCCAATTCTGTGCACTTTGATTTACCTATAAATCTGATGAATTTACCCATAACCAGGTCAGTTATAAAAATGTTTAGCATGTTTCCAAAGACAAGGGTAAGACTATTTTTTTAAAATAAGAAAAACATTGTGCTATATAATTGCAATTACTACATTCTATATGTAAACCGCTTGCTAAAACTCTTTTAAAAAGTGTTTAAAATTTTCATTTTTGAAATGTGGGCCAGCTATTCCCTTTGGAAACATGTTGATGCTGTCTTTTTTTCATGATCCACAGAGAGTAAAGTGGTGATTGGATTTGGTCTCTACTTAAACATTTAAAAAAATAAGTGTATCATAGCCAAACATGATCTAGTTACCCTCTTTATTCTAATTGTTCCCTCAAATCTTATATGGGCTGTGTGACTGCTGGCTCCTTACATCTAATCTAAATAAAGAACAAGAAGGGCATTGCAACATTGTGGAAAACCCTGTAACATGTTTTCTCAGCTTTCAGGTATACTAGTTCCCTGTCCAACAGTATTAACATTCTGAAATCCAATATTGCTTTTGTCCTTTTCTTATTTGCTTTTCCATTATTTTAAGATGCCTTTATATTGTGCATGTGTATATATATGTATGTGTGTGTGTGTGTGTTCATTTTCTTCCTCTTTGTAAATATAATGCACCTCATTTGGCAGAAGTTTATTTGGGGAAGGGAATATGCAGGAATGGAGGGTGTTAGGATGAGGGATCAGGAAGCCTATCACTAAAGGGAACCTGTATTTTGGTCTTGATTTTGATATTAAATTGCAGTGCGACCTTGGGCAAGTCACTTAACCTCTACACATCTCAGATATTTGTCCTCTGATAAAAGAACCTCACCTCTGGGTTTTTCAGCAGTGCTATTTTTATACTGTATGAATAGGATGAGAAATAGTATTGGAGAGATGAAATAATATATTTTTATAGCTCAATTATATTATCTTCTTTTTACAGGTGAGTAAACTGAGGAACAGAAGGGTAACTTTCTCCCAGACACATTGGTAGTTAGTGGCAAAGACAGTGGTACTTGAGGCGGGGGTCTCATGACTCAAGGACTTAGTTGCACAAATGACAGGATTTCTGCTGTTCAGGGCTTCCTTCACAGTTGTGTGTGTATATGTACACGTGTGTGTATGTATGCATGCATTTATCACGATATGCACCAAAGAGCCTTTACAAAACATTTTCTAAATTGATTTACTTCTTTTACTCATATTAACTTATTTTTATAAGGGATGACTAGTCTATATAGAAGAAAAACTTGTATTGTTTTCCATAAACAGAATTATGTAAATAATGGCAAATACAATGAAAATAAAATAATGCATTAACTTCAAGCTAGGTCCTGTTGCTCATTGCAAGCACCCAGCCTAGGCCTTATCTGGCATTGTTTGAAAACAGAGAGATTAATAAGTGGCAGAGAGTGTAGATGACAGACTAGCAACAACCACTTTTTCCTTGCACACTCAGAGAAATGGAGTAAGCAGGGAAGAGGACTGAGCTCCTTCTGAGGAGGGTCAGTGTCATTCAATGCCAGGTTTGGGCACACATTTCAGGGAAGTGGGGATTCAGCTGGGTGACAGGAAAGGGGCAAATGATATATTATGTAATATGATTCAGTATCAGAAGCATTGTGATTGGTGTTAGTTACAGGATGTTACAGGCACTGCGGGGAAGGGATTTTACCCAGACAGGGTTACGGGCATCAGGAAGGGCTTTCTGGAGGACGTGATATCCAAACTGAGTTCTGAAAGGGACACTTACTTAATTCTAACTGCAGACCAGCAGGTTGGTATTGACAGACAGTGCATGTGTCAAGCAAAGGTCCAGAGGGTGGACAGGGGGTGATGTTTTCTGAGAACAGGTCACTCTGAGTGCAGTGAGGCTGGAGCAGATTCAGGGAAGCAAAGAGGGTTTGGATTCTACCTGGAGGTTGAGGGGAAGGTATAGAAGGATTATAAGCAGTTGAAAGAAACATGGTCAGATTTGTGCTTTGGAAAGATGATTCTAGAAGCAGCATGAGACTAGATTAGGGCAGCAGTGGAGAAGGTAGAAAACACATTAGGACTTGGCGATTGCAACACAACACTCCAGCCTTGATTCAGATATCAACAGTTTTCCCCACTAATGTTCTTCTGATCCCACATTGGATTTAGTTGCCATATTTCCCTATGCATCTCTGGTCTATGACGGTTTCTGCCTTTCCTTGTTTTTCATGACCTTGTCAGTTTTGGTCTCTTTTCCTCTTTTAATTGCTCCCATTGAGATGTGTGGACAAGCGGCAAAGAAGGAAGAAATTCAAGGGAATGGGCTCTGCACTCACTCAGGTGGCAGCTCAGGTGGGGGCAATGTAATGTGTTTTGGAGTTGGGCATACTTAGGTTAGAATCTGTTTCTTACTAGCTGTGTGACCTTCTGCAAATTAATTAACTTCCCTGAGCCCAGGGCTGTCAGAATTATATCAGACTTACTTATGTCATAGACAAGGAAATGGCTAAAAAGGAAATCCATCTTTGGAGGCATGTAAGCCTTGACATTGAGAAGTGCAGCCAAACCTGGAGGTGTGGCCAGGCACCCTGGTCCTGCATTCAGGGACACTTGGGTCTGAAGCTCTTTCTCCTTTTCATCACTGAGTGACCTGAGCAACTTACTTTACCTCTTTAAGCTTCAATTATTCCTCTGCTCAGACTTTTAATTGAGACGAGATGTATGGATGGCTTGGTATGAATGTCAATTGGTGGTAGCTGTCACAATGAAGCAGAACTGAGTAGATTCTTAATAAGCACATCTATTCCTGGGTCCCACACCGTTAAGCGGGAGGGTGTGTATGTTAGGGGTGCTCTTTGCTACTGGGCCTCTCACTTGGCGGTCTTCCCTCTTCGGTGGGACAGCATATATTTCCTGATATGTACCCCCTCACTCTCCCAACTCTGTCTGATTATTCCAGAACTCAGGGGACTTGAGGATGGAGGCTGCTGGAAGTGCTGGCTCTGGGAATGTGCACTTCGTTCACCCTCCTCTAAGGGGTGTCTTCTCCCCAGAGAAGCAGAGACAAGTGACTGCTTAGGGGGTGGGGATTCTCCCCAGCTGCCATGGTGCAGGATCAAGAATAACTTGCGTGGCCAGGACTGCACAGTGGGGCTGCTTGGCTTGGCTTCCCAGTACAGACTGCGAGGCAGGTGAGAGGGAAGGATGCTGTGCTTTCAAAACGATTTCAAAGGTGAGAACCCAGCTGCCACTTCTAGTGCTGCCTTTGACTCCTTATCCAGGGCATCACACTAGCTTGAGGGATGAGGCTCTTTGAGATGAACTTCCAGACAGGGTAGGTGAGAGGATGGTTGAAGTCACATGGCTAATGAGAAGACAGGCTAATCCATTGCTGTCCTTTTCTGTGAGAAATCCAAGAGTTCCAGTAGGGGGCAGTGATGTCTTCCTAAATAGTGTATCATTGGTAAAGAACGTATTTAATATTAATAGTTCTGAATCAGACTAGGGTAGTGGCTGTCAAATCCTTTTTTGTTGTTATGTTGTTGTTGTTGTGGCCCACAGTAAGAAATGCATTTTATGGTTTATCCTCGTGTGCATATGTTTGTGCATATGCAACAACATAGAGAAATGCACTCATACATTCTGTTTTGTTCTATTCATTTTTAAAAACATTCTATTCTAGTTAAAAAATATCAAATTTATGACTCACCAAATGAATTTCTCACTCATTAACCTGTAGTTTGAAAAGTGCTGACCTGGAGGGTGGTCTCTAAAAAAGTGCAGGAGGGCTCCAGCCTTTGTTCTTTTCTATGTATTATTTGATGGATATCTTACTTCTTTTTGAGACCAGAGAGTGTGTACATCTCAAAATAAAAATAACAGTTGAGGTTAATGTGTTTTATGCATTAAGTCTCATGCAAAACCTTTGTGATGACTCTCATGTAATCACACAACATTTTGGTGTAGTTACTATTATTTTTATCTCCACTGAGGTTTAGAGAATTGATGTGGCTTGTCTAAGTCCACAGTTAGTGGTGATCGAGGTGAAATTTGAAGTCATGTCCTCTGATGCTGGAGCTAGGAAATGAAACCATTATATTATATTGTGTTTCTGTCAGGTGACACATCTCTGAGAGAAATGCTATCACTAATATGATCATGAATAGAAGCATTAGATTAAAACTTGTTTCATCAGCCTGAAATACTGGGCTGAAATCAACACAATCATTCTGGTGTAATTGAATCAATCAAAATTGGTTACTTTAGAACAGGATTGGAGAGAACTGACTTTCCAGGAGGTCTTGAAAAAGAAATACTGGTGTTATTGTTGACCACAGTCAGGTAACTTAGCCTAGAAAAAAAGAGAGACTGCATTTCCCAAATGGAAAATAGAAGGAGGAACAGAAAGCTTTGACCTATAGTAGTGATTGGTCAAAACAAATTATAAGATCAGTAAGTTATGTTTTGAAGAAGATTCCAGGTTGGGAGTGAGGTGAATGAGGGAAACTTGCAAGAGACTCCAGAGCCAATCGTAGAAGACTATGGACATCTGAGGAAGGGAAGCAGCCAGGTGGAGTTTCGTGGGTCTCACCCATCATAGTACCCGTAGCTCCAATGGTGGTAGCAGAAGGAAGATCATGAACATGAGAGAATAGCCTACTTTTGACATCATGGAAAAAGCTATTAGGAACATCCTTCTCATCCAAATATGTGTTGCAAAACAAATAGCCTGGGAAGAGCCCATGTTCATGTACAGATGCTTTGTTTCTTATGCATAAATGTTGGTAGTAGCACTTTTTTTACTCACTTAGTATTCAGGAATGCTTAATTATCTACTTCCCTAACCTTCCATTTTACTGTATTTTTATTTAGGGTCACACATTTTACTGTTATCTATGAAAAGGATTTTGAAAATAGATACCTCGCTTCTGTCTTTTATTTTAACCTTCCAAATCTAGCGGACCATAGTTAAACATGATCTGTATGACTCTCAGCTACTTGATCTTCCTTGCACGGGCCAAATATGTGTGAAGGTGACTTTTTTGGTTATTGAACTTTCTTGCACATAGAGAACTTCTGATGTTTGTTCATCTGGGGATATATCTGACATCTACTTCATAGAGACATTCATAGGAATGCCCCTGAATTCTTTGAACATTGTACCAGACAGCAAGCAGTGACAATGGCTACATCTGCTTTCCTCCTCAGGGGAGCTGCCACGGGCTAGGCTGAAATAACAGCTGCGTGGTAATCCTGGTGACCAAAAAGCTACTTATTCATAAAACAAAACAAAACTAACTTTTGTCTGTTCTAGAACATGTAGCTTTGGGGCTGTAGTGGGTGGAGGGAAAGGATAGCAAACAGAAAGATTACTTGGAGGATTTTCATTTCCGGTTGTTTTACAGTCCTAAGAGCTTATATAAACTGATATTCTGATCCTCTTCCAAGTCCTGTGGCATTCTTTTCTTTCTTTCCAAGTTGTATAAAGTCCATCTGTCTGTTTCTCTCTCTCTCTCTCTTTCTCTCTTATTTAGGCAGGGTCTCACTCTGTTGCCCAGGCTGGAGTGCAGTGGGGTGGCCATGGTTCACTGCTACCTCGACCTTCTAGACTCAGGTGCTTGGGTGATCCTCCCACTTCAGCCTCCCGAGTAGCTGGGACTACAGGCATGTACAACCACTCCCAGCTAATTTTTTTTTTTTTTGGTAGTTTTTGTAGAGATGGGTTTCCACCATGTTGCCCATGCTAGTCTCAAACTCCTGGGCTCAAATCATCCACCCACCTCAGCCTTCCAAAGTGCTGGGGTAACAGGTGTGAGCCATGGCACCCGGCCAGTTGGTCTCTTTTTTCTTTTTCCTCATGTCCTTAGCATCTCCCTTTTGCTTGTGCTCATTTGTCCCTGTACTTTTCCTTCAAAGCACTTATCATAGTTTAAAAGTGTACTTTATGTGAGTTTTTTTATTTTAATAATCCATGTGCACCACCTAGATTAGAAGTTCCATGAAAACAGGAATCTTATTTGGGTCACTCAGCTCTGTATTTCTGGAGCCCAGCCCAGTGTCTGATGCATGGCAGGCTCTCAATAAAGATTTGTTGAATGGGTGAATAAAAAAATAAAGGAATGAAATGTTGGACTTGGGTTTTGACCTTCAGGGAGAAAGTTTTAAAACTATAATATAACTACTTATTGCTCATGAGTGATTGAGAAATCAGGTGATAGGGCTGCTCACATATATAGCAGGTATTCAGCAAAAGTTTATTGAGAATAATAAGCATAATTTTTGTTTGTTTAGAATAAGTTGCTATAGCTGTGGTAGGTCTTTTCTTAATTTTCAAACAGATAGTAGTTTGACCAGGGATAATCATGGTCTTTTACTGAAGCTGTAATGATGGTTGTGCTAAGTAATTTACCCACAGTATAGGATTTGATCCTCCAAATGATCCTCCAAAGAAGGTGACCTTATCTCCCCTTTTCAGGTGATAGAATCAAGGTTTAAAGTATTTCAGATGTTTGCAGAGATTCAAAATCACTTTTGTCTGACCTGGAAAATCAGTGCTTTATATAATTATGTAATTCTGATACACGTTTTCTCTTTCAGAACTTAGGATCTTCAAGATAAATATTTCTCTTTTGAACATTTGAATGTTTCCCTTTGTCTTAAGGAGGAGGGATGATAGAAAATCTAGGGAGCAGGGACCTTGGCTTATATAAGCCTTATTGCACCAAATACCACAGGAAATCCCTTCAGTGATGAATGTTCTATGGAATAAAGATCCAGGGGATAGGCAGTACCTTTAAGGTATTTTGAGGCCTGAGTGGTCCAGAGTATTGTTTCATAATCCCAAGTCTCTTTCCTTGGGAAATCATAAGTTCATGGTATTGTGGGATGTGGATAAAAACCTCATCCTTGCCCTTGAGTATCTGTCAGTCTGTTTGGGGGAGATTGGATGCATATATGCAAAGGACTAGGAAGAAAAGTCTGAGTTTAGCTCCTTTGGGACAGAGGATGCAGACGGTTATCCATCTATTCATCCATCTATTCATCCATCTATTCATCCATCCATCCATCCATCCATCCATCCATCCATCCATCCTTCCATCCATCCATTCATTTATCCAACCAGCCAATTAACCAACCAACCAACCAACCAACCAACCAACCAACCAACCAACCAACCAACCAACCAACCATCTAACCACCCAACCACCCACATACCCAACCAATGAAACAACCAACTAACCAATATTCAACACCTCTCATGTGCTAAACTCACAATCCAGTGAGCAAGATAATGACAGTCCCTGTCTTCATAAGTCCTATGGGCTCCAGGGCAAGTCAGAGTCCTCTGATAAACTTACCTATTATTCTTACCATCACAGCTTAGATTTGAGCACTTTTACCTCAAACACTGTACTAAAGGTTATACTCTTATTATATCATTGACTTCTCTTAATTTCTCCTACCTGCAAGAAGTAATTGCATTGTATAGTTATTCACATAACACATGTGAAGAAATGAGTTCAAAGAGGTTAAGAGATTAATCTTACCCAAAGTCCTGTAGATAGAGAGTGGCAGCTTCAGGACACCAGTCCAAGCCTTATCTATATTGCAAGTATTGCATAAAACCTCAGCTGAAATTTTGATAAATTTTATGGAACTTAAGCTAGATAGATCTTGTTCACCTGAACATCCTGTCTGGGATGCATGGTAGTAGACTGAACAGCTCCACTGCTTATGAAATGTGTGACCTCAGGCAAGTTGTTAAGCTCTTGGTGCTTCATGTTTATCATTGGCAAATGGAGATGATAATAGTACTTATCTCATGGGATTGTTGTGTGGATCAAATGTGTGAATATATGTAAAGTGCCTGGCCCATGTTATATAAGTGTTGGCTATTATTGTTATTGTGTTGACAGACATTTCAGAAGAGTACTTGTTTGGGCGAAGAAGTTAATGAACACTTCTTTGTTGAACCTGTGGGGTTAAGGCATGCTTAGAGGAATGTAATCTGGGCTAGATGCTTGGCTATTCAAGTGAGCATGTGACAGTGATGGTCTCAGTCTGCCTCCCTTGTCAGAGCATCATCTGTAAATGATTGCCTCCATCACTTACCAAGCACAGTCACAGGAAGTTGTGACCTCCCTTTATTGGAACTGTCATTTTGAACCTATGTTTAGTCTGGCAGACGTTTTGACCTCCGTGATATATTGCTGAGGGTGTTTTGACTCCATGCTTATAACTACAACATTAAAAACACCAATAATGGCTGAATTTTTATCAAGAAAGTATTTTCTTAATTAATGCTTACTCAATCATTTTTACTCCAAGATAAATGTTCAATACAGAGCAGTTAAACAATTTCTACCTTTTTCCATCTTCTATTTTATCAAAATCATTTTATGGAGATGAATTCTTTTGCATTTGGAATTTTACAATGATGGCTTATAATTTATTGACAATAATTTATTTAGGTCAAATTTTAGCTTCTGCCACTGAATTTTCCATCGTAGTTTTATTTCTACTAAGTCAAATTTTCCTGGTTTAAATTTGATTGATTTGAATTTTATTGGGATAATTTGATTCCCCTGTGAATGTTTGCTCATTAACACATTCTTTGTGTAGGTTAGCTGTTGTCAGTTTTATTTTGAACTGATTATTTCAATCGAAACGGTGAGGGACAAATGCCTAATCACCTTAAGCGTCTATGGAAGCCAGGAGTGAGGCCAGGTAAAGGCAGCCCAGACCAGATCTAAATGAAACGCTGTGGGCTAAGTTTTCATTCACAGAAGATGGGCAGAGTGGCAGATCAGAGGTAACTATCAATGATACAAACTTCAAGGAAATGATGAGATACAGAGGACCAAAGTTAAAGTCAATGATATATGTGAAGCATGATGATTTTCCAAGCCATACCCAAACCCTATGAGCTGTGCATGTTATACCCAGCAGTTTAATCCTGGAAGACTCTTGGTGCATGTTGCAGGGATGAGTTAGCTCAGTGTGATGTAGTTAAAGAGCAGTGGGATTGGGGTCAGGTGATCTGGGGTCTGAACCTAGTTCTGTCACTCCTTGTGTATACTGGGACAAGTCCATCTCCCACCTGAGGTCTCAGTTTTACCAACTGTCAAAAGATTGCCCTAAAAGTTCATAGACCCCTTCGAAAATCTGAAAAAAAAAAAAAAAAAAAAAACCAATGAAATCTCTTCTTGGAATTATGTATACACACCCATACACATACTTTCAAAGGCCTCATGGACCCTTTAATGCACGCCCAAGGATGATGAGTTAAAAACCTCAGTCTCGGTAATCTGTCAGGACCTGTCCAGGGTTGACATGCTAGGGCTTAGGTAGGTGTTATATATGTATCCTCCAGGTGATGCCTGAGAACTGACATACATACTGCTTATGGATAAAAATGGAGACATCCAGAAAAGCAGGATCTGGAACCCTTTGTATGCATTGTTGGTTTCTTAGTGTTTTCATTAATATTATGAATGGTTAAGAGCATAAACCTTGGGATTATGCTACCTGGGTAAAAATCCCCACTGTGTGCATGACCTTGGGCAAGGCACTTAACCATTCTGGGCCTCCATTTCTGCATCTGTAATATGGAAGTATTAATGATATCAACTTCATAGGGCTGTTGGATGAAACAGCTAAATGTTCAATTGTTACCTCTTATTACCTAGTGATTGAATTCATGTTCTGATAATTTTATGTCATACAAAGTGGCAGCTGGTGGGCTTTGGAGACCCTCTAGCTCAGCTCTGTTGTTATTATATGAAAAGTGAACCAGAAAAGGGAAAGCCTTACCCATGGTCACCCAACACATGTTAGGGTTGCTCTCTGACACTCCCCTTAGACACCAGGAAAGTTGAGCCACCATGACATCATCAGCATACCAGCTTCCAGTGCAAGAGGAGGCTCACCTCCATGGATAAAGTCCCATGTGATGATCTGCCATATTTGTAGAGTTCTCTGACACCAGCTGTTTCTGTTGTGAGTATAGAGTGATTCAGGGCAGGTTGGACACCAGTGAGTATAATTTCTACAAAAGCAGTTTGCAAGAGCCTCTCATTCTACCTGGAAATTAGTCACACTGATTCTAATTACAAGGCTTTTGTGACCCCAGCTGACTGGCCACCCCTCCCAGAGCAAGCATTTCAACCACCCAGCTGCAATGTCTGGAGACTACTTGATGTTACTACCACTAAAAGAACTGGAGCTCCTGGGGGAAACCCTTCAGATATAACCACTGTATTATCTGACAGAAAGCAAAAGCTAAGGTGGAAGCCCACTCAAGAAACTTCCAAAGACTCCTGGGTCCTGGGAAATACAGGATGAGCCCATATGGCTAAAGTTAGCTTTGTTGTTGAGGGAACTGTAGATTTAATTGCTGGCTGGATGGTTTGTGTTGCTACTCCCCACAAAGAAATTGACCCTCTTCTTCAGAGCACAGCAAGGGGTACACATTACCCTAGTGAAAGCACCTTCTTTGCCCTGCTGGTTTCAGCTGCAGGAAGTACATTCTTGCAGTATATTCACTCTCACATCCAATGTGGTATATGGGTAAAAGCTTTTGTATAGAGAAGAAAAAGTCCTCTACATATGTTAATTTCTACCCCATGTGTAGTTATTGGTCTTTTGCTGTGAATGTTCCTGGTGTTTTAAAGGGTCATATTAAACGTTTTGGGGCTTCTGAGGGATTGGGGTTTTGAAAGTCCCCTGGAAAGTGTCAACAGATGTTCAACAAGTGATCTAATTCTGGGTTTTGGGAAATGAAGTTTGTGAACTTGGCTGGGACCTCAGGGCTTGGAGTCAGATAGCTTTGGGACCTTGGAGACATGACTTAACCTCTCTGGGTCTCAGTTTTCTCACCTGTCAAATGGGTTATCCCAGAACTTGCCTTATAGAATTGCTGTGAAAATTAAAAGAGATAATGTACTTAGAATACTTAACTCAGGGCCTTGCTTATTGCAAATATTTAATATATAATTGCTATTATATTTTGTATCCTGTATACTCTATAATAAATAACACAGCTAATGTTTACTGAGCATTTATGGTGTATAAAGCATTGGATTAAATTCTTTGAATGCATGATTTCATTTTCTGTGTTCACAACAACCTCAAGGGTGGTATTATTAACATGCCCATTTTATAGGTGAGGAAACAAGGTCTTGGAGAAGTTCAGTAACTTGTTTGAGGTCCAATAGCTTGTGAGTAGCAGGGGCAGAATTTGCATTCAATTGATCTGGTCCAAGGGCCCATGCTGTTCGCCACCAAGCTGCTCTGATCTCCTTTTGCTCCTGACTTGGCTTCATCAGCATGGTTGTCTTTAGGTTAACCTGGTCTTCCCCTCAAATCCTCTCCTGTGAACCACTTGGCAGCACAACATTGTGTGGGTATGTGTGTTTGTTGACAAAGGCCAGCTTGCTTATGATGGGAGGTGTGAACATTTACAGCAAACTAAGGAAACTAAGGCTCAGAGAGGCATATATCTGTACTTCTAAAGAGGAACAGTTTGTCATCTTACTATGAATATATTTTAAATGACCAATGTCCTAGTAGGAGAAAGGAACTGCAAGTGCAAGCAGAGACAGGAATAAATCAGAGAAAGAACAAAACAGAGTAGCCTAGCGCACCCAGAGCATACCATCATGAAACCTACTTTGGGGCTATCTCAGTTTCCCCAGGATGGTTCACCCATGAGAGAAAGCAGGGAAAACTGGCTTAAGGGAGCTATATTTTGAGTGAGAGGAGAGGTTGCTTGGAAATGACTCCTAGAAAAGAAGCAGCCCCCACCCCATCAAACACACACACATACACACAAACATGCACACACTTGTGTATCCCCACACCCCAAGAACTCATTCTTTTCTGTTATGTATCTCATTTTTCCCCAGTGCAGGTGGATTGATTCATAGGGACATTTCCCAAATGTCCTGGTTGCTATATAGTTCTTCTCTCTCCGTTCATTCCAGCTGCTTCTGAATACCAGATTGTTGAAGCTCTTGGGTCCCTGTGACTCACTCTATCCTGGGTCACTCTCCAGATCCCCTTGAATGAGTGGTTCCAGTATTCATGTTCTGGAAGAATGGCATAAGATTTTATCAGACTGTTTTATTATCAGTGCAAACCGGACAATACAGAATTGTACCAACATCTGCAGCAATATACATAGGTGGTCTGAAAATGTCAACACTTTGCAATCCCCAAAACTCACATGTAAGTCCTTCCTTCAGAGTGATTTTCCAAGGTACACAGTTCTGCTGACCAAGGTATAGCTCCTGCCAAAGGATTCAACAACTACAATGTGATTTCTGGATGTGAATGAATTCAGATATTCCTCAGCCATATTTATGCTGGTTAAGGTAGACCTAGGTTCAAATCTTGTCTCAAAGTGCTTAGTATCTGTGTAGCATTAACAAATCACTTTATCTTTCTGAGCTATGGCTCTTTCAACTGTAAAATGGGGATAATAAATACCTATATAGCAAAGTTATTGTAAAATTAATGAATTAATATGTCTAAAGCAGTTAGCATGGTGGCTGGAATGTAATAGGTCGTTAATAGATTATGGCTATTTTTAAAACCCATGACTTGAGCCTGTAATCTTGGAAAAAAGACTCAAAAAGGGAATTCAATGACTCCAAAAGGAACTCAAGGAAATATAAAGAAAATACGTTAAAAAACAATGACAATAGCAAATTCTTCCACAATCCAAGACATTGTTTTGTGTGTGTTGTGTGTGTTATATGAGTGTGTGGTTGGTGGTTGTTTTTTTATTTCCTTCATGTCTGGGCTCAGTAGGGCACAACTAGACCAGATAAGGGAAACATTTTGAGTGAGAGAGAAGGTTGCTTGCAAATGACATCTCAAATCCAAAGAAGAAAGCAAAGTGATAACCCTTAAACATTAAAGTTATGGGGATCGTGTTTTTGAACCATGAGGTGGAACAAGTGACATAACAAACCACCCCAAAAGTTTCTGATTTAAAACAGCTTATCATCATCTGTTGGTCTGATGGATTGACTGGGCTCACCCGGGCAATTCTCGCTTGGGTTCTCTACTGTTGTTGCAGTCCAATAGTGGCCAGAGCTGGAGTCATCAAAGGCTCCTCTGGGCTGGGCATCGAAGATGGCTTCCTCACGGGGCTAACAGTTGATGCTTGCAGTTGGTTGGGAGCTCAGCTGGGGCTGTGATCAACTGGAGCCGTGAGCCATGTCGACTCCATGTGGCTTGGCCGTCTTACAGCATGGTGGCTGGTTCCAAGAGAGTGCATTCCAAGAGCTAGCATTCCAGGAGATTAAACGGGGAGCTGCAAAGCTTCCTATGACCTGGCCTCAGAAGTCACACAGTGTCACATCTGCTATATTTTATTGGTTATACAAAGCCAGCCTAGAGCTGGTATAGGAGGGGATTACTCAATGGCATGAGCACTGGGAAGCCTGGTTCACTTGGGGCTATCTTGGGGACTAGATAGTAAGGCAGCTTTACAAGACCAGATAACATTCCCATCTGGGGTAGGATTTTTGATAATGATTTTCATGTCCATGGGAGAAGGAGTAAAGATGCTTTGTTACCCACTTTTCATAAAATCTAGCTTGTTCTCTTGAATCTTCCACCACTCAACTTCTAGCCTGTGTGCATAGAGTTTTTATTACCCAGTAAGGCCAAAAGAACCCAGCCTTGTCCTTAAGACATGCAGGAAAAATATTAGGTAAGTCACCTTCTCTGTCTCCAAGTGGGCAGATGATATGACTCTCTGTCCTTGGCCAGAGGAGGTGCAACAGCATTCTCGGCACTTCCTTGTGGGTATCTGGAGAAGTGGCCAAAGTGGAGATGGCTCACCTTTAGGTGCACTCACTATGTAAGCTTACTCTGGGCCACAGAGTGGAGATTTTCAGATGAGAAGTTTCATGATCTAAAGAACACACACACACACACACACACACACACACACACACACACACACACAGATTTTGAATGAGGCCTCGAGTGAGGACATGACTTGGTGAGCTTCCCATGCTTGTTAAGTGGTGGGAGAGTGACCACAGCTTTGTTCTTCTCAGTCTTAATCTGATGATCTTCACTGAATCACTCCACCACACTCGTTATAAGGTTTCCCTTTGTTTCTGTAGTCATTCCTGGCACTTAGTTATTTCAGTGTTTATATATAGTGAGACTCTTTGAAAATGCTATAGGTGAGAAACCCAGCCAAATATGTGGAAGTCTTATGGAATATGCCCAAGACTATAGATGTAAAGACCATGCAGGTCTGCTGTGGGATAGAAATGTTAGCTGGAAGCTCAGCCTGATCTCTCATGAATAAGGCCTGGGAGAGTTTCAACACCTTATCTCCTCAAGTTTACTTACATACTCAATAAATAGTTGTTAGATTCCTTCTATGTGCCTGGCACTGCCCCAGGCTGTAGCAATAGATCAATGAAAAAAACTTATAAAGTTCTTGTCCTCTTGGCACTTGCAATCCAATGAGAATATTCCTGAACATTCCCAATGGTGACAGATAGAACCAATCTTTGTTCAGAACAAAGACCATTGGCAAAAATGTGCTTTTTCTCCTCTCCCCACAGAGGGGTTACAGTGGTTAAAATAATTTAAATCAAATTAAATTTAGAAGCATTTGATTTACACATTTCTTCTAAAGTGTGAGACTAATAAGATGATTTTGGAATGGATCTAAAATAAAGAATTTCAGATTAGAGAATTAAGCACAATGAACTACCATGAAATACATTAGCTGGGGAATTAATATTTCATTTTCCAAAAATCATTTTAGAAACAATAGCTCCCTGGCATTGAACTGGAGTCTTTGAAAACTCTGCCTCTCCTTGGAATTCTTGATATGACCTCATATTATTGCATTGTTAAATAATCTCAGCATTTTTTGGGTGTAACTGTTTTAACAAGTTAACACTTGATGCTGTTTATACAACGTGTCCCTTGGAGGAGCAAGACAGAACAGGACTGGGAGATTACAGCATGGGAATGGGATTTAGGCTCGTCACATTTGGTTGACTGAGCAATTCTTATGCTCTGATTTGGCTTATTATGATGCCTACAAGTCACCCTAACAAGTGGCTTAATAATTTGTCAAAAAAGGTATCTGTCATGTACTCAAACCTGTTGTGTATGAATAATCTAATTGAAGTTCACTTTTAAAATGATAATTCAACAAGCATTTATTAAGAACTTACTGCATTCTAAGCAATGTAGTTGATGGAGGTTGCTACCCTGGCAGATCTTAACTCACAAAGGGTCAGAGAAACAGCAGAAAAATGAGTGCTATGATAAAAGTAAGACAAGGAGATGTAATAGGGAGTGAGTGGGGTTACCTTGGCTTTCCAGGGCTTCCGTTTTCTCACTAAGTCTATCATTTAGAGCTGGGACCTAATGGAAGATCTCTAAGGTTCTTTTAGTTCTAACATTTAGTAATCACATGATTTGTGCTATTAGGTTTTTAGAACAGTCACTAGCAATGTCTGTTTTTTAATTAGCACAATATTTAATTGCTTTCTGATTTCAGATACATTTTTTTTCTCTTGTTCTTACAAAAACCCTGCAGAGATGAAGAAGCTGTGGTTTAAGGCAGTTATGTAACATACCCAAGTTCACACGGGCAGTAAAATAGGCTATTAAGCAGGGCCTTAGTGAGTGAAAATTGATTATAATTGGATCAAAACAGCCTTACTTAAAGAAGTTGAACTAATGAGTTCTAATTTCCTTTTAAACACCAAGATTCTGCATTTATGTGTTTTTCAAAAATCACCCTAGAGATGATACTCTGTAAGTCTCATGTCAGAAAAATGATCGAGTGGTATCTATAGGTTACTTTGCTCCCAGCACAGACATGAAGTCTTTTGAGCCCTAATGGAGATATGATAGTGGGCCAAATCTATATAAAAATGACATTCCACACATTGAAAAATAAAAGTGGCTATTGCTGCTGGGAATGCAAAATGAAACAGCTGTTTTGGAAAATGCTTTGATAGTTTCTTATAAATTAAACATACACTTACAAAGTGATCCAGAATTGCTACTCCTAGGTATTTATATCAAAGAAATGAAAACTTATGTATACAAAAGCCTATACACAAATGTTTAGAGTGGATTTATTCATAGTTGCCAGAAATTGGAACAACCCAATGTCTTCAAACTGGGAAATGGATAAACAAACTATGGTGTATTCATACAGTGGAATACTACTCAGTAATAAAAAGAAATGAGCACCCAATACATGCAACAACTTGGAGTTACATCAAATGCATTATGCTAATTAGAGGAAGTCAGACTTAAAATGCTACATACTGTATATAATCCATATGGCATTTTAAAAACTACAGGATCAGCAAACAGATCTGTGCTGTGAGTTGGAGGAAGAATTGATGAAAAAAGACACAAGAAAATTGTTTGAAGTGATGGAGCTGTTCTATATCTTGATTGTAGTAGTGATGGCATTGAATGCATTTGCCAAAACTCATAGAACTCTGTAACTAAAAAATAATGAATTTTATTATATATAAATTATACCTTCATAACAGGGTACCCTCAAATGAGTAGTAATATATTTTTGCGTGTGTTTTGATTTTAAGTGCTTTGAGTGAATAGTTTTTTTTTTTTCCAGAAAAGTAGCTCATTCTTATTCAGTGTTTGTTTTCTGAGGATGTCAAGTGGAGTCAGAACCAATAAAAGTTCTATCAAGAAGAGTCTCAGTTAACCAGATTAGCTTGCCCAGGTTGGTGGAACCATGAAAACCAGATTAAAAATAATGGGAGTAATCTTCCATTGCTTCCATCCCTAGGATTCACTTCCTGTCCTGTTTTATACACTTTGTAAATGGTACCTCTATAACCCATTATGCTTTTTGGCATCATTGCTCACTTTGACTATTTGCAGATTACAAATTATTTGAGGTCAAAGAAGTGAGTGGAGTACATAACCTTCAAGGTGAAGCAGGAAGCAGATGCCTCCTTCTGAGTATAAGTTCTCTTAGGTCAGATACTGGGAACAAATTTGTTTACAGCACCAAGCACAGCTCTTTGAGGGTTGGAATACCCACTAAACATCTAAGCAAATGTGGACATTTACCCTTCAGGGATACATGCTGACAAATTCCTTCCTATATGCCAACCTGAAAGACCAACCTTGGAGATATATGAAGCATTGCCTAGTCCAGAGTGAGGCAGAAGACTGAGTCAGGGGTTTCGACTTAGTCAAGGAATGCTCAATTTTCACCTTTTCCCTCTTCCTGCATACCTTCCTCATGAGTCATGAGCCCAGACAAGGCCCCAGGGTTTTTCCCAATATAGTTCTTCAGGAAGTCACTATAAGTCAAGTGGAGTTGGTATTTATATGGCATTTGTTCCTTTTAAAATGTATTTTTAATTGATAAATAATAATTGTATATATTTATAATGTATAATGAATAAACTGAAAAATTCAATAGAAAGCTTCAACAGTAGGTTCAATTAAGCAGAAGAAAGAATAAGTGAACTCAAAGACAGGACACTTGAAATTATCCAGTCGAAGGAACAAAAAGAAAAAAGAATAAAAGAAGTCTATGGGATCTATGGGAAACCATCAAGAGAACTAATATTTACATAATGCAATTTCAGAAAGAGAAGAGAGAGATAAAGGGACACAAAGCCTATCTAAAGAAATAATAGCTGAAAACGTCCCAAATCTGGGAAGTGATATCAATATTCATGTACAAGAAGTTGTATGCAGGTTCTTTTCACTTTGAGAAACAGAAGGTGAAACTCAAACTGGCTTAAGTAATTTTAAAAAAATGTATTGGTTCAAGTGACTTAAAAACCACACTGGTTCCAGGAGCAGGTTGATAGTACCTCAAAGATGTCACCATCTCTTGGATGTGCTTTCCCTGTTCATTCCTAAGCTTCATGCAGTTTCAGGGTGGTGACCAGAAGTTTACATCTTATCTTCCCTCTCCCCTGTGTTTGACTGGAACAGAAAAAAGAGTGTCTTATTCCCTAGCACTTTGGACAAAAGCTCTGGACATGATGGCCATTTGTGACAGGGAAGTAGAATACCATTATTTGACCAGTCTGGGACATCTGAATTCAGGGCTAGAGAACACAGACAGGGGCTAATGGGGTGCGGGGTAGGGGGAAGGAAACCCCAAAATAGGAAGCTAGATTGCTGTTACTGGAAGGGGAATGTGCACTTCAGCAAGATGAAATCAGTATGCAATTCAGCTCCCACATATGCAGAACTGTAAAAAAGGGAGCTGCATTTGGTTTCTTGGGACCTCCACCTGGATAAACTGAGTTCGGGGGTTCAGCATGCATCTAACAAGATGCTCCTATTCCCAGCAAATTTTTTCTTGGTGCTCCTTGCTATCTCCTTTTGAGCTATTTTCATCCACTCAGAACCTGGTCTGTTCCCTCCATTACCATATCTTAGGCCACAGGTGTATTCATGACACCCAGGTGCCCCTCTTCAGAGAGATGGAGAGAGTGGGAGCTTTTCAAAAGGAATTTGTACTAAAAATGGTAAGTGGCAATTTGAAAAACAAACAAACGAATGAAGCAAAGTAACAAAAAATACTGTACTCAAAATGCTTTTAACAGGACATGTTTTATACAGCATGTGCTTTAAGCCAAATTAAGTAAAGCCTAGCCACAGATTAGATCCCAGAAGGTGAGACTAGCAGGAGGTATTTAAAACACCTGCTAGTTCTCCCTCTTTATCCCATAGATGGGACACTGAGGCCCAGGAAAGGGAACACCTTGACATCAGCATCAATGTCAATGCCAATGTCAATGTCAGAGCTGGGCCTGAGACCAACATCTTCTACTTGCAGACATGATGCCTCTGCTGCGTCAGTCTCCTAAAGTTATCTTTCACAAGGTCCACTGGTGTTAAAACAGCTCATTTTTTATTTTAAAAGTATTTTTAAGTAATCTATATGAACAAATAATGAATTCTCATGATTCCCAAATGAAAAATTAAACAAGGAATAGCATGCCCCCATTTCCCTACCATAGGCCACATTTAAAAAATTAGTTTCTTGTGTATTCTTCCAGGGATATTTTGTGTGTATAAAAACAATTCAGTGACATACTCTCCCGCCATTTTAAATATTATAGCATACTATACACTCTGCTTTGTACCTTGCTTATTTCAAAATGTAAATCTTGGAAAATCTTTCATATGACTCTACAAACAGTATCCTCATTCATTTTTACAGCTGTAAAGTATCTCCTTGCATGATGGGAATAACAGTTTATTTAGCTGGTTCTCTAGTGGTGTCAATTTGGTTATTTTTGATACTGTGCTACTGTAAACAATGCTGCAATCAATAACTTTATACACATGTCATTTCATGTGATTGTGATTATATATGTAGGAAAAATTCCACAAAAGTGAAATAGCAGAATACTAAGGGCATATGCATTTGTTGTTTTGATAGACGCTGAATGGCCCTTCATGATGCTCTTGTCAATGTATTCTCCTACAATGCGGAGAGTGCCTTTTTCCTCAGGCCCTCCCCAACACAGCCAGTTACTAATGTTGTCTTTGAGTGTTTAATAGTTGTGAGGTGGTATCTCAATGTTTTAAAATTTAAACTACAGAAATAAAAAAAAAATACTGGAATCCTGTTTCCAGAGACATTTTTATTATCACTCAAATGATAGTAATATCCTCGCACATATTTCCACCTTTTTTTCACCCCAAATTCATTATTGACATCATTCAGCACATACAATATCTATTTCCTGAGCATTTATCAGATTTTAGGCACTGGAGATAAAGCCCTACCCAAGAAAGACACACTCCCTGTCTTGTGGGGCTTATAGTCTAGTTGGAAGGCATTTAAAAATAGACTATTAGCTTAAAGAGTGTTAAGTGCTTTGAAGAGTACCACAGGGTGATGTAGCAGAGGGAAATCCTAAAGTGAGGTGGGAGCACGTTAGCCTGTCCCTCTGCTTCCTCCCCAAGATCGGTGATCTTTAGGAGCAAGTAGGATAAAGTGCAAAGTGAGCAGAGTGCTCTCACAAGCTTACTATTAATAGTAGTGATTTTTATTTATTATTTTTGGCCTGAACTGACCTGTAGCTTTGGTATTATGTAGACGGAACTTTAAGATCACCATTAAGACCGCCCCGGAGATGCTCAGCTACAGGCAGAAAAAGCCATTCCAGTTCCCCTAATGGGCTGGTGCTAAAACATAAATGTCAGTCTGGTTCCTGAGGACATGAGCCAGAACTCAGCTAAGAGTAAATTATCTTCTCCCTTTCACTAAGCACTCAATAAACAACTCATTGTCTAGTGCAGGCTTAGAAAATCCTATTTGGATTTGGAACGTAGTCCAGTTTGCATCGCATGGGTTAGGTAGTGGGAAAAACACGGCTCAAGGGATCAGGTAAAGGGAGCTGTGTTTCTGCTTCTTCCCTCTTGCTGTCCGGGAGACTTTGGACAAGCAGTAGTGGGAGACTTAGAGACTTCTGGGCAGGAAGCTTGATTAGAAGCATAAATCAGCTTGCTGCAGTTCCAACTCTGACCTGATTTGTGGGTCATGGTGCCCCTCTCAGAAACCAACCGGGTCCCCACCATGGGCTTTGGTTCTGATTTAAGTCTTGTCTCTTTGTATTTAGGTCTCAGCTTCTTTGAGACTGGAATCTTGCTTACCTGTTACCCCTATCTCTCCCTTAGGCTCTGGTCCTATTGCTCTCAGAACTCCCAGAACCTTCATTTTTCTTGCCGAGACCTCTGACCACTGTCAGTGACCAGGCATTCAGTTCCATGTGCTCAAGACCCAGGGAGTGCCCGTCTCCGTCCCATCTTGCTGGATCTCTGTTGGATTGCTCTCTCTCTCTCTCTCTGGCTGGCACTCCATCTGTGTATTTCCTTGGACACCATCTTCTGTTTCCCAGAAAGTCATTCCCCCATGCACATCTGGCTAGCTTCTCCTGACCCCATCTTGGAGGCACTGAGAGTTTCTACCTTCCTCAACTCTGGCCCATACCATGTGCAGACTTAGCAAGTGGCTTCCAACTCTTTCTTGAGCAGTGGAACCTACTTTACATGTGAACTTTTCAGTGGAACTCCATAACAGAAAATGGCAAAACAACAACAACAACAACAACAACAACAACAACAAATAGCTTATTTAGGCCATTGAATTCTTCCTGGAAAGAAACATCACTGTTTGCTGAACCTAGGAAGCACTACAGAACCCCAGGATTCCTCAAAATGTAGTTGGAAACTCTAAATTAGGCAATTCAGTCTGTCTCTATTTTCTAGGCAGCTCAGACAATTAGGTGCCTTGCTAAGGTCACACACTGAGACTAATAGAATCCAGTTTCTAGAATGTGTTACCCCCAATACAATGTGAGCTCCTCAAAGGGCAGAGACCTTCCGTGCATGTGTCACTCCTGTATCTTCCCTGTGCAGCACAATGGCTGGTCCATAGTAGGTGCATGAGCAACAGTGGCGAATGAATGAACGAGTCTTATGGGCCATGACCTAAGGAACAGTCAACAAATGTTTATTGAGGACATTTTATGTGCCATGCTCCCTGTCCTTGGCTCTGGGAATGGAATAGAAAAGGCTGATGAATGTGGTTTCTTCCCATTTGGACTTAGAAATAAGCATGGACCTGAAACAAATGATCACAAGTGGTTTATGAAATAATTGCAATGTGCCAAGCTCTGTAAAGAGAGAATATGTGGGCACCTGAGAGGGCCTGGCATCTGGAGCATCTGAAAAGTTCCCTTGAGAGAGTGATGTGACTGGTAAGTGAGGACAAGTCAGGGTTTCAAAGGCACAACTGGAGACAGAAAAGGAACTCCACAGGGAGCAGGAAGCCAGGTGTGAAGGAGCACAGGTGAGAAAGAGATAGAGAAGGGGAGAGAGAGAAAGAGAGAGAGAGGGAGAGGGAGACAGAGAGACAGAGACAGAGAGAGAGAACCACGTGTTTGCAGAAGCCCTTAGAGATCCAGGTGCCTGGGTGGGAAGAACCAAGGGGGCAATGAGAGGAGGCTGTAGACTGTAGAGGTGGGATTAGGCCAGAAGGCAGACGGCACAGGGCATTTGGGGTCTCAAAAGTGGCAGGAGATCCATAAATCAAAACATAGGCCTCCCAGCTGTCTTAGTAAATAAAGTCTTGTTGGAACCACCATTTGCTTATGTCTTGTCTGTGGCAGGCTTCATGCCACAGCAGCAGAGCTGAGTAGTTGCAACAGAGACTATCTGACCCACAGTCCCAAAATATTTACCAGCTGGCCTTTTACAGAAAGTTTGCTCACCCTTGGACTGAAGGAACCATAGAGACAAGAGGGCAGAAGCCAGATGGGCCTCGGAGCTGCCTGCTAGAGTGAGGTGGGGAGTAGGATGGAGGTGGGTCCCGATCCCCAGACCCACTTGTCCCCTCCTAATGCCTCATCTGTCATCTAGGTTATGGGTGTGGCCGAGGCTTGGTGAGGAGAGGCTCTGACCTCAGCTGCTCAGCTGCAGGACTCCTGCCAGACTCTGTCACTCCTGCAGGGAGGGCTGTCTCTGCCTGGAGCCATGGGTTGGGCAGGAACGGGGCAAATTCTCAGCCTCCACCCGTCAGTTGTATGCACTGTTCCCTAAGCCCTCCGCCCTTGCCAGCTTCTGAGCCTCTGTACAAACTGTTCTCTCTGCCTGGAGTGGCTGTTTCCACCTACCATTGCCTGTCAAAATCCTTTCCACCCTTCCAGGTGAAGTTTAAAACCACTTCTTTCAGGGAGCTGGCCCTGATTATGGCCCCTCCTCCCCGTCCCTGCCTCCTCCTCATCCAGGAGGAATGCTCGCTCCTCTTCTGGCCTCCCATAGCCCATCTTCCCCTCCTTTGTTGTAGCGACAGGAGCAAATTATGAGTTCCTGGAGATGTGTTAGTCCATTCATCCGTTCACTCCACAGCTATTTATTGAGCACCTACTGTGCACCAGAAGTTGTGGACAAAGTCTCTGCTTTCATAAGAATCAGAGAGAAAAAGCAACTACCAATAAGTAAATAAACAAATGAAACATTTTCAGGCTGATAAGGGCTAAGCAAGAAAAAAAAATCTCATGTTTGAGAGTTTTGGGGTGGGGTGTGGGTACACCAGGTTAGGCAGGTCAGTCAGGGACGGCCTCGCTGAGGAGGTGAAATTTGAGCTGAGGTATGAATCAGCTATGGAAAGAGCTGGAGGGAGGGCATTCCAGGTCGAGGGGAGAGCAGGTGCCAAGACCCTGAGGCAGGAAAAAGCTTGGTGTGTTTGAGAAACAGAAAAAAGTCTGGTGTGGTGGGACTTCAGTGGAGGAGGAGAGGTATGAAGGGGTCAGGGAGGCCAGTGGGGCAAGGTTGGGTCAGGCTTTGTGAGCTCTGGTGAGCAGTGTGGGGTTTTGTGTGTATAGGAAGCCACTGGACACTGTTAAGCAGGGGAGTAATGCCCATTCTTTCAGCTAAGTGCTGAGAATGCAAGGAAGACTGGAGATGCTCCCTTCCCTCTAGACGTGTATGCCCTGGTGGAGGTGCCTTTCCTTGATGAATGTCATTCAAGCACAAAGCCTGGTTTCCACTTTGCAGATGCAGATATTTGATTTGCCAGGTTCCTCTCACCCCTCATTATTGAGAGTGTAGTTCAAAGTCTTCTGTGGCATCAGCTGGGAACATGTGAGAAGCACAGACTCTGGGGCCTCACCTCAGACCCCCTGGATGAGAATCTGCAGTTATCAACAGCCCCCACTGATTTGTGTTCACGTTAAACTGTCCTAGAAGCAATCAAGGTACAGAGTGATAGATTCTCACTAACCAAATTGAGAAGGCAGTAATGAGTCGGATGCTAGCTCAAGAGTTTATAGTGGGGGCTAATAACCTTACATCTGAGCTTCTCAAAACTTTAAAGTGCATATACGTCACCTTCGAATCATGTTAAAATGCAGACTTTGGGTCAGTAGTTTGGAATGATACCACAAACTCCGCATTTGTAACAAGCTTGAAGGTGATGTTGATGCTGCTGATCCCAAAATCTAAGCCTCATGTGACACTCAACGCCATCAGTCCACTTGATTTTTATTCTTATCCTGTGATGAGTTGCTTTGTCTCATTATGTGAATCAGGAAACTGAGCCGTAGGAAGCTTATGTTTGAGCTGTGTGACCTTGGGCAGGCAGCTAGGCTCATTTCCTCATCTGTAAAATGGGGTTGGGGGTACTTCTGCCTGCATTAGAGGACTGCTGGGGAGAGCAAATGAACTAAAGCACATCCTGTTCTTAGCACAGCGCCTGGCACACAGCAGGGACTCAGTATTTGGTCATTTGTTTATTTTCTAGGACTTGATCTAGGTTTTCAGCCTCCAAAGCTGTGGTTCTCTCTCCCAGGTTAGTAGAAACTAGGGGTCAGCTCAGCTAGAGGATGAGGTTAGGAATGAAAATACTTAGCAATAATTGAATATGGGGGCCGTCGGCTGGCAGAGTTTCCTCAGAAGTGTGGTGAGTTCACGTCTCCAATTCTGAGGATATTTGTACTGGAGCTTTGCCCATCAAAGCTTCTTCTTTCTCAGACTATGCTGGAGACACACAGGCATGTCTTTTGGTCTCTTCTTTTTGCCCTCTAGACCACACACTCACACAGCTGTCCTGACAACAACCATGACCTCAGACCCATCAGAGTTCAATTGCAAAGACCACAGTACCCTGTGCTATTCCAGGCATGGCTTCTGGAGGAGAGGCCCAGATTTCCAGTTGGCCTCAGGTGACACAATGATGACTGAGTTTACAAGCTTCTGTGGCCATTTCCATTTAAACAAAGGAACAGCATGTCGTGCCTCTATTCACTGTCCTCTCAGCTCCAGTTTTTGAGGCTGACATTCCTGAAAGTGCTCCAAATCCTGGGGATAGACTCAGTCTGTAGTTCCTTAGTAGAAATAATCTGTACAGCACTTAATAATTTATTAAGCACTTAATTTTATTTCATGGCTTTCAAAAGGACATAGAGCAGATATTATCCAAATTGCAAATGAGAAAATTAAAGAGATTAAGTAATGCCCTCAATCACTCATGCAGTAACTGCCTTCCAACTCTGAGTTCATTTAATCAACCTATATTTATTGAGCAGCCAGTATGAAGAGGCCCTGTGCTGGGCCCTGGAGAGAGAATATTGAGGAAAAGCAGGCAAGTCCTTGCGTTCATGGTGCTCACATTCTAGTGGGGAAGACTTATGTTAAACAAATAATCACCCATATAAATACAACAGTGCCTCTATGATAAGAGCCAAGGAAAACAGGTGGTGTTGCTTTGACAGCCTAATAGAGAGGGGTTTGACATAAAAGAGAAGGCTTCCCTGAAGCTACTGAGCTGGGATTGTTTTTTTTTTCTTTAAGTCTTCTTTGCTATTTATTTTATTTTATTATTATTACACTTTAAGTTTTAGGATACATGTGCACAACGTCAGGTTTGTTACATATGTATACATGTGCCATGTTGGTGTGCTGCACCCATTACCTCGTCATTTAGCATTAGATATATCTCCTAATGCTATCCCTCCCCCACCGCACCACCCCACAACAGTCCCTGGTGTGTGATGTTCCCCTTCCTGTGTCCATGTGTTCTCATTGTTCAATTCCCACCTATGAGTGAGAACATGCAGTGTTTGGTTTTTTGTTCTTGTGATAGTTTGCTGAGAATGATGGTTTCCAGCTTCATCCATGTCCCTACAAAGGACATGAACTCATCATTTTTTATGGCTGCATAGTATTCCATGGTATATATGTGCCACATTTTCTTAATCCAGTCTATCATTGTTGGACATTTGGGTTGGTTCCAAGTCTTTGCTATTGTGAATGGTGCCACAATAAACATACGTGTGCATGTGTCTTTATAGCAGCCTGATTTATAATCCTTTGGGTATATACCCAGTAATGGGATGGCTGGGTCAAATGGTATTTCTAGTTCTAGATCCCTGAGGAATCGCCACACTGTCTTCCACAATGGTTAAACTAGTTTACAGTCCCACCAACAGTGTAAAAGTTTTCCTGTTTCTCCACATCCTCTGCAGCACCTGTTGTTTCCTGACTTTTTAATGATTGCCATTCTAACTGGTGTGAGATGGTATCTCATTGTGGTTTTGATTTGCATTTCTCTGATGGCCAGTGATGATGAGCATTTTTTCATGTGTTTTTTGGCTGCATAAATGTCTTCTTTTGAGAAGTGTCTGTTCATATCCTTTGCCCACTTTTTGATGGGGTTGTTTGTTTTTTTCTTGTAAATTTGTTTGAGTTCATTGTAGATTCTGGATATTAGCCCTTCGTCAGATGAGTAGGTTGCAAAAATTTTCTCCCACTGAGCTGGGATTTGAAGAATAACCAGGCAGGGCCCTGACAAAGACTTTTGTTTTTACCCTAAGAGTACTGTCCAGCCAACTGAGGGGCTCGAAGATGGATGTTTTGCACAGAAACTCCCTTAGCACTAATCTTAGTCCACTTTTTTTATCCTTGCCTTAGTCTCCTACTTCCCTGGGACATGCTTGAAGACAGAAATTAGCTCTTAAGTGGTGAGACCCAAAGAGACTAAATCTGAGCTAAGTAACTCAGTCAAGGCCCTGGCCACACATGCCATCCTCAGTGAATGTCCGAAGAATGTAGGCAGCAGGGGATTGAAGGCAAAATGCCAACATTCCGAACAGGCAGGAAGGTGAATGATTTATATCATGAACATGCAGGTCGGTGCCTGAAAATGAGGACAGCAAGGAATCTAGAATGTTCCATCTTGGGCACCCTTTCATGCAAAATCAGAAAAACTTTTCCATTCCCAAGGAATAGAAGCTGGTAAGGTATGTACTCTGGGGTCTGAATGCCTGGGTTCAAATCCCAGCTCTTCTAGTTAGCAGATTCTAAGCAAATCACTTCTCCTCTTTTCCTCTTTATCTGCCAAATGGGGAAGATAAGATCTCTTCTAAGGATGTTGTGAGGATTAAATAAGATGATGTCAGTGAAGCGCTTGACACATGGTGAGTTTTAGTAAGCAGTCGTGATAGCATTATTAGGGGTGCTGGCAAAGAGCCTGGGCAATTTCACAGCGTGAGCCCCTAGTCTCTCACTTGTATGGGTGAAGACCTCCTGTGAAATATGATTAGCTGCTTCCTTCAGGTTTAGCTGATGAGTGACCTTGTCACTGCCCTAGTGGAAAAAAATAAAAACTCCTGAGATTGACATCCACAGATCGTCACCATGGGGGCCCTGCCTGATTTTTCACCCTCCTTCGAGATCACTTGCGTGGCCTGCAGTACCTGCTGCTATTCCCCTAAAGCATCATGCCTTTCTATGGGAGATGCTCACCTGTATAACTGGTCACCTGGCTACCTCCTAAAGTCACATCCTTATGAATCCTTTCCCAATTTCCCCACAGAAAGTATTATTCATTCAATCATCAAGTATTTACTGTTGGCACATCTAATGTGTGCCAAGACTATTGGAGGTATTAAGGACATAGTGATAAACACAGGTTCAAAATTCCTGCCCCTGTGGAGACTCCGTTTTGTTTTGGAGAAACAGGCAATATGCAATATGCAAATAAATAAACAAGGTAGTGTCAGATACTGAAAGAATGTTTCCAGGGAGAAAACAGAGGTGACATGATAGAGACTGCTGGGGTGCATGTGGAGAAGCTACAGGGGATGATGAGATGACTGGGGAAGACCCGTTTGAGGAGGATGCATAAACTGAGACTGACTGATGAGCAGGAGCTAGCCAAGTGAAGTGACGGGAAAAGATGGTTCTAGGCAGAGGGACGAGCAGGGCAACCCGAAGCAGAATGAAGGGCAGTGGGACCAAGCAGAGTGAAGATGGTGAGGATGCTGTGAGTGCAGCTGGAGAGGCAGGCAGGGTCCAGGTCACACCTCGCTCTGAGACTCCCCCCATGCTTTGAGATAACTCCGTTGCAGTCTTTTCCACATTGGCATATAATGTGGGCATTAGGGACCAGGCTTTTTTTTATGTCTGTACCCCAAGCACAATGCGTCGTTCATAGTCAGGACTCACTAAATGTTGATTGAATAAGAGCCAATTTGAGACAGGGCCTCAAAGTCTGGAATGGATTTTGGGTGATGCAGCATGTCTAAGGCAGTCTTTGCTGAATCACCACCCTTGTTACACTTCTCTCCAAGTAATTTTGGTAGTAACTGGGCAAATGCCCAAAATTTGAAAACAGTTCCAAATTACAGATTTGGAAGACTTGCTTCTGACTGAGATAAGCATAAATCATCATCTCTTCTGGAAGGAGGCAGAGCCAGACAGGAGGTGTTCTGGAAACAAACATAAACTGTTGATCAAATTCTAATCAATTTCATAAAAGAAATTGTAGCTGAGTATAAGTGACATAAAAGGTAAGACAGAGACGTGACCTCCCCAGAACTAGAATAGGCTGGTGGGACGATAAACACTGGCAAAAGGGGACCCTGGGAGAGGGAATCTGAGGGCTGAGCGCGATAATTGGAAAACAGACCCAACCAGGATGAGACAGCAGCCAGGAGCGAGGGTCTGAGTCACCACTAAGGAAATATCGAGCCACACGCAGCTTTTCCTACCCGCCTAGTGAAAACTATTTGCTCAAATCCTGTTCTATTTCAGGAAGTGCCAGCTGCATCATAGGAAGTTCTGCTCTTTCCACATTAGGAACAAGAGTCACTTCTCTTTGCTTTTGGGTGTTCACAGGGCACCAGTTCTGGAGGGCACAGGGTTATTCTGCCACTCAAATAAGGTAGATCAGTACAGTCTAATCTGGGCAGTTAAGCAGGCTGCCTTCCCTCAGACAGAGAAAAGCTGAGCTTGAGTTACCTCCATAAAGGATGGCTTTCAGTCCCTCTGAGCAGCCCTAAAGTGTTCCTGTGTCAGCTCAAAGAGAAAAAGTGGCCAGATGTCATTCACTGTCATCTTCTCCTCTTTCTCCATTCTGGCCTGGGAGAAGAACATGGAAACCCTGGCCTCACCTTCCTGGAGAGGAAACCATGTGCAAGGACTCCAGAATGTGCCTCCTTTGCAGGCTGAGGCTTCTGTGTGTTCTCACAGCCAACTATTTCCCGGGGACATTGCTGAAAGCTGCCTTCTGAGGGGGATTAGGGGCAGGCAAGTTGCAGGTGACCTTAGTGGGTGAGAGAGGGTTTCTTCTCATTTATCTCCAGGCCTGATTTAAAGAGTTATAGTTGGTATGTGGTGAAGTTTGCCAAGTATGGGCTGTACACACTGAGGATTTTATAGGACAAGGAGTTCTTGTCGGGTGGCGCTGGGGATTTTTTTCTTCCTGAATTCCATATTACAGCAGGTTATCTAAGGATTATATTTGAATTTTGGGGTGTTCGGAGGTTTCCACAAAATTTTCTAGGTTTTATTAGAAATCTCAGCATATTTCTGTTATAAGACCCATGACACATGGAAAATGAGTGGATAGATAAAACAGAGAAAAAGGAAAATTGAGAGGGATCACTATATCTGCCACTTTGAGATGGGTTACAGTTGTTTTTCATCCAAAAGTTAAGTGGATCAAATCAGTCTTCGATTGTGGTAAAGAGCAAATCCAAGAGTTTATTCAGATGTTAGTTTGCTGATCTGCAGTCTACTGTAGGAACAGAGACTGGGTGTTTTTTCTGCCATTCATTTGCTATGTGACCTTGGTCCAGTAGCTGCCTGTCTCTGGGTTTTAGAGTTGGACTAGATAATGATTTCCTAAATGTCATGACTGTTTAACACAACATTAAAAACAATTAAATCATAGAAAGTTGTGCCTGATTGAATTCTCCTTTAATCTTCTTGATAAAGGAAAGAAGAAAGTCTCAGTGTAGAGTTAAAATATCTTCAACACTTCCTGAGCTTATGTTTTTACAAAATGAGAACAGCCTTCAAGCTCAATCTTACTTGGACTTCAAGTGTCTTTCTAGATGATATATATATATTTTTTGAGACGTTATTTTGCTCTTGTCGCCCAGACTGGAGTGCAATGTTGCGATCTCTGCTCACTTCAACCTCCGCCTCCTGGGTTCAAGCTATTCTCCTGCCTCAGCCTCCCGAGTACCTGGGATTACAGGCACCCGCCACTACGTCCAGCTAATTTTTGTATTTTTGGTAGAGACGGGGTTTCATCATGTTGGCCAGGCTAGTCTCGAACTCCTGATCTCAGGTGATCCACCCGCCTCTGCCTCCCAAAGTGCTGGGATTACAGGCAGGAGCCACTGTGCTTAGCTGATAATTTAATCATATTGTTTTGTCTTTGTTTTACTTATTTTTATGGTTACCTTTTATTTTAGACAAGTGATTCCAGTTTTCTGTTTACAGCAGTGATAGAGGGCTTTCTCTGAAAACAGATGTGTTTATGTAGATGAGAACACTTGAAGACATATATGAAAGTGTTATTGACATATGACAAAAACTGTGGGGTTGGTACCTGAATGGTTGGACTTTGGGAAACCCTGGTCTAGGTGACCTCTAAATGTTTTTCTGGCTCAGAGGGCTTATAAATATGAATGCCCCAGTTTCAGTACAGAGCACACGCTGCTGGCTTCCAAGCTGTCTTAAATGTAAGCTCTGTGTGCACAGCAATTGTATGTGGCTTTTTGGCCACTGTATCCCAAATGTCCAGTTCAGTGGGTGGCATGTGGCTGGACTTCAATAAATGATTCTGAAGGAATAAATGCATGACTCAGGTGAAAATGAGATATGACATCCCTTTTATGTTTGGGAGCAAAAGAGAAGAAAAACCCTTATATTCCAGACCCTGTTGGGCCTGAAACAAGAGTGTGGCCTCAGCAAGTATAGGTAGGTGCGTGCGCATCCATACACATAGCAGAGGACTTGGGACAGTCCTTATGTTACCATTCACTGCTGTGTGACTCTGGCAAGGGCCTTAATCTCCCTGAGCTTCAATTTCCTCATCTGTTAAAACACACGCACATACATGCACACACACACACGTGCACACACACACACACACTTTGTGTTTTAAATGTTTACCCAAGTTGAATTTTTGTGATATCATTGAAATTTACAGAACATATCTAGTACTGTTTTATTTTAAAAAACAACTTGGCCTTTGACATCTTAGATTCTCTCTGGAAAAAGGCAATGTTTAACTAATAAATAAATGAGTACATACATAAATTCATATATTTCCCTTTTATTTTCATTTTCAGTTTTTCTTGTTTTCAAATCTCATTGGCTTTTGGCTTGGAGTATTTTTAAATTGACTGGCTGTTTGGTTCAAATGATGTTTAAACAAGCTTTGGCGCGAGCTGCAGACCTGTTGTGCTTGCTGGGTTGAAGTTGGGTGTGCCAGCAAACTGCCTTGGCTAAATGACAGTTTAAATACAGCCAAACAGTTGGTCCTGCTGGGAGATTCATTGGTGGGAAGATTCCACAGAAACAATGCCCTGGCTCAGACATTCCTGCCCCTGCAGGGGGATCTGAGGGACCAGGTGGTCTCCTCAGGTCCAGGAGAGATTGCCAGACTCAGGGGGAGCCATCACTGACCTTCATTCAGGTGAATCTGTGTTCTCTTTCCTTCTTCCCCTGGGGCCCTAGTTGGCTCTGATTTCCAGCAGTAGTTTGAAGCTGCTGCCTCTGAAACTGGAGATGGTGAAACACAGGCAGAGACTGGACTTTCTCATCAGCCTCACTTCATATTTCAGGTGAAGGCTTGTCTTTGGATAGAGGCAGGAGAAGGGGTTTGAGACCATCTTTCAGACAAGGTCATCCCTGCTTCCTCCCTCCAACTCCAGCCATTTGGTTGAATTTATTAGCCTTTTCTGAGGGCAAAAGACAAACAAAAAAAGCAAAAAGGAAAACAGAATTCTGTGCAATGCAATGAAAAACCTCCCAGTGATTCAAACAGCATGAATAGTTATTACAGAAAGAGGAAAGTAACAGGGCCATTGTGATGATGAATTGAGACAATGTGGGTAAAGCATTGGAAGCTGTGTCCCACCTGTAGGAGACAGTCCATAAACTATAGCTATTATTATTTAACCCCTCACATGGCAACTGGCTTCTAGTGGGTCTTAGTGTATGTTTGTTGATGAGCTCATGTTAGGATTGGCTGCCTTAGCGGGAGGGAGCTAGAGGAGTCCAGGCTGAAGATGAGCGTTGTTGAGCTATGATATTGATACTCCCATCTAACATCAGAATAGAGATGGAAATAAGCTCAGAGACAATGCTGTAGCTCTGCCCCCGTCAGGCCAGCTGATGTCCTTCAGGGCAGGGTGGCATTGACTTGCTAGACAGCAGCTGACTGACTTTCCATTGGCCCTCCCTTTTCTGCACAATTGATTTTGAACTTAGGATATGCCTCAGGCTAAGCAAACATGGCTTCAGACCCCAGATATTTGCAGCAGCCCTTTAATAGGGCCATAGTTGGAAATGTGAAGCAAGAGACTGTCCCCCTATTTGGCACGCATTTTTAGAGTTTTTGAGGTTTGGCATGAGCATCCAAGGAGGCTCCTCCTGACCTAGTGGAATATTAAGACAAAATATTAGGTCTCTGAGGCTGTGTTGCCTTTATTTTCTCTCCTGACCTAAGAGTGTGTGTGAAGCTAAACTGCCAGAACCCAACACTTCACTCAGTCTAATGAACCTGGAGGGGGACACTACTTAGGTTACTGGAATAGGGAATGTATTCCCTATTCCAATCAAAAAAGACCCCCTCCGTTGGGACTCAGAAAAAGACTTTCCTTCCCTTATGATATTGTAATAGGGAAGTGAATACATTCCCTATACCAATATCCTAAAGGAGGATATTGGAATCCTAAGGGAGGATGAGGGAAGGAGAGTCTTTTTCTGAGTCCCAGTGGAGGGAGCCTTTTTCTGAGCCAGGTTTGGTCCAATATATTTACTGTTGGACTCTCAGTGGCATGGGCCATCCACATGATGAATAAAATCTCTTAAAGTTCTCCAAGCAAATGGCCTCTGCATTCAGGGTAACTTAGGCGACATGATTACAAAGGGGAAGGAGTCTCAGTTAGTGGCAATTGCTTCAACAGGTGTGCTCTAGAGGGGATCTAGCTCCATGCAGGAGCATGAGTTGTAAATGAAGGCACTCATGTTTATGGAGGCCCTTTTTTTGTGTCCCAAAGTATGCTAAGGCCGTGGTGTGGAGCATTTCTGTCTGTCCTCTGAGCAACACTGTGGCAGGTGCAGGATAGTAGATCTCTGTTGTTTATGCTCCCAGGCAGCCATTCTCACCTCCCCACAGCCCCTGGCTTTCCTTTGGGAGCCTCACCCTTAGTGTTTATGGTTTTGTTGGCATGGTAAACCAAGATGTTTTCCCCTCCCATTATGATGCCTGAAACTTTCTTCAAACCTCCCTGGGGAGACAAGGGAAAAGATTGGAATCTTTTGCCCAGGACTTGGAATCCTGAACCTATGTGTGAGAGCTGATGAAATGCTCAGGATGAATTGATTACAGCCCTGGTTCGTGGGCCAGTTTGCTGCAACTTCTGCTGCCTGCTTTGAGTTTGTTTTACACCTTATCTTCCTTATTGCGAGTTGTCCCATGTCCTCTAGTAAATTTCCTTTTAGGTAGAGTCCTTGAGTGGTCTCAAGTTCAGGTCTATCTGACTCAAAGCTGGTGAACTTAACCATTATGCAATATTGGAGCCTCTCTGCTTTCTCCCGGGCCTGAGGTTCTAAGAGGCTCTGATTCTGAGAGTCTGAGAATGCACAGCTCTAAAATGATATGATTAATTACTTTTCTATTCTTTTAGAGCTGGTCAGTGTTCACAACTGCAAATCTCCTTCCCGAATGAGCTGTCACTGCCTGAACTGTCAGCTGAGGGTGTGCGAGGGCTTTTAGACTTTGAGCTCAGCTGACAGAACACAACTCTCCCTGCAGGCTCCGTATTGTTTGGCCACTGCTAGCCTAGTCTGCTCACTTGTCCATAAGACTCATTGGGACTTACCAACCCCTAGGAGGTATCTACAAACCACATGGGAGAAATATGAATTTGAACAATGAAGTGAAGAAAACAGGAGCTTGGGCACTGCTTTAAGAGGTTTTGCCCTGTTGGCAATCCTCTGGAGATGCCCCCAAGGGTCTATGCACTAAGCAAGTGATGAGCAGGCCCTCATGACACCTCTGAGAAATGCTTCATTGTCTAAATTCAGAAGGAAAGATTAGAAATTTCCCCCCATATCACCACTGGGAAAATGGAAACAGACATTCATACTTAAGCATATAAAAAGTAATACTTCCTTGATGTTATTCTTCTATTCAACAAAGTAGATAACTTAAATTGTGGGAACAGACACACCTAATGTGAGACTCAATAAGTTACTTTTCATTATAAACAAAAATTTAGCCCAATACTTTCCAAATTGCCCTATGCCAAAAATATTGCTTACCTCAAGTTTATCCTATGGGCTTCTTCAGTAAGGGAGCTTGCCTTGCTCCATCTGCTCCTGGTCACAGTGGCTAACACAGAAATTTTAATTTTTTAGTGGTGGAATAAGTTTTTCAAACAATAGTTTCATGCAGGACTATGGTATACAAAACAGATCCGATGGAGCTGTTCTGCTGAAGTCACCTCTGATATGCAGCATCCCCCTTAACCCTCCTACCTGGGTCCCTGAAAAACCTGAAAAAAATCACAAGACTTGAGGAGCCATTAGAAAACTGCTGGCTCAGCACCCAATTTGAACAGAATAGGATTCAGTGGACATGGGGTGAACATCATTTGTGGTAGGAAGTTTGCATTGTTTTTTTCTCTCTCTCTTTCTTTCTCTCATCCCTCCCTTTCTCCACCCCCAATATATAGCTGAGGGAATCAAAAGAGTGGTTTTCAGTGATCTTCAGAGATGAGGTGAGAGGGAATCTTTGCGACCCAAATAGGTGGCACCTAGGTTGATGTCTTCACTAGCAAGTTATGGATGTGGGTGTAGGGCCCTTGGTAAGATGAGCAGACATCAAACTAGCTCCTTAAAAAAGGGGAGGCCTTGCACAGGATGGGCTGGAGCCTGATGCTGGTGGTCTCGGTGGAGCTGAGGGTCTGAAGGTGGAGCATGTCCAGAGACATCAGAAAAGGCAGGTCAGTGCAACCTTTGAAGTGGAGGACCTAGGCAAATAGGGCAGAAGGCAGGAAGGTATAGAGCTGAACCAAGTGAGAGAGAAGCTCAAGGCAAATACTGAGGATGCTGTAGATTTACAGGAACTGGAGGGAGAGGCAAAGAAGTCAGTGAACAGGTGAGAACACAGGCTGAAATACAGCCAAGGACAGAATGTCCCAAGCTGAGCTGTCTGCAGCCCGGGGCCTTTCAGTGGCGCCTGGGCTTCCGCAGGGCAGCGTTGGACACAGCTTAAGGGCCTTTGTACCAGGAGGAAATCTGGTTGAGAGTCCTTCTGCTTTGTGTCTGTCCTGTTTGTCATGCTTCTGGGGTTTTTTGGATCTCTCTAAAGAATATACTCATTATTGGAAGATTTGAATTTATGCTTGGGGCTGGGGAAGCCAGAAACCAATCCATTTGATGTCTGTGTGGTTTCATGGCTTGTTAAGTCCCTTTCATATGATCTCATTGCTTCTCTGAAGTATGTCAGGAGGGTCCGTATGATGAATATTACATGGCATCTGATGTCACAGGGCACTGATTATGCCAACACTGCTTATAGAAAGCAGAAGACTAGTGAGGCAGGGAGAGAATTACGGTCCAGACTTGGAGTAGCTGTGCACGTGCAGCTCATTGCAGTCATGCATGCGAATGGTCTCCCACATGCCCGGCCACTGGGCAGGACGGCGGCAGTTATGCATTCCATTAGCAATAGGTCAGACTGGCGTTGGGCTAAGTTTCCTGGATCATGCCACTCAAATGTGTCATGTGTACTCCGTTGTCATAGCACATTGCTCAGGAAGGGTGATCTGGGCCAGAGGACACACACTGGCTGCCGCTAAACTGTGCTGGCCCCCAGATTTTTTTTTTCAATTAGGTCTGCACCAGGTTTAAAATTTTGAATGCGTGCCAATATTTAAAAATGAGAAGATGCCCTTAATATTTGCATTTCTGGTTTTCCTAAAATACTGGAGGGTCTTATTACATTGGTTTTTGCAACTGCCTCCTTTCCATGAGTCATATGTTCTCCACATGTCACAGTCCCCACCCAGCCTGCTTTACTTCTTTACCTCTCCAGCCCCATGGGCACTAGAGTTTGAGTCCCTTGGCTTAGGTTGTTGTCTTACGTAACTTGTCATGTAGAACCAGGGTTGGCAAACTGCTGTCCGTGGGCCAAATGTGGCCCTCCACCTGTTTCTATAAATAAAGTTTTATGGCCGGGCATGGTGGCTCATGCCTGTAATCCCAGCACTTTGGGAGGCCGAGGCGGGTGGATCACGAGGTCAGGAGTTCGAGACTAGCCTGACCATCATGGTGAAACCCCATCTCTACTAAAAATACAAAAATCAGGGAGCGGTTGAGAAGTGGGGTGACAAACAGGGGAAAGTGGGAAGGGAGCATGCCTGTAGTCCCAGCTACTCGGGAGGCTGAGGCAGGAGAATCGCTTGAACCCGGGAGATGGAGGTTGCAGTGAGCTGAGATCATGCCACTGCACTCCGGCCTGGGTGACAGAGTGAGACTCCTTCTCAAAAGTAAAAAGTGAAAAATTAAAAAAATAAAGTTTTACTGGAATGCAGCCACACTCATTTGTTGACACATTGTCATTGCCTATACTACCCAGAGTAGAGTAGTTGTGGCAGGGGCCATATTGCCTGAAAATTCTACAGTATTTATTATGTGGCCCTTTAGAGAAAATGTTTGCCGAGCTCAGATCTAGACTATGGGCAGAGGGCTGACTTTTCACTACAGAATGGCCCACAAGGTATTTTCTAAATAAAGGTTTTCTGCTTTCAGAGGAATCCTTTTTTTTTTTTTTTTGAGACAGAGTCTGGCTCTTTCGCCCAGGCCAGACTGCAGTGGCACTATCTCGGCTCACTGCAAGCTCTGCCTCCCGGGTTCACACCCTTCTCCTGCCTCAGCCTCCCAAGTAGCTGGGACTACAGGCGCCCGCCACAGCACCCAGCTAATTTTTTGTATTTTTAGTAGAGACGGGGTTTCACCGTGTTAGCCAGGATGGTCTCGATCTCCTGACCTTGTGATCCGCCCGCCTCGGCCTCCCAAAGTGCTGGGATTACAGGCGTGAGCCACTGCACCTGGCCAGAGGAATCCTATCACTGTTCTTAAACTAATTTCATTACTTTCCCTCCAGGCTTTATTTATAATCCACCAAAATGAGAGGGGAAGTTGGTGGTCTATTGTTTTCCAGGCCTGGGTTATTATGAGGCCATACAACGTCAGTTTTAGTGTCAGGGCAGTCGGTTTCCTTTTATTTTTCCCTTGCCTGCCATATCCATGGGGAAAGAACAGGACAACCTAGAATTATTGGCATCCTGCATTTCTATTTTTGTTTGTTTGAGACGGAGTCTTTCTCTGTCACCCAGGCTGGAGTGCAATGGTGCGATCTCGGCTCATTGCAACCTCCACCTCCCAGGTTCAAGCAATTCTCCTACCTCAGCCTCCCAAGTAACTGGGATTACAGGTGCATGCCGCCACGCCCAGCTAATTTTTGTGTATTTTAGTAGAGATGGGGCATCCTGCATTTCTATAGACTCTACCTCTAACCCACAGGGAGAAGCATTGCTATTGATATGATTATTTCTGAGAACAATGTCTTACATAGGTACAGTGGAAGTGGTTAACTCTTTCACAGTGTTCCTGCACTTTTCCCCACATTTCCTTCTCAAGACTATCTTGCAAGGCTTGCTGATTGCCTATTCAACTACTCTTCTTCCTCCCATCTTCTTTGCTGTGGAGCCCAGCTCTATATTGTGACAGAAATGCCAGGATATTGCTTTGCTAGCCTTCTACAGGGCCTGGAGGTGGTCACATGACCCTGTTCTGGCTAATGACAGAAAAAGGAAGTCTTCAGAGAGGCTTCTAGGAAATAGTTTCTCTTTCATAAGACAGCAATAGTGCAAGAGAGATTCCCTATTCCTTACTTTCTGTTTCTAGATGTAGCTTTGTGACATTTGGATGTGATACTTGGCTTTGTGGTAATGGGATGTGATATTTGGAGCTGTGGCAGCCATCTTGGGCCAGGATGGGAAATGACTTGTGGAAGACAGTCAAAGGGAGGGTGAGAGATAAGAAGATCCTGAGCTCCTGGGACATCCCTGAGCCTGGAACCATCTCCATTTGGACGATTCTCATTATACTAATGAGAAACTAATACTAATAAAAACTTTCTGTTAAAACCACTTAGGATCAGATATTCCGTTACTTTGCAGCCAAAAGCATCTTAATTCAAACAGTTGGGTACTATAACCTCTAGTTTACATAATTTTTAAACATTTAGCAAAAATGCATATAGTTCTTACTGTGTGTTAGGTACTGTCCTGAGGGCATTCTGTGTATTAACTCATTTAGTTTTCATAATGATACTATGAGACAGGTATTATTATGCCCATTTTACAGAAGAGGAAGCTAACGCCCAGTATGCTAAATACTGTATGAAGTCACACACCTGGTAAGAGACAGAGCTAGGGTTTCATCCTAGGTTGTCTGGCTTCAGAGGCTACAGGCTTAATTGTTATCCTGTGCTCCCTCTCTAGTAGATAGGAAATGGTTTGCCCCAGGTCACATGACACAGGTATTCTTCCAGCACCTGGTGCCACCCTTCACCTGGAGCAGACACTGGAACAGTCTGTAGACCCACCCATCCATCTCCTCACCAGTGTGCTCTCCACTGCTGTCTTTCTTCATCATCCTTAAGCTCGTTATAGTCCTGGATTTTAGTGGGTGCTAAAGCCAAGGACTAGATTTGAAGCCTCTTTTCTGCCCACCTGCTGCTCTTTCTTCCTCCCTCCTAGCTGCAGACATCAAACTGTTGCTGGCCAGGTAAGCACAGGAGGAGGATACAGGAGGGCAGGTCCCTTGTGCTGTGCATCCCACTGAGGGGATATTGTGTGGTGGCGGTGTGCACTGGGTTTGGAGTCAGATGAAGTTAAGTTCTGCAACTTCTAGCTGTGTTAACATAGGAAAATCCCTTCTCCTCTCTGAACCTCAGTGTCCTCTTCTGTACAATGGGATAATAATGACCTAACCAATAATGTTCTTTGAATGTTAGATGAGGCATACCATATAAAATGTTTAACGAAGAATCTGACACCCAGAAATCACCCAGTAAGTGAAAGATACTGTTACGAGTGGTATTACTTTTTCAATTCTCATTACCACTATGTTTGAAGTCGTTTGTGAGCTAAAATGTCTGGAGACCGCCTGCTCTGTATGAAGTGGAGGAAATCTTGGGGCATCTAGGAGGGAGGGAGAGGTGCTGATCTAGGAGTCAGAATAGCAGGATCTTAGCTCAGCTGTGAGATCTCAGTGGCTGTAAAGGGTGTGTGTTGCCTGAGATGATCCCCAAGTGCCTTTCCCAGCTGGAACAGACCACATTGTGATATGCACCAAACAGATGGCCTGCATTCTCTGTAGGAGCCTGCACAGCCCAGGTGCAGCTACCATCATTGAGGGCCCTGATTCGGTTGTTTCTCCAAAATTGGCCAAAGCTGCTAGCAGGTTTCTGTCCCATTAGCCACCAGCATGACCAGTGCCTGGTGTCTGGCATGAGGTGAATGGTTAATAAGCCTGAGTTGGATGAATGAATGAACTCCAGTATGTGAGGGAGTGGTGCCTGTGACCCCTAAAGGTGGAGCAGGTTTGGTTTCTTTTAGTATAAATATTTAGAATATGACCATGATTGCAGTTTTTGGCAAGAGTGAATCACTTACTCATGGTCATGGCCTTGAACCTAACCAAACCGCCAGCCAGCACCAGAATAAACTGCACAGAATCGCTGGCCTCAGCCAAAAGGAAATTGACTTTCTATTGACCCATGAGACAGGTCCGGTTTTTTTTTTTCTTTTAAATTTTTTACAAACAGTACAATGTCTAGTAAATCTGACCAAACCAGATACCTCTATTTATTTTTTTCTAAAACCTTGAACTGGAACAAAATTAGACCCCACATAATCCTTATTTATAATATTACTCAATGTGTGCAAATAGTAATGATGTTAACTAACATTCATAGGGCAATGCTATGTGTATTATCTCATGTATTCCTCAAACACACCTATGAAGTAGGTGCTATTTTAATTCCTATTTTACAAGCAAGGAAAAGTTGACAGCTAAATAACTTTTGCCAAGGTCACGCGGCCATTAGAAGGCAAAGTGAGCATTTTAATCATTTGAATCCAGGTCCACTTGATTCCCAAGCTGGTGCTCTCAGCTCTCTGGCTCTCCTGTGTTCTCAGCATCAGCGACAGCTGCAGTTTATTGGGCATACATTGTGAGGCAGTCACAGGGCTGAGCATTCTTCACACATGAGCTTGGTCAATCCCTCCACAGTACTATCAGGAGTGCACCATTGTTAGCTCCATTTTAGCGATGAGGAAACAGGGATTTCATGAGATTATTTAACCTGCCTGCCATCTGTGGATGGTGGTGTTAAGCGCTTCATGTAGAGTGATAGAGCTCAGCAAGCTCCAGGGCAACAAAGAATGGGGGACTTTTCCAGTGTCACACAGTGAATCAGTGGTTGAGCTGGAACAGAACTTCATTGAATACTTTTCATTCACTGCTAGGAGAATGTTGTAGTTAACAGTGGGAGGGGGACCTGCTATAAGGTCAATCTGGTGTGTCACTTGCTCTGGTGGCAGGAAAGAGTTTAGTGGATTAGAGCATATACTTTGGATCATACAGACCTGTGCTCAGGGCCACCATGGGAAAGAGCCTTCCTCTCCCTGAGCCTGTGTTTCTTCTTCTGTAGAATGGAACAATAACCATAGGCCTGCCTCTTGGGTTTGCTGGAGAAGAAAATGAGAGAACACACATTAAATGTCTGGCACAATGACTGCCATGCAGTTAATATGGAATAGCTGTTGTTGTTATGTTGTTAATTGAAATGATCCATGATCCAAAAGAGGCTTGGAAACACTGCACCATATGGAGAAGGCTTGAAATCCACTTCGCAATGACTGCCTTGTGATAGGAAGGAGATGTAAAGGCTGAAGAGTGTCTATAAGTGGTACGCAGGCACTTGGGACACACAAACACATACACACATACATGCTCCTGAAACCTGCACGCACATGTACTTGTGGCATATGTACACTCATACACACGTGCACACACATGTACACACAATATACTTGTACACACATGCTCACATACATGCACCTGCATATGCTCTCACATGGACATACACATATGGACAATATACTCGTGGCATCTATGTTTTCATACATGCATCTGCAACCCACACACACATGCACTTGTAACATACACATGCACAAACAACATACTTGTGGCATACAGATGCTCTTACACATGCACACACATGCATGGACACATGCGTCACACACAATACACTTGTAGCATACACATGCTCACATGCATATGCACACACATACATGCACACACATATACCTGTGCACACACACATTGCATCTGCACACACTCTCTCCCTTCCTTAGCCTGGTGAACACCTACACATCCTTTAGCTCTCAGGCCAAAGGTCACAGCTTTAGGGCAGCCACTTTGACTCAGGCCAGGACACTCAGGCTGAGCTATCTTGGCACCTAGCACCTCCACCTCTCATCCAAACTGTCCTCTCTCAGCCCATAGGTACTTCAGTCCCAGGCTCTGTTGCCATCACTCTAGGGAGCTTCAGGGTGCTCAGGGATCCTCCTCAGCTTGCATCTCATTGCATGTCATTGAATAATTGTAATAAGTTGCTTAATTCTACAATTCCTGCTAGAAGGCCACTTCTGTGAAAGGCAGGGATAAAGCTGACTCTTCTCCACAGATCAGAATCATTTGATGCAGACTGGCACATAGTATGTCTTCAATACCTAGATGCCATTGATTGAACAGAACCACCAGGATCTCATTTGCATGCAAGCTGAAGAATAAGCTTGTTCATATTGGGGTTACCCTGCACAAGATGTCTCCTATGGGGTTTTTAGCCACGGGGTCTCTAATGATTTGGAGCCTCACTCAGAGGAAGCCAAGCCTCAGAATGCTGTATAAATTGGTAAAAAAAAAAAAAAATCTAACTTTGAAATGCATTCCTAGTCACCAGGAAAACACGTTTTGGGGGGAGAGAATGTCTAACAAGCCTGAAATGTAGACAACTCCTTATTGCTTCTGACTGCACTTTCTCCTGGGAAGTTAGGGGACACCAGCAGTTGCCATGAGTAGGACTGACCAGTCACTGTCTGGGCTGAGGCAGACTGCTTTCTTTATTTTACAGCAGTAGGGAACCCCTTGTTAGACATAATGAAGGCAGAGGTTGATGGGCAGATGGAGATGAGAAACACAATGCCTGGTGGTAAAAAGCAGGTGGCTCAGCTTAGAGTCATTTATTTTAATTCATTCATTTATTTAAGAAATAGTTCTGGGCACTTTCTAAGTGCCAGGCACCGTGTTAGCTGCTTGGGACATAGGAGAAAATGGGATAGACGTAGTCCTTGACCTGGGGGTGCTCAAGTTTAGCTGGGGAGGTGGACAAGGAAATAGGAAACCAATATGCAGTGTGATCAGTGCTCCAGGGGGATTCAGAAGAGGAGTTCCAGGGAGAGTGGTGCTGGCTTCTGGAAGAAGGGATGTCTAAGCCAAGATCTGGAGGATGAGCCAGGCTAGGAGATGGGGAAATGTGGTATGAAGGAGGAGAACAGTCAGTGGGCAGACCTCAAAAGGAGAGACATGGCAGGAGTTCAGAGTGGCAGCAGCGGGGTGGGGGTGGTGGCAGGGAGGGCAGGGTCCCGTCATGCACAGCTCATTCCTGAGGACTGCTCCCTAGGGTGATGGCAACAGAGCCTGGGACTGAAGAGCCCATGGGCTGAGAGAGGACAGTTTGGATGAGAGATGGAGGTGCTCACGGGAACTGGGGCTTTGCATGAGGCTGCGGGAGCCTGGTGGGAGTGTCTCTGGGGAGCAGTGATGCAGACCCAGCTGCTGCAGGCCTGGGTACTGGGGATGTGGGTGAAGGAGATTTGCTGTTCACTGCTTTCTCCCCTGGCACATGGACAAGGAGGCCTAGATGACCGCTGAATCCCTCCCAGAACTGCTGTCTGAACACTGGGAACTGTGTGCCCCCCTCCCTCCCACAAACCACCCCATGCCTCTGTCTCCCTGGCCCAGCTCTTTCCATCCTGCAGTATCCACTCTGGCTGCCCCAGGCCCCCTTTTCTCTATCACTACCCAGAAGCTGCATCACTATGACCAGCTCATGTCACATCTCCGGGCCTCAGTTTCCACATTAGTGGGAAACTGATGGGAATAATAACACCACCTACTTCTTCAGCCTTGTCTTCTGCTCATTACCCAGGCAACCCTGGCCCGCTGTCACTACCTCAAGCTCATGGGGCTCTTTCTTGCCTAGAGTTCCTTGCCTTTTCCTTCCTTCCAATCCGTCTCCCCACTTTTGCCTTGATAATTATTCCTCATGTTTCAAACCCAAGCTGAAACGTTGTTTCTTCAGAGAAGCCTTCCTGAAGAGGGGCCACCACTTGTATTCTACATGAATGCTCTGCATATTTCCTTCTTGACTCTCACCCCACTGGTGTACACCTCACTTTTGCATAATTTCTGAATATCTCCTTCCCTCCCTAGGATATAAGCACCATGGGCAGTGGAGATCCCTGACATGCTCATTGCTATATCCTTTCACCTGGCACTGTCCCAGGTATAGATTAGGCACTGGGCCATGAGATGCTGAATTAATAAACGACGAACTCAATGGGTTTAATACTCTCCACATGTATGTAAGTTACTAATTATATTCAAGCCAGACCTCTAAACTAACTTAAACTCAGTTTAATAACACTCATTTATTAACTCAGCTAAATAACTGATTGCAGCTCAATTTGATAAGCAAAGACCATCACAAAATTGTAGTGTAACATGGCCCTGGCCACTAGAGGGAGCTGGGAAGCCATAAAGCCGGGTGGCCTCTAGGACCCCAACCCCCTGTAGAGAGGTGGAAGTCTAATGTTCAGTCATTTTCTATTCAATCCATTCTTTAAAGTCTATAGACTGTTATGAGTTGGAAGGCTAGGGAGAGACTGTTTAGTTCAGTCTGGACACTGAGGCCTGAGGGAGAGCAAGTTCCCTCTGCCTCCCAGGGCTTCATGGCATAGACTTGTTTCTAGCCATGACAAACCTCTCTCTCTTTTTTTTTTTTTTTCAATATTTCTATTTTCTATTATGTAGAAGAGATCATTTTAACTTCTGTCTGTCCATATTTATTGACTTTCTACTATGCGCTGGGCACTGTTTAGGTGCTAGACACTCTGGGGTACAAAACAGGCTCCTGTCTCAATAAGTCCATCGTCTAGTTAGAAAGACAAATGTCAAAAAATACTACATAGCTACCAACTGTGATTGGTGTGAAGGAGAAAGACAATGTTTGGAGACAGATAATAACAGGAACACCTAATTCATTCTCAAGTTCATCCTGAGAGGAAGAGCCATGTAGCAGAAACCTGGAGGCTGTGCAGGGCTGGCAGAGGGACCAGAAGAGCAGACCTTCTGCCCCACATGGCTCTCTGGCTTGCCCACTGCTGCTGGGTGAGTCCCGTCTCCCCTGTGGCCTTCTGCTTTGCCATCTGTGTAATTGTGCACGCATTTCAAGCCTGAGGTTTTGATTAGGAGGGGCTTGTACCTGAGCTATCTGGGGCAGCTGGTGTGTGGCATTTGCAGCTGGTGTCAAAGGAGCCTGGGGTCCAGCTCTTGAGTGAAAGGGGGCTTCCACATGGATGGCCTCACACTGAGCAATGGGCCAGGAGCTGTGGGGTGGCTTTGTTCCAGGCATAGGAGTACTGCAGCTTTAAGACCTAGCACAGGTGTGGCTCTTGGACTGCCTGCATCCAGTCACCTGGAGAGTTGCTTAAGTAGAGAAACTACTGGGCTCCACCCCCAGAGATAATGATAAGGCAGCTCTGGAGGAGGGCCCAGGAATCTGCATGTTAATGAGCTGTCTAGGTGACTCTGATGCATGCTGAGGTCTGGGAACCATTTCCCTAGATCGTCTTGTAGAAAGGATCTGTGACACTCAGGCTTTGAACTGGCCTTCATTGTGTGCTCTATGTGTATTCCAAAAGAGTTGTGGTTAAGCAAAGATATTTTACAATTCAAATCATATCCTGAGTATACTTAGGGCTCTCACTTTAAAGAAGCCCCATTTGTAATGTGAATTTCTATACCAAAGTATAGTTCTTTGGTTCTTGTGTGTTAATTTTCCTAAATGATGGGCATACCTAACTATATACTTTGCAGACTGATTAATTAAATAATGAATTGAAAACACCTGGAATCCAGCTTTGTATGTTGCGGGAGGTCAGGGACCCCGAATGGAGGGACTGGCTGAAGCCATGGGAGAAGAATATGGATTGTGAAGATTTCATGGACATTTATTAGTTCCCCAAATTAATACTTTTATAATTTCTTATGCCTGTCTTTACTGCAATCTCTAAACATAAATTGTGAAGATATCATGGACACTTATCACTTCCCCAATCAATACCCTTGTGATTTCCTATGCCTGTCTTTACTTTAATCTCTTAATCCTGTCAGCTGAGGATGATGTATGTTTCCTCAGGACCCTGTGATAATTACGTTAACTGCACAAATTGTAGAGCATGTGTGTTTGAACAATATGAAATCTGGGCACCTTGAAAAAAGAACAGGATAACAGCAATGTTCAGAGAATAAGAGAGATAACCTTAAACTCTGACCGCCGGTGAGGCTGGTGGAACAGAGCCATATTTCTCTTCTTTCAAAAGCAAATGGAGAAATATCGCTGAATTCTTTTTCTCAGCAAGGGACATCCCTGAGAAGGAGAATGCGCCCCTGAGGGTGGGTCTCTAAAACGGCCCCCTTGGGTGTGGCCATCTTCTATGGTCAAAACTGTAGGGATGAAATAAACCCCAGTCTCCCATAGCACTCCCAGGCTTGTTAGGAAGAGGAAATTCCCACCTAATAAATTTTGGTCAGACCGGTTGCTCTCAAATCCTGTCTCCTGATAAGATGTTATCAATGACAGTGGTGTCAGAAACTTCGTTGGCAATTTTAATTTCACCCCAGTCCTGTGGTCCTGTGATCTCGCCCTGCCTCCATTTGCCTTGTGATATTCTGTTACCTTGTGAAGTAAGTGATCTTCATGACCCGCACCCTATTCATACACTCCCTCCCTTTTTGAAAGTCCCTAATAAAAACTTGCTGGTTTTATGGCTCAGGGGGCATCACGGAACCTACCGACATGTGCTGTCTCCCCTGGATGCCCAGCTTTAAAATTTCTCTCTTTTGTACTCTGTCCCTTTATTTCTCAACCCAGCTGATGCTTAGGGAAAATAGAAAAGAACCTATGTGACTATCGGGGCAGGTTCCCTGATATTGTAGAAAATCTACAGCCTTCATTTCCAGAGAGGGGAGAGGAGAAGATCTGTGGCAGAGGCATAAAGAATTAAATTTCAAAGCTCAGAGTTAAGCTCCTTCAGGATAAAGCATTTATTTATCGTCAGGTTTATAATCACTGCCCATCTGGGACAGGTGAGCCCTGGCCCGTTGTCCCCCAAATGCAGCTAAATGTCTAATGCCCTTGAATTTGCCATTGCTGAGGAGGCTTCAATCCCATGGCTCCTGCCAAGGACAACAATCTGTGGGGTTGGGAACACTCTGATCCCCCTCATTCTGGGTTGCAAAAGAGCTCGGGTGGAGATATCTTGAATCATGGAAAAGTCTTGGCCCTCGGCAAGGAATATTTCATTCAGAGCCCTTATCTCCTTGACCTGCTGCTCCAGTCTCCTGGCTCATCTATAATTTTCCCATTTGTAGGGCAGTTGCAGGCTGGCCCAGGGCAGACCCAACTGAGGGCAATGGTCCTTAGAGCTATGGCCACCCTGACGTGGATGCCTGGTGAGAGGCTTGTGAACAGAGAAGACTAACTGTGGAGATGCTGACCCATTTAGCTTTTACCTGTCCCAGGATGGTTGGAGATCTCTGGGAGAGAGAGAGAGGTAATGAGGACTCAGTTTTGACCAAGGCAAGGTAAGTAAGCACTAAGGTGAGAGGTCTCTTTTCTCTGGTGGCTACTCCAAGTCATGCCAAATCACTGACCCAACCTGTTGGATCAGAGAGAACAAGCAACTGGATTTAGGGCCTAAAGATGCCCTATAATTTGCATTGGTGGAGAGGAAGGAGATGGAATTCAGAGGGACTTGGGAGACAAAATAAAAATGACAGAAACAGGAGATCAGTAATAATGGAAGAAAGGACCCATGGAAGAGAAGAAGGGAGAAGAGGTAGTTATAAGTGCTGGAGAAAAGCATTGTTTTTAGTGTAATTCTTCGTTGTACATATGAATTTTGTTGACAGGTACACTTCATGTATACTTCATGTGTGTACATGAATATTATTCACTCTCTCTCCTTTGACCTCCACTAGAGCTGTAAGACAGGCTGGTCATTTCCGAGTTACCGACCGTATAGTAAAGATGAAGCAGACTCCCTCTCTTGGCATGGCTCTTTCCTTGAAGCCCCACTGTGGAACTCCATTAAGAAGCCACCAAGTTGCTTTTGGCATAGGTCACCCAGAGTCACTGCCACTCCTTGGCAGGAGAAGGGGTACTGGCTTCCTGTGACAAAATGAAGAGTGTGGCCAGGGTACATTAATCTATTGATGCATTCATGAGGCATCAGAAGGAAAAGATAGGAGGGGAGAAGACTCAAAAGGAAGTTGACTGTTGCAAGAGAGCTAAGGCCTGTGCTGTGAATGTCTTATCAGGAATCTTATTCAGTTGGTCATAGGACAAGTGACAGAGCCTGTGGAGCAGACTGGGCAGCTAGCTCAGGACCTGCAGGAGTAGTGATCACAGAACCTGTTTCAGTAACCCCCTGCCATCGGGGATGAGAACATGGTTCCTGGAGTCATTTGAGTTCAAGTCCCTGCTCTGCCACTTTCTAGTTGTGTTCTTGGACAAGACACATCATCTCAATGGACTGTAACTTCCTCTTGTGTAAAGTGGGAATAATAATGACTGTGAGGACTAAATAAAATCAAGCTTAAAAAGCACTTCACACAATAGTAACCACTAACTAAGTATCAGCTGGAGTCATTATAATCATACTGAGTGCCATGAGTGGGGTGGCTTCTTTGCTTTTGCTTTTAAACATGCTCCTCTCCTCCAATTGGCAAATTCTTCTCTTGACTCCAACATTTCTGGGCCACCATTTTACATCTCTTCCGCCTTCCCCACCCAAGTGAATTCTGACATTTTTTTTGGTTTTGAGATTCCATTTACTGAAGAACAATTAACCTCATTTTTGTGGACAAAGGAACTGAGTCTTGGAGATGTGAAGTAACATTATTAAGTGGCTCACTGTGCCAGCACCGTTACTCAAACCCAGTGATGGGCAATACGCTCAGCCACTGCCTTTACCAGGGATGACAGACTTCACTAGGGTTACAGAAAAGCACAATAAATGCCTTGATAGGAACATGCAGAGGGAGCTAATCTCATGCACACTGTCAGAAAACTTCCCCAGGGGTTATCCAGGCTGCCAGGGATCTGGGATTTTCACAGTGGAATGCCAGGGCTGGAGGGCCTTCAGGGATCATCTAGGCCAAGAGTTTTCCAACGAGAGTCTGAGGGATGCTTGAAGGAGCCTGGCACGTGAGAGTTTTTTCAGTTGCAAGAACTATGTATTCATTATAATAAATTATGAACCCCAAAGGTTGTGCTTTTACATTTACGAGGTGATCATTTCCTTTTACAATAAATACCTGCAAAAAGCAATATTAGGTTAAAAATAGCAGCTGTGGTGCTTATGTATGGAAACTCATGATCCCAGAAATCTCATACCTGAAGTTTGGGAAACTCTGATTTTGTACAACTTTGTTATTTTGAGGAAGAGAAACAGATGCTCAGAGAGGCTCCATGACTTGCTCAATGTTATAGAGTCAGTTAGTGGCTGAATTTTGTCATATAAAAATGTATTTCATTTCCCCCAAATCCTAAGATAAGAGGAAAAGTGATACATTGAGTTTCAGGAGGCGTTTGATAAATGACTTGCAGTTCTGCCAGCAGCCTGATTCTCTGATTAGGATCTGGCTGATGCTTTCCTGTTCTTTCAAATTAATTTCTCCTTCCAGTCTTTATCTGTCTCCCAGTTCCCCTGCAGTGGTGAGACACTCAACTTTGGAGGGAGAGTTTGTGGCTGATGTCCTTTTGCTCTACTGGCCCCTCGGTCAAGAGGTTAAGTTCTGAACGTCAGTGCCCTTACCTTCTGCTGAGGAGGACAGATGCTGGGCTTTGAGTCTCATGGGCTCTGCTCTGCCTCCAACTTGTGGTGTAGACATGAGGATCCCCCCTTCCCTGGGCTGCCTCCCTTGGAGGGCTATTATGAAGGGAAAATGAGACTGGGTATTTCAGAACCTGAAAGCAGTGCCATCAAAGGGGTTGTGATCAGATCAATGTTCCCCTGTTTAGCAGCGCGAGGCACATGAGCCGTGGCTGTGAACCATCTGCACTGACCCCATAACACTGCCAGGGCTGACCCTGCTCCGACCCGAGCCCAGAAACAGCTTCTATTCACTCCTCAGCTTGGCCTGCTCTTTCTTTGAGGAAAACACTGCCATTCAGAAAATACTATCCCATGTGGGATTTTATTTTAATTTTTACAATAAGCCTCAGAATATTGACTATTATTGCTTGTTTAGTACATAAGAAACTAAAGTTTAGACCATGAAAGAGATCTGGCCCAGGTTACCCAGCTGGTGGGTGGCAATGCTGGGATCCTGGCTTTCAGACAGGTGCTCTTTTGCAGCTACCTGCAAGGTTGCCAGCCATCCTGCTCAGACTGAGAGTGCACCCCTCCTTCATTCCTGCATTTGTCATGCAAATGTCATGAGGTCTTCAATTTGTGCATGGGGAAATAAATGTGGAGGGAGAGGAGAAATGGTGATGCATGCCTGTAAGCCCAGCTACTTTGGAGGATGAGGCGAGAGGATCACTTGAACCCAGGAGTTTGAGGCTGCAGTGAGCTGTGTTTGCACTACTGCACTCTCGTCTGGGCAATAGCGAGACTGTCTGAGAAAAAAATATGGATCTTGTAACTATATTAGGAAAATCAGCTCTTTTCATACAAGGGGACCTGTTTGTGACAATTGTAGGCAATATCATAGGCAATATTTTTCATTAGAAGCTGGATTTCTAGAAGAATTCAGGCAGTATACATTCTTTGCATCTCATATAGACATTCCTTTTATCTGCTCATCCAATTACTGTTATTATTATGAATATATATTTGTAGTAGCGAAGCTTCTGATGATAGAACCAACAGGATGTATATCTACAGGCTACAGATATCTCTATCTCTGCCTCTATTTTTATCTGTACCTCTATACACAGAGACACAGAGAGAGATTTTAGGGAATTTGGTCACTTGGTTGTGGAGTTGGCAAACCCAAAACCTGCCAGGTTAACTGGCATGCTAGAGACCCAGGGAAGAGCTGATATTGCAGTTTGAATCTGAAGGTGGTCCACTGGCAGAATTCTCTCTTCCTTGGGAGACCTCATCCTTTTTCCTCTGAAGGCCCTTAGCTGATTAGATAAGGCCCTTCCACAAGACTGAAGGCAAATTGCTTCACTCAAAGTCTACAGATTGAAGTGTTGTTCTCATCTAAAGAATCCTTTCACTGCAACATCCAGATATGTTTGACCAAATAGCTGAGAACTGTGGCCTAGACGAGCTGGCACCTAGATTAACCATCACAATGTATAAATATATAATATGTAGAATAACACAAACTAATCTTTACTGAATATTTATTATCAGCAAGGAACCATTATTTCATTGAATAATTCCTAATTATGATTATTGTACAGTACCTGATACATAAATAGAAATAAATTCTGGTTTCAAGTTTAGAAGGTAATTCAGAGTAGAGGGAAGGAAGGGGGGTTGGCATCAGGTATATTTGAGTTCAAGTTCTAACTGCCAATGTCTAAGTTGGGCAAGTTACTTAATCCCTCTAAATCTCTTTTTCCTCATCTGTGAAACAGAGTTAAAAATAGTGCCCACTTCATCAACACAGCGTGTGCTTGATACCTATTTATTGAGCAAATGAATGCTGCGGGAATCTCTAGAGTTGTTAAAAGATTTAAAGGAGATAATTTATCTAAAGCTCCCATAAGGTGCCAGGCACAGGAGGAGAAGATAGTTAATTGAGCTGCCTTTATATTAGGGTTATTTTTCCTCCTGACATCTGCAAACAACAGAGTCATGGCTCGCCGCTGCTGGGATTCACCTAACAGGGACTCAGGGAAAGGTGTGGTTTTCCGGGAGGTCTTGCTTCTAAAGGCCAGGATTAAACAGAAATCTCCCTGGTCTGAGTCAAGGGCTGTTTTTTTCTTACTTCCTTGGCATCCCTCTCAGGGCAGCCAGTTCTCACTGCTCCAGAACTCCTTTCTTGGAGCTCTGGCTGTGACTGGGCTTGGCAGGGAGCCGTCTCTGAAGAACCAGGTAATGTGGTCTGGAGCCTGGTGAGTTTCCTACATCTCTGCCAGCACACTCTGCTCCTCTTTTGCAACTCTGCCATCAGCCCTGCTTCACAAAGCTCAATTTACTGCCTCACCATAGAAAATAGCTGCCTCCTTCTCCTAAGGGATATGACCTACCCTTAGAGACTCTATCAGTTAGGCTAATCACTCCCATTTATTCTGAAACAACTTGTACTATGTATGGGATTAATTAATTATGAGGACATCAAGAGTACTATAAAGTGCTTTGTATTCATAATTGATTCATCATTCAATAAGTATTATGGTGTACTAATGGCTGGAATCCAAGCTCTGACACTTACAGGCTGTGATCTTGATCAAATTTCTATCTTATTCATAAGTTTCTTTATCTGTAAAATAAGAATAATACTAATGCCATCTTAAAACGGTTATTAGGATGTTGGAGTGAATTAGTTTATATAAAGCACATAAAAACATATCTGCACACAGTAAGTGCTCCATAAATAGTAGCAATTCCTATTCTCCACAGACTTTATTACAGATTGGGACAAGTGTTCTATAAAAGCCAACAGGATGCTTTGACACAGACACACATAGTGGGCCAGGGAAACAACTTAGAAGTGCAGGTAAGGGAAAGGCTCACTGAGCTGGTAATATTAATTTGAACACTGAAGGATGAGAAAGAGAGGGAAAAAAGAAATAATAAGGAACAGTATGTATGAAAACTTTGAGGCCTCAAATAACTTGGCATATTCATGAGATTAAAAAAAGGCTCATGTGGCTGGAGCAAAGGGAAGGAAACAATAGCAGTAGTTAACACTTACAAAGTACTCACCATATGTCAAATGCTGTCTGGGTGGTTTATTTATGTTTACTTACGCGATCCTCAATGACAACCATAGGAGGAGGCACTATCATAGCCTAGACTGGGTCATGTCATGACCATTCACACTTCATACCTTCTTGCTGCTTATAGAATTAAGTGCAAACTCTTATCTTGGTACATCAGATGCCTCGAAATGTAGTTTCAACATAACTTTCCCATTCTATGTCTTTTTTTTTGTTTTGCTATCTACCTTGAAATTAATTTTTACTTACATAAGTAATACATAAATATACTTTTCTTGTAAAAACTTTAAACAATATAGTAAAGTTAGGGTTCTCCTACTCCACTTCTATCTTAGGTACCTGACAAAGGAAATAATGCAATTAGTTTGCCATAAATCCTTCCAGATATTTCTGTAAATGTATCAATTTATATATAAACCTAAAGATTATATAAAACTATAGAATACATATGCAATTGGTTTATTATTTTTAAAGAATAAACATTAATCAAACACTACAGGACATACTGGTCTGCAACTTTCTTTTTTCCATCAGTACATATTCCATGTTGCAGATTTATGTCAACTTAAAAAATTGCTGCAGAGTATTCTGTACTATTTCTCAAATAGTGAACATCTGAGATATTTCTTTTCTTTTTTTTTTTTTTACGAAAATAGAATCTTTATTAAAATAGCAAGGCATAACAATCACTGCTACTCAGGAAACACTGTGTTTATTCTTTTTAATCATCAAAATCAATGACTTTGGGCAAGACCTCTGAACTCTCAGAGCCTGTTTCTCCATCTGGAGAACAGGCAGGTAGGGCATTGCCAGCTCCCTGTGAGTGGGGGCCACTGGTGGGAGGAGATGGCCCTGGTCGCCCATGGGATGAGAAACTTACTCCTGCTTCTGTCCCTGGAGAAGGTCTGGGAGATGCCAGTGTGGACTTAAGGCAATGCTAACACTTGCTTATCTCCTTTTGTAACAGAGAAGGGAGAGCTCTCAGCCTTGGCCACACCAGCATGGAGCCCCCCTCCCCAGCGAATTTATTTTTCATGGTCACTTTCTTTTTTTTTTTCCTTTTTTTTTTATTATACTTTAAGTTTTAGGGTACATGTGCACATTGTGCAGGTTAGTTACATATGTATACATGTGCCATGCTGGTGCGCTGCACCCACTAACTCGTCATCTAGCATTAGGTATATCTCCCAATGCTATCCCTCCCCCCTCCCCCCACCCCACCACAGTCCCCAGAGTGTGATGTTCCCCTTCCTGTGTCCATGTGATCTCATTGTTCAATTCCCACCTATGAGTGAGAATATGCAGTGTTTGGTTTTTTGTTCTTGTGATAGTTTACTGAGGATGATGATTTCCAATTTCATCCATGTCCCTACAAAGGACATGAACTCATCATTTTTTATGGCTGCATAGTATTCCATGGTGTATATGGGCCACATTTTCTTAATCCAGTCTATCATTGTTGGACATTTGGGTTGGTTCCAAGTCTTTGCTATTGTGAATAATGCCGCAATAAACATACGTGTGCATTTGTCTTTATAGCAGCAAGATTTATAGTCCTTTGGGTATATACCCAGTAATGGGATGGCTGGGTCAAATGGTATTTCTAGTTCTAGATCCCTGAGGAATCGCCACACTGACTTCCACAATGGTTGAACTAGTTTACAGTCCCACCAACAGTGTAAAAGTGTTCCTATTTCTCCACATCCTCTCCAGCACCTGTTGTTTCCTGACTTTTTAATGATTGCCATTCTAACTGGTGTGAGATGGTATCTCACTGTGGTTTTGATTTGCATTTCTCTGATGGCCAGTGATGATGAGCATTTTTTTCATGTGTTTTTTGGCTGCATAAATGTCTTCTTTTGAGAAGTGTCTGTTCATGTCCTTCACCCACTTTTTGATGGGGTTGTTTGTTTTTTTCTTGTAAATTTGTTTGAGTTCATTGTAGATTCTGGATATTAGCCCTTTGTCAGATGAGTAGGTTGTGAAAATTTTCTCCCATTTTGTAGGTTTCCTGTTCACTCTGATGGTACTTTCTTTTGCTGTGCAGAAGCTCTTTAGTTTAATTAGATCCCATTTGTCAATTTTGGCTTTTGTTGCCATTGCTTTTGGTGTTTTGGACATGAAGTCCTTGCCCATGCCTATGTCCTGAATGGTAATGCCTAGGTTTTCTTCTAGAGTTTTTATGGTTTTAGGTCTAACGTTTAAGTCTTTAATCCATCTTGAATTGATTTTTGTATAAGGTGTAAGGAAGGGATCCAGTTTCAGCTTTCTACATATGGCTAGCCAGTTTTCCCAGCACCATTTATTAAATAGGGAATCCTTTCCCCATTGCTTGTTTTTCTCAGGTTTGTCAAAGATCAGATAGTTGTAGATATGCAGCGTTATTTCTGAGGGCTCTGTTCTGTTCCATTGATGTATATCTCTGTTTTGGTACCAGTACCATGCTGTTTTGGTTACTGTAGCCTTGTAGTATAATTTGAAGTCAGGTAGTGTGATGCCTCCAGCTTTGTTCTTTTGGCTTAGGATTGCCTTGGCGATGCGGGCTCTTTTTTGGTTCCATATGAACTTTAAAGTAGTTTTTCCCAATTCTGTGAAGAAAGTCATTGGTAGCTTGATGGGGATGGCATTGAATCTGTAAATTACCTTGGGCAGTATGGCCATTTTCACGATATTGATTCTTCCTCCCCATGAGCATGGAATGTTCTTCCATTTGTTTGTATCCTCTTTTATTTCCTTGAGCAGTGCTTTGTAGTTCTCCTTGAAGACGTCCTTCACATCCCTTGTAAGTTGGATTCCTAGGTATTTTATTCTTTTTGAAGCAATTGTGAATGGGAGTTCACTCATGATTTGGCTCTCTGTTTGTCTGTTGTTGGTGTATAAGAATGCTTGTGATTTTTGTACATTGATTTTGTATCCTGAGAGTTTGCTGAAGTTGCTTATCAGCTTAAGGAGATTTTGGGCTGAGACAATGGGGTTTTCTAGATATACAGTCATGTCATCTGCAAACAGGGACAATTTGACTTCCTCTTTTCCTAATTGAATACCCTTTATTTCCTTCTCCTGCCTAATTGCCCTGGCCAGAACTTCCAACACTATGTTGAATAGGAGTGGTGAGAGAGGGCATCCCTGTCTTGTGCCAGTTTTCAAAGGGAATGCTTCCAGTTTTTGCCCAGTCAGTATGATATTGGCTGTGGGTTTGTCACAGATAGCTCTTATTATTTTGAAATACATCCCATCAATACCTAATTTATTGAGAGTTTTTAGCATGAAGAGTTGTTGAATTTTGTCAAAGGCTTTTTCTGCATCTATTGAGATAATCATGTGGTTTTTGTCTTTGGCTCTGTTTATATGCTGGATTACATTTATTGATTTGCGTATGTTGAACCAGCCTTGCATCCCAGGGATGAAGCCCACTTGATCATGGTGGATAAGCTTTTTGATGTGCTGCTGGATTCGGTTTGCCAGTATTTTATTGAGGATTTTTGCATCAATGTTCATCAAGGATATTGGTCTAAAATTCTCTTTTTTGGTTGTGTCTCTGCCCGGCTTTGGTATCAGAATGATGCTGGCCTCATAAAATGAGTTAGGGAGGATTCCCTCTTTTTCTATTGATTGGAATAGTTTCAGAAGGAATGGTACCAGTTCCTCCTTGTACCTCTGGTAGAATTCGGCTGTGAATCCATGTGGTCCTGGACTCTTTTTGGTTGGTAAACTATTGATTATTGCCACAATTTCAGCTCCTGTTATTGGTCTATTCAGAGATTCGACTTCTTCCTGGTTTAGTCTTGGGAGAGTGTATGTGTCGAGGAATTTATCCATTTCTTCTAGATTTTCTAGTTTATTTGCATAGAGGTGTTTGTAGTATTCTCTGATGGTAGTTTGTATTTCTGTGGGATCGGTGGTGATATCCCCTTTATCATTTTTTATTGCAACTATTTGATTCTTCTCTCTTTTTTTCTTTATTAGTCTTGCTAGCAGTCTATCAATTTTGTTGATCCTTTCAAAAAACCAGCTCCTGGATTCATTAATTTTTTGAAGGGTTTTTTATGTCTCTATTTCCTTCAGTTCTGCTCTGATTTTAGTTATTTCTTGCCTTCTGCTAGCTTTTGAATGTGTTTGCTCTTGCTTTTCTAGTTCTTTTAATTGTGATGTTAGGGTGTCAATTTTGGATCTTTCCTGCTTTCTCTTGTGGGCATTTAGTGCTATAAATTTCCCTCTACACACTGCTTTGAATGTGTCCCAGAGATTCTGGTATGTTGTGTCTTTGTTCTCGTTGGTTTCAAAAAACATCTTTATTTCTGCCTTCATTTCGTTAAGTACCCAGTAGTCACTCAGGAGCAGGTTGTTCAGTTTCCATGTTGTTAAGCGGTTTTGAGTGAGATTCTTAATCCTGAGTTCTAGTTTGATTGCACTGTGGTCTGAGAGCTAGTTTGTTATAATCTCTGTTCTTTTACATTTGCTGAGGAGAGCTTTACTTCCAAGTATGTGGTCGATTTTGGAATAGGTGTGGTGTGGTGCTGAAAGAAATGTATATTCTGTTGATTTGGAGTGGAGAGTTCTGTAGATGTCTATTAGGTCCACTTGGTGCAGAGCTGAGTTGAATTCCTGGGTATCCTTGTTGACTTTCTGTCTCGTTGATCTGTCTAATGTTGACAGTGGGGTGTTAAAGTCTCCCATTATTAATGTGTGGGAGTCTAAGTCTCTTTGTAGGTCACTCAGGACTTGCTTTATCAATCTAGGTGCTCCTGTATTGGGTGCATATATATTTAGGATAGTTAGCTCTTCTTGTTGAATTGATCCCTTTACCATTATGTAATGGCCTTCTTTGTCTCTTTTGATCCTTGTTGGTTTAAAGTCTGTTTTATCAGAGACTAGGATTGCAACCCCTGCCTTTTTTTGTTTTCCATTTGCTTGGTAGATCTTCCTCCATCCTTTTATTTTGAGCCTATGTGTGTCTCTGCACGTGATATGGGTTTCCTGAATACAGCACACTGATGGGTCTTGACTCTTTATCCAATTTGCCAGTCTGTGTCTTTTAATTGGAGCATTTAGTCCATTTACATTTAAAGTTAATATTGTTATGTGTGAATTTGATCCTGTCATTATGATGTTAGCTGGTGATTTTGCTTGTTAGTTGATGCAGTTTCTTCCTAGTCTCGATGGTCTTTACATTTTGGCATGATTTTGCAGCGGCTGGTACCGGTTGTTCCTTTCCGTGTTTAGCGCTTCCTTCAGGAGCTCTTTTAGGGCAGGCCTGGTGGTGACAAAATCTCTCAGCATTTGCTTGTCTGTAAAGTATTTTATTTCTCCTTCACTTATGAAGCTTAGTTTGGCTGGATATGAAATTCTGGGTTGAAAATTCTTTTCTTTAAGAATGTTGAATATTGGCCCCCACTCTTTTCTGGCTTGTAGGGTTTCTGCCGAGAGATCCACTGTTAGTCTGATGGGCTTCCCTTTGAGGGTAACCCGACCTTTCTCTCTGGCTGCCCTTAACATTTTTTCCTTCATTTCAACTTTGGTGAATCTGACAATTATGTGTCTTGGAGTTGCTCTTCTCGAGGAGTATCTTTGTGGTATTCTCAGTATTTCCTGAATCTGAATGTTGGCCTGCCTTGCTAGATTGGGGAAGTTCTCCTGGATAATATCCTGCAGAGTGTTTTCCAACTTGGTTCCATTCTCCCCATCACTTTCAGGTACAGCAATCAGACGTAGATTTGGTCTTTTCACATAGTCCCATATTTCTTGGAGGCTTTGCTCATTTCTTTTTATTCTTTTTTCTCTAAACTTCCCTTCTCGCTTCATTTCATTCATTTCATCTTCCATCGCTGATACCCTTTCTTCCAGTTGATCTCATCGGCTCCTGAGGCTTCTGCATTCTTCACGTAGTTCTTGAGCCTTGGTTTTCAGCTCCATCAGCTCCTTTAAGCACTTCTCTGTATTGGTTATTCTAGTTATACAGTCTTCTAAATTTTTTTCAAAGTTTTCAACTTCTTTGCCTTTGGTTTGAATGTCCTCCCGTAGCTCAGAGTAATTTGATCGTCTGAAGCCTTCTTCTCTCAGCTCGTCAAAGTCATTCTCCATCCAGCTTTGTTCCGTTGCTGGTGAGGAACTGCGTTCCTTTGGAGGAAGAGAGGCGCTCTGCGTTTTAGAGTTTCCAGTTTTTCTGTTCTGTTTTTTCCCCATCTTTCTGGTTTTATCTACTTTTGGTCTTTGATGATGGTGATGTACAGATGGGTTTTTGGTGTGGATGTCCTTTCTGTTTGTTAGTTTTCCTTCTAACAGACAGGACCCTCAGCTGCAGGTCTGTTGGAATACCCTGCCATGTGAGGTGTCAGTGTGCCCCTGCTGGGGGGTGCCTCCCAGTTAGGCTGCTTGGGGGTCAGGGGTCAGGGACCCACTTGAGGAGGCAGTCTGCCCGTTTTCAGATCTCCAGCTGCGTGCTGGGAGAACCACTGCTCTCTTCAAAGCTGTCAGACAGCGACATTTAAGTCTGCAGAGGTTACTGCTGTCTTTTTGTTTGTCTGTGCCCTGCCCCCAGAGATGGAGCCTACAGAGGCAGGCAGGCCTCCTTGAGCTGTGGTGGGCTCCACCCAGTTCGAGCTTCCCAGCTGCTTTGTTTACCTAAGCAAGCCTGGGCAATGGGGGGCGCCCCTCCCCCAGCCTTGCTGCCGCCTTGCAGTTTGATCTCAGACTGCTGTGCTAGCAATCAGCGAGACTCCGTGGGCGTAGGACCCTCCGAGCCAGGTGCGGGATATAATCTCGTGGTGCGCCGTTTTTTACGCCGGTCCAAAAAGCACAATATTCGGGTGGGAGTGACCTGACTTTCCAGGTGCGTCCGTCACCCCTTTCTTTGATTCGGAAAGGGAACTCCCTGACCCCTTGTGCTTCCCAAGTGAGGCAATGCCTCGCCCTGCTTCGGCTCGCGCACGGTGCGTGCACCCACTGACCTGCGCCCACTGTCTGGCACTCCCTAGTGAGATGAACCCGGTACCTCAGATGGAAATGCAGAAATCACCGTCTTCTGCATCGCTCACGGTGGGAGCTGTAGACCGGAGCTGTTCCTATTCTGCCATCTTCCATCTGAGATATTTCTAACTTTTTGCTAATTTCAGCATTACCAATAATGCTGAAACAAACACTGTTATCAGTTAGCGTCTAGTCAGGAAAACAGAAAACCTTCTTAGGCACTTCAAACAGAGGGGATTTAATGCAGAGAATTGGTCACCAAGGGGATAAGAGACTTGAGAAGCCAAGTAGGAAGGTGAGGCTATTTAGAGACTAGGAACAACAGGAAGATGTGACCCCCCCCTACAGCTGGAGAGCACTCCTAGGAGGAAGTGGTGTTGGCAGAGCACAGAAGTCAGGGCAGGCCCTGTGTTGGGAGCTAGGACTGTGAAAGGTGCTCTGGGACAGAAGGGAAGAAACACCTTAGTTTCTCTTTTCCTCCCTCTAGCTTTTCACCAGTGCCTCCCATTGACCAAATCTGCCCAGAAGCCAGTGGGCAAGGAATCCTGGGAATATAGTTTCCAGCAATGAACAGAGCAGGGAGTGCATTTGACAGCAAAGTGGCAACAGATAGCTTTATGAATACCTCTTGGTACAATTGTTTGTGTTTTTCTAGCACAGGCAATGCCAGGAGTGGGGTTACTCAATCATAGGATCATATACCTTTTAATTTAGTACATGCTGCCAAATTGCTCTTCAAAGTGGTTGTACAAATGTACATTCCCACTAGCATTGTATGGGTGTACCCATTTTCCAACGTTTGCCAGCACTCAATATTAACAAATGTGTTCATTTTTCCTAATATGATTAGTATCTACACTTATTTCACCCTCCACACAGCCAATCGTCCAGGCAGGTCAAGGCCCTGGGGGTGCTTGCATTACTCTATTCCAGTCCTAGGAAAGAGTCAAGACAGGGCTTTAGAGCTTCTTTTCAAAAACCCAACTCTAGGGGCTCTGGAGCTTTCACCAGTTCCTTTTGTTTCAGCCTATTTTTGTCCCCAAAGGATTTATGAATTAGATCTCTGTTTATTTTCATGATGTCCCAGGGCCTTGGAGGAGGTGAGGACTAGGTGTCCTTGGCACACCTCAGGACTTAGGCAGGTTCTCTGAAGTCCTCATTGTGATGTGGCATCTCACCTCTCTGGGAGCTGGCCACAGTAGTTTTTCAGTGGCCACCAGAGAGTGGCCAGTATAAGGAGGAGAGGGTGGAGGCAGGTATAAGGAGTGGAGGAGGGTGGTCAGTGTATTGAGGAATTACTAGTCAAAAGATGTGGGCTCTGCTCTAGTTTCTGCCATTAAGTAATCCTTGAGAACCTCTTGCTTTGGGTTGCATGTGCCCTTTAGGGGCATAGAGGAGACCTCCTACTATCCAGGGAACTCCTACTGCCAAAGTTGGAAGAACCCTCTGGAATCATCTCATGCAGACCCTCTCATTTTACCAGAGGGAAACCTAGGCTCAGAGAGGGAAATGGACTTGCCTAAGAGGTCAGCTTGAGCTGGTGGTAGACCTTGAACTAGACTCTCCACGGTAGGTTGAAGAATGCACACATCCCCACCCCACCTACCAACCTAGCCATGTCCTAATCTCAGGAACCTGTAAATAATACCTTATCTGGAAAAATGGTCTTTGCTGATGTGATGAAATTCCCAAGAGTTTGAGAATTAAGAGATTATTTTAGATTATCCAGGCAGGCCTTATATGCTATCCCAGTATCCTTACAAAATAGAGGCAGTTAGAGATTACTGAAGCAGACAGTTGAGTGAAGCAGCCACAAGTCAAGGAATGCTCACAGCCACCAGAAGCTGGAAGAGGCAAAGAAGAGTTTCTCCCCTTGAGCTGGTCCACCTTTGGGCCCAGGGATAGTGATTTCAGATTTCTAAGACAGTGAGAGAATAAGCTACCAAGTTTGTGGGAATATGTTACAGCAGCCACAGGAAACGAATTCATTCTCCATCTCCTGGTTTCTCCTTCACTATACTAGCTGTTTCTTTATGTTTTCTTTAATTACCCACTTCCACAGTTCTCTGCACAAATGAGATCAGAGGGGGCTTTATATTTGCCTTTGAGTTTCCTGACCTCAGGATCCCTTCCCTGACCATTCCTTTCAGCAACCCCCTGCATGTCATGTTAGGGGCCTGGGTTTCTGCAGTAATACCATGAGCTGAATTGGGGATGTATGGCTGCTGAAAGACTGAAGGTTGTCGGGTGTTGGGAAAATAAGTGCCCATGATCAGGGCTTGTGGGAGACCTGGGTTCTTGTCTGAGTTCTGCCTCTAATTTGCTGTGTAACCATGGACAAGGACATTCACAGTTCTGGACCACAGCTTTCCACAAACACAAGACAAAGAGGTTGATCCAATCAATTTTCCGAAAGGGTAGTTCACATAATACTAGTGGTATCTGAGATGATTTCAGGCAGTAAAATGGTGAGTCATTGAATAGCACTGATTTGCAGAGTCAATATTCCCTTTCCAATTCTGAGTCAGTTCTTCCTCAAGGAAAAAGTCTTAGGTTAATGCTAACATCTCCTTAACCACATTTTAAAATGTGCTGATCTCCCTTTTTATTGAAATTTGAGTAGACTCCAGGCTGAAAGCCTTTAGCAGGTGATAACCATCAAATTTAATAGAACTATTTTTATGATGTTTGCACTTTACAGTTACCTTCTATTTTTGGCAAAGTATACTTGTTTTTCATTTCTAGTAGTGTATCAATCAGGATAAGCTAGGTTATATCCTGGTGACAAAACACTCCAGCTATCTCAATGGCTTAATACAACAAAGTTTTTTTCATGCTCATAGAAAGTCTGTTGTGGGGCCACATGACCCTATAGGCCTTAGAAAACCTAAGCCATTGCTTTCACCAGAATCCCCTGTCCAAACACAGATTGCTGCCCCCTCCCGCCCAGAGTTTCTGACTCAGTAGCTCTTAGGTTGGGCCAGAAAATCTGCATCTGTAACAAGTTCCCAGGTGATGCTGTTGCTGCTGATTTGGGAACCACACTTTGAAAAACTACAGCTCTACAACAACTACTCTCAGCTGGTGACTTAGCAATCCAGGTACAAGGTGAATCCTTGAGCATCTCCACCTGGAACATGCAGCCTCCTTGTCAGAAGCAGCAGCACTGGAAAGATTCCCAGTAGTAATTAATTGCTCTGGCTGGCTGGGAAGTGACACAAGTCTCTTCTTCCCAGCCAGAACCATCATGAGGTGCCACCTAACTCAAGGCAGAGTTCAAGGAGGAGGCGGGAGGTATAGGGAGTTATCATCCTCCCAGGAGCCTCGAGAGACAAGAGGACTGAAGAGGGTGAGCAACTGGGGAGAAATCTCATCTAAAACTAGGCATTTTAATAACAGACAATGATTAAAAATGTCCTTTAAAGAAAAGAGTTCTTAAAGCAAAATGTCACTTAAAGAAGAATTTAAGGTAAAGAATGGTAGAGAGGGTATGTGCTATGGCAAAAATAAAAAAGCGGGTATGAAAATGGGCAGTCGGAAAGGTCTGTCATCCTGTGCTCCTATTGCACTGTCATAGTCAGTGACAGAGACTGTAGAAATTACCCTGCAGAGATCTTCAGGCCACGCACTGCTGCCAGGAATCTCCACCTGAGGTTTCCAGGAGTTACAGCCTGGAGGGATGCTGACCTCATATCTCCTCCCTTTCTGTGCTCAGAACTTTCTATTCTCTCTTCCTCTTCTTATACCCCATCCTCTATTGTCTATCTCAACATGTTGGAAAAAACAAAAAACAAAAACAAAGACAAAGGATGATTGAATACTTTTGTCCCCTAGGTAACAGCCTTTTGTTAGTCACCACCAGCCTTCATACCTGGCTGACTCCTTTTCCCTCAGTCTCCCATGGCTCCTGAAAATATAAAATGAGACTATGCTTTGGACAGAAGAGGCTCAAGTGTTTTGGAATAAAGCCAGAATGTGGATCAGCTGGGGATAGAGTTGGGGGAAAGAGAGAGAAAGAGAGAGAGAGTGAGAGAGAGAGAGAGAGAGAGAGAGAGAGAACCCTGACTCTTGTTCTTGGTGCTCCATGTTTCTTTCCATTTCTCATATTTTAAAATAGGCACTTTGGACAGTGTCTGTCAAGCAGCATGAATAACGCAGCTTCACAACAGTAAATGGTGTTAGGCTCAAAGCCTGCCAGTCTGCGGCGGACTCCAGGCCTGGAGAGGGGTCTGGGGGAGATGACTGGTGCCTGGGGAGCTGAGAGTAGCAGAAGCAGTTTTGTTTGGGAGGAGGTAGGCATGTGTTGAGATTCTGGCTCTATGCCCTGTTATATTCCAGGAACAACTGCTTGTCATTTATATCTGTGCTCTTTCCCATGCTTTAGAAGGAACTGTTTATGAGTAAAGAGTAAAAAACTATTGGTAAAGATGTCATAGGTACAAAAGCCGTAGAAATCAACTTCAAGCCCAATTCCTTCATTTGACAAACAGGTGCATAGTGTATTGGCTTTCTATCACTGTTGTGACATATTACCATAAACTAATGGCTTGAAGCACACAAATTTATTATCTTGCACCTCGGTATGTCAGAAGTCCAATATGCATCGCATTGGACTAAAATCAAGATGCTAGCAGGGCTGCCTTTCTTTCTAGAGGCTGCCTGCATTCCTCGGCTCATGGCCTCTTTTTCCATTTTCAAAGTGAGCAATGCAGAGTGAGTCTGTCTCACATCACATCACTGTGACCTCCTCTTCTGCTGCCCTCTTCTGCTTTTAGGGACCCTTTTGATTCAGGTAGACCTACTTGGATAATCTAGGATACTCTGTCTTAAGGTCAGCTGCCTAACAACAGTAATCCATCTGCAACCTGAATTCTGCTTTGGCATGTGTCATACCATATTCTTAGGTTCCAGAGATTAGGGTGTGGATATCTTTGGAGGCCGTTATTATATCTTCCACACATGGGATCCTGGAGAGTGCCAATGACTCATTTGAGGCAGAGCTAGGAATACACCTAATACTCAGTATTCTTCCCACTCTACAACACTGTTTTTAATATATAAGGCATAGAGCAGAGTGGTTAAAAGTACAGGCCTTGGGGTCAGATAATCAGGGATCTGGGCTCAAGATTTAGCTCACCCTTGCTAGTTATGAGAACCTGGGATAATTACTTAAACTCTCAGCACCTCAGATTCCTCATCTGTTAAGCAGGGAAAATATCAGCTGCTTAAGGTGAAAGATCAAGTATGAAAGTCCATGAAAAATGCTTAGCAATGTTTTCAGGACACAGCACCAGTCAATGATATCACTTAGTATGATCTATAATGAAACATTATACTTGGTTCTCCTAACACCCCTTGTGAGAGCATATAAGTTATCATAGCCATTTGACAGATGTGGAAACTGAAGCTGCGATTGTTAAAATGACTGGAGAGAGGTCGTTTAGCCAGTTGGTGTTGGTGAATCAGGTCAGGAACAAGGTCTATGGCCCTTCAAACCATGACATCCTGCCACTGTTTAACTTCCGGTATGTGATCCAAGAAAGAGGCTTGTCTGATTTTTTTTCTAAACCTATACTAGAGGAAAAGACCCTTTAATCTTTTTAGAAATGTCTTATATAGTCCTCACACTCATAATATTCAGCTGCATTCCTAATGCAAAATACACCGACGTTAAGTTCATTAGCTTCTCCCTTGTATAAACATGCTCTGGATTGCTGTGAAGGCAATATTCTTTCATGCAGTTTAAAGCAGTTTTTAAGCCACTTTGTCCATGGCCTCATGCCCATAGCTCCTGCCCATTGTCCCTGGTGAGCTTGAGTGAAGCCCTCCATAGAATATATAAACCTAATCTTATTGGTGGGAGTCTATCTTTTAGATAGAACAATATGTATTTATTTGACCATTTATGTATGCAATAGCAGTTACTGATATTCTTGAGTACTGATAAATTGATACATTAAGACATTGTAAGCTTTTGGATTGTGAATGTTGGGTTATTTTAGAGGCCTTGAAAAATAACATCTCTCTTCCCTGCCCAAGTTCAGAACTGAGTGTCAGGTAGATAGTGGAGTTAGATTGGCAAAGATCAAAATGTCATCATTCTTGCTGATTCAAGCTAGATTGGGGAGTATTGCTTAGCTGTGGGGCTGAATGGGCTTGGAAATGCTCCCCACCCAGTCCTGGAAGGCATGTCCACCAACGTCTTCCTGGAGGGGACAGCATGGGCCCAACAAGCTTTCTGCATGGCTCTGAGCACAGACCAAATGGTGGTCTCATTTCCTTTGGGAGGCCATCCTGAGAGAAGAGAGGGTACCCAGAACCAGAACCTCAGATCTCTTCTCCTAAACTGATCAGTCAGATAACTCCCTTTTCCACCTATGAGGAGGGCTATTGGAAGAGATGTGACAAGTGTTTTCTAGATGAAGTTCTTCCACTTAGAGATATGGGTAATGAGGAAGACAAATTCTCACCTAAAAGTGGGAAAGGAGTAAAAGGATATTCTGTATAACTAACTGGTTACAGCCAGTTCTCTGGGAATTGTTCCCAGCCCATGGCCTAGGTAACCACTATATACTGAAGAATGTTCGAATCTGGGCAGACCACATGTGGAGTGTCTGTGTTGCAAAGGAACAATAACTGAATATTGATAGTGACAAAACGCATCCAAACCCCTGGTTTGGCATCCAAGGCTGGTGCAAGCTGGGTTCACAGAAGTGGATGTGAAGATGGGGCTTGTAGTGGAAAATGTTTATACGAATCAATACCTATGAAAGGACTGGGGAGGACACAGTACTAGGCAGATGAAGAAGTTGAAGCAGGCCCGACAAACCCTCAGACAACCCAGTAAGGAGTGAATATTGTCCTTCAGTGTCACCCACAGAGGGGCAAGATGGCCAGGCCCTCAGGGCACCACCTCCTTCAGTTGCTGGAGGGGACTCAGGCCAGGCCAGGGGCTCCCTGCAGCAGATACAGACCCTGAAGGAGAGGCAGCAGGGCAGCAGAATCCTGGCAGTTCCCTCCAGTGCCCAGCCCTGACTGTGTCTGCTTTCTAATCCTCTGCCTCTTCCTACCTTTTCCTTGACATTTTAGTCATTCCCAGTTGCCTGCAGTTCCCAGCAGATCATATGCCCTTTCATGTCTCTGGTTGTTTTCTAGGATATCTTTTATGCTAACTCATTCCCATTTTTCATGACTCAATTCAGGCATCATCTCTTCTAGGAAGGTTTCCCTAAGTCCAGGCTGGGCTGAGTATCACCCTGCTGCATACACATAGCATTCTCTCAGCACTTATCAAGTGATATTACATTTTTTTGTGAACGGACCTGTCTCCACCAGGTCTCAGTTTTTTTACAGGATTATATCTTGTTCACCTTTGTACCTAGATGCCTAATAAGGTCCTAGTACATGGCAGGTGTTCAACAGATGCTTGTCTTCTCATCTCTCCTTTTAGGGCCATGTCCTCATTCGACAAACATATATTGATCACTTTTGTGCAGGTGCTACAAGAACTCACAGATCAGTGGGCCTAGTATTTTTGTAGCCATTGCAGGGCCCAGAACAGAATCTCATACATTATCATTTCTCAGGAAATACTCTTTTTAAAATCAGAGCCAATCTTCTCCTGCCAAAATTGCGTCAACACAGGATCTAGAGGCAGTAGGGGACTTGAGTAGGTATTGCCAGGCACAGGGACAAGCAAGGTCTTGGAAAGTATTTGAAATAATTTTTTAGGAAAGGAAACTGCTAAGGCCAATGCCCTTCTGATTTGCTTTTGTCTCTCCCATGGAGGAATCTCTCAGGGCTCTATAAAGATAAATGAACCCTGGACTGTTAGATCTGTAAGGACTTTAAGGGTGATGAGGTGGGGAGAGATAGAAAGAAGGAATAACAAAGGGGCTGGAGGAAGCTGGACTTGGTCTCTCTGCTTAAACTCAGTTCTGTGGGGATAGGAACTATCCTAGTTCCACTGAGTGCCCAGAAAGAACCAGAGAGGCAACAAAGTGTCAACCTGGTCACCCTAGATCAGCAGGGAAATATGGAAATAAATGCCCTTTGGTCTACTGGCTGGGCCACAAAGGCTGAACAGAGGTGAAATCTGTTATGCAAAAGAGAATCAGGAGTTTCACATCAGCCAAATGGGAAGAGGAAAGGCCCCTGCAATTGTTCAGAGGAGAAGAGGAAGACCAATGGCAATATAATCTTTCATCAGCCACTCCCTGTCGGGGGAATAAGCTTTCATGCAACCTTCTCCCTTCTCTTAGCAGGGCAGCACAGAGACTGGAATTGCCTGGGGTCAAATCAAAGTCACAGTCATTTACTTGGCATTGGTTGCCTTCTCTGTCCATCCAGTCTGTGTGGGGACTTATTAGATTTCACTGCAGAGGTTTACCAGGTTTGTAAGGTGTCTTGGCTTCTGTGCTGTGAGCTGGGGGTATAAATCTGGTGTCTTAGTTGATTTGTGTTGCTATAAAAGAATACCTGAGGTTGAATAATTCATAAATAAAAGAGGTCTATTTGGCATACAATTCTATAGACTGTACAAGAAGCATGGCATCAGCATCTGCTCCTGGTGAGGCCTCAGGAAGCTTCCAATCACAGAAGAAGGTGAAGGGGAGGCAGCATGTCACATGGTAAGAGGTGAAAGAAGAGAGAGGGAGGGGAGAGGTGCCATGCCCTTTTAAACAACCAGCTCTCACCTGAACTGCAGAGTGAGAACTCATTCATTACCTCAGGAAGGCACAAAGTCATTCATGAGGAATCTGCTCCCATGACCCAGATACCTCTCACCCTCTCATGAGGCCCCGCCTCCAACTCTGGGGGTCAACATTCAAACTGAAGTTTGGAGGGGTCAAATATCCAAACTATAGCATGTGATTATGGGCCAGTTCCTGTCCCCAAGGGGCTAGTGGCCAGTTGGAGAGACATATGTGATGATAATAGTGTCGGCAATAATCACCATATTATTGAGAACTTACTATGGACTGGTTGCTATCTCATTTATTCCTCTAACGACATTACAAGATGATGTTGATAATATCCCCATTTCACCTGTGAGGAAACTGAGGCTTAGAGAGCTTAGTTTCCTATTCAAAGTCACCATGGCAAGTAAATAAATGAGGGGAGACTCAAACCCAAATCTGTGCAACAGCAAAGCCCATACTCTATGCCAGAGCTTCCCAACTGGAGATGATTGGCCCTCTCATGCTTTCCCAGGGACATTAACAATGTCTTGGAGACATTTTGGGTTGTGACAGTGTGGCTGGGGATGGCTACTGGCATTTGGTGGGCAGAGGTCAAGGATGCTGCTAAATGTCATTCAATGCACAAGACAGTCCCTCCATACTCCAACAAATAAGTATTAGGCCAAAATATGGATAGCACTGGGGCTATCTCTAAGCCAGTGCAGCTCTAAGCCATCTCTGTGCACCGTATTGAAATAGGTATCTCTACTTTCTCCCACCTTGTTATTGCTTAGCCTAGCTCCGGAATGTTTTATTCATAGTACTCATCACAACTTATTATTTTTGTTCATTTGCTTGTGATTTCAGTTGTTAGATATCTCCTCCACTCTCAGCTGCTTGTGGGCAAAGGCTATGCCTGCCGTGTTCACCACTTCATCTCTAATAACTAGCACAGCATCTGGAATGTTGTAGAGGCTCAATGAATATTTGTTGAGTGAGCAAATAGGCAAATGGACATAGTGCAATTAAATAATCTGTGCAAGGTCATAAGAACAAAGTGCCAAAGGCAGTATTTAAACCTAGGTCCTTTTGAATCCAAATTCTCTGAGTTAAGGCATCTCAGGGTAATTAAAGCATTGTAAACATGTCCCTGTTCATGTCCCTGAGAGTTCAGAGTTCAGCAGAGGAGCGAGAAAAGTCTGTGAGTGTCAGGGCGTGATGCCAGATTCAGGCTGGGAAAGAAACAAGGGACAGAAGAAGGATGAGAAGAACTTCAGGACTCAGCTGAGTCCTCATGCTAGTAGATTGGAGAGGACTTAGTGGAGAGTTGCCCAGATATTAAAAGAACTGTTTAAAATGACCAGAATCAATCTTGCTCACTTTTAAGCAAAGATGGGCAATACAACATTTATCTTCTCTCAGTCCTCAGGGACTTTGGGCCTCTTAGAATTCCCAAAAATAATGGCTAGTGGCTCCACAAATGTAATTTAAGTCCTAGAAATACCCTAAAGTCAAGTACTGGTTTGGCTGATAGATCCCAGCCCTGGGAGCAGCTAAGCCTGACTCTGTTCCTGCAGGAGAGCCACTGTGGGAGCCAACTCCATATGGGCTCAGGCCTGGGGAGGCTGTCAGGGTAAGGGGAGGTAGGGACTGAGGTACATGAAGGCAAGGGCAAGGGAGTGAGGGGAGACAGAAAGAAGAGAGAGTGAAAGGCAAGGAGGAAGTAAGGGTTAGTGGCAGAATAGGGAGGAAGGAAGCAAGGGAGGAAATGAGGGGAGGAGAAAGAGAGAGAGGAAAGGAAAGAAGGAAGGAAAAAGAGAAAGGAAGAGCAGCTGGGAAGGAGGGAGGGAGAAAGAGGAAAGGAGGGAGAGAGAAGGGAAAGAGGAGAGAGGGGGAAGGAAAGCAAGGGGGAAGGAAGGAGAAAGGGAGAGAAAGAGAGAGGGAGGGAGGGAAAGAGAATGAGAGGGAGGGAGGGAAGAAAGAAGAGAAAGAGAAGAGGAAGGAAATAGGTGGGAAAGAGGGAAGGAGGAAGAGAAGGAGGGAGGGAGGAAGGAAAAAAGAAGGGGAAGAGAGAAGAAGGGAAGAAGGAAAGAAGGAAGGGAGGAGGAAAGAAGGAAAAATTGGTAATAGGAAATACTTCCTGAATATTTATAATTGCCTCAAATTGTGTGAAGTCCTTAAAATGAATAACAACCTTTACTGCTGAAAACAATCCTATGGGGGTAACTTCTTTCATCATGTCCTTTTTATGGATTAAAATAATGCCAAGTACATATAGCAAGATAGAAGAAATAACTTCGAATGTTCAATAGCAGAGTAGGGTGACTATAGTTAGCAAACAATGTATTGCATATTTCAAAATAGCTAGAAGAGAGGATTTAAAATTTTCCTAACACATAGAAATGATAAATACTCAAAGTTATGGATATTCTAAATACCTTGACTTGATCATTCCCGTTCTATGCATGTATTAAAATATTATGTGTACCCCAAAATATTATAGGTACTGCAAATATTTTGTATCTATAGAAATTTTAAAAAACAAAGCACAGAGACCTTAACCAACATGACTGAGGACACACTGAGGCAATAAGTGGTGAATTCAGATGTGAAAAATGTGCGGTCTGGGGAAGAGCTGCTGTGGTGGGGATGGGAGAGAGGACAATGGGAAGGGCAGAACCAGGCTCTATCATGGGGTCTGTGGGAATAAACTGAAAGCTCCTAGGTGTCTAGGGGCAGATAGTAGGGGTCTGGAGGCTGGACTCTAGCTCAGAATGGCTGTCTTTGACAAGAGAGAGCCCAGCCTGCTCTTTTTGGATCTTAGGGCAGCCCAAAGAGGCTCTTTGTTTGAATGGGCTTTGCTGATAGATTGTATTGGACATTCCTTGGTGACACTATTGAGCCCCAAAAGAATTGTAATGCCATTGTTAGATATTTATCCTTTGTTCTTGAAAGGAAAGAAACAGGAGCGATGAAAATGATCCAGTTATTATCATTTCATTATGCATGGGGACAAGAAAAACAAAGGAACAGAGAAAGGAAGTTATTAAAATAAATACAAATGGCTTATGTATGCTGTAACATCTACAGGTTGTGTTCCCACCTGTTTTTTCATAGGATATTCCCGTTTTGTGGTGGGTGTTAGATCTGCCCTCCCCAGTTTTACCAAAGAAGAAACTGGTTCAGAGAGAGGAAGTTTCCAATTAGTAAGAAGCTGGCATGCAAACTCAGGTCTTCTTATTCAAATCGTTAGCTCTTTCCTGTGTACCATATTCAAGTCATGCTCAGTTTCCTTTAAATGAAATTGACTTTTTTTTTTTTTTTTCAAATTAACTTCCCAGAATGAAAGTTGTGTGAAACAAGATTCTGGTCTATTAATCATAGAGAAGATTAATTCTAGAATGAGTTTAAGATTTGCTTATGACAAATGTCCCTTCAATAATTGTTTATGTAAGAGGTTATTTTTTAAAAAGTTGGTGCCCAAAAAAGTAGAATATGTCCTCTTCGGAGCAAATTAATGGAAGCAAACAATAGTGTTCTTGGAAATCTCTTGGATAAATAACTTGTACATGCTGTTCTCTGTAGTCCCACCTCACCTGAGGTTACATCCTTATTCCTCTCTTGAATCCAGCTCTGCTGAAGTCTTGACTTTTCATCCCTATTCCACCTTCCTAATCCTTGGCACCTGTGGATCTTCCCTTCCCTGTCATTTCTAGGGCCCTTTCTACCTCTACCCCATAGAAAGCAAGCTCCGCAGGGCTGGGGCTTGGTGTCTCTTTTTTTTTGAGGAGGAGTCTTGCTCAGTCGCCAAGGCTGGAGTGCAGTGGAGCCATTTCGGCTCACTGCAAGCTCCCCCTCCCGGGTTCACGCCATTCTCCTGCCTCAGTCTCCCGAGTAGCTGGGACTACAGGCGTCTGCCACCACGCCCAGCTAATTTTTTGTATTTTTAGTAGAGACGGGATTTCACCGTGTTAGCCAGGATGGTCTCGATCTCCTGACCTCGTGATCCACCCGCCTTGGCCTCCCAAAGTGGTGTTTCTTGACTGTGGCTGCATCCTTAGCATACTGTGTGGCTCACAGTTAAGCACAATATTTGCAGGTTGAATGACTGCATGGGTCACCAGCCACAAAACATAGACTGGTATCATTATTGTGAGTTCTCTAGACTCAACTTATATTCCTAGCCTCAACCTTGGCACACAGAATGAGAGCTCTGTAAATGTTTGCCAAATAAATCAAGGAGTGACCAAAATATTGTTTTATAAAACACATGCTTTCAGTAGAAACAGAATTTGCCCGTCTTGTGAAATAACATGATATTTCGAACTGTGTCCATGAAGACAATGGAGTGGGGTGGTGAGTGGTGGGGGCAATTAACAATCTCCGTACATTTGCGTGTTTTCATGGTGCCTCTAAAGGTCACAGGTGCCTAATGCTTCTGGCTGGCAGACACCTTAATCAAGTGGCAGCAGTAATAACAGTGACACCCAACAGTTACTGAGCACTTATATTAGGCCAGGCACTGTGCCAAGGGCTTTATCTATATTAACTCATTTTATTTTTCTTTGAATTAGAATTAGTTATTATCCTCTTTCAACAGGTAAGGAATAAGGCACAAAGAGGTCACATAAATGGAACTCTATGAAGCCTTATGGATATGCATGGGAGCTTCCAGGCTGCCCTGGGGATGAGGGGAAGGGGCAAGACCAGGAGAAGATGAGAAAAGGCATCAGGCACGAGTCTGTCCTCCCCTCCTACAGTTGTAGCAGATTGTATTTGGTTAAATATTTTATATATTGGGCTTCTGCAAAAGATTTATTAGAGGGAAAGAGTTTCGTCTAGCTAGAATAAAAGGTTTATACATTTTTAAAATTGATGTTTTAGTTCTACAGCTAGGAAGCCTAAAGGCTGGAGAATGTTAAATATCTTGGCAATTGTCATAGTGGCACAGCCAGATCTAAAAAATTTCAGCCTCCAATGGTCCGGGCATCTATTTCTTCAGCATCTATTGCTTAGATGCCCAGGTGTCTCTGTAATGGCACTTGAATTTAGTATACTTGTTGACCAAGAAACTTCCTTTTCCAGAACTTTTGCTTGCAGAGGTATGTCCTGAGCAATATTAAGTAAAATAAGGTAAATGTGGAAGTATCTGTCTTGTAGAATTGTTGGAGAGAGGAAAACAAGATGAGCAAGGCCAGGGTTAGACAAGGCAGGAAGTGGAAAGAATACTCAGGGAATTTGGACAAGGCTAGGGTGGGTGGGGGGTATGGCTTCTGGCTCTGGAATACAAAGGGCAATAACAATAACATGACTTTTTGAATGACTAACCAGTTGCATGCATACTAAGCTACATGCTTCACATGCATTGGCACTTTCCATAATGAGAGCAGTGAATTCTATTTCTTTGAAGAGAAAACAGAAACTCACACAGCTGGCAAGTGGCAGAGAGAAACTCAACCAAGGCCTGTCTGGCATCAAAGTACATTCTCTGAACCCCTCAGCTACACTGCTACTTTAAACCTTTTCAGGCCACAGGGCCTAAAAGACTTTCTTGAACCTGGTAGCAAATTTTGGGACTAAAGCTGGTTTAAAGTTATGGTTCCTGACCCAAACTCAGGCACATACTGAAGCCTTGAATTAGATCTGCCTTTAGGGCCAGTCCAGGGCAATTCAACCACCTGCTACCCAGATGCCTGAGACTTTTTGACCTGAGGACCAAACTTTTCGTTCTCCAATTAGAGATAAAATAGAAACTCCAGGTGGCCTCTTGAGTACCTTTTAGTTAGTGAACAAGTCAGAAATAATGGCCAAAAGCAATCCATGCATTTGTATGGCCCTTTAAGGTTTAAAAAATATTTCCCCCATGTGTTTTTTCAATGTCATTAGAGGCCAGCTATAACCCCTATGCAACAGAGCTGAGACTATGGATCACAAGGAAGGAATTATTTATGGAGAGTTACACACATCTCAGCAGTGGCTGACCTAGAACTCAGTCCCTGGTCTTCTCAGGACATTTTCTCTTTGTAAGGCACTAGAAAACAGAAAGGCACTAGAAGAGAATCGAAGTTCAAAGGGTAGGAGAGAAGGGCGCATTGAGGGGCCCTGTACAGAAAGAAAATTCTGACCACTGATTTTTCAGAAGGCACAGTGCTGGCTGGCCCTGTTTCTCTTAAGCTGGGTGGGGGCCCAGAGGAACAGAGCCCAGAGGTATTTTTGTCTTGTTGCTTCAACCCAGGGAGCTCCACTTGGAATGATTTATGATGATTTCTTGGGTTTATTATGTAAACACGGCCTACACCAAGGAGGGGACTTACATTCCCAGGGTCTTCCTTCCTGAGTGGCATTGCTCTAAAATTATTTTGCTTTAGGCTGAAGCTATAGCATAAGGGTCCTCAAGTTGTCAAACCTGGAACATTAGAATCATGAGAGAACTCAGAGGTTACTCAGCCCAGCTGTCTTATTTTGCAGTTGGGGAAACTGAGGCCGAGAGGTCAGAAGGGAGTTGCTTGAGGCACATAACTGACTAGAGTAAGTGGCTGGGCTAGAACACCCACATAACCCTCAACTATATCCTCCATGATTACTACAGCTCTTGGGAGAGAATGGTAAGCACATCAGATATACCTGTGTGGAGCTTAGATTCTATCAGGGAAGATAAACTTTAAACAAATAATTGGAAGTGGGTAGTGAAGGAATAGAGGTGCTTTATGGTACTATAACCAGGGACCACAACCTGGCCTGGGGCTAAGGGATAGCTTCACTGAGGTAATGAGGTTTAGATAGAGACTCAAAGGAGGGGCAAGAGTTTGTCCCCATGGAGCATAGGAAAGAATACATTCTGGATAGAGGGACTAGCATGCACCTGAGGCAGGGAGGAGGGAGGCAATGAAAATTGGCCAGTGCAGGAATTGAGGGGGCATGAAATGAGGCTGGGAAGGTGGTGGTCGGGGGAGGTCTGGTGGACCTCACAGGAGTTTAGATTATATTTTATATGCAAGGGAGAGCCATGAGAGTTTCAAGCAGAACAGAAAGTGGTGAGATTTGATTTGCTTTTTAAGTAAGATCTCTCTGGCTGCTTTGAAAATAATGGCTGGTGAGCACAGGTCTGATGTAAACATTGGCTCATTACCCAGTCCACCATGGCCTCTGTGGCTCAGTGTCCCCGTTAGCGTACACACACCTGGGATATTGGAATCCGGCTGTGATTTCTTTTAGTGTAGGTGTTACTCATGAAGCTGGGCACAGGACATGTGCCCTGTAAAGCCCTTGTGGCCTGCCTTGGGATAAAACCAGACAGCGGTGTTCTTGCTAGTGTTCAAAGGGCACAGTGGAAGTGGGAAGGGCCTAGAAGAAATGCCAGGGATGGAGGAAGCGAATGCCAAGAAGCCAGGGTGCCCAATGGGACTGGTCTAGAGGGTCCTCCTTCCACACAGACAGGCCTCAATGCTTCCTGTAACAGAAAATTTCACAGTTCACAAAACTACCTTATAATACATGCATTTTCTTTTTCCAGTCACTTTGTCTTTCCATCTGCATCCTGTCTGTTTTTCCTTGTTTCCTTCAGGAGATATTGTGATGCTTTTAAAAGCATGGGCTTTAGAGAAAGGCAAGTCTGGGTTTGAATCATGGCTTTTCCACTTACTAACTGAGTCACTTTGGGCAAGTTTCTTAACCTCTCAGATTCTCAGTTACCTCATCTGTAAAATGGGTATGTTCATATTTTAATTATGAAGTTGTAAGGTTTGAATAAGGTAGTATGTACCTTAAGTACTTAATATGTACCATAAGCAGAACATACTTAAGTACTTGGAACTTAGTAGGTGCACCGTAAGTTTCTCTTGCTCATTCATTTGTTCAGTGTTTATTGGGTAGCTATTGTAGGCCAGGCCCTGGCTAGGTACTGATGTCATAATGGTGATCCCCAAAACTCCTCTTTCAAGTCTGGGGCAGCGATCAATGTTCCCCAACTTCAGCATGTGGGGAAAATATCTCTTGCCATGGAGGATCTGGAAAAGGGGCCCAGATCAAGAGATAGAACTAGATGCTGTCTAAGCAATGCTGTCAAGGGCCCAGGTTACCATTTTTCCCATATTTTCCTCTTGCAGTTTCTTAGTTCAGTTCAAATAATCACACTGTGTCTGTAACTGTGTGGCAGGCCCCTGGCTAGGTCCCATAAACGACACCATGGTCAGTGAGTTGTAGGCCTTGGCCAATATGATAATGCCAACAGGATGGTGACTGAGATGGTGAAGGGACAAAACTTGTCACAAGGAAGTTTAAGTTGGTCATAAAAGACTCAATTAGTCTTCTAATTTCTGATTCCTGTCATAGGAAAGGGGGTCAAATGGCATTTTCAGGTTTTTTGGAGGCAGATCGAGGACCTTTGGTAAAAATCACCATAAGGCATATTTTGTCTCATTAAAAGAAACATAGCTTTCTAATATCTTTAGGTGTCCAGCAATAAAACAGGCTGTCTAATATGTAGAGCAAACTGTATCTCTGGGAATCCATAGGACAAGGCTGGATAAACGCCCACAGGGTGTTATAAAGGGAGTGCCTTGTTTGGGTGAAAGGTTTGATGGAATGACCTCTAGGTTTCCTAGTAGTTCAGAGACACAGGATTCTAAGTTTCCATTGTCGGGCTCACACCACCTTCCCTTGGATGCCTGCCAGTTTCCTCCCTCTGGGACTCACCCTGAAGCTTACCTCACTGCTTCCTGAACCCAACTCGGGAAACTTGCTGTGCCAACTTAGCAACCCTGGGATCCACATGTCAGGCTCCGGGGGCACACATGAAATAGATTCCCGTCTGTGTTCTGGCTGAACAATTTGATTTTGCTATTATAACCTGACCCTTTAGAAATCTTGCCCCTTTAGGTGTTTATATTTCCTTTCTTAGATTTGTATTTCACACACATTTCATATCATAAAAAGATATGCACACCAGCATCTGTTATAAAATTTTTAAGCTTAGTATTTTGGAAAATCAACAGTGTAGTGGCTCTAGAGTCAGACAGCTGGATTAAAATCCCAGCTCCATTACTTACTAACAGTGTTGTGTTGGCTAAGCCACTTAATCTTTCTAAACCTCAGCGTCCTTATCTATAAAACAAGGTAATAATAACACCTAGCTTATAGGAATGCTGTAAGACTAAATAGATAATAAATACAAAGTGCTTGGAAAAATGTCTGGTACATTGTAACATTTCCAATAAATGTTAATGGTAAATAAATAATTATTAAATATTGATTTTGTTAATAATCCTTCACTTTCTCTTTTACGTATTAGTTTTAAAATTATTTCTTGCCTCTTTTAGAAGTCAGAATAATATTGGCATTGAAAGGATTCTAAAGGGTACTGAATCTAACCCATTTTTTACTGCTAAGGAAATTGAGCCTCAGGGCTCATTGAACAGTAGAGCCAGTAATAGGATCCATCGGCCTTTGCTTTTGTCTGATGCCCTTTTATTTATCATAATTTTCCTAATGAGTATTAATTAAGAGTTATCTTATTTTTCTGATAGATGGCTTCAAAAAAATAACAAATGCCTTGGCAATGATTTCTTGGACATGATACCAGAAGCACAGGCAACAAAAGCAAAAACAGATGAGTAACACTACATCAAACTAAAAACTTCTGCACAGCAAAGGAAACAACCAACAAAATGAGAAGGCAACTTACAGAATGGAAGAAAATATTTGAGAACCATATATCTGGTAAAGGGTGAATATCCAAAATATACAAGAAATCTCTAGAACTCAATAGCAAAAAAGTAAATAATGTGATTAAAAAATGGTCAAAGGAACTTGCTATAGTTTGAATATTTGTCCCCTCTAAAACTCATGTTGAGCTGATGTAACTTAATGTCTAATATAACAGTATTGAGAGGATGGATTAATGGAGTATTACAAGAGTGGGTTTGTTATAAAAGCCATTTTGGCTCTCAGTGTGCCTCTCTCACCCAGTGATGCCTTTTGCTATGTTATCACACAGCAAAAGACTCCCACCGGAAGCCAACCAGATGTGGCTGCCTAATCTTGGACTTCCCAGTCTCCAGAACTGTAAGAAATAAATTTCTTTTCTTTATAAACTACCCAGTCTGAGAGATGCTGTTACAGCAATGCAGAACGGACTAAGATAGAAAATTGGTACTGAGAGGTGACGTTGTTGCTAGTAACAAATACCTGAAAATGTGGAAGAAACTTTGGAACTGGTAGGGGTAGAGACTGAAACAGTTTTGAAGTTAATCCTGGAAAAAGTCTATATTGATATGAATGGAATGTTAAAGGTGATTCTGGTGAGGGCTCAGAAGAAGAGAAGACTAGAGAAAGATATGCACATTGTACATATCACTGGTTTCAAGTATGCTGCCCCAACTTCCAGGATTTATGTACTGTGAGCAAAAAAATCTGAGAGCTATTGTCCTAAGTGTGACATGGAACAAGTGTTCCCTAGGGACATAATTTTGTGCAATACTGGGTTGAACAAAGTTCAACTGGTTTTCTCACTGCAGGATTTCTCAGTGCCTTTAGTGTGCTAATGCACATGGCGAGTCCCCTAAAGGAAGTTTAGAATGTAGCATTCATCCATCTTTCTTGGCCACAGAGCCATGTTTTTCTTTCCAAGAACATATGTGGGCACTAGTGTTCTGAGAAAACATTTTGGCAAATACTGTTGCAGAAGGAGTTCACCTTCTCTGTTTTCATCTGAGGAAAGCCAGAGACTGTTATACAAAGGGTTAACCTAAAGATTCATCCTTTTTAGTTCCTGATACACAACTCAGCCTCTCACCTCGGCACTGGCACCAAGCCTTACTCAAGGTACTTTCTGAACACATCTGAGAAGACTCAAAGGGCTCATTACTCCCTTTAGAGAGGAGATGGGGGCTTTTCTTCATGCAAAACTGAAAAATGGTGATTCATACACTCTACCATGGGGTTAGAGTCAGAAACTGGTAAATTTTTTCTGCTTACAACATTCAGCAAAAGCTTACATTCCAAAACCTAGCTCCCAAGTTGCCTCTACACAGGACATGCTGTGTTGGAACTGATTTCTCTCCATCTCCCTGGACACTGTGGAAAACCTTCATGTTTTCACCTGAACACAACAGGCTGAGCTAAGCCTTTGGTCAGTGTATTGTTAGCCTGAGGAAGTTAGTAGCTTGGAATGTCTCTTTAGGTTTTCGGACTATTTTTTACTCATCAGTAAAATGAGAGGGTAAGATAGGAGGTAACAAACACAGACATCCACTAAACCTGTTCTGTGCTAGATGCCATGCTTTGACAATGCAGCAGTGGAGAAAATATGGTTTTTTGATAGAGGCATGGCAATAAATTACAATACATCATGCTATCTGCAAAAAGTGCTACAGAGACAGAGGAGGAAAGGATGAATTGTGTTTCGATGATCTTTAAGATTCCTTTCGCCGGGCGCTGTGGCTTACATCTATATTCCCAGCACTTTGGGAGGCTAAGGCAAGAGGATCGCTTGAGGTCAGGAGTATGAGACCAGCCTGTCCAACATGGTGAAACTCCGTCTGTACTAAAAATACAAAAATTAGCTGGGTGTGGTGGCAGGAACCTGTAATCCCAGCTAATTGGGAGGCCAAGGCAGGAGAATTGCTTGAATTAGGGAGGCGGAGGTTGCAGTGAGCTGAGATCGCGCCACTGGACTCCAGACTGGGTGACAGAGTGAGGAAGTCTCCATCTCAAAAAAAATAAATTCCTTTCAGCTCTGGTATTCTTAGATACCAAGCCTTCTTTTCTTAGTATCTTAGATCTTTTCTTCTTGTTGCAGCTGGCCCAGAGCCTTCTGAATCTCAACACAGCAGTAGAGAAGGTTTAACCTTGCCATCACCAGGTACTGGTCTGCTTCTGACTGAATTTCATCTGGTGTAGATGTCATTTTAGTCTAGTTCAGCAGAGTTATCCTGACTCACGTTTTTAAATTCGGATGGATGCTCCTCCTAAACATAAGTCTACCTTAGAAGCCTGGGCTAGGGCAGAGGAGGAACTGGGTGCAGGTCAGTCATTCTCCTGAGCCAGCCTCCAAGTATGACAGGAAGAAGATGGGTCCTTAGTAGCAAAAATCATAGGCTCCTACCACTTCTTATTGCTTAAAGTAAATAACTAAAGTGCTTCACCCTGTACTCTAAACCCTCTGGCTCCAGGGCACACATTCAGTTTTATCATCTCTCCCTCTTTACTTCCTTCTGAGATTTGTGCTCGCAGTACTGGATACTGCTAATCTCTGTCTCCCCCATTTTTTGATACTTCTCACCTCCTCCTTTTTTCTTCTCATTTCTTACCCATCCTCCTTTTCCTCCTTCTCTCCTTCCACATTCCAAATGCCATTTCCTGAGGACAATTTCAGCAGTAATAAAATCATCATACTAGTGAGTTACTGGTTAGTTTCAGACAGAAAACCCAGATGCATGGTCTGATAATCTCCAGCTGACCCAGGGTGTGAGGAAAGATGGGCTCTGAGGACTTTCAGGCACTTCTAGCACACTCTACTGAGCCTCACCCAGTCTCCCTCCCTTAACAAAAAGTCCCATTCCACTAGGGACAAAATACTCGGAAGCAGCATTGTTAGCAGTAGCAGCCACAGGCCACCCACCCTCTTGCCCCTCCTTACCTTCACATCCCCAGGGATGCTATAGAAAACAAAGAGCCGTGGCTGGAGGGTGCCAAAGGTGGCTGGCACAACAAGGTCTGGAAACCTGGACTGTGGAGTCCAGGAATGGGAGGATCACCCAGTTCTGCTAGTGGGAAGAGCCTTGGCTGGGGGCTAATGAGGAGGAGAAACTCCCTCCCACACTTTCTGAGCACAGTCAGAAGTCAAACACTCTAATCTCCTCCAGCCTCCAGCCCAAGCCCACCACTACCCCACTCTACATCACCTAATCTCAGGAAATAACCTCCTCACCACTTTACTGATAAGTCTGAGGCCACCTATGAATCTCTCAGAACTCTCAAGACTGTCATCCACCATCTCCCTGCCTTCCTTCCTTCACTACTAAATGTGCCCTTCCACTGGATTGATTTTATCTTTCCCTTCCTCCTCCCTGGACCTCCCTTCAAGGGCTTTTGCAGTACCCCTCAATCTCTTCTCTTCCCTGGCTCCCTCTCTTCCATCTGACATACAAGCACAGAGGAGCCACCATTTGCTAACTCCACTGTCTCCTCCCTCCTGTGTTCCTCTTCTCCGAGCTGCCACTTTGCCACTGACCCTGCTTTTTGATAAGTAGCCAAAGACCTCCCAATCGCCTCCTTTTTAAAATATCCCATTCCACATCTGTGGGGCATTAACATTTAATAAAAATTTTATTATAAACATAATATAAAAATAACTCTTGTTATACATAATTCAAACGTTGGAGATGTGATGTATCTCAAAATAATAAGAGCTATTTATGACAAACCCACAGCCAATATCATACTGAAGGGGCAAAAACTGGAAGCATTCCCTTTGAAAACTGGCACAAGACAGGGATGCCTTCTCTCACCACTCCTATTCAACATAGGGTTGGAAGTTCTGGCCAGGGCAATCAGGCAGGAGAAAGAAATAAAGGGTATTCAATTAGGAAAAGAGGAAGTCAAATTGCCCCTGTTTGCAGATGACACGATTGTATATTTAGAAAACCCCGTCGTCTCAGCCCAAAATCTCCTTAAGCTGATAAGCAACTTCAGCAAAGTCTCAGGATACAAAATCAATGTGCAAAAATCACAAGCATTCTTATACACCAATAACAGACAAACAGAGAGCCAAATCATGAGTGAACTCCCATTCACAATTGCTTCAAAGAGAATAAAATACCTAGGAATCCAACTTACAAGGGATGTGAAGGACCTCTTCAAGGAGAACTACAAACCACTGCTCAATGAAATAAAAGAGGACACAAACAAATGGAAGAACATTCCATGCTCATGGATAGGAGGAATTGATATCGTGAAAATGGCCATACTGCCCAAGGGAATTTACAGATTCAATGCCATCCCCATCAAGCTACCAATGACTTTCTTCACAGAGTTGGAAAAAACTACTTTAAAGTTCATGTGGAACCAAAAAAGAGCCTGCATTGCCAAGACAATCATAAGCCAAAAGAACAAAGCTGGAGGCATCACGCTACCTGACTTCAAACTATACTACAAGGCTACAGTAACCACAACAGCATGATACTGGTACCAAAACAGAGATATAGACCAATGGAACAGAACAGAGCCTCAGAAATAATACCACACATCTACAACCATCTGATCTTTGACAAACCTGACAAAAAGAAGAAATGGGGAAAGGATTCCCTATTTAATAAATGGTGCTGGGAAAACTGGCTAGCCATATGTAGAAAGCTGAAACTGGATCCCTTCCTTACACCTTATACAAAAATTAATTCAAGATGGAGTAAAGACTTAAATGTTAGACATAAAACCATAAAACCCCTAGAAGAAAACCTAGGCAATACCATTCAGGACATAGGCATGGGCAAGGACTTCATGACTAACACACCAAAAGCAATGGAAACAAAAGCCAAAATTGACAAATGGGATCTAACTAAACTAAAGAGCTTCTGCACAGCAAAAGAAAGTACCATCAGAGTGAACAGGCAACCTACAGAATGGGAGAAAATTTTTACAATCTACCCATCTGACAAAGAGCTAATATCCAGAATCTACAAGGAACTTAAACAAATTTACAAGAAAAAAGTCAAACAACCCCATCGAAAAGTGGGCGAAGGATATGAACAGAAACTTCACAAAAGAAGACATTTATGCAGCCAACAAACACATGAAAAAATGCTCATCATCACTGGCCATCAGAGAAATGCAAATCAAAATGACAATGAGACACTATCTCACACCAGTTAGAATGGCGATCATTAAAAAGTCAGGAAACAACAGGTGCTGCAGAGGATGTGGAGAAATAGGAACGTTTTACACTGTTGGTGGGACTGTAAACTAGTTCAACCATTGTGGAAGACAGTGTGGCGATTCCTCAAGGATCTAGAACTAGAAATACCATTTGACCCAGCCATCCTATTACTGGGTATATACCCAAAGGATTATAAATCATGCTGCTATAAAGACACATGCACACTTATGTTTATTGTGGCACTATTCACAATAGCAAAGACTTGGAACCAACCCAAATGTCCATCAATGATAGACTGGATTAAGAAAATGTGGCCCATATACACCATGGAATACCATGCAGCCGTAAAAAAGGATGAGGTCACATCCTTTGTAGGGACACGGATGAAGCTGGAAGCCATCATTCTCAGCAAACTATCACAAGGACAGAAAACCAAACACCACGTGTTCTCACTCATAGGTGGGAATTGAACAATGAGAACACTTGGTCACAGGGTGGGGAATATCACACACCGGGGCCTGTCATGGGGTGGGAGGACTGGGGAGGGATAGCATTAGAAGATATACCTAATGTAGATGACGAGTTAATGGGTGCAGCACACCAACATGGCATATGTATACATATGTAACAAACCTGCACTTTGTGCACATGTACCCTGGAACTTAAAGTATAATTAAAAAAAAAAAAAGAAAGTGAAATATCACCAATACCCTTTTGCCTCAATGCCAATCCCTAGAGGTAACCACTATAAAGAGTTTGGTAAAAATTTTTCTACACCATTGCTTATGTATTTAAAAATTTGAGGTCATTTTAATATGCCCTTTTGCAACTGGCGTTTTTACTTAACACTATGCTGCACATGTCTTTCCATGTAAGTCTATACAGACATATCTCATTTTTCAAATATCCAAATAGTTTTATTCCATGATGATGTGGCTATATCATAATTTATTTAGCCAATCTCCTTTAGATGTTGAGGTTGTTTCTACTTATGTATTCAATCATGTATTCATTCATTTCTGTTACAAACAACACTGCAATCAATTCCCTGCACATATATCTTTGCATACCTGTGCTCGGAGTACTGGATACCACTAATCTCTCTCTCCTCCATTTCTTTTCTTTTGCAACATTTCTTGCATCTCCAGCTTCTGTCTTGGCTCTTTTCTGAAATAGCAAACCACTTTCTTCCCTGAGCACACAGATACAGATGCACATTCACCCCTTCTTGCTTCTGTCCAAAGTTTTTCCTCCTGAAACGATCACTTCCTACTTACGTTTCTGCCTAAGTTTTGTGTAGACCCATCTCTGGTTTCCCAGACTAGTCTTCCTTGATGGCTTCTTATAACAGCAGGGCGAGGTATAGACCATATTGCTGTCAGCGTTTAAAAAGTGATAAAAACTGAAGCTTAGAAGATTAAGGAACTTGTTCGGCTTGCCTAGCTAGTTAAATGACGGAGCCGGGATTTGCTCTCAGGCCTGATTTTCTGTAGAATCTATGAACTTAAATAACCACCATGTTACATTGTTCCTTTGGCCCTGGTCCTCAAAGGACCTTGCACACAAACCTACAACCACAGCTACCCAATGGAATGGTGGTAACTGATTAACAAGTCAGTTCCCTCTACTAGACTGGGAAATCCCTGAGGGTAGCCCCTTTGTCTTTTCTTTCCACATACCCTATATTTAGTACAAATCCTATTCTGGGTGCTGATATGGATTTGAATGAATGAACCTATGTTTGTGGAATGAAGAATGCCAGCACTCCCCGAACCAGATTCAGAGACAAATTTCATCACTCAGCAACACACGATGAGCTTAAAGTGTAGTCCCTGCTAGTTTGTGAAAATAAAAAAAACCCTCTCTTCCAGTGCCCTAATTCACTCAATTATAAGAGACTTTTAAAATTGGCAGGGAGTAGAACATAATGGTTTAAAAAACACAGGCTGTGAAGTTGGAAGGCATAGGTTCTGATCCCAGAGTAGCAGCTCTGCTACTTACTAGGCAAGTTATTCAAGTTCCATAATCCTTAATTCCCTCTCCAGTAATTTGGAGCTAATAACAATTACCTGCTCACAGAGTTATCCTGAGGATTTAATAAGGTAGCCAAGATGAAGCACTTAGCCCAGTGCCTGGCATACAGGAGGCACTCAATAAATGTTAGTTGCGTTATGGTGCTTAGGATCAGTAACAGCCACTTTCAGTCTTGGTTGAAAGTCAATTTAGATCAGACATTCATTTCTCCTACACCTCTCCAAGCTTTGAACAGGATGACTTTTTAGTTTAAATTGCATAAAAAGCTCACTTTCTTGACCTTATTTGTAACACAAACATTTACTGAGTGATTTCTGTGTATCTAACTCTTTCCTGGTAGTACCTCGTTGGTCCTTTACCATCGCGGAGAGTCTACAGTAGGAAGAATAAGCATGCTCAGGTTAGAGTTTGGGGAGGACAAAATTTTCCTGCTGTTTGTAGTTTAGAACATTGCATAATCTTCTGAAAAGCACACCTTTCTTTTTCTTTTTAAACTTCAAGGATTTGTTTTAAAACATTTTCTCACAAAAGTCTGAAGTTTTCGTACCTTGATTCATGAAGGGGGACGGGTAGTAGCTTCTGGAGCCTGATTCATGGAGGTGCCTGTGCTATTCTTTGTCTTTGAGACAAAAAGTTTTCCTATACCAGCAGCTCCTGAAGGTGACTTTAGGAAACAGCACGTGTTTTGTTATTCTGTGCTCAGTTTTGACCCACATCCAAGTATTAATTTTTTGGATGGGAGGGGTGGTGGCTGTTGTTTGTGTCTAAGTGGGTCTTTCCAAGGACTATATATTAGGGTAAGACTCCACTCCTGGCAACCAAAACAAAAAACTTCTCTGACTCCAATTCAAATCTCAACAGAAGCAAATGACTCAGTTCAAGCAAACTTTATAGATTATTCAATTCTGGAACTATATGTTCTCGGATAACCATACCCAACATTGAAATTAAACTACTCTCTAAAGAAGGAAATTCCTTAGTAACGTCACTCAGCTCCAAAACTTGGGACTGTCTTTCCTTGCATCTAACTTACATGTCTCCAATCACAAATTAAGCTGTTCATTCTCCAGCTGACATATCTGGGCAGGAGATCCAGCTTCAGATGCTGGGAGGCGTGAAGAGGAGAAAAGGTCACTTCTGGTTTTGGTGTGTGTGTGTTTGATGTAGGTGTGGTTTCGTGTTATGTAAGCATCTGGCTCTAGGCACTAGGATACCTGCACTGTCAGGGGACAGGGACTTCTGGGTGCCAGGTGCTCCTAGAAGCTCAGTCACTAAGGGGCTGCTTGGTGCCTCTTCTCTCTCCTCACTGTCCTGGAGCTCTGGCTTCTTTGTCACATGTTCTGTTATCTGAACTTCTCAGGCTACCACTTTAGGATCAAAGGAGATTGTGGGCCAAAGGAACAAAACTCTCACTTTTCGAGCCCACAGTGTGACCTCGGACAAGTCCCTTCCTCTTCCTGGGCCTTAGTTCCTGCAGCTGAGAGGTATGGAGTTTCGTCAAAACATGTCTGAGCCTCTGCCCAGCACTGACAATCTGGGGCTCCAGAATCTGTCGTCCAGCCAGGCCAGTGACCTAGGTGGGAAGGGCAGTGAGAACGTAGCCACTGTTTGGAATTCACAGGCTTGTTTGGTGGGACAACTCCTAATAGATTTGATTGGGGATCAGAGCAACCTATTTCTCCGAACCTCTGGTGAGAACTGATTCAGGCCTGCCACTCCTCGGTCAGGGCTGCAGAGGCATGTAAAATGCACTTGTCAGAGAGCATTGGCTCAGAAGCCTGACACTTCCACCATCTGAATACCAAACAAGACAAAAATTGCACAAGAGATGGGGCCCAGATGATCCGCTGATCAAATCAGTATTTCAACTCTGGTGTCCTCAGGATTTCTTATGTGAGGGAACACCCTCCTCTGCCATTTCAAAAGACTTAATACATTTTTATCCCTGAGTGATTTTGTCCTCAAGAGGACCTATGGGAGGGACCATGTGGATTTTGAAAGCTTAGTGCTGAACTAATTCTGTGCCCTAATGATTATGAAAGCCTGTGTAAATAGGGAGGCAGTGGCAGGGAGCCTGGGGCTGGAAGTCAGGAGGCTTGAATTCCAGTTCTGGCTTTGCCACTCTCTGGCTGTGCAGCTTTAAGAAAATTGCTTCACCTCTCTGGGCCTCAGTGTTCTCATACAGCAGCATCTCTCTACGGTCTCTAAGACAGAAACCTCTCATCTTGGTGGTAGAATGGGGCCAGATATACCTCTGTGTGTGTGTGTGTGTGTGTGTGTGTGTGTGTGTGTGTGTGTGTTAGCCCAATTCTCCCCTTGTGTGGAGACATAGCTCTTATGGAGGTTACATTCCTTCCCCAAGTTCCTCTTCTTTGAAGGCCTTTGGGACGCATCCAAGAGAGTAGGTGAACTCATGGATGCTTAAGGATTGGAAGGGGCTTTGAGGATAATTACCCAGCTATTGCAAGAATGCCTCTCACCCCAATTATCTGGTGGGAGGTGCTTGGCATGTTTGAGAACCAGCATTCCATGAAAGTTAAGAGCCCCAGCTCTGGAGTTATTCAGTCTTTGTTTTATATCCCAGCCTTGCCAGTCATTTCAGTTCGTCATTCAGCAAGTATTTATCAAGTGCCTATTTCCTGCCAAGCACTTAGATAAGCTATTTTGCATATATTATCACACTTAGTCCTCACAACCCTATGAAACAGGTAGAGGTTTTATCTCCATGTCACAGATGAGGAAACTGAAACTCAGAGAGGTGATGTGACTTATTGCTAGCAAGAGGCAAACCTGAGGTTTGAATCCAGGTCTATTGACACCAGCGCTATAGCTCTCAGCCACTATGCTGTACTGTCTCCAAGACCTTATCTTCTTAATGTAAACATCTATGATGTAGACATTATTGTATCTATTTTAAAACTAGATACTGACGGTCAGAATTTAAGTAGCATCATTTGGTCAAAGTCAATGAAAGCAGGGCCAGGACTCAGCTGGGGGCTACTCAACCCCCACGTCGGTGTCTCTGACTGCTGTGTGCAATGCCTCTACCTCAGCCTTTTGGAAAAACCTCCGTGCATTTGCCAGTCTACGTTACAGACTAAGCAGCATGCCTGCTTCTGAAGGAAGGACATGGACCATGCAATGGGAAGAGCCCTGAAGTCTGCATGATGCCAACATCTCAGCTGCTGGTCCTGTCTGCTCCTTACCAGGCACAAGGCCTGAGGCATTTCCAGCCTCTGCGCTTTACCAGCCTTGCTTTCCTCACAAGGATATTTATTGTACCAGTCAATTGAGGGCCTAGCTATGAAAGGACTTTATAAATTAGAAGGTGATGAAAGTGAAATTATTATTGTTGTAGTCCCACTTCTCTGTTTTTCTCCATCAAACTGGACAATAAATTGCATGTTGCCTTCGGGAATCTTGAAATGCATCATCTAGTAGCCTGAGCCCCATGATCCCAGGATGAAGCAGCATGAGGCAGGCTATCCTCTCTCACAGCCGGCACTCCTGCCTGACTCATTCAGGGATGCCACATTCCGGGATGTGAGGCATTACAATGGCTGCCACTGTGACGTGTAGTCATCCCAGAAAGGCTGGGATGTAACATTCCTGAACAGATTCAGGCATGAGAAGAGAGAGGAGAGAAAATTTGTAAACAGGCAGCCTGGGGCTTAGGAGAGGCAGGAGAAGTTGCTCATTTTCTGTGCTCTTGTTTTGAAAGTCTTTGGAGGTGTAGCTGTCCGTCCATCAGGCTGATCTTATCATCCTTCGGGAAGCATGCATCTCCAGATGCGTGGGACTCCTCACACCAGGGCCTTGCACTCTCGGACCACCGGTTCCAGGAGGGCTGGGTCAGAAATCATTTGCTCACTTCACTACTCACTCCTCTAAGGAGTGAGAGGATAGGAAAACCAGAGGTGCCATCTGCAGGTGGATGGAGGAGCTCCAGGTGATTTGTCCCTGAGTTTTTCCAGTTAAGCATTTGCTCTCTCCCCTCTCACCCTGTTGTGCTAAGGGTGGCACAGAAAAAGAATTTTATTTATTTTGGGTCTTTGTTTGTACCTGTTTGCAGCCCAAGGAAAAGAGAGAGGCAAACTCTCTGGTTCAGGCTTCGGTGAGAGCCTTCTTTTACTCAAAGAGACTGTGGAGGCTGCCAGAGAGCAAGTCAAGGAGTTGGGAGGTGCAGCCTGCCTTGAGCAGGGCAGCAGGGACTTGTGGGATGAGCTATGGCTCCGTTAGGACCCTCCTCACCTGGAAACAGGACTGTGGGAGACATTGCCATCCCTCCTATCTAACAATTCGATGTTAGAAAACTCCCTGCTTTGGGTAGTACCAAGAAATTAGTTGTAATTATGGAAATGAAGAAGGTGGCACTGAAAGAAAGCACCACCAGGGGAAAGGGCCCTGCAGGTGGAGGTGGAGACCTGGGCTCCAGGTGTAGCCTTGCCACAGGCTCTGTGTGAATGTGAGCCCTCTCTGGGGCTGTATTTATGAAAAAGGGGGTTGGGCAATGATCTCTAAGGTCCCTTCCAACTAGGCCAGTTTATGCAAGACTTTCCTTGATTTCAGTACTGAAAGTTTTGTGTCCAGAAATCCTTGCTTCCAATAGAAAGCTTCCCTTTCTGGTTGTTCTAGTAACTTCCCTCTGGGATCTCAATCCCTTTTCTCTCTGTATTGCAGAAGCCTTTTCTCTGGATTAGGAAATCATTGTGATAACTCCTGCTAAATGGTGGTGGGTAGGGGTGATACTCAAAACATGAACATCCTCTACGGTAAGGGCACAAACCCATCAGAATGAACCAGGCCATAAACCCCAGACCATTCTTGGAGTGCTGTCCACTCCCCGTCCCCGGGGTGGGCAACCCCACATTGAAACTGGGCTTCTATCTCCAGGTCTATGACAATTCCACCTGTTTCTATTCCACCTCTTCAGTCAGTGATGTGAAGTCATGTCAATCACTTCAGCGCCAGTGGAACTGAAGGATTTTCCAGCTTCTCTTTTACTGCTTGCTCTCAGATTAAAGGTGGTGACTTCCCCTTCACTGGTCAGTTCCAGCCTCAGTCCAGTTTCCTAAGGTTTTTTAGGGTGAGACTGCTCTGAGTGATGCTGTCCAAATCCAGACAATAGTGTCTTTGCGGATGGGCTTCACGTCTCTGGGATTCAAGTCTGTTTGTGCCCCACCATCCTTGGTGTGCTGCCAGATGAGTCTTTCCAAAACAGTGTTTTGTCAGCCTCCTGTACCTGTTCTGAAATCTTTCTAAGCACATTTCCTCAGCCCTCTCACCCACTGTGGACAAACAGGACCACATATTCATAATCATGACCCACTTGTCTTTGGCTTCTGCCTCTGTTTGCTTACATGGGATCTTGGTCTCTTCCAATTGTGTTTTTATTCAGAGAGCAGCTGCTAAACTGTCTGGAATGACAGAAGTTCAGTTTCAAATAATAGTTAACATACGTGTATCACAGGGTGGAGAAAAGCAGAGTCCGTGTGACCTCTGGCTCCCATTCACCTCCACACCAGCTGAGCCCATTTCACATGACCTTTCTGCCTGTGTTTGTCTGTCCTTCAATGTGCTCCATCCTCACTTGTTTATGTTGCTTCCTGAGCACAGTGACTTGCATCAGGCACTGTGCTAAAGGTTGGTGAAATGCAAGCTGGATCCAACCCCTATGGTGAACCTGCATTGTGGGAGGGCAGATGGACATATAAGCAGCTGCTTCGTGATGGGACATGTGTGCTGTAATACATTTGAGTGTCATGGCCACATACAGCGGGGCCTGGCTCCTTCTGCAGTGATATCAAGGCTGGGCCTGGGTGAGGAGGAGTCATAGTTAGAGAATGGGTGGGAGGAAGCTCGCATGCCAGGCACGGGGAAATGGCATGCACAAAGGCACCCCTCTGTTTGTCTCCCTTTGTCTTCCACTGTGGGTGGTGCTGTGGGCGGCAGTGGGTCAGGGATTGCTGGGCAGGAGGCCAAGGCAGGCAGAGTCAGCCCTCAGGAACCACCAGGTCAGGGAGCACTGGCACGCCCAAGAACCCACTTCCTATTTCCCAGAGCAGATGGAGGCCATAGACTCAAGTTTTTCTCCCCATTTTCCCCCTCATTCCTCAGAATACCTGCTCCTTCCTGTGTCACAGGCCAGCTCTGACTTGGTCTCCATCCCCCAGGCCCCTGACAAGTCACCAGTCATTGTTGACCCTTCCTTTCCTCATCTTCTGCCTTCCATTTCCTCCTTTCCACAGCTTCTACTATGGTTCAAATCCCGGTCACCCATCTCCCACCTGGTTGGTTGCATCAACCTCCTCATCAGTCTCCAGGATTCAAGTCTGTTTGTGCCCCACCAGCCTTGGTGTGTGCTGCCAGATGAGTCTTTCCAAAACAGCGTTTTGTCAGCCTCCTGTACCTGTTCTGAAATATTTGTAAGCACATTTCCTCAGCCCTCACCACGCACTGTGGACAAACAGGACCGCATATTCATAATCATGACCCACTTGTCTCTGACTTCTGCCTCTGTTTGCTTACATGGGACCTTGGTCTCTTCCAGAGTGCACCCCAAGTAGTTCCAGGAACCCCCAGGGCAGTGTTGCTGAAAGTGGCTCTGTGCACCAGCGCCAATCTGTGCACGTTGCTATGATCTGCGATGACATTAGCACATACATGGAGAATAAGTTGAACTTTCATTTCTGTGACCTCTAGCAGATGGGATTTTTTTTTTTTTTTTTTTTAGTTTTACAAAACAAATAAACAAACAAGCAACAGAAACAAAAGACACCTGGCCCTTCACAGATCATTTGAGCCCTGCCCTAGGGTGTGTCATACCCAATCAAGTCTGGCTCCTCCATGCACTCCTGCCTCACCTCCCTGCTATCCACTGGCAGCTCCTGGAGCTGTTTTTTCAGGAAATCAGTCCCTACTGCCTCTCTTCCTGGAGCACAGCTATCCAGAGTGTTCATGTGAGAAACAGTTTGCTTTAAAAATACTGCTGCAATTCAGAATATCCACTTTTGACATTAAATTAGGACTCATATTTAAAATCACTATTTACCTTCTTTCTTTAAAGCATTTTTTTCTTGGTTTAGTTTGGTAATTTTTCAAAATAACTTTAAAAGTCAACTTTATTAAAATGTAAATTACATACAAGAAAATGCACTTATTTTCACCGTACAGTGAAGAGTTTTGACCAAGGTATACATTTGTTAGATCACCACCCCAATTAAGATATAGAACAATTCTATCATTCTAGAAAGTTCCCTTGTGCCCCTCTGCAGTCAGTCCCACTCCTCCTGCAGCCACAGGCAACCACTGACCTGCTTTCTGTTTCTACAGATGGGTTTGGCTGTTTCTAGGATCTATAAATGGGATCATCCAGGATGTACTCTGACATCCATAAAATTTTTGAGATTCATCTACAATGCTATATGTATTAGTAGTTCAATCCTTTTAATTGCTGAGAAGCATTCCATTGCGTGTACCATATGACAATTTGTTTATGCATTCTCTTGCTGATAGACATCTGGGTTGTTTCCAGTTTTTGGCTACTTGAATAAAGTTCTCTGAACATTCATGTACAACTCTTTGTTTGGACAAATGTTTTCATTTCCTTTGGGCAAATACCTAGTAGTAGAATTGCTGGGTCATGTGGTGGAGATTATGTTTAACTTTGTAAGATGCCAAAGTTAGTCCACAGGCTACGTCGCTTTTGATGAGAATCGCATGATTTACTTATTCATTTATTTTTAGAGACAGGGTCTCGCTCTGTCGCCCAGGCTGGAGTGCAGTGACACGATCATAGCTTACTGCAGCCTTGACCTCCTGGGCTCAAGGGATCAGCCTCCGGAATAGCTAGGATTATAGTAGCACACCACTATGCCTGGCTAATTTTAAAAGTTTTTGTAGAGGTCTCGCTATGTTGCCCAGGTCTGTCTTGAGCTCCTGATCTCAAGTGATCCTCCTGCCTATGCCTCCCAAAGTGCTGGCGTTACAGGTATGAGCCACTGTGCCCGGCTAAGGAATCACGTGATTTCTAATTGGAGCCCAGTTCCAGCTGCTCTGGAGAGGCAGCTGTCCTCAGCTTCATGGAGTTACCAATTTGTGTTATACACAGCATTGTCTACCTTAGTGTCATGACACAAATGATGCTATGATTTTTTGTCAGTTGTGTTGTAAGTGAATGTGAAAATATTTGAAAGTACAGATATTTGTGAAAATTTTACCTTAAAAATGTATATGTAAAATGGGTTCAAGGCTATCTTTTTAATACATACCTTCTAATTCATTTACATTATAATAGGCTTATTTTATTTATTGCTACAACTTGTAAGAAGTGACTATATTAGTTAGCATCCAGCTTTAGATGCGTTTAACAAAGACCTAGAAGAACAGTGGCTTAAACAGAGAGAAGTCTACCTCTCTGCCATGTGAAACTCTTCATGTAGACAGTTCACGGCTGGTATGGAGCCTCCACAGGCATCCAGGATCCAGGTTTCTTCCAATTCTCTATCATCCTCAGGTGTGTCCCCTCATGTCACCATCCTGAGTGGAAACCCAACCATCAGATCCATAATCCAGATAGCAGGGAGAAGATGGAGGGGAATAAAGGATACGCCCCCTCCCTTAAGGACACAATCCAGAACCTGACTTTTCTACTTCTGCTTACAACATCCCATTGGGCAGAACTTAGTCACATGGCTGAGCCTAGCTACAGGGAATCCTGGGAAATGTAGCCGTGTTTCAACTTGAAATTTGGCAGCCATATTACAGGGGAAGAATGAAAGAGTAGATATTGGGGGACAGGAAGCAATTTCTGCCATATTTGCCATTTTTAAAGTGTTATAAATAGTTATTCATAAACTATTGCGGTTTCTTACACCCCCTACCCCACAGCATTTTGGTGGGTAATAATAAAAAGTGTAATTGTAATAATAAAAGTAGTAAAACTTGTGGATAAGCCAGTAGGAGTGTGCTGTGCCTGGGAACAATGTCTTGTACGTGACATTAGAAAACATGTAGAGAACTTGTCTCATCTCTTTACCCTGACATTCAAGTTTTCTACAATGGGGCCACAGCCTACTTTTCCAAATATTTAATTCTTCACTTCTGTGCTTGAGAGCTCTATTTTAGCAAAGGATAGTTAAAGAAAACGTAACTTTCTTCCCTCCCTGTCATTTGTCATGTTGTTCCTGTCACTTAGAAGCTTTCCTTGGATTCCTAGAACATGAACTTATGCTCCACCTCAGGTCTTGCCTCTTCCTTTCTCTGGGATGTGTTTTTCCCAGACAGCTTTTTATATAGCCCTCTCCTTTTTGTCATTCAGATCTCAGTTCAAGTACCAAATGGAGAGAGAGGCCATCTCTGATAAACTTTTTAAGTACTGTCTCTTCCCCGCACCCCCACCCCACTCTCTATCACATTACTCTGCTTCATTTTCTTCATAGCATTGTTCAATATCTGAAGTTACCTTGTTTTGTTACATGCTTATGCTGCTTCTGCATCTTTTCCCATAGAACGTTCTAGAAAAGCCAAGGCCTGTCAGTTTGCTCACTGTTGCACATTTGGCTTGATGGCTCATGTTAGAGACTCGATAGCACATTGCTTAAATCAAGAAATGACTGCATACCCGTTTCTCCCTCTCTAACCTACTTAGGCTCTGAGCCAAGCCCACAGCCTCAACTTGCTCTATGAAGTATGTTTTGATCCTTTTGCCCCATTTGCATCATGCCTGGCTTCTTTTCATCTTTCAAACTGAAACTTAAATGTCACTTCCTTGGAAAGCCCATCACTGTTGACCCCAGAGCAGGCAGGTGTCCCCCTTACTTCATCAGAGAACCCTGCTCCTCATTTCCTTCAGGGTTCTTTTCACAACATGTAATTCTATATTTACTTACATCTACACTTACTTTTTTTTTCTCTCTCTCTCCCCACTAGAGGTTAAGCCATAGAGGTGGAGAGGTCAGTCTTCCTTGCCCTCACGGTGAATCCCAGGGCACAGTATGGTGTCTGTATGTAGTAGGTGGTCCAGAAACTTGTGAATAAACCAATGAAAGCACAACATGTGCTGCCTATACCGCTTACCTGGATAATAACGATCCCCTCTCTATCTTTAACTTTAATACCCGTAAGATTCTTCATCTAGGCAATTCTCATCTCTCTTTTGTAAGCTCCTTACAGACAGGGACCAGTTTCCTCTTTATACCTCTTCACTCCAGCATACTGGGTTTCCTTAGATCAGTTTTTCTGACACTGTATTCCAGGATTGTTGATAAGCATTGCAAGAAAACTGGATTCCATGATCAAAAAGTTTGCTTGTACTAGGTTAAGCTTAAATGGTTGTTTGTTTTGTTTTGTTTTGTTTTTTTAAATCACAGAACTTTACAAGGATTTTGATGTGCTATTACAGGATATAAATTTCCAAGAGGTGAGATAAAGTAGTCAGTATTGTCCAAACTTTTTGGAAACTTTATTTTCTTTTTTCGGAGACTAATTTGAGGTATTCTAAGTGTTTCATGGTACATACTCTCATTCCCTCTAGCTTTTTTTGAATTTCTCTTCTACCTTCTTATTTGTTTCCCTACTTTTTCTCCAATGAGCCTCTCCTCTTTTTAAAACTCCCTTGTAAATGATCTTAACACTGACTGTCATTTGTAGGGTGCAGAGCACAGGTGCAACTACTCAACCTCACTCGAGAAGAGCCTGCATCCAAGGTCTGTAAACCTCAGAATCTGGTGTGCCCAATCTCACAGAAGCCCTCATGCCCCTGAGTCTTAATTTTTCCACTGGTATGATTTAGGAAGTAATGAGCTAAATAATAACTTTGCTGGTAAGTACTTGGGGGGACACCAACTAGATTTCAAACTACTGTGGGTTTCATTTCCAATCTGGAAGATGGGATTGGCCATTGATCAGGAGATGTACACAGGATGTTGAATCTACTACACTCCAACCTCATGGTAGAGCAACTGACTCAGACCACTCTGTGAGCCTTCCCCAGCATCGGTCTCCTGATCTAATAAACTTGAGCACCAGATCCACCTAATGGGATGTGCTGACCTGACAGGGAGAAATGTTTCCTGGCTTACTGTCTGCTTGTAGTGTTGACTTCACTGGCAGTAGCAGGGTAAGCAAACAATAAAACAAAACAGAACAAAACTTCCCTCAAATCTACCAGGAAAAGCCCCACACAGCTTGGGAAGACTTATTCTACATAAGATAATTCCAGAATAGCAGAGCCAAGAAGAACTTATAGATACCATTGTAAAAAGGGCAAAACTGAGGTCAAGTTGAGGAGGTGCCTGCCCAGGGCCACATGATTGAGGCTGGGCCTGAGCAGAGAACAGCATCTGGCTTCCTGATCTTTAAGCTGGTGCTCTTTTAATTTCACCAATCTGTCTCAGTAAAGGATATTTTTAGTACATTGTACTTATTAAATAGTTTTATGGTCTATGATTCTGTCTTAAAAGCTTGCAAGCCAAATGTTTAATATTCCTCTAAGAAACAGAAATTAAATGGTTTATTCTGTGTCTCCTAATTTGTCTCACAGATCTGTTTGGGAGCCCAACTCAGACAGTGGTGAAAGAGCAATATAAAATAACTATAATGAAAGGTGAAGACAGAGGCATTCCCATTGTCATGATTCCTTTGGGTGTCAGGGACAAACTTCATAGTTGTCAAAGAATCTGAGTATTGCGGCCCAGGGGCTATGGGAGAACACTCCCATTTCACAGGTGTGGAAACTGAGACACAGAAAGGGGCAGGGCCATTTTTAGAGTCACATTAGGAGTGAGTTATTTGCCAAGGCAGGTAGGACTTGGGCCTTGGTCCTCCCAGAGTGAAGCATTTCCGTCTATCACACCATTCGGCCTTTTTAAAGTTCCAGACCTGGAGGCAGATAGCTTGTTCTAAACCTGTTTAAGCCATTATGGGTTAAGCACAGATAAAATAGAGTCCCACAGGGGTTAGGAAATGCTGTGCCTGGAGCCAGTGGCTGTGTATTTAAGACATTAGGCCTCTCCTTGAGAAGAACAGGCTCCATGGGCCCAGAGAACTGAAGCTGTATTTATCTGGGACTTGGCTTCAGGCATATATCCCCAGGCAACACCCCAGGCCTCCTTTCACACAGGCTCCCTATTGCTGATGAGTGAAGTTTGCATTTCCTCAGAATGTTCCTGTAAGTTCCCAGCAGGTCTCCCAGCCAAGCTGGCAGTGGACTCAAAGTGAGAGGCTGGCAGCCAGAAGTTGGATCTGTCAGTGCTGCCAACACAGTGCTGTGGCTCAGGGCTCTGGGTCTCTCTCTGCCTTGCCATATAGGGCCTAGCCGATATAGGGCTCCCTAGTGCATAAGGACAGAAAGGAAATCTGGAAAGGCCTTTTGGGAGCTGACCCAGTGCTTTTCCTTTACAGATGGAGAACCTGGACCAAGAAAGAGAGAGGTGACTTTATTACCAGTAATCCTAGAATTAATGACAGACCTAGGAGCTGTCCTAAGCCTCTGGACCGTAATCAATAAATAATGAATGAATGCGAGGTATGCGGCAGGTGCTGTGCTAAGTGCTTTACCACCCATTCATTTATTTCTTCCTAATAAGCCCTTGGAATACACGAGGCAGTCTGTAGGCTATATGCCTACAATGAAAAACACAGGCAATGGTCCTTGCCTACACATAGCTATAGACAGACAAGTGATTGGGCAGTTACAATCCAAGGTGGTACTTGCTGTAATGGGGGAGCTATAGGGTGCTATGGAAAACTTGGGAGGAACATTTAATCTAGATTGGATTGGGGGAAAAATTACTAGCAGCTTCCTCCAAAGTATAACATCAATGCTAGGACCAAAGGTGAAGTAGGAATTTTGTGAGCCAAAGGTGGATGGGTAAAAGCATTCTGGAAGGGCAGACTGCATATGCAAGGCCTTGGAAACAGGAGCCTGGTACGGTGAGGATTTGGAAGACATGTAGTGTGGCTGGAATGTGGAGCATAAGGTGTGGGAAGAAATGAGGCTGGAGAGAGAGGCAGGACTAGACCGCAAAGGACCATGTAAATAGTACAAGAGGTTTAGACACTTGAGGACAAGATCCTGGGGAGGTGTTATTAGATGGTATCCAGAAGGAAAAAAAATGGGCTAACTCATAAACTGCTGGGCTGCCCTGCCCCAACAGGTCTCCAGACAAGGCTAGATGACCACTCACTGAGAAGGTATAAAGGGGCTTTGGATATTGAATATAAGGGGCAGCTGATGTCAGCCAGGTAGGAGGAAGCAAGTCTTTGAGCCCCTTGTCTCCCTCACTGGCTCCTGATTCATGTCTATGACATCCTAAGATTTATTTATTGTTTTCAAAAATTCATTTTAGAACCACTGCTCAAGCCAACTTGGCGGTCTCGTGACCAGGGCCCCAGTCCAATACTTGGAGGGCAGAGGAAAAAGCCAGTTGTTTGGAGCCCCTTGCAAATATGAGCCAATATTTCTTTTCTTTCTTTCTCCTGCCCCCAACCCCTGCCACCTGGAGTGGATTCCTCCACCAAGCATAGACATTGAGGAAATGTGGTCACAGAACAGAGAGGACTTTCTGTTATTGGATCTTTCAATTCTAAAATATGCTTTTGATTTCATTTTATAGATTTCAATTCTGTAGTGAAATTCTCTGCGTGTCATCTACTTTTTTGAACATATTTATCACAGTTATTTGAAAGTCTGTGTTTGATAACTCGTATTTGGAATACCTCAGGATTGCTTTCTGTTGTCTGTTTTTCTTTTTGGTACTGTTTCTTGATATATAAGTTGTATTTGGTATATGCAAGATGACAGATTTTCTTTTCTGGCAGGCAGTTAGAGTAATTCAATCCAATTAGGACTCAGCTGAGTAAAGATTGATTTTGGCCTTTGTTAAGACTGCCTTATCTCTGCCTAATTTCTGTGGTGAGCCTATAGCCCTCCAGGGGTTCTAAGTGAGATCTTTAGGTGTTTATCAGGACCGTTTCTTACTTGGTTGCTCCTGGATTCCAATTTTTGTTTCCAGAGCACTGTGAGCCTGCTAAAACTTCTCCTGAGCTCTTCCAACACTTTCTGCTTGGCCTTTTAGCCTCTTGCTCTGACAGCTTAAGACTCAGCAAATGTCCCAAGGGGGAAAACAGAAGTGGGGCTCATATCCTCTTTATAATCTTGTCTCTTAAGTCCTAGTTGCTCTTTGATGGCTTCAAACAGATTTTTAAAATTTTGTATTTCATCCAGGTTTCTCACTGGTTCTTGTGGAAGTTACAAGCTACTCTATCATAGATAGAAGCAGAGGAATGGAACATTACATCTTGAAGGCCGGGGACAACTATTCTAACTGGGAAGTTGCAATGGTTCTCAGGAGGCGTTCAGAATCGCTTACCAACTGGGCTTTACCAGCTGTTGGTCTTGATCCCAGGGCAGAACTTTGCTGTATCACATTTCCCCAGAACCCCTGATCCCTTTCTCAGTTTAAAAATCCCTTTACTTGGCCCTGAGACTTGGTGCCCAGTGCTGGGGACAAGCAAGAAAGAGGGAACAGGTAGAAAATTGTTAGTTGGTACTCAGTGGAGCAGTATTGTACCCCACATGAAGTAGTTGGAAGTATGTAGGGATTTTTTTCTTTGTTGCCACATGGCTTGGGGAAGAGGATGATTGCTAAAGCCAAGTACACTTGGAAAAGTCCTGTACAATGTGATTTTTTTTTTTTTTTTGGTAAAAATATTACTTTTCCATTACGAAAAATGAAGCCCCTTCCACTATCACTCTGGATTCCATCTACTCTTATATTCTCAATGGCTTTTTTCCCTCTCAAGGGCAAAAAAATCCCTCCTATATCTCATTTTTTCTTCTCTATTGGATTAATCCCATAAACATTAAAAACAGGCACAAATGTCTCCAATTAAAAGCAATATCAAACAGAAAGAAGAACTTCCTTGATTTTACATCTTCCTCTAGACTACCATCTAATTTCTCGGCTTTCTTCCACAGAAAACCTTCTTGAAAGTAATCCAGGGTAGGCAAGCTCCAAAACTGGAGCTTAGCCCATGGAGGTTCTTGCTTCACCCAGTAAAGAATTCAAGGGTAAGCCAGTGGTGTTAGACAGCAACTTTTATTGAAGTGGCAGTGTATAGTAACAGCAGAGTTACTGCTCCTTGTGGAGCAGAGCTACCCCATAGGCCATGTGCCTAGAGTGGCAGCTCAGAGGCAATTCTGAGCGCCTTCTGCATAGTCTTCTCTTTAATTTGCATATAATTAAAAGTAAGTAGTCATATGTTTAATATATGCAAATTTATATTTCATATATGCAAATTTGCATATATTAAAGTGTGAATACTCACTTTTAATTATATGCAAATTAAAGAGAAGAGTATGCAGACATTTCTAGAATAGGAAGTAACTTCTGGGTTGTCAGGTTGTTGCCATTGGAAAGGGGCAGCAACTTCTGGGTGTTGCCATGGCAGTGGTAAACTGATATAGCACTGGTGGATGTGTCTCATGGAGAGGTGTTTTTGCCTCTTCCCTGTTTCAGCTAGTCCTCGATCTGGCCTGGTGTCTGAGCCTCACCTCTGGAGTTGAGTCTCACCTTCTACTTCAAAAGGGTCATCATAATCTTTCTCTACTTCCTTATCTCACATTTGCTCCTCCACCCACTGCGGTCAGTCCCCCCATTCCGCTGAGTATGCTTGGAGTGCTAAATCCAAATCACTTTTCTCTTCTCATCTTACTTGATGCCTTAGTAGTATTTATCATGGATCATCATTCCCTTTTCTGGAAACATTTTTCTGGCTGCTGTGAAATCATGCTCTCCTTCGTTCCTTCTTCTCTGGCCATGCCTTCTCTGAGACCTCTGTTGGCTCCTGCCTCATTCTCTCTCTTGATGTTTGAATGCCTCAGATCACTGCTCAGCTTCTCTATCTCCTCTTCATCCAGGTAACCTCATCTGGCTCCATGGTTTTACTTATCATACATATGTGAGAATTCCTAAAATTAAACCCAATCTTAACCTCTCCTTTGGACACCATTTGTATCCCATTGGATGTTCAGCTTCTTCTCATGTATGTCTGATGGGCATCATAAATTTGGCTTGCTGAAATGGGAATTCTTGGTTTATCTTCCCAACATATGTGCTTTTTCCTAGTGTTCCACAATCCCTAAGTTGTTCAAATCAAGTCTTGGAATTTTCATGAAGTTCTCTTTCCCTTTTTCCTCTATATCTGATCCATAAACAAATCCCTCCAAATTATATCCCTAGTATTCCCAGTCTTCTCTAGTTCATGCCACTGTTATCTCTGGTCTGGATTTAGGCACTCATTTTCTAACAGATCTTCCTGCTTCCATGCTTGCTTTGCTATGATCCATTCTCTTCAAAGCAGGCAGAGTGACTTTCTCAAAACATAATCATGTCATGTCATTCTCACCTGCCTAAAAATTCTCTAGTGGCTTTCCTATTCAACTTACAGAAAATTCAAACTTCTTCCCAGTTTAGCAATCCCTCTATGTTCTGGCTGCCTCCTACCACTCTGACTTTAATTTGTACCACTCTTTCTCTGGCTCACTCTGCTCCACCATACTGACCAAGTGCTGTTTCACAACCAGAACAAGTTCCTTCACGCCTTAGGGCCTCGGCACTTTGTTCCTTCTGCCTGGAACACGTTCCTTGTCATGTGGCTGGCCACTTCTTGTCCCTCAGGTCTTAGCTTGAAAGTCACCTCTTTCTGATCATCTAATCTGAGCTAGCCAGATAGTCACTTGTAATCTCTTACCTATTTTAATTCTCTACATTTTACTTATTACTATCTGGTATTTTCTTAATTGATTTATTCATGTATTCATTGATTTTCTTACAGCCAATATCGCCCGACTAGAATACAGACAACATGAGAATATGAGCTTATCTTTTTTATTTACTATTGAGTGCTCAGGGTCTAGAAGAGCACCTAGCACCTAGCAAGCAGAAAGATTTCAGTAAATATTTGCAAGAAATTGGGTATTTGTAAAAATACTGTAGGAGATGGAAACTTTGAATTCAACTTTGACCCTAAATCAAATATTAAGTCATTTCCTTTATTAGACTTTTATTTTCTTACTTTTTAAAATAAGAGATGCTCTCAAAGCTAGTCAGTCATCCTCGTGTCCTCTGTCACCATAGATTGGGTTTACCAGTTTTTGAAATTTCTTATAATGAAAACGAACATTAGATACTCTTTTATATGTAGCTTTTTGACTCGATGTTCTGTGAAATTCATTTATTTGTTTCATGTAGGAATAGTGCATCTTTTCCATTGCTATGTACTTTTGGCGTTTGAATATATCAAAATATATGTAGTCATTCAAAAAAAAAAAGGAGGGTGATGGTGATGACAGACAAGACCAGCGGTTTAAAAACTGTGTTCTACAGAAGCTCCTCTTCCTCTCCAGGACTGGCATAGTTGGAGGGCCAAGCAAGTGAGGCTTCAGCATCCTCTCCTCTTCCCTTTTTCCCCTCCAACCAGAATGGTAGTTGGGCCATTCTGGTTTTGTTTATTTTATAGATGAACCTTGGGTCATCCGGGTGTTAGGTCAGATTGCATTTATAAAAAAAAATTATAAAAATGTTTCTGCTGTCTAAAAGAATATCCTTTAACTCAGCTATTAATGTCAGACATTGGATTTTGAGCTCTTCTACCTTTGAGCTGTATGACTTAAGTGAATTAATCACTCTGTGCCTGTATTTCCACAAATGTACACATGTGGTATCAATAATAATGTTAGGTTAGGTTACATGAGCTAACGCATGTAAAATGCAATAAATTCTAGCTGCTATTATTATTATTATTATTTTGTCATTGTCATCATCTACTTCACCATCCTTGCCTGGGGCACTTTCCCCTCTGCTGATCTATGTTAATTTGAGGCTTTGTTGTAGTCACTCAGCCTGGGCTCCCATTCAGTGGAAAACTGGATGCCTCCTACTTCTATTCCTAGCAGCAGGATGGGGTATCCTAGTTGGGTCTCCTGGCTTATCCCACCCAGTGCACCAGAAATAAACCAACTCAAACTTGAATGCCTGGGAAAAAGCTGCTCTGCTCCTTGCCAGACCACATTTCTCAAAGAGAAGAGGGAAGGAAAAAAGAAGACACAGTCTCAGTTAAGCTCCTCAAGTACAGTGTGAACCCGACACTCCTAAGGTGTCCAAGTCAGGTTCCAAAAACTAATGGGTTATCCACAGATGTCAGTACAGATACCAAGCTTGAGTTTCATTTTTCATTTCATCACAGGATGACCTTGGCCAAGTCATTATGTCATCATCACAGGTTCTCTGGATTCATTGACATCCTATTTCCCCACTAAGCATTACCTGGGTAGATTGAAGTGTTGTGCATTTGCCAACAGGCAGTTGGGAGATGGGATAACTGCGTAGCAATGTGCAAAACGCAGATGTTAGGTAGAAGACTGAGCCTTGTATGATGTATTCCTGAGGGTCCGGGATCCACAGGGAAATCTCAGGGCATAAAGGAAGTACACCAGATCATAAAAAGCCATGCCCCAGGATGTGTTCCCAGGCCGCTAGAGAAGTAGGTAGTTAGAGTCATTCTCAGTTGCTCTGGTATCTGTTTCACTGCCTGCCTTGGAAAATCCATCACCCCTTTCTCCCTTCTTTCTGGTGCTGGCTTCAAATAAGCAATTCGGTGAGGTCTTGCCATCAGAAATCAAGGCATACTGGCTTGCTGCACTTTTATTTGAGACTCACGTCAAACACTGACGTACTTACTGCCTAATGACTTTGGGCATTTTGCCATGATGGGAGTGGTGGTGGGGGTAGTGGTGGTTAAAAATTATGCTGTTTACAAGAGTAGTTTCCCACTGGTACTGTGAGGCGTGCACATCTTTCCGAAACGCCGAATTCCATATGCATCATGTTTCGTTTGTGTCTGGCTAGGAGGGCCATTACAGGGTTAGACTAGACATTAAAACAACGGGTCAGTTGTCTCTAAGTAAAGACAATACTGTTGTATAGCTTTCCTAATAAATGACAAAACCTGTGTTTGAATCCAGAACTATTCTTCAATTTCACCTTTTTTATTCAAGAGGTAGGACTGAATCTCTGCTCCACCACATAGCTCTGGGACCTTGGGCAAGTTTTTTCACTTTAGTTTCCTAATTTGTAAACCAGGGATAATAAAACCTACCTCATGCAATTATTATGAGTATTTTATTATCATTATTTTATTTCAATGCGTTTTTGGGCAACAAGTGGTGTTTGGTTACATGGATAAGTTATTTAGGGGCGATTTCTGAGATTGTGGTGCACCTCTCAGTTGAGCAGTGTACTCTCTACCCAATGTGTAGTCTTTTATTACCCCCTGACCTCCCACCCTTTCCCTCAAGTCCCCAAAGTCCATTGTATTGTTCTTATGCCTTTGCGTCCTCCTCACAGCTTAGCTCTCACTTATGAGTGAGAACATATGATGTTTGGTTTTCCATTCCTGAGTTACTTCACTTAGAATAATGGTCTCCAATTCCATCCAGGTTGCTGCAAATACCATGATTTTGTTCTTTTATATGGCAGAGTAGTATTCGATGGTATATGTGTGTGTGTATGAATATATATTTATATATATATATACTATATACTATATGTGTATATACTGTATACTATATATATAAAATATCACATTTTCTTTATCCACTTGATTGATATCTTTTTGTATAATGACTTCTTTGCCTTTGGGTAGATACCCAGCAGTGGGATTGCTGAGTCAAATGGTAGATCTACTTTTAGTTCTTTAAGGAATCTCCACACTGTTTTCCGTAGTGGTTGTATTAGTTTATATTCCCACTAGCAGTGTAAAAGTGTCCCCTTTTCACCACATCCACGCCAACATCTATTATTTTTTGATTTTGTAATTATGGCCATTCTTGCAGGAGTAAAGTGGTATTGCATTGTGGTTTTGATTTGCATTTCCTTGATAACTAGTAATGTTGAGCATTTTTTCATATGTTTATTGGCCATTTGTATATCTTCTTTTGAGAATTGTCTATTCATGTCCTTAGCCCACTTTTTGATGGGATTTTTTTTTCTTGCTAATTTGTTTGAATTCTTTGTAGATTCTGGATATTAGTCCTTTGTCAGATGCAAAGTTTGCAAACTCTATAGGTTGTCTGTTTACCCTGCTGATTATTTCTTTTGCTGTGCAGAGCTTTTTAGTTTAATTAAGTCCCATCAATTTATCTTTGTTTTTGTTGCATTTGCTTTTGGGTTCTTGGTCATGAACTCTTTGCCTAAGCCAATGTCTAGAAGGGTTTTTCTGATGTTATCTTCTAGAATTTTCGTGGTTTCAGGTCTTAGGTTTAAGTCTTTGATCCATCTTGAGTTGATTTTTATATACGGTGAGAGATGAGGATCCAGTTTTATTCTTCTACATGTAGCTTGCCAATTATCCCAGCACCATGTGTTGAATAGGTTGTCCTTTCCCTACTTTATGTTTTTGTTTGCTTTGTTGAAGATCAGTTGGCTGTAAGTGTTTGGCTTTATTTTTGGGTTCTCTATTCTGTTCCATTGGTCTATGTGCCTGTTTTATACCAGTACCATGATGTTTTGATGACTATGGCCTATGGTATAGTTTGAAGTCAAGCAATGTGTCTCCAGATTTGTTCTTTTTGCTTAGCTTGCTTTGACTATTTGGGCTCCTTTTTTGGTTCCAGTATTTAGCCATGGTTCCTAAAATTCCATGACTTTGGGGATTGTTTTTTTCTAGTTCTGTGAAGAATTATGATGGTAGTTTGTTGGGCATTGCATTGAATTTGTAGGTTGCTTTTGGTAGTATGGTCATTTTCACAATATTGATTCTACCCATCCATGAGCATGGGATGTGTTTCTATTTATTTGTGCTGCCTGTGATTTCTTTCAGCAGTGTTTTGTAGTTTTTCTTGTAGGAGTGTTTCACCTCCTTGGTTAGGTATATTCCCAAGAATTTTATTTTATTTTATTTTATTTTTTGCAGCTATTGTAAAAGGGGTTGAGTTATTGATTTGATTCTCAACTTGATTGCTGTTGGTGTAGGGCAGAGCTACTGATTTGTATACATTGATTTTACATCTTGAAACTTTACTGAATTCATTCATCAGATCTAGGAGCTTTTTGGATGAGGCTTTAGGGTTTTCTAGGTATACAATCATATCTTCTGTGCACAGTGACAGTTTCACTTCCTCTTTACCAATTTGGATGCCCTTTATTTCTTTCTCTTGTCTGATCGCTCTGGCTAGGACTTCCAGTACTATGTTGAATAGAAGTGGTGAAAGTGGGCATCCTTTTCTTGTTCCAGTTCTTATAGAGAATGCTTACAACTTTTCCCATTCAATATAATGTTGGCTGTGGGTTTGTCATAGATGGCTTTTATTACCTTAAGATATGTCCCTTTTATGCTGATTTTGCCAAAGGTTTTAATCATAAAGGGATGCTGGGTTTTGTCAAATGCTTTTTCTGAATCTATTTAGATGATCATGTGATTTTTGTTTTTCATTCTGTTTATGTGGTGTATCACATTTATTGACTTACATATGTTAAACTATTCTGGCATCCTTGGTATGAAACCCACTTGATCATGGTGGATTATCTTTTCGATATATTGTTGGATTTGGTTCACTAATATTTTGCTGAGGATTTTTGCATCTATTTTCATTAGGGATATTGGTCTATAGTTTTCTTTTTTTTGTTGTTATGTCCTTCCCTGGTTTTGATATTAGGGTGACGATACTGGCTTTGTAGAATGATTAGGGGAGGATTCCCTCTTTCTATATCTTGTGGAATAGTGTCAGTAGGATTGATACCAATTCTTCTTTGAATGTCTGATAGAATTCAGCTGTGAATTATCTTGTCTTGGATTTTTTTTGTTGTTGTTAGCAATTTAAAAATTACCATTTCAATCTCATTGCTTGTTTTTGGTCTGCTCAGAGATTCTATGTTTTCCTGGTTTAATCTAGGAGGGTAATATATTGTCAGGAATTTGTCCATCTCCTGTAGGTTTTCTAGTTTGTGTGCCTAAATGTGTTCATAGTAGCTTTGAATGATCTTTTGTATTTCTGTGGTATCAGTTGATATCTCCTATTTTGTTTCTAATTGAGCTAATTTTGATCTTCTGTCTTCTTTTCTTGGCTAATCTCAGTAACGGTCTATCAATTTTGTTTATCTTTTCAAAGAGCCAGCTTTTCATTTTATTTATATTTTGTATTTTTTGTTGTTGTTTCAATTTCATTTAGTTCTGTTCTGATCCTTGTTATTTCTTTTCTTCTGCTGGATTTGGGTTCGGTTTGTTCTTTTTTCTGTAGTTAGTTGAGATGTGACCTCAGATTGCCTATTAGCACTCTTTCAGACTTTTTGGTGTAGGCATTTAGTACTATGAATTTTCCTCTTGGCACCACTTTTGCTGTATCCCAGAGGTTTTGATAGGTTGTATCACTATTATTGTTCAGTTTGAATAATTTTTTAATTTTCATCTTGATTTTATTGTCGACCCAACGATCATTCAGGAGCAGGTTATTAACTTTCCATGAATTTGTACAGTTTTGACAGTTTCTTTTGGAGTTGATTTCTGATTTTATTCCCTTGTGGTCTGAAAGAGTACTTGATATAATTTCTATTTTCTTAAATTTATTCAGACTTGTTTTGTGGCCTACCCTATGGTCTATCTTGGAGAATGTTCCCTGTGCTGATGAATATGTATATTCTGCAGTTGTTGGATAGAATGTTCTGTAAATATCTGCCAAGTCCGTTTGTTCTGGGGTATAGTTCAGGTCCATTGTTTCTTTGTTAGCTGCCTTGATAACCTGTCTAGTGCTGTCAGTGGAGTATTGAAGTGCCTCATTATCATTTTCTTGCCATCTGTCTCATTTCTTATTACACCATGGGGTGTAATAGTAATAGTTTTATAAATTTGGGAGCTCCAGTGTTAGGTGCATATGTATTTAGGATTGTGATATTTTCCTGTTAGACCATTCCTTTTATCATTATATAATGTCCCTCTGTCTTACTAAACCATTGTTTTTGCTTTAAAGTCTGTTTTGGCTGATATAAGAATGGCTACTTCTGCTAACTTTGGGCATCCATTTGAATGGAATATACTTTTCCACCCCTTTACCTTAAGTTTATGTGAGTCATGTGTTAGGTGAGTCTTCCTGAAGACAGCATATGCTTGGTTGGTGAATTCTTATCCATTCTGCCATTTTGTATCTTTTAAGTGGAGCATTTAGGCCATTTACATTCAATGTTAGTATTGATATGTGAAGTACTATTCTACCCATCATGCTGTTGCCTGAATATCTTTTATTTTTCATGTTGTTATTGTTTTATAGGTCCTGTGAGATTTATGCTTTAAGGAGGTTCTATTTTGGTATATTTCAAGGATTTCTTTCCAGATTTTGAGCTCCTTTTTGCAGTTCTTGTAGTGTTGGCTTGATAGTGGCAACATCTTTCAGCATTTGTTTGTCTGAAAAAGACTGTATCATTCCTTCATTCCTGAAGCTTAGTTTTGCCAGATACAAAGTTCTTGGCTGATAATTATTTTGTTTCAGGAGGCTAACGATAGGACCCCAATCCCCTCTACTTTGTAGGGTTTCTGCTGAGAAATCTGCTGTTAATGTGATAGGTTTTCCTTTATAGGTTACCTGATGCTTTTGCCTCACAGCTCTTAAGACTCTTTCCTTCATCTTGACTTTAGGTAACCTGATAACTGTGTGCCTAGGCGATGATCCTTTTGTGATGAATTTGCGGAGTGTTCTTTGAGCTTCTTGTATTTGGATGGCTAGGTCTCTAGCAAGGTCAGGGAAGTTTTCCTTGATTATTCTCTCAAATATGCTTTCCAAACTTTTAGATTTATCTTCTTCCTTGTGAACACCAATTATTCTTAGGTTGGTTGTTTAACATAATCCAAAACTTCTTGGGGGCTTGGTTCATTTTCTTAAAATTATTTTTTCTTTGTCTTTGTTGGATTGGGTTAATTTGAAAGCCCACTTCAGGCTCTGAAATTCTTTCTTCTACTTGTTCGATTCTATTCCTGAGACTCTTCAGTGTATTTTGCATTTCTCCAAACATATCCTTTGTTTCTGGAAGTTGTGATTGTTTTTTATATATGGTATCTATTTTTCTGGAGATTTATCCATCCATATCCTGTATTATTTTTAAAATTTATTTAAGTTGGTATTCACCTTTCTCTGGCCTCCTTGAGTGGTTTAATAATTGACCTTCTGAATTCTTTTTCTGGCAATTAAGAGATTTCTTCTTGGTTTAGATCCATTGCTGGTGAGCTAGGGTGATCTTTTGAGGATGTTAAAGAATGTTGTTTTGTCATATTACTGGAATTGTTTTTCTGTTTCCTTCTCATTTAGGTAGACTGTGTCAGAGGGAAGATCTGGGACTCAAGGGATGCTGTTCAGATTCTTTTTTCCCACGGTGTGTTCCCTTGATGTGGCACTGTCCCACTTCCCCTAGGGATGAGGTTTCCTGAGAGCTGAAATGCAGTGATTATTATTTCTCTTCTGGGTCTAGCCACCCAGTGGAGCTACCAGGCTCTGGGCTGGCACTGGGGAGTGTAAGCAAAGAGTCCTGTGATCTGTGTTCAGGTCTCTGAGTCATGGATACCAGCACCTGCTCTGGTGGAGGTAGCAGGGGAGTGAAGTGGACTCTGTTAGGGTCCTTGATTGTAGTTTTGTTTAGCACCCTAGTTTTGTGTCGGTTGGCCTCCAGTCCGGAGGTGGTGTTTTGAAAAAAGTATCAGCTGCAGTAGTATAGGGAAGATGCAAGCTTGCCTTAAGGTCTTCTGGATAAGTATCTGGGTTTCTCAGGTGGTGGGTGGGACCATGGAGCTCCCAAGAGATTATGTCCTTTATCTTTGGAATTCAGTAGTTCTTGGAGCACAAGTTCATGATGTGAGTTCCACATGGTGCTCTATCCATCCGATGAGAGCTGCAAGCTAGTTCTGCCTCCTATCTGCCATTTTTTTCTCTCTGTTCTATTATAAGTATTAAATGAGATAATATATGGAAATATTTAGCATAGCACCTGACACAGAGTGAGTACTCAATATATGTTAAATGCTACTGCTATCACTGCTAGTAATTGAGAAACAGGAATAAGAAAAATAGGAAGATGAGAATTGAGCTCAGGCACATAACCTAGGCAGAGAAATGTCACCAAACTATAAAATATATACCCTGCAATCCAGCTGGCAGACTACATAAGTCTCCTTGCTCAAGTACTGAAACACAGAGGCCCATGTGCTGTCTAACACAGTGTCACCAAACCTTTTTGATCATGCACTCTATCAGTGAACCAATTTTAAGCTCTCCCCCACCATATATGTTTATTCATTTATAAGTTGCAAACATGCACTAATGTACTATTGTGTATATTATAAAATATCTAAAATATAAATTTTTAAAAGCTGAGAGACCAATAAATATCAAGGGGTCCTCCAATAGTTCCTCCTTTTTTTTTTTTTTGAGACTTCTTTGCTGGTCTGTCTGTGGGACTGGGTTTGAAAGAGGCCATTCTGAACCAAAAGACCATATAGACAAGGTAATCCTAAGCAAAACAGAACAAAGTTGGAGGCATCATGCTACCTGACTTCAAACTATACTATAAAGCTACAGTAACCAAAACAGCACGGTACTGGTACCAAAACAGATATATAGACCAATGGAACAGAACAGAGCCTCAGAAATAATACCACACATCTACAACCATCTGATTTTTTGACAAACCTGACAAAAACAAGAAATGGGGAAAGGATTCCATATTTAATAAATGGTGTTGGGAAAACTGGCTAACCATATGCAGAAAACTGAAACTGGACCCCTTCCTTACACCTTATGCAAAAATTAACTCAAGATGGATTAAAGACTTAAACATAAGATGTAAAACCATAAAAACCCTAGAAGAAAACCTAGGCAATACCATTCAGGACATAGACATGGGCAAAGACTTCATGACTAAAACACCAAAAGCAATGGCAACAGAAGTCAAAATTGACAAATGGGATCTAATTAAACTAAAGAGCTTCCACACAGCAAAAGAAACTATCATCGAGGTGAACAGGTAACCTACAGAATAGGAGAACATTTTGCAATCTATCCATCTGACAAAGGGCTAATATCCAGAATCTACAAGGAACTTAAATTTACAAGAAAAAAAACAACCTCTTCAAAAAGTGGGCAAAGGATATGAACAGACACTTCTCAAAAGAAGGCATTTATGCAGCCAAGAAACATATGAAAAAAAGCTCATCATCACTGGTCATTAGAGAAATGCAAATCAAAACCACAATGAGATACTATCTCATGCCAGTTAGAATGGTGATCATTAAAAAGTCAGGAAACAACAGATGCTGGAAAGGAGGTGGAGAAATAGGAACACTTTTACACCATTGGTGGGAGTGTAAATTAGTTCAACCATTGTGGAAGACAGTGTGGCGATTCCTCAAGGATCTAGAACCAGAAATACTATTTGACCCAGCAATCCCATTACTGGGTGTATGCACAAAGGATTATAAATCATTCTACTATCAAGACACATGCACACGTATGTTTATTGCTGCACTGTTCACAACAGCAAAGACTTGGAACCAACCCAAATGCCCAACAATGATAGATTGGATAACGAAAAATGTGGCACATATACACCAGGGAATACTATGCAGCCATAAAAAAGGATGAGTTCATGTCCTTTCCAGGGACATGGATGAAGCTGGAAACCATCATTCTCAGCAAACTAACTCAGAAACAGAAAACCAAACACCGCATGTTCTCACTCGTAAGTGGGAGTTGAACAGTGAGAACACATGGACACAGGGAGGGAAACATAACTTACTGGGGACTGTCACGAGATTGGGGGCTAGGGGAGAGATAGCATTAGGAGAAATATCTAATGTAGATGATAGGATTATGGGTGCAGCAAACCACCATGGCACGTATATACCTATGTAACAAACTGGCATGTTTTGCATATATATCCCAGAACTTGAAGTATAATAAAAATTTAAAAAATAAAATAAATAAATAAATAAATAAATAAAAAATCCATCTCAACAAAAGAAAAGAAAGAGGCCATTCTACCAGGCTCTCTGTTGCGAGGATCAAATGAAATAACACCCTTCATAAAGCAGTTATAAAGTTTTAGTTATGCTTATCATCATAGTTAGTTAAACCATGTATGCACACAACAATAAGAATGATAAAAAAAGTCACTTGAAAGTTACAGTTCAATGATAACACATAGAGTTATGCTTTGAAGAGTGCGTTTATCAAAACCTTCTTGAGAATCTATCACATGCCAAATGCCATTGTAAGAATCAGGGATTGAGATAAACAAGACAAAATCCTGGCCACTTGAGTATCTGGAGTTTTAATAGGAAAGCTACACCATTGTGAATAAATACAGAACCCTGTAACATGTACAGTGAAAGAAAACAGAAAATCAGAATGAAAGGAAGGAGTAGAGGCTCTCAGGGAAGGCTTCCCAAAATAAAGAATGCCTAGGTGTGGTTTTTCAAAGCTAAATAAGTATTCAACAGGAAAACAAAGAAGAAAGGGTGTTTGGGCTAAAAGCACAGAAGTGTAAAACGACCTCCACATTCAGCATTCTACCTGCTCTCTGGGATGTTGGGCATGGCTGACGTGTTGGATTGTGAGGGAACAAGGAGGCCAGAGATGATGTTAGAAAACATGGTCAAGGGCTAGGTCAGCAGGCCTTGTGCTTCTTGATGAAGTTTGGGCTGAAACTCAAGATGGAGGATGCATTAAAGTTTGTAGGAAGGAGAGTGGCATGATCAATCAGATTTGCATGTTAGAAGAATTCTTCTGACTATTCTGTGGAAGGAGGTTGTCAGCCACGAAGCAGGGAGGCTAGAGACTCCTTGAACTCCAGGAGAAGGGAGGTGAGCCTGAACTGACTCTGTAGGAAGGACAGTTAATGGCCCTGGAAAAGATGTGAAGAAATTGGAATTTAGGAGTTCATGGAATATACATAGCCCTCTCTGCCTCTTTCATCTATTCTGCAGGAAATTAAGTGAAATTCCGTCTTCTTTAGAGGCAATGAGACTTGGTTGGAGAATTTTCAAGTCTGAGGTCTGAAGAAACCAATGCCTCTGTCTGTTTTCCCCATAAGACTCTCCAAAGTTCACTGAAACTGTTCCCAAAAGGCAGTGTCCAACCTTCTCAGGGATCCTAGCCTATCAGATCAACAAGTCTGCATCTCCCACAGCTCCCAACTGTAGGACAAGGGCTGGATTCTTAGAGAGGACGGCAGGCAGCTCCATTTGATTGGTCTTGCTTTGCCCTATCAGGGAAGGGTCAACATGGGGCTCCCCAACATCAAGGATTGGCATCTCTTAAGGGAAGGTCACCCATTTCTATGTTCATTTAGTCTCTCCCGTTTCCTGGATTCCAAAATTTGAAGATGCTAGTCATGAAACCCACTTTCAGCTCTCCAGCCTCCTTTCCAACTTTACTCCACTGGTTAATGGCTCCTCATACCCACATTTTTATTTTTTGAAGTTTTAGTGGGGTATAGAAAATATTCAGAAAAATGTACAAATTGTAGGTAAAATTTTACAAAGAGATCACACTTGTGCAACCAGAACTCATATTAAGAAATAAGAAATTACCAGCATCCCAGTCTCCCTGCCATTGCTCCTTCCAGAGACCACATTCCCAAAGGCTAATGAATATTCTGACTTACAGCACCATAAATTTTTTCTGCCTGCTTTTGAGCTTTGTGGTTCATTAATTTTCATTGTTGTATAGTATTTTGTTGAGAAAATACACCACAATTTTTTCTATGGTTAAGTAGAATTTGATTAGTGTACAGTTTGAAGCTATTACAAGTAGACCTGCAATGAACATTTTTGTACATCTTATGGTGCTTACATGCATGTATTTCTGTTTGTTATACATCTAGTATCACAGGGTATGCATACATTCAGCTTGAGTAGTAAACTGATACTGCCAATCAGTTTTCCAATGTGGTTGCATAGACTTACAATACCACTGGCAGTGTGTAAGAATTCTAACTAATTCACATCCTTGCCAATACTTGAAACTGTCTTTTTTTTTTTTTTGGTTCTAGTCATTCTGGTAGATGTGTGATGGTGTCACATTATGATATTATTTGCATTTTTCTGATGACTAATAAAGTGTGAGATGACCACAATTCTTTGACTGGTTTAGGCATTTCATTTCTATTTCTCCCACTTCCAATTGTGCCTCAATTCACTCCAATTTATGCTGAACCCTAACTTCTCTCTATAGTCACCAATATCTCAGTCAGCTGTAACACAATACCTGTTCTCTTCCAGTTTTCCCTTGCATCACTAATGTATCAGTGTAGGCTGTTTCAAGTGCAAGTGTTCATCAACCCAAGTCAAACTGGTGTATGTGAAAAAAAAAAGCAAAAGAAAAAAAGAAACCCTTTAGCTCATATAACTAAAAGGTCTGCTGGTATATCTCAAGTGGTATAGCTTGACACAGAGCTCAAACAATGCCATCACCTTCTAGTTGTTCTCTTTTCACACAGTGTTGGCTCTATGGTCAGATGTAAGATGACTGCAATAGTTCTAGTTTTATATATTAATAGTTACAGGCTTAAGTTCCAAAGTAAAGATAAAGAGACTCCTTTTCCAAACTCAAACAAATAAAATGCCCTAAAATTGAGTCTTGTTGGCTCCGAATGGCCTGTTTGGGTCATGTGCCAATCCTGGAACCACTTGCCTGGGAGATTGGCTAAGGCTTGGGTAGTATGTCTAACCTGAAGGAGGAAGTGGAGTGGATCCACTCTGCTCAAACCAAATGGATTAAGAGTGGAGGCAGGTTGATTTCTCAGCAGTATAGTGGGGAAAAATTACCTGCAGGGTGAAAAGATGTTGGAAAGCAAATTCAGCAGTTATCTGCTACACTTGTTGGCCCAGTTCCAAGGCCAGAATCCTTCAGTTATTCTTGAGTTTTTATTCTCCCTCAGCTTCCACATCCATTAATTATGACTGCCCATCATTTCTACATCCTAAATAACTCCCTAATCCATCCATTTTATCACTACTTTTGCCATTCTAGTACAAGTAACCAATAACTTATCCTTTGACTCCTGGAATAATTTTCTATCATCCTTTCCTCTAAACTCTAAAATTAACAATAATAAGTAACACTTCTTGAAGGCTTATTCAACACCCAACACTGTGCAAGCACTTTACTTTTACTATATTATTCAGTCCTCAGAGCAACTCTATGAATTAAAAAGCTGTGATATACTCCGTTATATGAAGAGAAAACTATAATGAGAAACAAACTTCTTAAAACTCAACATTCTTCAATGGCTTCTCATTTACCTATATTTTTGATATCTATTACTATTTAACAAAGTACTCCCAACTTTATTGTCTTGAAAATAATAGCAATCATTTATCTACATTAAGAATCTACAGTTTAGGTGGGGTTCAGCAGGGAAGGCTCATCTCTGCTTCTTACAGCATCAGCTGAAGTGGCTTGACTAGGGAATGGAGAATCCACATCCAAGATGGCTCACTCATATGGCTGATAAGTTAATGCTGCTATTGTCTGCAAGTTCAGAGTCAGAGACCTTAGTTCCCGTCCACATGCTGCCTGGGCTTCCTAGAAACATGATGGCTAAGTTCCAAAAGTGTCCCCAAAGCCAGGAAGTAGAAGGTGCCATTTCTTAAGACTTGCCTGAGGCCAGAATCTGGCACAGCACCACAAGGCCCAAATTCAAGGAGAGGGAAGGAAAGCTCTTCTTAATAGGAGGAGTATCAGAGAATATTTGGACCAAGTTTTAAAACTGCCATTTCCTAATTATAAAAATTCATAAAATAAACTAAAAGGCTTTCCACAATTTGAACCTGCTAACCAATCCATTATCCCATGTCATCGTAATATTTCCCTATGCATAGTGGCCTTCATTCAGTTCCTCCAAAGTATTATGTTCTCTCTCACCTCAGGGCCATTCCATTACAGCTGCTATTTGTACCTGCCTGGAATGTTTTCTCTGTTTTTACCCAATCTCCTAGCTTCAGATCTCAGAGAAAACTCCTCTCCTTGGGAGAGGAGTTGATATGGTTAGGTTTTGTGTCCCCACCCAAATCTCATCTTGAATTGTAATCTCCATAATCCCAAAATGTCAAGGGAGAGACCAGGTAGAGGTAATTGGATCATAGGGATGGTTTCCTCCATGCTGTTCTCATGATCTAATGAGTGAGTTCTCACAGATCTAATGGTTTTATAAGGGGCTCTTCCCCCTTCGCTCGGCACTTCTCCTTCCTGCCATTTTGTGAAGATGGTGACTTGCTTCCCCTTCCCCTTCCTCCATGATTGTAAGTTTCTTGAGGCCTCCCAAACCATGCTGAACTGTGAGTTGATTAAACCTCTTTCCTTTATAAATTACCCAGTCTTGGGCAGTTCATTATAGCAGTATAAAAATGGACTAATACAGGAGTTTTCTCTGAGATGCTAGCCTAGGTTAAGCCGTTCTGTTTTAAGTTCTCATACAAAGTGTGGCTCATAGTAGGTGCATCATACATATGTTTTGACAAAAGAAATAATTGAATGAGTGAAAAAAATTCATTGTCTTTTTAGTCTGAAACCCTCTTGCCACCTCTCTGCTTTCTTGTGCTATACCCCAGCCCCATTCAACTTCCAATCTCCAGGTAGATGGGCTCCAGCTCTTATAGCATTTCAGCTCTTCTTGAATTTCTCACTCCTCCAGGAAGGTGACAATTCCCTAGGATCCACTTAGGTTAAACATTCAACTTCCAGAACTCACCAGCTCCAGTGCTTGTATAAATAGAAAGTCTTGAGAGCTTGTTTTCATGGAACCTTTGTCTAATGGTCACAGCATTCCTATCAGTAAAGTCTCTATTTGCTTTGAAGCTCCTGGAAGATAGTTATGATGTGTCTCTGACTCAAAATCTCTCATATTCTTAGAAAACAGAAAACAGACGTCCTCAGGACCAGCAGAGTAAAGTTGAATTTTAATAGGCAAAGTGTACAGCATGAGCAAAGACTGAGTGGGCTGGGTGTGTTCCCTGTTGTCTAATGGGCAAGCCTTGGCTCTCATCTAGGATAAATTTTTGGTGAGAAAAGAAGACAGATTTTATAATGAAAACACACTGGACACCAAGCCATAGTCCTGGTTTACCATAATCATGTGCTGCCACTTAGCCTTCCTGGGAATTGTTATTCATATCCATTGAGTGAGGGCTCTGAGACAAGACGGTAACTTGAGACCAGTCCAGCTCCAGCAACAGGTGATTTTAACTAGGAGTGGTGTAGCATAGTGGCTAGTTGCGCCAACCTGGAGGCAAACAAACCAGGGTTCAATTTCCCAGTTTTCTCCCTTTTGAAATGTGTGGCCTAGAGTAAGTTACTTTATTTCTTTGAGTCTCACTTTTATTATCTGTAATCTGGGAATAATAATAGCTTCTCTCATAAAGCTGTTGTGTGAATGCTAATGAGATAAGCTATACAAAGTATATAGGTTATATTAGTCACCTAGTTAATTAAATAATTCAACAAATGGTTATTGAAAACTTCTTGCAGGAAGATATGGTAGAGTGGAATGGTTATAGTCTTGACTTTGGATAATACATGAATTTAAATACTGGTTTCATCACCTACTAGTTATGTGATTTTGGCCAAGTGACTTAGGGCAAGTGACTTATCTTTTCTGAACTTTGGTTTTCTCATCTTTAAAATAAGGGTAAGAGATGAAAGCCTCACAAGATTATTGTAATAATTCAGTAAGATAAAATAGATAAAATATATACTACAATGACTAACATATAGTGTATGCTCAATAAATAAAAGTTGTTTTTTTGAATTATTATTGCAAATAATTACTCTTCTTCAGGGAACAATTTATTGATAAGTTTGGTTAAAGTATAGAGGATACTTATGGAAGAATCCTGGGAGACGTTTAGAAAAGGTACGCTGGGGCTGGGTGCGGTGGCTCATGCCTGAAATCCCAGTACTTTGGGAGGCCGAAGCGGGTGGATCATGAGGTCAGGAGTTCGAGACCAGCCTGGCCAACATGGTGAAACTCCATCTCTACTAAAAATACAAAAATTAGCTGGGTGTGGTGGTGGGTGCCTGTAATCCCAGCTACTCAGGAGGCTGAGGCAGGAGAATCTCTTGCACCCAACAGGCAGAGGTTGCAGTGAACCGAGACCATGCCACTGCACTCCAGCCTGGGCAGCAGAGAAAGGCTCCATCTAAAAAAAAAAAAAAAAAGAAATGGTAGGCTGAGACTATATGTGGTAGTTCTTGAATGCACAGATGAAAAGTCTGCATTTTATCCACTGGCAATGACAAGCCACTGAAGAAGTCCAGGCTTTCAAAAAGACAATTTCAGTGTAGAATGTAGAAGATATTAGAGAGAATACACACTGGAAATGGAGAGACTTTTTCACTCATCCATCCATTCATTCATTCTGTCAATCACTTGACAATTATTGAACCCCTATGTGTCAGGCCCTAGTTGGTGGGAATGGAGAGGAACACAGACAATTAAATAAGACCTAAAATGTAATAAGTACTAGAATAGAGAAGCAAATCAGTGTGGTATCTAACTCAGATTTTTTGAGAGATCCAAAATGCTTCCAAAATACAGTGATCTTTAAACTAAGACCTCAAGTATAAAGGAGGGAAGAGCATTCCAGGCAGAAGAAAGATCAAGCACAAAAGATGAAGAGGCCAGAGAGAGCAGGGTGAGTGGAGGACTCGAAAGACACTCAGTCTTCAAGATGAGAGGTGAGGAGAATCTGAACAGGGTTAATGACCATGGGGAGAAGAGGGGATACATGCGCATGCCATTGTGGAGATAATGGTACAGTGTTAGAAAATGTGCTGACACACTGGGCATGCAGGAGGTGTAAGAAAAGGCAAGGTGACTCTAAGTTGACATCCCATCTCATGTTAGTCAGACATCCCTGCTCATGTTAGTCAACCCTTACTTTAGTTTGTCTTTTACTTCTCATTGGTAAAGGAGATTTACCAATTGGATAAATTGGATTTTACTGTGTCAGCTTGGTTTAATCAGAAACTAGGTATGGTTTCCTTTATCGTCTCAAGCCAGAGTTGTACAAAGAGAGAGACTTGCATAAGATTTGGAAGGCAGAGGTGAAGCAGCAGCCGTTATCACTCTGAAGGTCATGTGATCAGATGGAGTGACAGGCATAGCAGTACCTGGTAGCTTCCAGCACTTCCAGTTCTTCCTCTTTACAAACAGCAGCTCCAGGCCCATCATCTCATCTGCAACACCCAGAGCAGTTGCCTCTGAGAGGCAATGATTTCCCACAGACATCTCCTGCACTTCCCCTTTATGAGCCCACTTGTGTTGCTGTATGTGCTTGACTTTTGACTTTTCAGATTTACTATGAATCCTTTCCTGATCCTTTAAATACCACTTTCAGAATTTCACTTTCCTAGTTTCTGCCATAATTGCATAGCGTTTAATTCATATTACAACTCTCTTATTTCATAACAATCATAACAAATCTACCCTGACTGAATCTGACCAATACAAGGTTCATAAACCTGGGTGTCGCTTATCCTTGAGTATTTCTGATGCGTCCAGGCAGCTGGTGAAGGGTTAATATTGGTGTTTCTTCCTCCTAAGAAGAGACATAGATCATTATCTCATTTAGTTCAAAACCAAATAAAAATATATTTTTAAGATTCTTACGACTCTCCTTCCCTTTAACCCAGTAAAACAAGAAATAGGGAATGATAAGCCAGATGCCAACCAATCACATAAGAAAAATGGAGAGGAGAAAGAATGTTTCAAAAAGAGAGGAGAAGGTGTGTAAAGATCCAGGGTTCACAGCTCCTCCCTAGGCTTGCCTCCCTTAGGCTTGTCATGAAGACAAAATGACTTAATGGTATATAGGCCCTCAACAAATGGTAGAAAGCTGTGCAGATATGGAATCAAGCTGGGATGACCATTTACAAGAAGGACTTTGTGCTTTCCACTCTTCAGTAGTCCTTTTAGGATATTCAGCTCACCTCTGTGCTCCAGCCTTCAGACAACTAGAATTTCAAAGAACATATTTAAGTGGTTGGTGCCAGCAAGGCCTAGAGCATTTGGCTCAGGAAATACCATTGTCTGCCCCAGACCCACTAGGGAAAAGTAGCTGAGAGTACCTACAGACCAGTTTGTTCTCCTTTCATGCCAGGACTTTTCTAGAATGGAAGTGTTCTGGCAACCTCAGAATTATTTCATCTTTTCTGCCCCGGACCCTTTCAATTTTTTTTCTCCCCTGTCCCTGGGATAAGTCAGGGAGAAGCACCCTTAAGGAATCCTGACTCCAATACTTGCTTGCCATGCGATTGTGATTGTGAACCAGTTACTTCAACTCTCTCTCAATTTCTGCATCTGTAAAATGGCGATAATGATTTATCTCATGGTGTTGTGAGGATCAAACTAGTTATATGCATAGCCTTTAGAACAGTTCATGGCATATAGTGAGTGATCCACAAATGTTAGCTGATGTTATTATAATCAAAATAATAATAAAATTTTATGATTACATAGAATCAAAGGGTTAATTGCAGCTTTCTTGAATCTAAATCAAATGTTGTGAGGTTGTACATGATCTTTATTTTTGGTATCTTCCTAGAGAAATCAGGTGATTTAGAAGCTCAGTGGTTCCTGATTGATAGTAATGCCACTTATCAATTTTAGTTCATGCAAAGAGAAATTGGTCTAGTTCATCTATCAAATCATGATAACTGTGAAGTGGGAAGGAACCAATATTTAGTCCAGTTTCGCCACCAGCTATTGCTCCCTCTTTCTCCTTGCCTTTCCAGCCATGCTTCCAGGTGCTTGCATGTGCTATCTCCACTTCTTCCCACCTACTTTCCTGCTGGACAGCTACCCTCCAGTCTGGCTTCTACCCTCACTTTGCAACTGAAGCTGGCTTCCCAAAGGTGACTGACAACTTCCTTGTTTCTAAATCCTTTTAACATTTCTTTGCTTGCTGACCACTTCTGCCTTCCAGAAAAATTTTCTTTGCAGCTTCCATGACACCACGCTTGTCCTCTGTAGGCATTTTTTTTTCTACCTTCCTGGCAGCTGCTCATTTCCTGTTTCTTTGTTGTTGTTGTTGTTTGTTTGTTTGTTTTGACTTATTTTTTCCCCCGACTTTACATGCTGGTGTTTTTCAGATTTGATCATAAGCCTTCTTTTCTTCTCATACACACCTTTCTCAAGGGAATTTCATCCATTTCCAAGGCTCAACCATTAGATAGATGGACTGCTAGCCCAGCTCCTTCTCCTGAGCTTCAGACTCTTATATCTGCCTTCTTACTGGGCATTGCCAACTAAATGTCACAATGGTGATTCAAATCCAGCTTGTCCTAAAGTGAACTGATTTTGCTCCACAGAATGGCAGCCTCCTCCCATGTCCCCTTTCTCAACGACTGGCACTTTGATTGGCACACTATTAGAGAAACATCTTGGCATCCTATTTCTGCCTTTGTCTCACCTCCTCTACATCTGCCAACTTTACTTCCAAAATACCTCTGGGACCAGACATCCTATCTCTCTCCTTGTTGCCTCTATCCTGCTTTGGGCCACCATCATCTTTCTACTGATTGATGACTATAGCCTCCTAATTGGCCTCTTGGCCTTCAGTCTTGATTCATCCAAATTATTCTCCAAGTTGCCAGAATTATATTTTGTAAGTGGAAAACTGACCCTGATGTTTTCCTGCTTAAAACACTTTAGTGATTCCCAACATTTTTGAGGATAAAGATGGAATGTCCTAACTGAGTTTTCAAGGACCTATATGATTTGTTCTTTGCTTATTCTGTGGCCTCATTTCTGCCTTCCCCCTAATCCCCTGCAGTATTCCACATGCTAGTCCTACTGAGCTTTCATTTTCCAGAATCAGTCCACAGGCCCTTGTCTGCAACCCTTGAGGTCTCAGGTACAGGTTGCTTCTTCCAGGAAGATTCCCCTCATACTTAGGTCTGGGCTAGGTCCTCTCCCTTGCGGGACCTTGAACAGCTTAACTCACAGCTCTGTCTTCTTCCTCATGATTTACTTAGGGCTTGGGCTTTGGAGTCAGGCCATGGGAATCTGAATTCCAGCTCTGCCACCTGCAAGGTATTATTTAACTTCAGTGAGCCTCAGTTTCCTCATCTGTAAAATGGGTCTAAACCCAGAATCTATTCTATAGTTTGCAGTGAAGAGTAAATGAGATGAGGCACATGGAGTGCTCAGCACAGTGCCCAGTAACAGTTGCACTGGTTACCCGTCTGTTCCTATCTTCACATTTTGAATTCCATAAGAAAAGGGGCAGTCTTTTGCCTTGTTGCATACCTGACACCTCAAACTCTGTTTGTCTAGCACTTTTTTCAAAAATAATGAAGGCCATTGCCTGTTTTGGTTTTCTAGGTAGGTCATAGAGGCAGAAGGTGTCATTGGTGTCTAATGATGTAAAGGAGAAAGGAAGGGAGGCTGAAGGTTAGAAATTAATTGCAAGAGTGTGTTCCTTAGATATTTTTTCTTAAGTATCATTGACATTTAAGATGATTTTAAAAGTAATATATTCTTATTCTAGGAAATTTGGAAAATATGTAACTTACAAGGAATATATCAAGCACCTACAGCTTTACCATCTAAAAATCCAGCATTAATATTTTATCATTCCTTATAGCTTTTTACAAATTCATGTCTATTTATTGAAACAGGGAGCAAAAGGCATGCAACTAATTATTTGTCTAATTAATTATTTAAAAACTATATTTTTTATTTGAATTTAAACTGTATAAAGGCAGGGATTATGCACAATACTAAATGTCCAATATCTGCTATAGTGCAAGTAGCAGCTCAATAAAAATATATTGACTAAATTACTACATATATTTAATTTGGTATCTTCATTATTTTTTAAATTTCAACATTATCTTGTATTTCCCCATGCCATTATTTATTTCTCTATTAATTATTTTTATTGATTGCTTAATAGTCTTAATTTATATTTGTATCTCAGAAATAATTTAATCATTTATTGTTGTACACTTAGGGTATGTCAGTTCTTCATTATTTTAATTAATACTGTGACAGCCATTCTTGTGCATAGTTTTATGCCTATATATTAGATTATTTCCTTAAGCTCCTTTCCTAGAAGAGGAATCTTGTTACAAGTCTTTTAAAAATATTTTAAAATTCTCTATTCTATTTGCCTCACATTGTCTGTAAAACATCCACACTCACTGTTTTGTGACTTTTTCTTTCTCTCTAATGAACCTGAGATAAATAACACCCAAAGCCCAAGGCTCAGCCTTACTCACCCTCCTGCTCTCCATGCTGGGAGGAAATGCTCTTGCTCCTGCCCTGGGAACCACCATCATTCACACTTTTGTCTTATTAAATACATCAGGTTACAGAGGGGGAACAAAAAAAGATCATTATTGTTTATTCTTCCTCTCCCTCCCCTTTATTCTCTTTTCCCCCATCTCCTCCCCCTGGGCCCTCCCCTCTTCCTCCCTCCTCTTCTTCCTCATTCTCCTCCTACTCACACCTTTTTAAGAAAAAAAAGAAACAAAACTTTTTGAAAAAAATGTATTTATTATATATTGTGGATAATTAAGGAAGAAATTTAATGAAAGGAAGGGAAGGAGAGAAAGGGGTCAGAGAGAGAAAAAGAAAGCAAGCTAGAAAAAGAAAGAGAAAAAGAGAAGGGAATGAGAAGAGACTAGAAACAACATTTTAGAGCGGGGAGAATCATTAGAGAATGACAGAGGTGAAAACAGAAGAAAAAATATTGGTGTACCAAAATATATATTTGAGGCCATTCTTATACAACCCTTTGGTCAACATTTTTCTGACAGCCTTTCAAAGATTTGAAGAAGCTCTTATAGTTCTATAAATTTTATTTTATTTTTAGTTTTGCCTTTTTGTTCCCAGAGTAAGTTTATTTATTTATTTATTTTTAAATTTTACCTTAATTTCTGGGATACATGTGCAGAACATACAGGTTTGTTACATAGGTATACATGTGCCATGGTGGTTTGCTGCACCTATAAACCCATCATCTAAGTTTTAAGCCCCAAATGCATTAGGTATTTGTCCTAATGCTCTCCTTCCCCTTTCCGCTCACTCCCCGACAGGCCCTGGTGTGTGATGTTCCTCTTCCTGTGTCCATGTGTTCTCACTGTTCAACTCCCACTTATGAGTGAGAGCATGCGGTGTTTGGTTTTCTGTTCCTCTGTTAGTTTGCTGAGAATGATGATTTCCGGCTTCATTCGTGTCCCTGCAAAGGACATCAACTTATTCTTTTTTTATGGCTACATAGTATTCCATGGTACATATGTGCCTATTTATTTATTTTCATTTATTTATTTATTTATTTGAGACAGAGTCTTGCTCTGTTGCCCAGCCTGGAGTGCAGTGGCGTGATCTCGGCTCACTGCAACCTCCACCTCCCATGTACAAGCGATTTTCCTGCTTCAGCCTCCCGAATAGCTGGGATTACAGGCACCCACCACCACACCCAGCTAACATTTTGTATTTTTAGTAGAGATGGGGTTTCACTGTGTTAGCCAGGATGGTCTCGATCTCCTGACCTCGTGCTCCGCCCACCTCAGCCTTCCAAAGTGCTGGGATTACAGGCATGAGCCACTGCGCCAGGCCTACTTATTTATTTTTTGAGACAGAGTCTCACTCTGTCACCCAGACTGGAGTGCAGTGGCATGATATTGGCTCACATCAACCTCCGCCTCCCAGGTTTAAGCGATTCTGCTGCCTCAGCCTCCCTAGTATCTGGGATTACAGGTGCATGCCATCACCCCTGGCTAATTTTTGTATTTTTTAGTAGAGATAGGGTTTCTCCATGTTGATCAGGCTGGTCTGGGACTCCTGACCCCAAGTGATCTGCCTGCCTTGGCCTCCCAAAGTGCTGGGATTACAGGCGTTAGCTACCGCGCCCGGCCTCAGGGTGTTTATCTACTTATTTCCATTGTTCCTCCGGGGACATAATTTTTATCCTCCAGTTACCCTTTTTGGAATAATGTTCAGTTTGTCAGTATCCCTGCTAAGATGTGGGGCTCTGTGTTGGACAGGGAACTCCAGAGTGTTCCTGGTGTGAGCTGAGGAACAGAGCACACAACAGGCCTGTCACTTCCTATGCTTAGCACGGGAACTTCTCTTTACCCTCTTTTGCTCTCCATCTCTCTCTCAAACATTTACAGCAGTGGTTCTAAAGCTTCTTGGTCTTAGACCTCTTTACCCTCTTAAAAAGATGATTGAGAACTACACATAGATTTCATTCATGTAGATTCCATCTAGTGATATTTACCAAATAAGAAGTTAAAACATAAAATTTAAAGTTATCGCTTTAATTCATATGAAAGTAACAAAAATACACCCATGACATGGGAACATAATTGACATTTCCTTATGAAAATGTTTCAAAATTAAAAAAATATATTCAGAAAATGGCATTATTTTATGTTTGCTTATCTCTTCAACATCTGGCTTAATAGAGGATAGCTTGATTCTCATCTGATTCTTCATTTAATCTATTACAATGTGATGTTTTGTTGAAGTATATAAATAAAATCTGACCTCACTCAGAGGCATAGTTGGAAAAAGGGGGAATATTTTAATGGCCATCTCAGGTAGTCATGGATATTCTTCTTTGATATTACACAAAAACTTGTGGCAGTTTCTGAAAGGTTAGTTTCAATGCAAAATCTGGAACCTTATCAATGAACTTTTCCTTAGTTGATTACATATAATCCATTGGTCCAACTTACACTTTCAAAGGATCTTTTACCCCTGCATGATTTTGTAACATCATACATTAATCATAGGGAAAATATTAGTTACGCAGGTCTTCCAAATGTTGACACATTTCATTCTATAATACAAAAAAATCACATTAATTAATATTACTATAAATCTTATATGCAAAATCTTCAAGTATTGGGAAACTGACAAGTTTGCGGTGGCAGACATAAGCTTTCTAAAATTTACTTGTAAGCTTGAATTTTATCATTAGCAACAAATATTGGTAGTGATTTTTCTTGAAGCGACAGGCTTACCTCATTCATTTCTGTGGAAATGTCTGCTACATGCCCACATCTGAATAATCATAGTTTGTCTGTTAGTCATTCTTTCAAGTAAAAATGGGGTCAAAATTTAATAAAAATAACAATATTTACTGCTTAATAAAAGACATTGTTAAGTGAAACTGGGTTTCCCCCCATCTCTGGGCATGCATAGTGGTAAAGAATACAATGACCACTTGCACAGTTGCACATCATTGCTTTTGCACCATCAGTGCAAATGTCAACACAGTGAAAAACGCCAAGTAGTATGACTCTGAAAATAATTTTGGCATTGTGGACCTCTTGAAAGGATCTGGAGGACTGCCAAAGTTCTGTGGACCACACCTCAAGAGAGCTGCCAGTGTTCAGGACGCCTACTAGTCACATTAGTTATATTCAGTCTCCCACTGATCCTATTAGTGATAACAGGCTGTGGATCTTCAAAGAAGTAACACTAATAGCAGCAGGAATGAATGTATTGTAGGTGCTGTGCCAGGTGCATTTCATACATTATCTCACAGCAACCCTTGAGGTAGGTTCTGTTTTATCCCCACTTTCAGATGAGACAACTGAAGATCAGAGAGGTGAGTTAACATGCCTAAGGTCACACAGCTGGTAAGATTAGAGCCAGTGGGAAACACCCAGCAGCCTGACTCCAGAGCCCATGCTGTGAGCTGCTCTGTTATTGCTGGAGAGGCTACCAGGGTGGGTGAAGTGAAGAGATAGCATGCCGGAGAGGTAGGAGGTCAAAGCAGTGGCTGAGAGTCTTGGACTCAAGGATCTAAATAGCAAATCGAAGTTTTCCCCAGAACCTCTTTTCTCATCTGATTCCCATAAAGTCCTCTGAGATGGACAGGATTCTTCTTATTTCCATTTTCTAAGCAAGGAAACTGACAGTGCTCAGCAGGCAAGCATCCCCTTGTAGCCTGAGTCATATGCTAGGAGAGCGCCACCTTCTAGCCCAATGCCAAAGACTCAGGGCCCTTCTTGACAGCTTTTCTCCCTTGGGGCATCATGCTGTCATATGCCATGGGGGGAACTTGGTGAAACAGGCAGTGGTGTCAAAAGAGAGAGGAATGGCGACCCAAAGTCCAGGCACTTGTCTGACCAGCAGTGAGAGTCCTCCTGGGTGTCTATGACTGAGACTCAGAGCTGTTCTGCATTCTGGGGTTCAATTCCACATTAAGCCAGGAACAGTTTCTCTGCAAACAGAAAAGCAAGTGTAGAGGATGAAAAGGACAGGTCAGGAAAATACACTGAAGCCTTGGAGGCTGTGGACAATAAGGTTTGAAGGAATAGAGAAAAAGGAGCTCAAATGCTGCCTGGATTTCTTTCTCAATGGAGGGAGAAATTGAGGCCTGCAGAGGGGAAGGAATGTGCCAAACGTCATGCAGCCCATAAAGTAAAAATGCCAAACACCATGCTGGCCCCAGGACCCCTTGCTTGATTCACTGTACTCTCAGAAAAGAGACTATATTTAGACAAATCAAAGCCAGCTTGCCTGGAGTCTCCCTTCTGATATCTCAAAGCAAACAGAGGCAACTGGCAGCGGGGTTGCTATGCCAGAAGCTCAAGCTCTGGAGACTTGTCCCCCTTCTGTGAAATTTTTATGAACAGGGACTGAGAACCAGGATGGAATTGCTTTGGTTTATCAGGACCTCTCCCCAGAGTTTGTAACCTTGTTCCTCCCACATACCACTCTGGTGTTTAAATTCCAAGTGGGTTTTATATTCAGTTCAATCTGAGATTGCTTCTCTTCTAATGAGCCAACTTTGCCTTTGTTCTTTTGTTTATATTCCCTAGACAATTGACAGTTCCTGAAAGTTGCAGTCCTGCTGGATGCGGAAGAGGGGAAATTTCAGGACAGTTCCTGAATATTCAGGCCTTCAAAGCCCCATTCAAGGCCAGCACAGTGCCTCCAGAATAAAGGGGGAGATAATTCACAGGTTACAATCTGCTGCAGATGAGAACACCTGTTCTCAGCTCAGATCCTCACATGGTCTCCCCTGCCCAGGGCAGTTCCCCTGCTGGTCTTCCACATGGGGAAGTGTAGAGGGGAAATTTTTCCGTAATAAGGGGACGATTGTCTGCTCCTCCATTTTCTTTCCTCATCAACAGGTTGGGTTCTGAATTTTTACAATTAGAAATGAAGTGTTTAATTTCAGGTTCTATTCACCAGGACAGAGGAGAATATTATACTGACTGTAGGACTTCTTTTTTTTTTTTTTTTTTTTTTTTTTTTGCGGGGAGAGGTCCACAAATATTTATGGAGAATCTGCTATGTTCAAAGCCCTTTTTAAGAACTGAAGATTCAGCAGTTGAAGCAAACAAGTGCTCTGCTCTGGTGGAGCTGACATTCCCTGGAGCGAGTCAGATATCATATGATGGTCTGTAGGGCAGTGTGAAAGGCAAACGCAGGTAAGGGCCTAGAGAGTGACAGAGGTGGCATTTTCGACTGGCATTAGAGACAGGCACTGAGTTAGGGCGAGGGTTAGGAGTAGATACCTGAGGAGCTGATATTTGAATAGAAACCTGAATGAAGCTAGAGAATGTATTCTGAAGCATGGGGGGAAGACTCCTTTACTTGTCAGATTGGTCATCTCTGAAATGGGATGGGGTCTGCCTTCCAACCTCAGATCACACAGAACCAGCTTAACCCTGCTTCCAGATGCACATCCCCTCCATGTTCTTGAAGACCATCCTTGGGTCCCACCTGAACCTTCTTATCCCAGCAAATCTGACTGATTTTCCAGCCCAAAGTTACCTTTCAGAGTGCATTTACCCCAAACAAGACAAAGCAAAAAAACCCAGCCCTTCTAGAATCTGGAGTCAGTTACTAGATCTTTGATTCTTCTTCTTCTGCCATTCTTGATCCTTATGAGATTCTGGAGCTTCAGAGATAGATGGGCCCTCTGAGGTCAGATGGCCCAACCCCCTCATTTTATAAATGGGGAAAGTGAAGCCCAGGCATACGAAGGGCCCTGTTTTTGGCTGCTTACGGAGTTAGTTACAAAAGTGACAGAGTGGGGACACGTGTCCAGGTTTCCTACCGATCTCATGCTCTTTCTCCTTCCAGCCTCCAACACCCCAAATGCCACCTTTAATCCACATCTACTTTACGTACTTGGAGAATAACAACAATAGCTCATGTTTCCGCAGAATTTGGGTTTCCTCTTGCAATGTTGTTCTGTTCTTCTCCAAGGTTGTATTCTGAGAAAAGAAACTCACTGTAAGTTTCTTTTTTTCTCTTTTAAACTAAATATTGTCTTTTATTTTACTCCAGGCTTTGTGCTAAAGACTTTATCCTCAGTATTTCATTTAACTCTCAAAACCCCTTTGTGAGACATTATAATCATTTTTGTTGAAAGACTGGGAAGCTCAAGTTCAGAGAGGCCGAGTAATTTACCCAAGATCACACAGCCAGAGAATGGTGGAGCTGGGATAAGAACTCAGGACCTGCAGACTCACCCACTAGGCTGGTCTGTTCTCCATGTCTAGCATCTGTCACCAGCCAAAGTATCATGCTCCTATTGGGACATTTGTCTCTTCATATTCATGGGGCTTCTTTCTCTTTGGCTATTTTGGTTACCTTTCTTCACCCCGATATCGTAGCAGTTGGCCATGCCAGGAGCCTACCATCCTCTAGCCTTACTCTGCGAGGTTCCTGACCCACGGCTTGGGATGTTTCGCATCACCTGACCTTGGAATCCTGGCCACAGCTGATGCAATACAGAATAACTTAACCCAAAGCCTACTAGCTATGGGCTGGTCAGCAGCCTCTGAGGTGTTGATGCTCTGTCCATAGGAACACTGTGCTCTGGCAGGTGATTGGCTGAACCAATCAGACCTTTTCTCTTGGAGAGCAGTAAGATAGGGTAAGGCATAAGAATAGTGTTCATAATCAGAAGAGGCAGAAACACAGAAGTCCAAGGCTTATGGACAGATTAGACAAGAGTGAAAAACGTTCCAGTGGTGGAACAATATCGTGTACTCCATGGGGCTTGACTCTGCAGCTCAGATGGTTTCTGCAGCTCAGATGGTTTCCTTACTTCTCTGTGAATTTTTAAAATAAACTTCTAGTAAGTGAGTAACATGAGTGTGTCTCTGTCCATGCTCCCCAGAAGAGGCAAATCAGCACTCTTCAGTCTGTTCCCCTTCAGTGCAGCAATTGGTTCAGCTGATCACCCTCCAGCACTGAGTCTCCACGTAGGGCAGAACTTCTACAGTCATTGGCCCCTGGTTAGACCTGAGATAAGTTTCCCCAAGGGAGGCTGAGAAACCATCTGGGCAGATTCCTGAGGCGCCCTTCAGACTTGATGGAGCAGAATTCCCGTGGGTGGCTCCTGAGACATCTTACCCAAACTCCCCAGATGATTTTATTCCCAAGTGATTTCTATGGATCTTAAAGTTTGAAAACAGTGGCCATGGAGAGCTGTTTGTGGGTCAGATACTCACTCTGGTCCTACCAATTGTGGTGAGCATGCATGATCTGGAGTGAAGATCCTGCATTCTCTTTGGTCTAAGGACTTGCCTGTGGATCCTCCTTTTTGGGAGGTGGAGGTAGGGGACATTGGACCCCATCATGCAACCCTGCTGATATGTTTTAGGAACTGGTCATACCTGAAATGGCAAAATGCTACCCATCAACTGGTCATACCTGAATGGCAAAATGCTACCCATGAACTTTAAAATATTTTGAATTACGTGCTGTCTCTTAATGACCCCAAGATTTCATACACCCAGAAATCTGATTTCCATCTTTTCTTGAAAATCTGTGATATTTAGTAGCACTGGGCCTTCATTCTGTTTTGGCAACAATAAACTATTGCTGAATACAGATGCCATCTTCAGATGGGGCTTAAGTGCTCCATTTACTTCAGGGTCCCCCCTCTTCTGATAGTGTCTCCAAATTTGAGGCTGTCAGTGGTTCAAGAAAAATGGGAGTGATCACATTTTTTTTGTGGATATGAAGAATATTCTCTTATATTTACTAGGTCAATTTTGTAACTGTCTTGAGAAAAATACAACTCAAAATGGTCATATTACTCTGATGATGCTGGATGTCTGATCCTAAAGACATTTGGGTTGTGGTGCTTGACACTGATTCCCACATCCCTCCATGTGCTGTAACTGGAAGGTGAGAGTCCACCATAAAACCAGAGAATATCAGAATCTGATTGTGGAGTGCACCATCTTTCTTGTACAGATGGAGAGACTTTGGCTCAGAAAGACAAGAGCACTCCTGGTTGTCACCCAGGATTTGGGGCATAGCCAGAGTGAAAGCTGAGTCCTCATTCTCAAGCTGGGCTCTTCTTCTTCTATAACTGGCACTATTTCCTTCAAAGTTTCTTTACACTTGGCCACATCCTTTTTTTTGTTTTTTTTGGCACGGGGCAGGGGTGTTCACTATATCACAAGTACAGTTCTAACTCAAGTGTCTTACAAATATTAACTGATTTAATAATTATCCTTATTGACAAATGAGAAAATTGACGTTTACAAAGTACTTTGCTTATTTGTGAAAGAAAAGGAATTTGAATCCAGGTCTGGGCACCATCAAAGCCTGAGGGCTTCCCCGTGTTGCTGTGTAAATCAGCTAACTTACCAACCTGGGAGGTTGGTGCCATGCTGTTTCCATTTTATTATGGAGAAGGCAAGAAGGTAAGTGGCTTGCCTGGGATCGCATAGCCAGTAGTTGATACAGTCAGGACTAAAATCTAGGGCTGGCTCCAGGCTGGCACTTGTAACTGTGGCCACATTTGCTACTCTTCTGTACCTCATGTAACCACTAGAAACCTTCCAATGGTTCATTTCCATTGTTTTGTATGGAATCACTCTGTACAACTTAGTATCAATACATACATTTGGGTGTGTAGAGAGGATCGGTCTATTTTGTGGCACACTGAATGTAACTGGAGAGTTTTGTGATAGTGCAGCATTTTGGGCCAACACATTGAGCAGCAGCCTAGACATTCAGGTGAGATGATGCCTACAAATGGAGAATCTGCATCCACAGACAAGAAGGGCCTTCTCCAGTGGCACATGGTGAGTGCCAATTCTCAAATGATTAGAGCCAACACTCTCTAGAGCCAGAACTAGAACACAGGGCCCTGACTTTTTTTCTGTATGATTCTTTCTCTTTCCAACATACAAAGTTACTTACCTCCTATTCGAATGTTATCAGTCAAATGCCATGAAATGCTGTGATTCCCTTCTGTCATCTTCATTTCACATTGTTAAAGATGAGAGGTATGCCTTCTCCTCACTTAGAACCCCAATACCTCAGAAAGTGAGGACTATATCAGTGGTTTTTACAACATACTCCAAAGAATCCTAAAGTTTCCTGTTAGGTCCTTGTAAGATTTTGAAAATAACAAAGTCTTTACCACCAAGAATAAAGATTCAAATTGACTTGACCACCAAGAATAAAGATTCAAATGTCTTTAGGATCAGACATCCGGCATCATCTGAGTAATATGACCATTTTGAGTTGTATTTTTCTCAAGACAGTCAGGACTAATAAAGATTCAAATGTGTTAATCACTCAATTACAAAACATATTTTATATGTTGAGTTTAGTGTAATATATCATTTTAAAGAAAGAGTTCCATTGCTAAAAATATCTTGAAAACCTCTTTTTGTAAATATCATTTGTCACAGAGTCACAGGATACATCTACCCAGAGGTAGAAAGTAAACGTGGATTCAAAGTCAAATATTCCAGTAAGGTAGAGGAAACCAAACTTTCACTTTGGGTTAACCAGGCACTTTGATGAAAAATGATCTTGCCTTCTCAGCATCAGTCGGCTGGGACAATGGCAGTGTTTCTTCTGTCCCTGCTGGGCATGCATTGACCTGTCCATCTTTGCAATGCAGGCACTGGAATAGCAGCCATCCTTTGGCAGGAGAGTCTGAGCCTGCTGGAGGCTCTAACACTCAGGCTTGCTTATAGGATTCTCTATATCTCCACTCTGGGTTCTAGAACCCAGAAGCCTGGCTGCAGATTCAGACCCTGAAAACCTGGGGGTAAGGGTTCAGGTGGTGAGGAGGGGTGTGGTGGAAATGGTGCTATGAAGGTTTCTGGAAATATCAGCTGTAGCTTTGTGAGTACAAGAGATTAGAAAGTTCTGTCACACAGGAATGAACTTGAGAAAAAGCAAGCAGATGAAGCAGATACACACTCAGGCCCGTTCTCCTCTATCGCCCCAGCTCAGGTGGGTGGTACACACACACACACACACACACACACACACACACACACATACACACACACACACACAGGCTCATATTCAGATTTGGTTTGATTCAGCTGTAGTTCTTAGTAAAGTGTTTAACTAGTCAGGTCAGATACCCTGCTTCTCATCTCTAGCTAGCCTCAACACTTCTCCTGTGTTTATCCACAGCAGGTAAACACCTACAGGCTTCTCCCTGCTGCAGCATATGAGGCTACCACCAGGCCTGGCCTCCCTGGCCATCTCACTCAACCCTCAAGCCTTCCCCATCTGATCTCTTCATGCCATCAAGGCCAGACTGGACATCCTCGGACACTAGCGATCTCAGAATCTCAGGCCTAGAGGGCATCGGGTCATCCACCGCATGCCTGTTGTTTGACATGTAGAGATGTTGGAGCCTAATATCTCAGGAGAATGAAGGGGAAGCTTTATCTTCCAAAAGGTCTCCCAGGATCTCTGCCTCAAGCCGGAAGCCTGTCTTAAATCAGATTTCACAGATGGCAGCCCATGGGCTATACCAGCCCCACACACATTTTGTTCAGTTCATACACTGTTGGATGCCACAATATTATCTTGTAATTTAAATTTAGAGTAAACATTTTAAAATGGAAAATTTTATCCCTCCAAAGTCCAGATTTCTAACTTCTCTTAAAAATATCGTACAGTGTGACAACCTCATCAAAACTCCCAGGTGGAGTAATTTGCTGAAGGTGAATAGCCACGTTCCTTTTAGGTGGAGAATTAGCTTAATTCATTTCTCTCCAGTTGGCCTATAAAGGCATTTGTATTTGCAGCCTCTGCCTCAAATAAAAATAAGATAATATTAATAATTGTTGATGCATATTGAGTATTTTACCAGTACTAAATACCATGCATATGTTAATTCTCAGTAAAACTCTATAAGGTAGATTTATTATCATTCTCATTTTACAGATGAGAAAGCAGGGTCTTGGATGAGTTAAGAGAGTTGCCCAAGGTCATACACGTAAGAAGAGGAAGAGCTTGGATTAGATTTACCCAATTCTAGAAACTATGCTGACCCTAAGGCCTAGGTAGTCTGCTTCCATGGAGGTGACTCTTGAAATTTGTCCATTCCTTATCTACATTTGGAGTTTTGGTCTTTGTTTCCAACAGTCAGTGAGACTTTGGTGCTTTTATGCCTACAAGCATTCACCAAATGGGGAATCTGGGTCATGACAAGATGAGACTGCACTCTTCTCCTTTCCATACCCCCAAGCCCCTCTGCTCCTCCTTCCGACTTCTTTCCTCAGACTGCAGCAGCACCATCCTTCTTTCAGTCAGCCATGCAGTCACTTCAACTTCATTTCTGACCCTCCTCTTCCCTGCTTATGTGTTAAATCAACATCTGGTGTTACACTGAGTCTTGTTTATACTTTATCCATGTTTTTGGCTTCAGATCTTTGTTTTCTGTCTCCCTTCCACCTCAAAACCACTCTTCAAGACATTGCTGTATTAATCTTCTTAAAGCATCGGTCAGCCCACATTATTCACCTCCTTAAAAACCACCATTGACTTTCCACTGCTTGAGGGAGCCAGGCCCCTGCTCTTTGGCATGGCCTTTGAGAACCTTTATAATACTGGGGAAGCTTCTCTAGGCATAGGTTCTTGGAATTCCTCTTTGTATTTCCAGTCTGCCAGCTAAACTGAGCTATTCCCAATTTCTCAAATGTCCCTAATGCTTTCCATGTCTAAACACCTGTCCTTTTTGTTTGGAATGCCCAACTACTAAGCCTTCCTTGTGGAATTGTACTCCATCTTTTAAGGTCTAGCTCAAATGCCACATCCAGAAAACATCCCTGAACAAAATGCTCCCCATTTATACCACCCTCATCCCTGTTCCCTGGACAGAGAGGAAATGCTATTTTACAACAATTTATGGAATATCTATTATGTGCCCGGCACTGTGGGATACTCATTGATGCACTTTTACAACTTTCAGCAAATACTAAGTGCTTACTATGTGGCAGACACTGTCTTAATATAAGAGGTGCAAAACTCACAACTGTAATATAATATCGGGCAGTGATAAGAGCAGTGAAGAAAATGTGAAGCAACTGAATCTGATTCACATGGGGTGATAAGAAATGAATAAGGAATCAATAAGGCCCACCAGGACTCATGGCACCAAGAGATGCCTGCTGCAGAGATGTGCAGGACTAACTGGCCCCATCTAGGAGCAAAAGTTCAGCAACAGCCTCTGTCAATTCTGTGGCTCTTCCTGCACCCTGACCCCATCTTTGAGGTTGATTGGCACTGTGGCTGCTGGGTGTCTTTATGAGCTCTCTTCAAGAGAAATGCAGCCACGAGGAGGATCTGCTTTCAGGGTCTGTAGATGCAGGGGTTCTCCACTGATGCATTCTGGAGACTGGGTTCCAGAGTGAGCGTCCCCACTGTTGGAGGAGGAAATGCACAGCCAGACCACTGGGCAGTATGGGTTAATGCAGCCAATCCGAACAGAGCCGACCGATGAGGGCAAGGGGCTGATCATTCCTGCTACAACACTCCCCAGAAGCTACTGAAGTCTGTTATCAGGATCGCAGACTTTAGCTGAGAATAGCTCAGGTGAGTTGGTCCCGTGGAAATCACAGGCAAGCTGGCTGCCTCCTGGGTGCTCCACTCCTCAAGTCCCTCCCTGTGGAATGTCCTGTCCACTTTGCTTGACAATGATGATTGGTATGATGTCGATTGCTATGATGGTGATGATGATGATGATGATGATGACGACAATGTGACCACAAGGCTCAATTACTGAGGGTCTCTGCTAAGTGCTTTATGTGCTTTCTATCACTTAATGCTCACATATAGTCCTTGAGGTAGGTACTGTCATTATCCCTACTTTACAGATGAGAAATCTGAGGTGTAGAGAAGTTAAGAATTTTGCACAGAGGCACACCTTGTACATGAGGGGTGTTAGAATTTCAAACCCAATCAGATGCTGGACTCCAGAGCCCCTGTGTGTTTAACTCTGTAACAGTATAGTCTCCTGTGCTGTTGAAATTTTATCTGACCCCAAGGCCTCATTCAAAAAACATCTCTACCACAAAGCATCTTTGATTATCTTTTTCATGTCTGTGTATGGCACACGTGACTGACCTCAGCAGTAGTTGTCATTCATCCATTCAACATTTATTGCGTATTCATTAGGTGGTACATGGACAAATGCTATTTTTAATTTTAATTCCTGAGTATTTTAATATGTACTTAAATAATAGTTAACACATCATACCTGTGGGCTTGTAAATGTTTCCACCTGGACGGAACTAAAACATTATGCTAGAACTGAAGTCATTTTAATGAGGACCATTAATTACATGATTAATGGGTCAGGGGATCTCTAGAAAAGGTTATGCAGAAATGGCTTATGTCTTGGATGCACTGCTCTCATTTGTGGAATCTCTAATATGATTCAACAATCTCATTGCACAATGAGAAAACTGAGGCCCAGAGTTTCAGGTGACCCACCTATGAGCTCCTAATAGTCAGAGGCAGATTGAAGGAAAGCCTCCAGGGCACCAGATCCCCAGGCCAGCATTTCTTTCTATAATGCCATTAGTTTTTTTGCTTTCTACCTGTGCAATTTTAACCTCAAAGGGCAAAACAATTAAAACAGTTCATCTGAGTTCATTCTGGTAGCAGAGAGAACCAGCAGTAACTTCATACACCCAGTTAGATTGCTGTCATTTAACAAGGACTTTTACAAGTATTTTCCTTAGAGTCCTGTCTCTGTTTATACTTATAAACAGAAAAATTTTTTTCAAGATGCTTGTCATTCCTCCTACATTGTTAGAGATTTGCTTGTATATAGTCTCAGGAAATGATTTGATGTTTTCCCCTGGGAGTTTATTCTACTTAGCTAGAATCATAAGAGAGAATCAACTTTGTATGTTATGAGGCCTCTTTCGATTTGCGTTGACATTGTGTGTGCTGCTCTGACTGCCAAGTTGAAATTGAATGGTGTATAAATATAAAATGACTTCTTTAACTTTTCCACCTAAGTCAGCCCACTGGGGGAGCACATTGCTTGGATCTGAATGCATCCCTTTCAGAGGGACACAGTCTAGAAAGAGGGTGACAGGACAGGAGGAGACCACAGCCCTATCAAGGGAGCAGCAGCTGACGGGACTGGGGTTAGCTGGCCTGCAGACTCGAGGGGCCATCCCAAGGTCACTATTAGCAGCTTGTTGAAAAGCTGTCATGAGGCAGGGCAGGGCAGGCACACTGTGCTGCATGTCTTCAAAGCCCTGGGCTGCAGACGCCACCTGCTACTTCAGGAGTTGGGGTTGGGAACAGAGTAAGCAGGTGGGCACCTAAGGAATGTGAGGAGGGGAAGGCAGCAGCTCCAGGGAATTGTTGTCAGGTAGGAATGCAGGCTAGAACTTTTTTAAAAATATGAAATCTAAGTTTTTAATGGTGGCAATAAATTTCGATAGATTGTGTGGCCAAACAAAACACATCTGTGGGTTAGATCCGGCCTGCAGACTACCATTTTTGACTTGTGCTTCTATGGGTCATGAATTACTTTAGTATTTCCAGCTGCTGATTCAGTACTTTGAGTCCATGCATGGATTCCCCCTTTCTTATGTGGCAGTTCCTGGGATGTGGTCCTGTGCTCAGGGTTCAGCGACTTTGGAGAGTATTTTCACCACTCTTCAGGGGATTGTGTGAGACTTGGACAAGAACTCTGAAGCTCCAAAAGCTGGGGACTCCTTGTGGGGTAAAGGGAGGGTCAGGCGATTCCAGGCAATGTGGCGAGGTCCCATGGTACCTGGGAACATAATTGAGACAGAGGCAAGAGATCTAAGTTTTCACACTACCTTTGTTGTATGTTCTGGGATAAGTTTTCACACTACCTTTGTTGTATGTTCTGGGATAAGTAACTTCTCTGGGTCTGTTTCCTCTCCTTTAAAATGAGAGGTGGGATTGGATGGGTTTCTGTGATTTTGTTACAGTCACCCTTCCTCACTCTCAACCCCAATTCTATAGGACTTCCAAGACCCCACATCCAGTATGCCTGTCTGAGGTGTGTTTGCAGCAATCTGAAGAACCCACTCTGCAGAGCCAGCTGGGTCAAGTTGCCCTCTCCCTGTTACCCTAGGGTTCTCTCTGCCTCAAATGCCTTCCTACTTTCTCTACCCATGTAACCCCTACCCATTCAATCATTCAGCAAGCCTCTCCTGACCCAGGTCAGGTCTATTTCCCAATCATATGCACCATTCCATCAGAGTACTCACTATAGGCACACTACTCATTTATTTGTGTGATTATCAGATCAGCGTTTCACTGGGTTAGATTATCCTGATGTTCTCTTCTCACCCTGATAATCAGTGATTCTGAGACAGTCAACCAATGAACGGCAGTGCACAGAGCAGTGGCTCTCAAGCTCTATTATTTCCCCCATGCACTCGAGAGAGTACGGCACACATCCAGCACAAATCTGCTGGGTTGAGAAGCTCATATAGAGGTTAAGAGCACAAACCTGGTCTTGACATTTCCATCTGCTGCTTTCTAGCTTTGTGGCTCTTTCCATAAGATGCACTGACACCCAGCTTAACCATAGAGTGATGATTCATTTTTGTTGTTGTTGTTTTTGAGATGGAGTCTTGCTCTTGTCACCCAGGCTGGAGTGCAGTGGCACGATCTCGGCTCACTGCAACCTCTGGCTCCCAAGTTGAAGCTATTCTCCTGCCTCAGCCTCCTGAGTAGCTGTGATTACAGGCACCTGCCACCATGGCCAGCTAATTTTTATACTCTTATTAGAGATGGGGTTTCGCCACGTTGGCCAGGCTGGTCTTGAACTCCTCTTACTTATATAATTCTTGAAAAGTTATTTAAAAGTAAAACTACGTGTCTCAATAGGCTGATGTAAGATTAGGTAAGATGTTGTTTGAATAGTCTCTGACAAAGAGTAACGCTTAATACATGGAAGCGGCTATCATTATAATTATTATTAGGTGGTGATGGTGGGAGCTGCAATGGTGAACACACAAAAAGTAAGATTAAAAATCGGTCTTTACAATAAAAGAATTTACAGAGAAGGCTTTGATTGATGGAGAAAGTAGAGTACAGAGTGGGACATTCAGGATACATTGGGAAACCACTTCTCCTAAAATTTTTTCTAGATTCTAAGTGCTCACCTCTTTACATTCCTAAGGAACCTCAGGTGATCCACCCACCCAAAGTGCTGGGATAACAGGTGTGAGCCACAGCGCCCGGCCAAGTGATGGTTAATTTTATGTGTCAACTTGACTGAGCTATTGGGTGCCCAGACATTTGGTCAGACATTATTCTAAGGTTGTGTGTGCTGATATTTCTGGATGAGATTAACATTTGATTTGGGAGACTAAGTAAAGCAGATTGCCCTCCCTAATGTGGATGGTTCCCGTCCAATCCATTGAAGACCTGAATAGGAAAAAAAGGCTGACCTTCCTCCCTATAATAGAAAATTCCCATGCTTGTCTGCCTTTGAGCTGGCACATTGGTTTCTTTTTACTGACAGACTTAAACTAAAACATTGGCTCTTCCCAGGTCTCAAGTCTGCCAATGTTTGGACTTGTACTACATTATCAGTTTTTCTGGGTCTCCAGCTTGCAAACTGCTGATCTTGGGACTTGTCAGCTTCCATAATCACATAAGCTGATTCTTTAAAATAAATCTCCTTTAAAACACACACACGTGTGCACACACACACGCATGTCCTATTGGTTTTGTTTCTCTGGAGAACCCCAATGAATACATGTGGAAACAATGATAGCTGTCCTGCAGGATTCTTGTGTGGAACAACTGAGTTAAAACACTTAGCTACTATTGGATGCACAGCAGGCATGCAGGGATGCAATACATGGAAACCATAAAAATATTTTGAAATCCCAGACAGAGCATCCTTAGAATAAATATTCTAGCTGGAGTTTTGGATATTTGCTCTCTTCACCAATTAGCATTTCCCTCCTCACCAAAGGACTCAGAGGAAGATGAGACCAAATCAGCCAGAGGTCCAGATATGGTTTGACTGTATCCTCACCCAAATCTCATCTCGAATTGTAATCCAAATTGTAATACCCTCATGTCAAGGGAGGGACCTGGTGGGAGGTGATTGGATCATGGGGGCAGTTTCCCCTATAATGTTTTTCTGATAGTGCGTGAGTTCTCACAAGATATGGTTGTTTGATAAGTGCCTGGTGCTTCCCCCTTCACTCTCTCTCTCTCCTGCCACCTTGTGAAGAAAGTGCCTTGCTTCCCCTTTGCCTTCCACCATTATTATAAATTTCCTGAGGCTTCCCCAGCCAGGCAGAAATGTGAATCAATTAAACCTCTCTTGTTTGAAAATTACCCAGTCTCAGGTATTTCTTTATAGCAGTGTGAAAACAGACTAATACAGGTGCTTTCTCCCCCAAGGGATATTTTGCAATGTCTTAAAAGATTTTCAGTTGTGATAACTGGGGGAAGAGAGGTGCTACTGGCATTTAGTGAGTAGAGGCCTGGGAGGCTATCCAACATCTTAGAATGCACAAGGCAGGCCCATGGCAAAGAATTATCTGGTATAAACAGTCGATGGTAAGCCAGACAGTAAGCGATGATATGTATATATCATCTGTATATCCTAAAGTCCATATACATACAATCAACTGACAACCTGCACAAAGGCAAAGCCATGACACAGACTCCCAGCCACGAGCCAACCTGACTCACCCACTGGAGGCTGACTTACCAGAAAGGGAAAGCCAGCATCTCATTTACGCACAACTTTTTGGGAAAGTAAAACTTCAGGGAAGCTGGGTGTCCCTGGTGTCCTATACAGTGTGATCATGAAGCATGATACACGTTTTTGCCCACACCTTCTTCCTGCCTAAGCTTTTCAATACTGAGCAATTCCTGTTCCGCATATCATATCATAAACTCTTTAGGAAAGTGAGAGGCCTAACAAGAGGTTGGAGGCAGCAGGGGAAATGGGGTGAGGCTGGGTGTTATGCTGAGCTACCCACCGTCTGGGCAACCTAGGTTTGGCTCACTTTCTCCCCTTTGTCTTAAAACCTTCATCAGTGAAATGAGAGGGTGGGATGAAATGACCTTTTAGTTGTTCTTTTTTTTTTTTTCAGATGGTGCCGAATCTTAGTAAGACAAGAGTGGAATTTCTCATAGAGGGCTTTTTCTCTCACGCACTGCGCTTTGCAGAATATCACAGAACTTGGAAACACCAGCTTGGGAATTAAAGAATGTGACAAACCTGAGTTGGAAATCCTAGCTCCGCCTCTTACTTACATAATTCTTGGAAAGTTATTTAAAAGTAAAATTACATGTCTCAATAGGCTGATGTAAGATTAGATAAGATGTTGTTTGAATAGTCTCTGACAAAGAGCAACGCTTAATACATGGAAGCGGCTATCATTATAATTATTATTAGGTGGTGATGATGGGAGCTGCAATGGTGAACACACAAAAAATAAGATTAAAAATTAGTCTTTACAATAAAAGAATTTACAATCCAAGAAAACTAGGTCAGTGACACAGAGAAGGAAGAAGTGCTCAAAGGAAGTATGGTCAATGGGTTGCGAGATAGGGTTTGCATTTAGAAAAGAGAAGTTAATTCCAATTAGAGATACAGAGAAGGCTTTGACTGATGGAGAAAGTAGAGTACAGAGTGGGACATTCAGGATGCATTGGGAAACCACTTCTCCTAAAATTTTTTCTAGATTCTAAGTGCTCACCTCTTTACATTCCTAAGCAACAGTTAAATGGGACAAGCAAGTTCTCTCTGTTGTCCCCGTTCAGCCTAGATGTCTGTGGAACTGTTGAATTATTCAAATGCTTTTTGTTCTGTCTGACTCCCTACCAAAAAAAAAAAAAAAAAAAAAAGGGAAAAGAAAGAAAACAAAAACACAACAAATGTGTACATCCCATGTCCAAAAGGAGTATTTGGTAGCAAGGCACAAGTACACAGATGAAGGAAAAATACAAGAACAGAAAAGAGCAGGAAAATTTCTGTTGCCTCTTCTAACCAGGAATTCAGATGGGGAGTTAAAGAGTGAATGCCTTCTAATTAGCCCTCTGCTCTGTGAGGTTCTCACATACGCTGTGTGTGCCCAGCTACCCCCAGGGCTGTCAGAGAGCAAAGCTACTTTCATAGGAAGAGAGGGAAAGAGAGGAGCGAAGAAGAGGAGGCAAGCAAATGAAGCAGGTTCTACATGGCAAAATAGAGACACAGCCCATCCTTCTCATTTAAATGAAAGAGACAGCTAATGGACAGGGCAAAATTTCCTGCTCACTCTTGGCATGAGCAGACCGGGGCTGTTGTCCTAGCTCTGCATGTTATGGGCCCGTCATAGTATCCCCTACTTCACAGGCTGTAATGGAGATTAAACGGGAAGCCACCGGTAAAGGGATTACTGTGAAAAGCAAAGTGGTTCACATAAAACAAAGATACTATTATTGTTGTTGTTTTCACAGTTAAGGAAACTGATGTGTAGAAGAGAAGGTCTTTGCTCAGGAGGTCCTGAACAGATGGCAGAGCTGGAAGTTTCCATCCTCTCAGGCCGAATGGGCAGGTTGCTTTCAGGGATAGGGTGCAGGCAGGCTGGGGCCACCTGAATAGTCAAAGCCCTCTGCTTCAGCCACCTTCAGCCAAGGGAGCCTGGGCTGGGGCTGATAAACACAGCCAAAGGCATATCCGGTATGAATTTCAGCAGCCCCTCCTACTAAGACGCCAAAGCACGCAGGTTTGTGGTGGGAAGCCCTGGGGAGTGGAGAGGAAGAGCTTGGGAGAACATGTGGGAAATTGAGCCAGCCAAGAGAAATGAAAAACACATTGGCTGGTGTGAAGGGAAGAGGATGCAGAGACACAATCCATAACTTTAAATGTTTCCGTCATCTGTGGCAGAAAGGTGCAAGTGACCTGCTACAGGGCAAGCCCAGTTCCGAAGCCCAGGCTGCTAAGGCAAAATACCTCCAGACATCTCTATCAAAACTTTTACAAGGATAGTGACTGTGACAAAATCATTCCAATGCAAACATGTAGAATTTCCACAGCTTGACTCCCAGATTGGTCTGCAGAAAGAAGACTATAACCTAGGGACAATTTTTTTTTCATGTCGGGTGGCTTCCATACCAGCTGCCTGTAATTTGTTGAGCAAAGCACTTGCCCTTCTTGAGTCTCTGATTCACTAGCAAGGCATCTACATGGGAAGAGTGATGAGGTCCTTTCTAGGTTTCAAAATGTGAAGTATGTGAGAGAGGACGAGAATGGCACAAACCTTTATTGTGTACAACTAGTTGCCAAGTACTCTTACATATTTTACATATATCACATCCTTGGGCCTTTATGGTTTTTCTTTGAGGAATGTATTATTATTTCTAGTTTAAGTATGGGAAATATGATGCCCAGAGAGGGTTGAGACTCATTCAACATCACACAGTCAATAGTCACAAAGTTGAAATTCAAAATTATGTCTATTGCTTTTCGAAGATAATGGTAGAATAGCAGTAATCGATGTTGTTGTCCCCTGAAAATGATGTTATAGAACATGTGCTCCTTGTTACTGTCATGAGCCTGTCCCACATCCCAGCTCTGGATATTTTAGGGGAAAGATCACCATCTTTGAAGATGAGACCTGAAAGATGCATGCTGAAGCTGGCTCAGACTGTCTCAAAAGAGCTAATTGTGTGCACCTCTTCTCAACTCCATCTTCAGTGATGTCACCTCAGTACTTTGAAATTGGCCATGACCCCAGTAGTTACACCATAGAAATAGACGAATACTACAAGTCAGGGATCCCCCGTCATGGAGAGCTGGCTGACTAGCACACCACTGGATGTTGCCTCAGCTCCATCACTGGCTGAGAGGAGAAATATTTAGACCCATGTAGTAACTTGACATTGCTGTGACATCCAAGCACTGTGTAAGTGGGCTTGTCTTGTTGACCTGGGTTAGACCTGTTGGGGTATTGGTGATGATCAGAATCACCTGGAGTGAGTGCTGATAGTGTGAAGGAGACACAGGCTCCTTTCTTCTAATCGGATAGGGCCTGCTGTGTTTTTACCAAGTTTCCCAGATAACTCTGATGCCCACCACAGTTTGGGAACTGCTAGTCTAATCTACACACCGAGAATGGGAATACCTCTCTTGACCTTCATCATGTGGATGGTGAAAGTAAGCATGAACAAATAAACTCAGATCTTGAAAGGGTAGAAGCCAGAGGCTGGGTGCGGTGGCTCATGCCTGTAATCCCAGCACTTTGGGAGGCCGAGGTGGGTGGATCACAAGGTCAGAAGATCGAGACCATCCTGGCTAACACAGTGAAACCCCATCTCTAATAAAAATACAAAAAATTAGCTGGGTGTGGTGGTGGGTGCTTGTAGTCCCAGCTACTCGGGAGGCTGAGGCAGGAGAATGGCGTGAATCCGGGAGGCGGAGCTTGCAGTGAGCCGAGATCGCGCCACTGCACTCCAGCCTGGATCAAAGAGCCAGACTCCATCTCAAAAAAAAAAAAAAAAAAGAAAAAGATAGGGTAGGCGCCAGATAAGCATGAACCTGAGGCTCCATTTCCTTGCCTGTAAAATAGGGATACTTCTCCCCTTGCCTGGCACTTCTTGAGAAGGTGATCCTGTTGTAATGGTTTTACAAACAGTGAAACTCTGTACAATGTGTGGCATTGTGATGACAAAAATATGAAGATGATTTTTCTTTTGGCTCTATTTCCTTGGAGTGTTGAGGACACCCTCCTTTCACCTTTTACTCCCACATCCTATTTTTGAACTTGGCATATTTTGGCCTAGGGATTAAATGACCCATGGAGCCAACAAACCTGTGCAGCTGCCCTGACTCCAGCATGTCCCAGCACCCCTGCTCCTTGCTGCAGCTGATCTGCCCCCTTCCAGTACCAGCCACTGGCCTCTGGCCCAGGCCGAAGATATCACAGTCCCCATTTCCTTCCAAGTTGCTTCTCAAAACCTGGCACTTAGCTTTTTAACATAATGGCTGTCCCACCTCAAGAGGCTACTTGGCTTTAATTTTAAAATATCTCTTTTTCTCCTGTGTTTTGGAGTATGGCCAACTCAGCTCTGCCAGTGACCCCTCCTTATGGGTGCAGATGAAAGTTCTTAAGTCGTTGGGGCAGAGGCCAAAGTTCTAGAGTGTATTTGCCATGATCATGCCAGATGATGTTCCCTCTCTTGGGTCTCCACTTCTGCATCTGATATTTCCCAGCAGGGAGTGATTGGCATTTTGTGTAGGGTAATTCTTTATTGTCTTGGACATTGCAGGAAGTTTAGTATCCCTGGCTGCCAGCCACTGAGTGCCAGGTAGTGCCAACTTTGTCATTGAGACAACTCCAAAGGTCCCCACACATATTTCTAAGTGGCCCTGTGGGGCAGGTTCTGCTCCAGGACTGTATTATGAAGACTTCGGTTTTCTCATCTGGCAAATGGACCAGAGAAGTTCCCAAGAACCAGAAGGTCTCAGGAGCAGCATTAAGAACCGCCTTGGGCTAGAAGGAGAGGCTGAGTGTGTCTCTGTCCTGCTCTAAACCAAGGTTCTGGTTAAGTTTATTTAATTTATAACAGTTCTACAAAACAAGTTGCTTGGAGAAAACCTCTTGTGGTTAAAAAAAAGTGTGAAAACCACTGGGCTGGGTCAGAGGTTGCTAGATGACAGCCCAGAGGCCCAATATGTGCTCTGCAGTCATGTTTTGTTTGGCATGGGATTTTAAAATATTTAGAGCCAACATTTTAAAAATCTGGATTTTAGGCTTCTCAGAAAACAAAACAAAACAAAACAAAACAAAACAAAACAAAAAAAACAAGAGGACAGGAAGATTTGGCAACACAGTGCCGATTTCTACAAGGCAAGAGCAGCCAACGGCTGAGCAGAGGCTGCCCACTTAGGCAGGGCCTACCCTGTCCCTCTTTTCCTTTACTTGTCTGGCCCCATAGGCATCAGAGTGTACAATGCTTAGAAGGGTAGTTCTCAACCCAGAATATCTGGAGTAGCTTTTAAAATTCCAGTGCTGGAATTTTAATCCAGACTAATTTAATCACAGTCTCTGGGGTGGGGCCCAGCTGGAGCATTAGTACATTGAAAATCTCCCCAGGTGATTTTACTGTGTAGGCAGGCACGAGAACTAATAGACTCTAGATGACTTCTAGTTTGAACACCTGCCCCAAGAAGCCTGGATTCAAACAGGAGTTCCCGTTCCCTCTCCCCATGTCCCTTAGGATTCCCATGCTCCTTTTCTTCCCCTGGAAACCCTTGACTTTGCCCAGACTCACAGCCATCAATCCTTTTGCTTAGTTGAGTTCTCACTAGACGGCATATCCACCTCATCTCCCACTGCGTCCAGGGCCTTCTAATTGAATTCAATCAATGTTCTGTTCTTTCCAAGGCCCCAGAGGGTTCAGACCCTCTCCTGGAGACTGTTCCACTCGCAGGAAAACTCTGCAAACCCCATAACTCACCAGCTCCCACCAGCCTCTACCACAGAAGCTAATCCAGGCCCCTTCCTCACACTCTATCTGCAGTGACACCTTCCAGAATCATCTTCTCTGGGACTTCATTTGCATAAATGCCAAAAAGGCAACCTGTAAGGTTGGGATTCCCAACCTCAGCCCTATTGATATTTTTGGCCAGATAACTCTTTGTCGTGAGGGTTGTGTTGTGCATTGGAGGATATTTAGCAACATCCCTGGTGTCTATGTCCTTTAGGGGCAAAGTCATACCTATTGAATACCATTGCTGTACATTCAAAGTTTCACGTTCTTTTAAGGCATGAATGAGATGTGCTGTTATTCCAGTTCTTATGCTGCCAACATACCTGTCCACTCCCCATTTCCTTTGAAAGCAAATAGATCTTTCTGATCCCACCCACCTCTAAGGTTCATTACATCAATAACAATACATCCATTCATCCAATTTCTCCAAGTTCTAGAAGTCTTCTATACCTCTAGTTCTCTCAGTTTATGTATGCAAGTGATCAGCATGTCTTATAGGCTCTGCTTCCTAAATATATCTCAAACTCCTCTACTTCTTCCCAGCTCCACTGATTCCAATTTTGTATCTATATAGATATACATCGATATATATCGATATATGGCACACTGAGCTTGTGCCATGTGCCCATATTCCTTCTCCCCTCTGGTCCTCTTTGAAATTAATCTATATCTATATCTATATAGATATCTATATCCATATATCTATGTATATCCCTATGGAGATATGGATATAGATAGATAGAGATATAGATAGATAGATAGTTTTGGTCTGGACTATTGCGATAGCCTCATTCTCTCTCCTACAGATCATTTTCCTTACTGCACTCAGAGCTGTCTTTAAGAAATGTAGACCAGATCATGTCACTTACCTGCAGAAAAGCCTTCAGTCTTCCCACTCTTAGAATGAAACCGAAACTCCTTACTAGGGCCTATGAGGTTGATCTGGCCCCAGCCAACTCCTCCAGCCACTCCTCATACTAATTTTCTTCTATTTAATTCTAGCCAGATTGGCTGCCTGTCCACTCCTTAAATATACCAAGCTCTTTCCTGCCTCTGAGACTTTGCATGTCTCATTTTCTCTGCCTATCTTTTTTTCTTTTTTTAAACCCTGGTTTCCACAGCTGGTTTCTTCTCAAGGTTCAGATCTCGTCTTAAGAGTCACTTCTGCAGTCATCTCCCTCCCCCCAAGTTATTCACTGTCCATTGAACACAGTGAATAAATCCATGACATTATTTATATCTTTTAAGCAAATATTACAAACTTTATTATCTTTTCCTTGTTATCGTGCATTTTGCCTCACTGGTATATGTGAAGTCAGGTACCTCATCTATCTTAATTGTTACTGTACCTCAAGACCTAGTACAATGCCTGGCACGTGGCATGAGAACAATAAAAATAAATCTCCGTTGAAGGATTCAGTGAGTAGATACCAATAAGCTTCAGGTCCCAGACTCCCGAATGCACTGGTAGCAGATAATGACTGACGCTCCTCCAGCTCTGACATTTTAAGATGCCACAGCCTCTGTACCCGTAAAATGTCAATTCACAGTGGACCACTGGGAATTCCATGAGTCACTCAGGGGATCATTACTATCTTACGGCCTTTGTGACCATAATAGGGTTTCTTTGGTGGAATAATACTGATTTCTTAAATGTCAGAGCTAGAAGGAAACTTAGAGGCAATCAAAACAGTCTTTCCACAGTGAGGAATACACCCTAAACTTTATTGTTCATTTAACAACTGCCCCTGAAACGCATAAAAAGTTAAAGAAGATAGGATCACTTTTGCTTAGAGGGTCAAACCACATTGTATCAGATAGAATTACTGCCATTCTTATGGGCCAGGTGTGAGTACCCCAGTATTTAGTCAGCAGTTCTGGCTGTGGCCTGGACTTTGTGCCAGTAGAAAGAAAAGGATCAGGCTGGGTGTGGTGGCTCATGCCTCTAATTCCAGCACTTTGGGAGGCCAAGGCAGGTGGATCAGCTGAGGTCGGGAGTTTGAGACCACCCAGGCCAACATGGTGAAACCCCGTCTCTCCTAAAAATACAAAAAATTAACCGGGCTTGGTGGCAGGCATCTGTAATCCCAGCTACTTGGGAGGCTGAGGCAGGAGAATTGTTTGAACCCAGGAGGTGGAAGTTGCAGTGAGTCGAGATCACACCATTGCACTCCAGCCTGGGTGACAGAGAGAGACTCTGTCTCAAAAAAAAAAAAAAAAAAAAAAAAGAAATAATACTTTATGATTTTCACTGGAAGCCCTGGAGTTGGGAGAAAAGCTAGTCTCAAAGAGTTTGTTATACTTTCTGATCTAATACAAAGGGAAATTGAGTTATTGAGAAAAATCTTGCACTCTCTCAAATTGAAATAGAAATAGCTTAATGCTAAGCTTTCATTGTCCATTAGCATAGTATACAGGAAAAAGTCCATGAAATTGAGGAGTCAAGTCAAAGTGATTAGAAAGAAGAGATAAAAGACTAAAAGGAAAGAAAGGAAGCCTAAATATAATGAAACAGAAGGAAAAATTGAAAGTACAAACTATTATTATATAAGACTGATTTGAAACCCTAAAGTCCAAGGAAGAGAGGGCCAGTCAAGGAAGGAGTGAGGGTCTTCCAGGGCTCTATGTCTCTCTCAGCAAAGAAATTGGCATGTGTCATTGTGTAAATTCCTTTAAGAGAGATTTACTGAGCTTGTGCCATGTGCCCATATCCCTTCTCCCCTCTGGTCCTCTTTGAAATTAAAAGAGTGGAATAAATGGTCTTGAAGTAATTTCTAGAATCCTATTTCTTGTCACTTTTTGACTCAAAGCCATGGACACATCTCCAAATAGGATCGAGAGTATACTGTGACATCCTTTCAGTTATGTGCCAATTTCCTCAAAATCACTCAGTGGTCTTCACAGATGGACCAGAGAGACAGAGTGAGATAACAAGCAGTACAATTAAAGGATATTTTCTTCTACTTAGATAATTATCTAGGCATTATGAAGTTCCTGGTGACACTAAAACACCATTCACTTCTTTTTTTCCCCAGAGCCTAAAATCTAAAACATTGAATTAAAACAAAGAATTAAAGTCCTTACATTTGTATACATGCTTTTTGAAGCTTATAAAATGCCTACACATACTTTATTTCACATTAGTTTCATAACAAACTTGAGAGATGTTATTCTTCTTAAATTATCAACAAGGAAACTAAGACTGAGAGACTAAGTGCTTTGCCCAAGCTCACCTGGTGTGCCATGCAGCTGCCACTTGCTCTCGGCTCCCTTCCTCATGATTCTCCAGCTCTGCTCAACATCCCAGGGACCTGCACACTACAGGATCTCTTACCCTGTTTCTTCAAGGCAGGTTTGGCTGATGGGAGTCAATGATAAAAGACCGAAGGAGGGGAGGGGAGAAGCTGGGTGTTTCTTCTCTTCTCTCTCTGCCTCTGGTGTCATCTCCAGCAATGGCTTCATGTGCTCAGTGATCAGTGCTTCATGTACTCCTGATAAATGTCCTGGCTTCCCAAATCTGGTAACACTACCTGTTCTTGTGTCCCTCCAGGCTCAGGGGCAGTAGCATCTTCCTGCTGTTGCTAATATCTGTGGTGCTTCACCATCTCGTTTGGCTTCTCAGCTTTTTCATTACCTGTGCATCCAGTTCCTTATATTCCTTATTTTGAAAGACTTAGAGTGGTTTACATTTTCCTGGTTGGACCCAGACTGAGTCAACTGGCTAGGGAATCACTACTCTGAGGAGCCCTAAGACAGCATATCAGATGTGTGTGTATGTGGATGTATGTGCATTTTACTACTAAACAGTGAAAGCCTTTTCATCTGGAAGTGAGCTCATCTGGAAGTGAGCTCATATATCTTTGGATCTTGGGACTCTAACATAGTGCCTGGCATATACCACACACCAGCAAATGTTTGCGGACTTGCTATGTTTGTTTGGTAAAACAAACCCAGCCAGAGTGGCTGTTTAGTTTATCTCCATATCTCTACGTATCTGTTAGACCTAAACAGAAGAAATACAGGCACTTCTAGTCTATAAAATGTACCTGTGAGCCATTCTGCCACATACAACTGAGCCACACAGGAAAACTGCATCATTAGCAATTTCTATAAAATCATTCTGGCTTTGAACCACAGTAGTTATTTTAGTTGGGAAGATATTAATTAGCTGAAACTTAGGAAAAAGTTTAATCACCTAAAAAAATGGGGGGTGAAAACTGGGTGAAAGACATGGGAAAACATGGAAAGAGCCATTCTTTTAAATTATTTCAGTTTTCATACACTTATGCAGGAATTGTTTAACAGAGTTGGATGGTACTAGGTGTGGGAGACCTGGTTGCTGGCCCCAGTTTTGCCACTAACTTGCTTTGTAGTCTTGGGCAAGTCATTTCTCTCTGGCCCTCAGTTTCTTGATTGGCAAAATGAGGAGGTAAGATTAAATGATCTCTCACTGCAAGATCATTAGCTTACCAGCATTTAGAGAATCCAGCCCAATTTTATATTCACATCAAATGAGATCTCGCTTATTCTGGCCCCAGCTTACCTTTCCATTCTCATCTTACTGGTCAACTCACCTTACTCACTACCCCTCTATGCCACCTGCTCAGCCAGATGCTTATGAACCTGGACCTATGCCATCCTGTTTTCTCTGTGTCTGTTCTCTGTGTTCTCTTTACCCCACTTTGCGGCTCTGCTTAATTTCTCTCCTCTCTGCTATGGTCTCAGATCCCTTTTCCGGTTGGGATAAAAAAAAATAAGACTTCCTGCTATTGAGGGGAATTATGGGGTTCCGCTTAAAAGAGTGGACTTTGAAGCCAGAATAATGGGTTTAAGCCCTGGAGCAGCAATCTACTAGCTGTGTGAATTGAACAGTTACTTACTGGCTATTCCTAAGTTTCTTCACCTGCGAAGTGTTGATATTAATATTACCTACATTAAATTTCTGATGTTGAAAGACCTAGAATGATTCCTATTTTCCTAATTGGAAACCGACTAAATTACCTGGCTGAGGAACAAATATTATGAGAGCTATAAACCTGGCAGAAATGGGCAGAGACAGCATACCACTGGTGTGTGTGTGTTTGAGTGTGTGTGCATCTGCATTTTCCTATTAAGCAGTGAGAGTCTTTCCACTATGATATAGCTTTAGCACAGTGATTGACATTGCAGGCACTAGCAATATTTGTGGACATTTAATACTGGCAAGGATTATCTGAGGCAATACATTCTATGCCTAGAACAATACATGGTACATGGCGACGCCCAGTGATGCAGCTATTATAATTATAGCATAAAGCTAGTACAGAGGAAAGACTGATGGATGAGGAGGAAGAGGAAGTGGGTTCTCACTTTAGCTCTGCCACAGGCTAGTGGTGACCCGGTGCCTAGATGGAACCATTATATGTGTCTCACCAGGCTTTTTTCTTTCTTACTAGAGCAGTTATTGTGCTGTCTTATTATGTTTTTGTGTGCTACAGTGAGCTAGTTAAGGCTAGGAGGCTGTTACGGATTGAATTAATTGTATTCCCTCCAAATTCATATGTTAAAGCCCTAACCCCTAGTATCTCACAATGTGACCATATTTAAAGGTAGGGCCTTTAAAGAGATTAAGTTAAGACAATGCTGCTAGGGTGGGCCCTAATCCATTCTGACTTGTGTCCTCATAAGAAGAGGATATTAGGGCATACAGAGAGATACGAGGAGTGTGTGCACACACAGAGAAAAATCTATATGAAGAGGCAGCCAGAGGTTGCCACCTGCAAGTCAAGGAGTGGGGTCTCAGAGGAAACAACCCTGCAGGCACCTTGATCTTGGACTTCCAGCCTCCAAGACCATGAGAAAATAAAATTCCATTGTGTAAGCCACCCAGGCTGTGGTATTTTGTTATGGAAGCCCTAGCAAACTAATACGGGTACTATGTATTTATTCATTTATTCAACCATTACTTATGGAGCATCTATTATGTGCCAAGTCCTGATTTGTGCAATAGGATATGAAATGCTGAGAAAACAATAAAAGAAAAAGGGCTTCTGCTCTCAGAAGGTTTGTAGTTCAGTGGGAGAGACTGACAGTCAAGAGATGACACAAGTCAGTGTGATAAGAGCACAGAATGAAGCGTCCCTGTGCCCTGAGAGTACATAAAGCAGCGTGGGGGTAGGGTCTGATGCCCTGGCGTCTGTGTTGTTTTATCCCCAGCACTGTCACAGCACTGTGCTGACAGACAATACACTGTAAATGTTGGTTGGCATTTATTGAAGGCTCTGATCTCTCAATTCTCTATGTGGATTAACATGAATTCTTAGTACTCAAGGAAAGAGAGCCCAGGGGCAGACTCTGCTAAGTGTGGACTGTTTATAGGGCAGCATAAAGCTGGTACAGAGGAAAGACTGATGGATGAGGAGGAAGAGGAAGTGGGTTCTCACCTTAGCTGTGACACAAGCTGATGGTGACACCCTTCCCTTATCTGGACCTCCATTTCCTCATCTTCAAAAATGAAGTAGTTGGAGTAGGTCATCTCTAAGATCCCCTGTAGCTCCATGAACTCTTTCCCAAAATGTAGTTCATGAAAAACTTATACTTAATGTAGGATAGAAGAGACAGAGAGAAGGAAGGAGGAGGAAGAAATGTAGAAAGAGGAAAGCTGGCAGGCAAGAACAGAAAAGGAAGGAGGAAGGAAGGAAGGAAGGAAGGAAGGGCTAACAAACTAGGTTGGCAGAGGTGGAACTCGACCTGTGGTCCTAGACAGTCCCTGGTGCCCCGTTTGCAGTTACTTGGGCAGCAGGTCTCCTGGTGGTTCAGCAGCACCTGTGGATTCAGTTGCCTAAATCCTGCCTGTACCAGGCCATATAAACTTGGACAAGTTGTTTTTTTTTTTTTTTGAGATGGAGTCTCATTCTGTTGCCCAGGCTGGAGTGCAGTGGTGCAATCTGAGGCTCACTGCAAGCTCTGCCTCCCAGGTTCATGCCATTCTCCTGCCTCAGCCTCCCGAGTAGTTGGGACTACAGGTGCCCACCACCACGCCCGGCTAATTTTTTGTATTTTTAGTAGAGATGGGGTTTCACCGTGTTAGCCAGGATGGTCTCAATCTCCTGACCTCATGATCTGAAACTTGGGCAAGTTATTTAACCTATGCCACAGTTTGATCCCTTACATGATGTGTGTAGGAACATCTTTATCATAGGGATGTCGTGTGGATTAAATTTGAAGATGGGTGGTGAGGTTAGAGATTATGGAAGTAATATAAGAATATCAAATTGCTGATTTGGGTGGATTTGCACTTTACAGAGCCACCCAGTATGCCACCTCCCCCCATCCAAACCACACATACACCCATTCCCACAAGCACAGTCATGCATGGCATAATGACGTTTCAGTCAACAATGGGCCACATATACCATGGTGGCTCCATAAGATTATGATGGAGTTGAAAAATTCCTATCACCTCATGATATCTTGATGATCCTGACCCTGTGTAGGTCTAGACTAATGTGTGTGGTTGTGTCTTAGTTTTTAACAAAAAAAATTTAGAAGTAAAAAAATAATTAAAAATAGAAAAAAGTTTATAGAATAAGGATATAAGGAAATAATATACTTTTGTACAGCTGCACAATGTGTTTTTGTACAACACAAAACAATTTGTGTTTTAAACTGTTACTACAAAAGAGTCAAAAATTTTTAAGAAGTCAAAAAGTTTATAAAGTAAAAAGTTATAACAAGCTGTTTAATTTGTTATTGAAGAAAGGAAAATATTTCTTTATAAGTTTAATGTACAAATTTAGTGTATACATTTAGTACAGTGCTTATAAAGTCTTCAGCAGTGTACAGTAATGCCCTAGGCCTTCACATTCACTCAATGACTCACCCAGAGCAACTTACAGACTGGCAAGCTCTCTTGATGGTAAGTGCCCTGTAAAGATGTACCATTTTAAATCTTTTATTCTATATTTCTACTGTGCCTTTTCTGTGTCTACATATGTTTAGCTACACAAATACTTACCATTGTGTTACAGTTGCCTACAGTGTTCAGGACAGTAACATGCTGTACAGGTTTGTAGCTTGGGAGCAATAGGCTATCCCATTTAGTCTAGGTGTGTAGTAGGCTATGCCATCTAGGTTCGTGTAAATATTAAATACAATGTTTGTACAACATATCCCTGTCATTCAGTGACACATGATTGTAAATGAAAAAATGTGCCATAAACAACAGTCATCCTTACCACCTGTAATCAATTTATTATTTTTTATCTGTTGTATGACAATTCATTTAAAATATGGTGGCTGCAACTTGCTGAAATGATTTCACACCTCACTAATAAGTTATGACCCTTTGTGTGAAAAAGAATGATGTTGTGCAGCAGTTTCCAAAATGTGTTGCAGGCCCCTCAGGGAGCAGAAAAGACAACTTACTGATATAAAGGAAAAGTAATAGAACAACTATGTTTTGTTTTTCTTCACTCTGGTAAAATGTTTATTTTTGTATGTTTAAAAATATACATAGCATATTATTACAGTGGTATGTGTATAATCTGGGCACAATACATACACAGATACTAAGGGTATGTTAACAAATGTTTACTAATGGGGTGCATCTTCAGAAAAATTTGGAGACTAGGATGAAGGGTATCCCAATTATGTGAGCTTAATAATTGGACAATCAACTACACTTCTTCCTCAATAGATTTTTCTAAGACATTATAATTTAAATTTCTGTCTTTTAACTTGGTCACCTACAGCCTGAAACTCATTATGCAGCAAAACCTCAGTTCATCTGTGTGGATATGACTCTGGCCTGAGGTGTGAAGGGCTTTGCTGTCTCTTCTTGGGCTGGCTCCACCATTATTTGCTGTAGGACTCTGGGCAAGATGGTGCCCCCTTCTGTCTTAGCTTCCTGCTTAAAGTGAGGGAGTTAGTTAGTTACCTTTAATATTCCTTTCAGTTCGCTAAGATTTTATAAGTCTATGAGGATTTGGAAACTCTTTACTTTTCTGTTCCTGAGTGTTGATTAATTTCAACAGGAAAATGTTCCTGGTTAAAAGTCTGCATTAAATGTGATTGGGACTTACCTCTATCCCTCCATTCATGTTAGTTTATCTTTCAACCAGGAAATGTTAGAAACTCAACTCGTTGCTAACCACAAATCTTTGACTTAATAACTGGGTCATGAACCAAGTCAATCCCCACTGAAAGAGACCACAGAAAACATACAAAATTAAGGACGGGTCTATAGATATTTCCTGGAAAGAAATGAATGTCTTTTACCCAACTACTCACAGCTAGGAACAGTTACCACAAGTATCATAAAAGCCAAGTGCTATTAGAATGGTTTGGAGAGGGAAGATCAATTAGAAAAAAAAATTAAGTTATCAGGGTCCAACAATAGGGAAATGCTTAATTTTGAAAAATGTGTATGAAATACTGTGCAACACTTAAAATAGCATTTAAAAACATTATTTCCTAACACATGTAAATACCATACAATAAGTGGAAAAAAGCAAGAGACAAACTGTAATTTACAGTAGTCCCAATTTTATTAAATGCATACTGAATATCATATGTACACAAATAGAAAAGAGACCTGAAAAAAAGAAATACTAAAAAATTTTAACAAAAGTAATACCAGAACTAGGAGTTATGGGTGATTTTTATTTGTATTTTTATACTATCCTGCATTTTTGAATTTCCTTCAATATGTATTTGTTTGTTCAGTCATTCAACAAATATTTTTTCTGCATCAACTATGAATCAATTATGTTCTAGACACTGGAAATAGAGACGAATCCTAGCCTTCCTGCAGCTTCCTGTCAGTGATTGGACACAAACAATAAACATGAACAATGAATAAATGAGCAGTGGTACAGATAGTGGTACATGCTTTAGAGGCATCCAATCAGGCTGATGGGAAAGAGTGACGAGCGTTGTGCATCTAGTTTGGGTGTCTGGTGGGGGTTAGGGCAGCCCAGAGGAAGTGCCCTTTGAGCTGAGTGAGACTGAATGACACAAAGAAGCCTGAATATCTGGGAGAATTTTCCCCTCCAAGACAACGGGAAGGGTTAAACCTTAGTGTGTTCACACAGCAGAGAGAAGGCCAGGGTAGCAGAAGCACAGTGTGCCATGAACACAAGCTGAGGTTGCAGGGATCTGACCACACTGACATCACAGGCTTCAGTCTAGCTGCATTGGAGGGCACAGAGAGGTTTTGCGTGGGGAGTGATGGATGGCACACCCCTTAGAAAGATGACTGGGTGCAGAGACTCCTGGTGGTGGAGGCAGAGTGAAGGCAGGGAGACCTACTAGGAAACACAGTTTTCTTCGTAATTTACCAATTCTATGACCTCGGTTTCCACAACTGTAAAATGGGGCAGTTGGGCAAAGTCAATGATTTCTAAGGTACTTCCAATACTTAAAAAAGTAAAAACATTATTATTTTTATATACTTGCTTAGCTTTAAAAGGATGTAAGCTTCTCAGACACAGGGGCCAAGTCTTATTCCTCCCTTTATTCTCAGAACACTGCCTTCCACCTTATAGATTCAAATAAATGGATCTAGGCTGTACACTGGCATGTGTTTGGGTGTGCTATTAGTTCTCTGTGTCAGTTTTCACCGTGCTTCCTTTTGAACTCATTTGCTGAAACCTTTCTACTGAAGGTAGCGGCAGGGCACTGAAGGCTTTTTAGCCAAGGCTACCTGCTGCGTTTTAGAAAGGTCACACAGACAGTAATGAAGGGGCCTTGGAGGGGGCCAGGAGTGGAAGCCGGGAGACAGAGAGATGCATTGTTTTATTAGAGAATCCCCCTGGGCCCTGATAGTCAAGAGAATCCACCTTGGAAGGCAGGGTGTGCCAGCGAGGAAGGAGCCCTTGGTCTGCACAAAGCCACCTCCATGGAGAGCCCTCCAACACTGGGAGATGAGAAAGTGCGAGACTCCACTTATTTATAGATGGGGGAAATGAGGCACAAAGAGACAAAGTGACTCATGTGCCGAGGATTTCTGACTTCAGGGCCTCCTCTCAGCTAATGTGAAAACCAGACTCCATTTAGGGAGGGATCTAGGGAGGGAGAAGGCTTTTACTTGGGCCAAAGTGGAAAGGCTCACCAGGGAGGGTGGGGGCGGAGGAGACAAGTATCCTTGACTGAAACCATGACAAATTCTTCAATATCTTAATTTTGACACTCTCATAATCCAAGAAGGGCTAAAATTGGCCTTAGAGCTTGCGTTATGAAACCCGAGCAGATCAAACAAAAGAAATAAGCAAAACTCGAGTCAGCCAGATGATAATCCATGTGGAGAACATGCAAATTCAAACGAAAATAGATCAGAGACACTTTCCCAAGAGACACAGAACTGGGAGATCCTGGAACCAAATCCTTTCCATGAAAGATGGGGAGGGAAACAAGGGGCTCTCTTCAGTTCTGCACCCCCAGAGGCAGAAAGCAAACTTTGCCAGCACAGTCAGGATTGGGACTTGAATTTAATTTTCCCCATTCTGAGTCAGTGGTCATCTCACTCCCTCACAACTAATTTGGGGTCTATTTGCCAAACCTGCAAACAGGCACAATAGCAGGGGACAATCTAAGTGATGTCAAAGCATCTTGTGCATTCTGTGTATTGCCATACACGTGCACACATGTGTGTGCCCGTCCACACTCATGCAAGCGTGCGCATGCACGTGCACACACACACCCACACACACTGTTTTAGGTTTGGCGTGGTCTTTACTAATAATAGTGGACCAATAGCATTGCTAGATATCTGCGTTTACCACCCAATTCAAAGGCACAGTTCATGGGACCCAGAAGAAACCAGAATCCAACCCCTTAATTTTTTTTTTTTTTTGAGAAGTCTTACTCTGTAGCCCAAGTTGGAGTGCAGTGGCACAATCTCAGCTCACTGCAAGCTCCGCCTCCCGGGTTCATGCCATTCTCCTGCCTCAGCCTCCAGAGTAGCTGGGACTACTCCAGCCCCTTAATTTTATAGATGAGGACTGGAGTCCAGAATGGATGAGGTTGTAGAGTTACTTAAGGCAAGAGCTGAAGCAACCTGCCCCCAGTTCCAGTGCTCTTTCTAGACAGCAGGAAGGAAAACTCTGTTCTTCTATACACATGTGCTAGTTTCTGTTCTCAAGAATGTATTATCAAAAGGAAAGTTATCTCGATACTTTCCAGCTTATTTCTTTGTCAGGGGCCTGAAATCTTGGCACACTAATTAGTGGATTTCTAAAAGAAGTCTTTCAACTTCTTTGGATGTTTGCTACTATGATATTGGTAACAATCACATTCATACATTAAATAAACATTTACTGAATGTCTACTATGTACTGGGAACTCTGGCAGGATCCTTGATGTCCTCTTAATCTCTTTTAATTTTCATAATACTGTGATGCAGGTATCATTATCCCCGCTCTCCACTACCTTGTTTTATCCCAGAGGGAAGTAAAGCTCAGAGAGGCTAAGACACTTTCTCCAGGTGACAGACTCTGGAAGGGGCAAGGTTAGGATTTGATTGTCTGTCAGATTCCATTATGCTGTGTGCCTCAAATGCCTGGTGATCCTATACGCTACCATGGGCACTATGTGGGGCAGTGCCACTAAGCTCTGCTGTGACCTCGAGGTTACCTCTGAAGTTTATGAGCCACTGCCAGAGGCTCAGGGTGGATGATCCAAGATAGCTGGGCTAGGGTATTAAAAGGGCCCTATCAGAACAAAGATCATTCACTTTTGAAGTCTAATCTCTTTGGGTTCTAGATGGGAAGGAAACATATTAAAGGTGGATGAAGGAGGGAGGTACTTAGACTGCAAAAGGGATATAGAACATGGGGCATAGTTTTAAAGAAAGTTTGCTGGTGGAGGCCCCGTCCATGTTTTATATGAAGGTGCTTTTCACAGCAGACCCGGAGAACTTTCTACACAGCAATAATTTCTTCCAGTGTCCCTGACAGCATTCTGTTTCTGCTTGAATGTCTCCAGGAACAGGGAGCTCATTACCTTTCAGACTATTCTAATTGTTAGAAAGTTCTAGTCTTCATATGGAGCCAAATCTGCCTCCCAGATATGTCCATGATTTAGGCCTAGCTCTACCGTTTGGTTTACAAGACCAAGTCCACTTCCCCCCTAACCAGCAACACTCTAAACATTTGAAGACACCTTTCATTTTTTATACCAGCGTTCCCCAAAGTGTGCTGAGCAGAGTAGTAAGTTTGCACGATGTTACTAGGTGTCCTTATAAAACAAACATACCAAAACAAACAGACAAAAACCCATAAATAGAACTCTGTGGGCAAGCCAGGTTAAATCAGGTCAACCAGGTATGCTTCCTACAAAACTTCTCAGCACTTTTAGGATGCTACTGCCTAATATGAACTCCAAAAGGGAAATACTGGTTGTGCAATTTATTTTCCAAACTTCTGTCCTCTCAAACTTTTGACCTCAATTTTTGTTTTCCTCCTGCTGTTCCTTTTACTATTTTCCATATATATTATTGGGAATAATGCTCAGAAAATGCTTCCTTACATAAATCTAGATTCTTAACTATCATTGTTTCTAATCCAAAAAGCCAGTCTCCTCCATTTTGAGACATAGAATTGAGGTTTTCTCGCTGTCTTCTCTATAGTTCTTTATTAGGGCGGTCAGATTAAAATATAAGATGCCCAGTTACATTTAAATTTCATATAAACAAATAATATTTTTTTCTATAGATATGTTCCATGCAATATTTGGGACATACTTTTATGAAAAATATATTCACTGCTTATCTGAAATTCAAATTTAACTGGGTGTTCTATATTTTTATTTGCTAAATTTGGCAACCTTAGAAGGGAGATAAATGCATTTTTCCCTTGAAAAATGTGACCCTCAGAATTGGACTTAATTTTCTGGAAGTGGACCACAACTGAGACATTCAGAATCCTGGGAGCCACCTGCGACTCTACTTTTTCCTGAGGCATTTTTAAAGAGAAAATAATCATATTTTTATGCAATAAATAGAGACCAGTTCAAGGTTGACAGATATCAGATATCTTCCTGAATCTCCTGGCAAAATCCAGAAGCCAATTTCTCATTCCTCACCCTGTTTCCCTGAATGTTAGCATTAGGGAAGAAGATCCACATATTCTTTATAATTTCCTTTTCATTGCCCGTCTTCTCCATAAGACCATAAGAAATTCAAAGGCAGGAATTAACCATGCCTATTTTGATGACTGCAGTATCCCCAGAAGTTAGCACAGGTTCTGGCATATGTAAGTGTTCAAAATTTCTAAATGAATGAATGAGTCACAACATTGCATGGAAAGCTAAGCAAAACAGACAAGCTGACACTCAGAGGAGAAGAGATTATCAACAGAATCTTTTCTTATGGTTGGTATATGTCATTCACCCCAAGCTTTCCCAAATCCATTGTATGCTATTCACCTATGCTGAAGGCACATCTTTTGGAAGATGTGTGTGCAAAACAAGAACATTTAATTGCTATGACTAAAATAAAACATTTCAACCAAACACTAGTGATTTTCAAAAAGTTGAATAACTTCCCAGAGCCTGCAATTTTTACTGAGGTGTGGAACCTGGCCCTTAAAACTGGCTGGGCTGCTTCAAGTGGGTGTGAGATGGGGGCAAATCACACTGGGTCTTCCCACAGAAATACGCTGACCCAAGAGGAGTTAGGCAAAGTGAACAAAAACAGCCTCAGAAGAGCCTAAGCTGCCAGGAGGACAGGTATGGGAAGAGCACATGGTCCACAGCTTGGACTTGGTGATGGTGCATCTGGTGGCTGGCACAAGGACCGTGAAAGGCTCAGAGCTTTCGTTCTAAGCCACAGTTGATAGAGTCACTGTTGCTTACCAACCACATGAGCTCACCCAAGCTTGGGGCTTGTCAACAGTAAAAGCATCCTGGGGCTGTCCCTGGAGCAGGCAATTGCTTATCTGCAACTTGGGAGCTGTAGCTTCAGTGCTGGGGAGGGTTAACCCTGACTTTATAAGACAAGAATGCACCAGAAAATAGAGGAATACGTTGAGAAGAGCCCTAAGTCTTAGGAGGGTAGGAGAGTGTAGCAAAACTTGTGTTATTTTCTGAGCCTGAACATGAAGAACTGAATTCAGGTTCTCACCCAGCCATGTATTACAATTGCTCCATGTCCTTCAGCAAGTCTTCTAACTTCAGTCTTTGTATCTGTGAAATGGGAACAACCACGCTGACCTCAGAGTTGTCATGAGGATTAAACAAGATGGTAGATATATAAGCCCTTTACAAACTGCCCTCTGTAAATTCTGGGTCAATATGAGGAAATGTTATCATACACTGTCCCCTTGAGTGTTATGATCTGCAGCAGTGTGATGGATCTGGTCCCTTGCTAGCATAAAAAGGCAACCAACAAAGAGAAAAGAAGCATGTCTCCTACACAGCCTAAAGCAAAATGAAAAGAACTTCAACTTACATTATCAGATTCCTTTTAATTTTGGAAGGAAACATTTTCTAAGCTTACATTGGAAAACAAAATCTCAGTGGGTAGAAATCTTTAGAATATAAAAAAATTATAATCCCAACACTTTGGGAGGTGGAGGCAGGAGGATCGCTTGAGAGCAGGAGTGGTGAGACCAGCCTGGGCAACATAGATAGACCCTGTCTCTACAAAAAATAAAAACTAAACTAAAAAAAAAAAAAAAAAAAACTAGCTGGGTATGATGGTGTGAGCCTGTAGTCGCAGCTACTCAGGAGGCTGAGGTGGGAGGATTGCTTGAGCCCAGAAGTTTGGGGCTGCAGTGAGCTATGATTGTGCCACTGCACTCCAGCCTGGGTGAGACAGTGAGCTATCTACAAAAATAAATAAATGAATTAAAGAAAAAATCATTTGGGACCATATTTATGGCCTGTAAGGCTTTAGGTGAGCCTTTGCTTCTGCATGAATGTTTCCACTGATCTCCTGGAGACTATCACTGGCTCTGGTTAAAGCCCTTGCTGACTCTGCTAGTAAACAGGAGCAAAATGTACGTAAATATAGTTCTATTTCATTGGAGGGAAAATAATTCAGAGTATCGTGGCTCATAAATTACTTGGTGCTTCCTCTGCTGTGAGATGCTACACCCACTGAAGGGAAAATTGCTAATGTGTAAATATGTGTGTATGTGTGTTTATTGTGCCAAGGCGATGAGGAAAATAGACAGATATCTTGCCTTGAACAGGCTTTCCTACCGGGCTTTGTCTGTGTCTTCCTCCAGTGTTGCATACAGTGGTTGCTTATGGGATGCACTACTTCTAGTCCCACCACAGTCCCCACCAGGACCTGAAGACCTCTATGTTTCCCCATTGTTACTTGTGTTTAGTTCTCAGTATTACCAACTCTATGCAAAGAGTATTCCAGGCTTGGAGCTAGGCAAAGGCTTTGCTTACAACTCTGAGAGGGCACAAGGCAATCTTTATGTAACCCGGCCTGCCCAGCCTCCCCTCCTTGCCCAGGCCAAGAATAGTCAATGATCATGTTCTGGAAGAAACCCCACCTTGTCCCTGGGTACTCTGAGCCAAGAGGAGGGGGAGTAGAGCTGGTGGCACATGCATGAGGCCAAGCAGCAAAGCCCAGGGAAGCTACAAAGGCAGAGTGTTGAGGCTGGATATATCATTTCCCTAGTCCCCCCACCACTCCACCTCCAAGACTGGCTTAGGCCTAATGATACCCCATGAGGATGGTGTTCCTTGCCTCCCAACACATACCAGGTTTATATACATCGTGCATGTAAATACAGAGAGATGTATTCTGAGAGGCAGAGCTTGTGAGTGAATACTTATATGCATTTCTAAGAAAACATACGACTGGACACGGTGGCTCACACCTGTAATCCCAGCACTTTGGGAGGCCAGGCAGGTGGATCACCTGAGGTCAGGAGTTTGAGACCAGCCTGACCAACATGGTGAAACCCTGTCTCTACTAAAAATACAAAAAATTAGCCAGGCCTGGTGGCACATGCCTGTAATCCCAGCTACTCAGGAGGCTGAGACAGAAGAATCGTTTGAACCTGGGAGGCAGAGGTTGCAGTGAGTGGAGATTGCTCCTCTGCACTCCAGCTTAGGCAACAAGAGTGAAACTCCATCTCAAAAAAAAAAAAAAGAAAAAGAAAACACACACAAATGCATGCATGGACCCATCTGTGTGCACTTATCTATATGAGAATGCTTTTGTATAAGTAAGCATATCTTCAGAGATGTTCTCTCAAAATACTAATCTGAACTCTGCTGCAAATACATCAATAGCTTCTAAATGCTCTAAGGCTAAAGATCCAAATTCTTAATGCAGCTTAAAAGACTCTTCACAGTGTGACCCTGTCTGCCTCCTGCAGGCTCATCCTGCGCCCCAATATGCCCTTCCTTTCTCTGCACAGCAGCTACACTGACCTTTGCTTAATCTTTCTTACTCAGAGCTCTCCTTTCACCGCAGGCCATTTGCATGTGCTTTTCTCCCTAAGCACCATGTTCTTCCCTCTTCTGTTTTTCTAGGCATCAGATAGCCATTCTTCAGGTATTGGTTGATACTTTACTTCTTTGGGAGAACAGTTACTGACCTCCCAGAATTAGCTGGATTCCCTCAAAACATGCTATATTTTCTTCGTAGCACTTACCATAGTTGCCCTTTTTGTATGCACTTTAAAAATGTACCTCTTCAGTTACATGCAGAATTAGTAAGGGCAAGGATCAACTGCTTTTGTTCACCCACTGATCTTCAGCACCAAACAGTTCCTGGCATATAATGAGTACTCAACAGACATGAATATTAGTCCATTTTCACGCTGCTGATAAAGACATACCCAAGACTGGGTAATTTATAAAGAAAAAGAGGTTTAATGGACTCACGGTTCCAAGTGGCTGCGGGGGGTCCTCACAATCGTGAAGAAGGCAAAAGGCATGTCTTACTTGGCGGCAGGCGAGAGAGAGAGTAAGAACCAAACGAAAGGTGTTTCCCCTTATAAAACCACCAGATCTCATGAGACTTATTCACTACCATGACAACAGCATGGGGCAAACTGCCCCCATAATTCAACTATATCCCACCGGGTCCCTCCCACAATACATGGGAATTATGGGAGCTATGATTAGAGATGAGATTTGGTTGGAGACACAGCCAAGCCTTATCAGCAGGTACTGAATGAAAGGTGTATACACTTCCACAGGGAGAGAGGTCAGCATATAAATCTGCGTGTACTTAGGTATCAGCATGACCATGATGACATGACATGGCATATTTACTCATTTGGAGCACAGAGAAGTCTGCTTAAGGATCCCTATGCCAGTATATATCTAAGGAAGAGTGTTCTATCTAAGGACAATATATACTGAGTATGTCTACATCCTACATTTATTTAAGCAATCATATGGAAGTGTACAAAAAACCTAGATTTGTACAAATATCTATGTGAAAATGCGTGTGTGTGCATTTTTGCTGATATGGGTATAGGCATCAAGGTAAAAGTCTATGTGTGTGTTTATTTGGGTGTGTACATCTGTGGAAGTGTATATATACATGTGTGTGAGTCATATTCTTCTTTGCAGCTGGGTGGGTCCCCTTTCAGATTTCTAAGAAGGAGGGTTTATATGCATTAGGTGAACTGATCCAAATGCACCTTAGTATAATTTGACTTAACCCAAGGCAGGTGTTGTGGAGGAAGGAACACTGGACTAGGAACCTATCACTGGAGCAAAATTCGTTTTTCTTCCTGGGCTGCTACCTCCCCATTTACATGCAGAGGGCCAGAGTCTAGGTGACAGTGATGCTATTGGGAGGTTGGAGGTATCCCTGGTTAAATGCCATGTCAGTGACAAAACACCATTTTAATTAAGTGCCTAGTTGCTCAAGGCATTTTATTATCACCTTCCTCTTTTATGTTAATTTACGAATTGTTTTCATCTTCTTTTTTAAATTTGATAACACAGGAAAATACGACTTCTGCTTATTTGACTGAACGGCTATTTGTGTGCATGCATACAGCCATATATGATCAGCTTTTACATGCCTACTTTCTGTGCTGTAGAGCAGGAAGGGAAGAAGAAGACAGTGTGATCTCCCATGGCCCCAAATTGTGATCCTTGGACCACCCGCTTTACCGTCCTCTGGGAAAGTTGTGGCAAATGCAGATTCCTGGCCCCCAACTACAATGCTATTAGCTCAGAATCTCAGAATGGGCGTCAGGAATGTTCATTTTCTCAGAAGTTTCCCCAAATCATTTCTGTGTTCTGTAACTGCCATAAAATAAAATAACATCAAGAAATTCATACGTAAACTGACACAACTAACCCCTTCACAATTCTATAAAAAAAGATTTCTAAGGCTGGCACCACTCTGTCCTTCAGGTTAACCGTCTATTCTTTTGCATTGAGGATGCTGGGTGAACGTTTGGATTTGTAGACATTGTGGAAAATGAAACAAGAAACCCAGTTTGAATGTTTGTGAGCAACATTGTGAGCAGAACAGACTTATTTTTGCAATACATATCACAAGAACCATGAGGACCTCTCAGACAAACAAAACAAAATAAAACAACAGCAACAAAAACCCACCAACAGACCATAAGGGTTGTCTGTGATATTTAGAAATATCTAAATGGATTTTTATAAAAAGAAAACTAAGCAGTAGTTTTAGAGATAGAATTGAAGAAATGAAGAAAATTCCCCCTACAAAGAGTTGTGGCTTTGGGACACAAGCCTTAGGTTGTAAAATCGGTATGGTGTGCTTGAAAAAAAACCAAGAGTTCCCTAGAATTCTACTTTTGCTTTGTCATGGGTGTTGCTGTTATGATTTTAAAAACGCTTTTCTTTCCCTGGATATATGAACCAATTTAAAAACTCCCGTCTTCCCCTCACAGCACTGGAAAAAATAAAATAAAATAAACCAAGCCAGCAGAGAGCATGCTCCCTGGGGCCCTGTCCTACTTTGCCCAGTGACCCCAGCCACCTTGAGCCCAGGTTTTGCAGCCAGTGCACTAAGGAATAAGGAGTTACAGGCTGTGTCATGGCCCATCTCACCCTGCTATTCTCTAATGAGAAACCTCAGATGCTGACACAGACCTTGTCAGAGACATGGCAAGAGCACCCAATTTCCAGATGTCAAGAGCTTCCTGGCCCGAAAGTGGTGATTTGACTCAGTGCAAACCATTGTGCTGTGATCAGGTGTCTCCTTCTGCCCTGCTATCTGGCAGGGGAAGCTCACTTAAACTGTGTCTGAATGATGGCGAAAGACAGAGATGCCGACTCTAAGTACGATCCTGTTTCCTAGTTTATACTTAATCACAACCTGCCTAGACAGTAGTGCTTGCTCCTTGGTCTCAAGGGGCATACATTAATCAGGCCCCTCTGAGAAGATTCCATGGAGAATTAGAACAAAATGCACCCATTAAAAATAACCTCTCATAATCTTCTCCTTCCTTCTTTCTTACCTGATCTCCAACTGAGAAAAGACAGACGGCCTATTCTAGTGGCAAAACACACACACAGACTCTGGTTCAGAATACCTGGGTTTCACTCCAGTGGGTTATGTGATCTTGGACAGCTTAGTTTACCTCTGAAAGTCTTAGTTTTCCAATTTATAAAATGAAGGCAAACATAATAGCATATTATTGTGTGAATACTAAATGAGAGCATGCACCAGAATTGCCAACTATAATGCTTGGCTCATAAGAAGCACTTCGTAGCTATTAGCAGTTACTATTATCAAAAGAGGCTCTCTATGAGAATAAAAACCTACTGTTGCACTTTTCCAAACAGAAGTTATTGGTCACTGTGTGACCTGAATAGACTTATTTTCACACAAATCAACAGGCTGGGTAGGAGGCATTCAACAATGTCAAAAGAACTCTGTCCTGGGTGTTCAGTGGTTAGTTTCCTCTGCTCCGAAAGCAGATTAGAGCCCAGGTGCAGAAAGTGTGCTTTCAGCAAGGCAAGTATAGAAACATCTTTTTCATCCACTAGCAAGGGGCAGGGGGAGGGATTCTCTCTGATTTACACAAAGTTTATATCTTTGTAGCCTTATTTCTCAAAATGTGGCCCATGGACGATCTGTGTTGGAAAAACCTGGAGAAACTTGCTAAAATGCAGATTCTTAGACCCCAACTCAGACCTTGTGATTCAGACTCTCCGGGAGTGGTGATTCTTTCGTACCTGAACACTATAAAATCAGGCCAATGGGCAAACAGGAATTATAACATCTGTATCACAGTATACATAAAAGTAAGTTCAAGGGAACATTTGTAAAAGTATCAGCAGTGGATCCAAAACAGTATAAATAATATAATTCTATTTTCATTTACAAATATATTTATGTACATTTGTATAGCTAGGCTTAGAACAAAGACTGGAAGCATATACATCATCAAATTTATTGATGGTTATCTTTAGGTGGTGACATTAAGTGGGATTTATCTCATTTTATACTTTCATATACTTTTAAATGTCCTATAATAATTATCCATTATCCTTTTAAAAAGAAAAAAATATGCTTTTAAAAATAAAAGCAATGCAGTCAGATGTGTGGTGCTGAAGACTTCCTAATATCTTACAGAATTTTAGAGAAAGAAGGAAACAGAGGACCCATATAAACCAAAGCATCTCTCTTTAGAGGTGATGAAATGGGTCTAGAGAAGGGAAGTGGCCTGCCTGAGGTTACCCAGACTCTTAGTGGCTGGGCTATGACAGACCCCAGGTCTCCAGGCTTTGGGGCTAGAAGCTTTGAAGTGTTCCAGTGCTAGCCAGGGACCTGCCTCTATTCCTTCCTGCCCTGTAGGGGTGACAAAAAGACCAGAGGAAGTGCAATGATTCCGAGGGTGGAGAAGGATGTAATAGTCTTTGCAGAGAGGACTTTGCAGCTCTCATTATTCTCGCTCTGGGAGTTAGTAGGTCATTTGCAAAAGGCATGGGAAGAGCAGCTGATGAAAAGGTCTAATAGTTTGGAAAACTGCTTAACCTTATTGCTCTATTTCTGGATTTCTCCCCATGGCCAAAGGTTGTTGAGATACTGATTTCCCCCGGAGGTTTCCCATTTAGGAATGCAGTGAAACCTCTGAAATCCAGAGGAATTGGGGAGAAGGCCAGCTGGAATTAGGGAACAGTTTGAATACACTTTAAGAACATTCAGGTCTGCTGTTTTCAAGGACATAGGATCACAGATTTGGAAAGAGCCTAGCCCAGCCTCCTGCTCAGTGCAGGCCTTGTGCTTCATCCTGAACAGAGCTTCAGCTTCATCTGGGCTTCTCTTGAATGCTTCCAAAAACGGGAGGTTCACAATTCTGATAGATCATTTATTTCGCTCTTTGGAAAGTCTTCCTATACCCGAGCTAGAATCTGCCTTTCTGTAAAGTTCTGCTTGCCTTCTTGTATTCATGCAGAACCGAGAAATCTGTTTTTTTCCCCCCTAGATCATACTGAAAAGCAATTATCATGCACCAAATAGTACTTCACAGCATTCTCTTCTGCAGGCTGACAACCTTCAGAATATTCAACCATTGTTTATATGGCAAATGTCATCAACTCTAATTAGAAATATAAATGATTATCTCTAGCCTGTAAATTAACAACTGTATAAATTCAGAGGGGAGCAGAGCTTAGATACCACCTGTACTGGCCTCAAATTACAGATGAGTAAACGGAAGTCGGCTGAAGAAAACCGCCTCACCCAACTTCAGAGAGAGAGAGAGTGGGGTGGTGGGTGGGAGGTTGGAGGGGGGCTCTTTTCACCTCACCCTGCCTCCTATTATTCACAAAACACCAGAATTTCTCAAGTTCTTGAAAGTGCTTAGGAAGTTTGTTCTCTTACGCATTTAGAAAAATCCCTCCTTCAAATTATATTTGCACTGTCAGTGAAGTATGGATTAGCACAGACTGAATTTAGTAGAGGTTATACTGTCAATGGAAAGTATCATTCAAAGCATATTAAGCTTCCTTGCTCTCTGCTGTCAGAAAATCATCTCCTTTGATCTAGAATGCTAGCTCAAGATGGAAAACATACCTATATGGCTACCCAGGCCTATCAAATTTCCATAAGGTCTGGCTACCCACTCAATTTAGGAGGCCTTCCCAACTTTGGAGCTGAGAAAGAGTGCCAGGACGTAGGGCAGCCTGTGTTTCTGCTTTACTCTGCTGTGTTCGTTTTAGAGTTTCATATCCTCTTTCCATTTTGGTCTGATTCTCTGATGAGAAGACAAAACAAAGACTTGGAGAAGCAAACTAGGCACTTCAGTGATTGGTTTTTTGTGTCAGTCCCCAGAAACCCTGCAGTCACATGCTTGGAAGGGAACATTCCTCCCTGCCTCAACCCACAGCAGTCTCCGTCTTCTCTCAACAAAGTATTGCATTTCCAGTTCTTACACTTGTTCTGGCACAGATTCTAAGCTACCTCGTGCTGCTTCCTGGTTTGCCTGGGTGCTAGGCTCCATGGATCCTGGAATCACAGAGACCTGGGTTCTCGTCCTGACTCTGCAACTAGTTGGTTGTATGGCTTTGGAAAGTTACTGAAGCTTTCTGAGCCTCAGCTCCCTCATTTGTTAGATGAGGACAATTATGCTACCTACATCATACAGTTGTGAGGACATAACGCCTAACAGGTGTCTAACATAGTCACTAACTTTTAGTAAGATTCCATAAAAGGTATCTGCTTAGTATCCTTAATATCATGATCCAAAAGGCAGAAATGGAAACCTATACTTTTCTCATGCTGCATACAGTAGGTGCTCCATAAATACTTTCTGACTGATTCTGGTTTAGGCTCCATTTGGCAATAGGTTCACCATAAGAAACATTCTAAGAATCATGTAAAGACAGTTCCTATTCTCAAGCTCCCCTTTCTCCAGATTCCTTATCCCATTAATTATTGCAGTGGGGAGGCTCACCCTGTCCTGCCACTGTTCACACCTCTCAGCTTGCATCTTAGAAAAAAGTTCTTCTTATTTGACAGACTCTGAGAACTTGCTGTCCAGGCAAAAAAAAAACTCACGATGAGGAATACAACACAAACCTTAGGTGGCCAGCATGTCAGCAAACAGAGAGACGAAGGGACACTGACAAAAGCCAACCCCTCAAAAGAAACAAAGCAACACACCAAAGAGGTAGAAAGCAAAGGATTAAGATATGCCTAGAATGCTCTTGCTTATCAGGACCCTTAAAACTAATCAAGGTTCTTGTGTCTACAGTATTCCTAAAGGAACGTGAATATGGTTAAACTCTCCTTTTAGCTGGGAATCTGAATTAACATTAATACCTGAATTTTAACAGAAATTACATTAGACATTCCTTTAGGCAAAAGAGTATATATACAACACCGACATCTGGTTATAAAGAGCTAAGGAATCTCCCAGCTTCCCTAAATGCAGAAGATATCCTAGTGGATGCTTGTTGAGTTAAATGAACAATTATTTCTTTTGTCTCTATTGCAGATTATTTGTTTATGCTCTAAATTTTGTGTTAAGGACAAAAGAAAAATATATTGGCTGAAATGAATGTGTTATGTTATAGCCCCAGTTGAGGGTGAGGAAAGAACGCAATGCTAATGTGGTGGAGAGAATGCAGCAGTTCCTGGAATAGCAGTTGGGTTCCCTGGCTTGAGTCCCACTCTGACATCCTTGGCTGCTTACCTTGGGCAAGCCCTTCACCTCACAGCGTTTCAGTCTCATCAGATGTTAAATACTTTCTATGGGCTCTTCCATGTCTGAGATCTTATGAGGCTACAGGGAGCATGAATATTAGCCAAAGAAGCTGCCCAAATCTCTGAGTGTGGAGACCAGAGCAGTAGAAAGAGAATGTGATAATAGCAGTAGAAAGAGAAGGTGATAATGTGTAATAAGGGTTTTCAATAGGTATGAAAACCCTTGGAAAAAAGTAAAAGCACTGAATGACACACATTCTCCAATTTGCCATGGCATGTTCCAAAATCACAGGCGCCTAACCTTCTCCTGATAGCTCGGTGCTCACCCAAACATCCCATCATTGAGTTGACAGGAAGCAGAGAAGGCCAATGCTTTTCTGGTTGGGGACCTTGGCTGCAACAGAAAGGAAGAGGGGAGTGGAGTCAGCTTCATGAGCCAGTGGAATGGCAATGAACCCTGCAGGCTGATCTGCTCTAGCCTGGCGTTGCCAAGGAGGACGATCCACTTCATCAAACCTGGGCCAAGCTCTGGCTCAGACACACAGGCAAAAATAGAAAGGGGCTGGGAGAAGAAATGTGTTTACTTTTGTGATTTCCCCTAACGTGCCTCTTGACAGTATTATAATCTCTTCACAAACAGGAGTCATGGCCCACAGGCCTCACCTCCATTGATAAACCCTCTCAAACAATTCATGTACAGACTTAAAGCCTTCTTAACATTTCATGATCACTATTTGGGCAGCTAGAAAACAAGTTTAGAAGGCAGCATGATGGAATGGAAAGAGTGCTGGTGAGGGTCTGTTACTGCCTAGGTGAACTGTGAAAATCCCTCTCTAAGGCTCTGCACAATCAAGCGCTTGCATTAGAAAGAATGTATGTATCTGCTGAGATTTTTACAGTTTCTACCAGTGACTCTCAACCAGGGGCTAATTCGCACCTCAGGGGCTCTTTTGCAATGTCTGGAAACATTTTTGCTTGTTATAAGCAGGGGGTGCTATTGGCATCTAATGAACAGAGGCCAGAGGTGCTACACATACAATGATGCAGCCCCCATAACAAAGAGTTATCTGGTCCAAAATGCTAACAGTGCTAAGACTCAGAACCTTGGTTTACACTGAATCGAGGAGAGTCAGTGGGAGAAGAAAACAGGGACCAAAGGAAAGAAGGAAAAGGGGTTAAAATTCTGTTTCTAGTTCATGAGGTATCCATCAGTTATGTGTTCTCCAGCTTTTCTCCCCATGACCAATGCCTTTTGAATTTTCCCTCAGAATTACGGGGCCATGTCTGAGTAGCTTCCTCATAAGAACATCTTCCTTATCCCTAAAATGCCAAGCCCTGATGCAGTACAAAGAGCTCCACTGTAACACATGGCCAAGACAGAAATATAAACAGTTTTGAAACAAGTAGAACTGGAAGGTGGGTGGTGGGTGCACGTGGAGAGAAAAAAACATATCCCCTTAACTCCGCTTCTGTGAGTCAGTGTTTCTGAGGTAACAACACAGAACAATAACCATAGGGAGAGTTGAGCTATACTAAGAGCAGGCAGAACTGATTTGGGGCACAAGTGTCAGGAGAGATGCAGCTTTGCAGCAGCAGACTCAAAGGCAAATGAAAGGGTTAAGCAATCTGTGCATGTCATTCTTGTATCATTCTACATTAAGTCATGGGCAGTAATTACAAGTAGTTACCTGCGGTTTCCAGTGGGGGAGGCAACAGCACTCC